>NC_000002.12:75417625-76042625 GCF_000001405.40 Homo sapiens
ACAGGCTTATCACCCCTGTATGTTACAGCTGGAAAGACAGAGATCCAGAAAAATTATGTGACTTTCCTGAGCTCGTGTAGCTAGATGTGGACCCTCAAGAAAACACATTTTGTATAGGTCTCTGTGAATCCGATGGCATCTCTAGGAAAACAGGCTGCCTTTCTTCTTGGTAAGATATCATTGCAGAAGCACTGTGTACATTGTAACGACTGTCCATCCATCAGTGAAAGTCCCTGACGTTTGCATGTTTTCCTCCTTCAACCTAATCTTTAAATCATTTCTATGCCCGTATAATATCTCTTCTTTAGGTATTTTATTGGGACATTGGAAGAGTAAGAATTGGCATTTAGATTTTGGGGTGCCCTCTACGGCCCCATACATTCCTTCCTACGATAAAGATTTGAAGTAACTGCATGTGCTGGGAGCTGCACCAGGACGTAGGGACAGATAACTGATTAAGTCATCACTCTAAGATGCTACTGGCTAGTGGGGATTATCTACCTGTAAGTAAATAATTTTAATTCAATGAGACAAGTACTATAATAAACATATACTTACTGGTGCCATGGGAGTCACAGTTCTCTGCCTAGTGGGACTTCTCCATCTTTCTCAACTTGAGGAGCTGTCATTATTATGATTTAGAACTAAATTCAAAGTACTAAATAAAAGCCAGTCAGATTAACTTGTTATGACATAGGTTTATATTTTTTTTAAGGCTAGAGAACTTCAGATTATAAACCAGATAATCTTTTAAAAAGTCCTTCAAGATACATTAGTAAAACATTTTGGTTTTATGAGTCTGGGGCCTGGGTAGTATTCCTGTCCTATAACTAATATAATATTATAAATTACCAAATTTCTTTCCCTTCTTTTTGTTTAAATTGTCACACATTTACAGGAACAATTGCAGGTCACAGAAAAATATTAAAAATGATTAAAAACTGAAAAATAATAGGACCAAAATAGTGGTGCCAGCTCACTTTCAATAAAATACTAAACAAAGTACAAGCCAATGAAATTCAGGTAAATTTAAATGATCACCATCTCCATCTAGTTTATTTCACTCGAGTCCTGCAAAGCACTTTGCTATTAGAATATCTCAATACATAAAATGTGATACAAATGGGCCTAATATGAAAATTTATATAAAAATCTCAAAAGATGCTGAAAAAGCATCTGATAACTTTCAACATAAATTTTTTTCTTCTTTATTTTTCTCACATGAGATGGGTAATGTACAGATGTCGTAATAAGATGTGAGGGAGGCACATCTCACACCTAAGCATAAAAACCTAATCATCATGTTTACGAATCACAAAAGGATCTCAACATACATTTTTTGAGGGGAAAACATACTAGAAAATGAGGAATAAATATGTAATTCTTCAACATGATCTCTAAAATCATTAATCTTAGTGGTTACACATTAGAAGCATGTTTATCAAAATCAGAAACATGAAAATTACACACATCATTGCTATTACAAAGTTATGGTAATGATTTTCTAGAAGTTATGGCTGATTCAATAAGACATGAAACAAAAACAGAAGTCTAAGTGCTTTTCCATTGTAGCACTCACTATATTTGTAATTAAATAATGATTATATGGTCACTTGTCATCTCCCTTGTAAAAACATAAGCTCCATAAGAACAGGAACTAGGTCTGTATTATTTATTAAGGAATCTCAATGCCCAGAAAAATACCTTTTACAAGAAAGTATGAAATAGATACTTATTAGATGAATGAAGTAGAACTTCAGGGTATGGCTTAGTAAGAAGGTTAGCAAATCCTCTCCCCAAAAGCAAGTGAGAAGCTAAACAAAAATGACAAAAACAACTATGTCTATGCTCTTGGAATCTGCCAAAGGCATAGCCAATTGGAGAAGCATTTATGCTTGAAAACCTGTGGAACTGTGAAGATTAGTAGGAGCTTAGGACATTTTTTACTGGGACAACTCCAAAGCTCCTGCCAGCCTGGTTGACATGGATGTTTTGTGAGAGTGGAACAGGCTGTGACAACTAGTAGTTTTGCTACCATGGTCATGCTGGGCACACTTGATCTGGAGAGGTGGGCCATGCCCATGCAGCAATGTCAGTAAAAGTGACAGTCTTGGCAGAGGGTCAGTGGAATTGACCAATGATTTTTCTAATCTGAGGTTTTTGTTGGGACAAGCATAATATCAGCTAAGGCTACACATATCCACGACAGAGACCAAGATGGCCTAAGCCCCTCTACATACTACTGGCCAACACCGAGGTTGCACACACAGAGAAAATGTGCAGAAGAGCCTGGTGGGAAGAAAAATCTGGAGGAAAATTGAAAACAGCTTGAAGTTTGTACTCTTCCTACATAGAAATCCATCAACAGAGAACAGAAACCTTATTGGCTCAAGTGTTTTGAGTATAGTGTCTGCCCAATCATTGGCCGACCACCAGGCTACACAGAAAGAAGAATGATCCCTCATAAGTCCAACATAAAAACAACAATAACTTAAAAAAAAACAAAAAGGAACAGAGACATAAGCAGCCATTGGGAAGACCAGTTTCACAGGTTTGGCCCAGGAAAGCTACTCAACAAATAAAACAACAAAAACAAATATCAGAAAAGAAAACCATGACCCAGAGTTGCTGTATTATCAAAATGTCTAAATTTTCTTTCTTCCTTGCTTTTTCTTTTTCTTTTCTTTTCTTTTTTTTTTTTTTTTGAGACAGAGTTTTGCTCTTGTTGCCCAGGCTGGAATGAGATTCTCCTGCCTCAGCCTCCTGAGTAGCTGGGATTACAGGCATGTGCCACCACACCTGGCTAATTTTGTATTTTTAGTAGAGACAGGGTTCCTCCATGTTGGTCAGGCTGGTCTTGAACTCCCGACCTCAGGTGATCCACCAGCTTCAGCCTCCCAAAGTACTGGGATTACGGGCATGAGCCACGGCGCCCGGTTCTAATTTTCAATAAACAACGTTATGAGATATACAAAGAAATAGGACTCATATTCAACGGAGGGGAAAAAAAGCAGTTAGTAGAAACTGAATCTGATGTCTCATTTGTATCCTCTGCCTTCCCCAGCTTTTCTTGATCTGACCTCTGCAAACCAGCCTTCCTTGGTAGGTAGAGTTAGACAGTGTAGGAGACAGAGGCACAGAGGAAAGAAGCAGGTTTCTATTCTCCTCTGCTTTGGGCCGTGTCTCTGGCCACATCTCCTATGAGGTTCCAGTCTCACTGGAAAGCCCTAGCTGCTAATACCAGCTTTTCCTTTTGTCCTTCTGGCCCTAGAGATGGAAGGGCTGCCTGATGTTGTTATCTCTGGGTTTCCCCACCAACTCATTTGCTCTTTATCTCTTCTAATTTCTTTGTAGCAATTTCCCTACAAATTCCTTCTCAACTGTCAAGCAATCACCCATTGATAGACATTTGTGTCATTTCCAGCCTTTTCCTATCTAAAAAAATGCTTTAAAGAATAGCCATGTGCATGCATGTTTTTATGCTTTTGCCAAGTGTCTATTTGGGATAGATTCTTAGAATTGAGATTGTTGATTCAAAGAGTAAATGCATATGTCTAAGCAGCTTAAAGAGGCATTGTTGTTTCAAGCCAAAAATATCTTCTTTAAATATAGTTTTATTAAAAAGAAAGTAATTAAGAGAGAGCTTTGAAATAGCAAGACAAGTGAATCTCTTTGGGAAAAAACGTATAATAAAAAAACTTCTGACTGTCCAGAAGAAGTAGGCTCCCATGCAGGTGGAGTGAAGAGAGGAGAGAGAAACTTGCTCTTGATTCATCTTTAGTTAGGAGTGAGAAAGGTGCCTGGGAAGAGATGGAGAGACCATTTGTGAAAGAAGCAGCCCTGTGAGGCATTACATATGCTTGGCACTGTATAATTAGGGTGATAGCATCTTCTGATGCATACTGTATAATCTGTTGCCTTGGCTAATCAGAGTCACTGAACCCCATTTAAGATGGAAAGTGGAATACTGAGTTGAATTCCTATGTCAGAAGTTGAGTAAAGATAAGTCACACCCTCTAATCCATTTAAAAATACTTAGCAGGTGATTCCAAAGACTGAGCTACTGAAGTCCCCATGTTATCCCAGGGGGACGTGCAAAAACAGGCAAGAATTAAGGAAGCAGCTCTACAAGCCAGCAGAATTGACCTGATTCTCCAGAAATGTTTCTGCATAGGGCATGGCCACAACCCTGGGGACTGTAGTTTTCCCTGTATCCCAATTGGGGTTAAAAAGAGAAAGAACAAAAACTGGGAGCAGGGGAAGGGGATTTTGGTTTCCAAGGGGTAAGGCACAGAAGCAACACTAAATCCTTCTCCTGTCCATCTCCCTTTTACTCCACCCTAAGGATGAGTCCTAAATAAAAGTTTGATCCAAAGGCCTTTGGGATAGTGAGAGAAGCTTGCAAGGAGGAAAGGGTCTCTGTATGGACATTATCCGCTTTATTCAGTTCTTCTGCTCCACACTGTTATTTGCTTAACACTGTAGGATTCTAGTTATTTTCTTTCAGCACTCAAAGATGTCACTCCATTATCTTCTCTTTGCTTGGCAGCTCACCAATGCCTTCAAACAGATGGTTTTTGTGTTTTATCTGGCTTTTCTTGTTTTCTTGGCAGGAGCATTGGTCTATAGCAAGCTACCCCATCAGAATTGCAAGTCAAAGCCTCCACTCTTAATTACTGAAAATGTACATGCATTAATATCTAGTATTATAGATCCCTGTTCCAGTTTTGTTTGAAAAAATTTATAAACTATTATTGCCTATTTGTCCACATGAACTTTAGCATCTCAATATTGTACACCTTCCCATTACTAATTCTACGAAATGTATACATTTATTTGTAGACAACTTTTATGATATTGAGAATTCTGTATCCAGAAGCATGGTATCTATTTTTATTAAATTGTGTATTTTTGTTACTTTTGGAGCTTTATTTCAGTTGGTTCTGAATATTTCAAATTAAGTTTAATCCTGCATATTCCAATTGTTTTTGTCAGTGGGCTCTTTTTACAATTATATGTTCTGCATTGTTGAATATATACAAAATCTTTAATGTTGTATATGCCATTTTTAACTCATCATCTTAGTAAATTTTTATTAGTTTATTTCCTTTGGTTTTCTAGGCAAAGAACACAAGGAAATCATAACTTTGTTATGTCATTTCCAATAATTACCAACCTAATTCATTTCCATGGCTTGTTTTTTTCTAAAACTTTCAGAACAGTGTTAAACCATAGTTGTCACAGTGGTCATACTTCTTCTCTACTTCTCTTTAATGGGAATCCCCTAGGATTTTATGATAGTGTGTGCATGTTTCTCATGTTAAACAAAATTATCTTCCTATTTCTAAAAAAATTCTGTCCAGAACTAATATTAAATTACAGCTGCCTCTTGAACAATGCTGGGGTTAGCAATGCTGTCCCCACATGCAGTCTCAAATTCACACATAACTTTTGACTCCCCTAAAACTTAACTACTGATAGCCTACTGTTGACTGTAAGCCTTATGAATAACATAGTCAATTAGCACATATTTTGTCTGTTATATGTACTATATATTGTATTATCGCAATAAAGTAAGCTAGAGAAAATAAAATGTTATTAAGAAAATCTTAAGGAAGAGAACATATATTTACTGTTCATTAGGGGGAAATGGATCATCATAAAGATCTTCATTCTCATCATCTTTACATTGAGTAGGCTGAGGAGGAGAAAGAAGAGGTGTTGGTCTTGCTCAAGGGTAGCAGGGGTGGAAGAAAATCTAGGTATAAGTGGACTTGCACAGTTCAAACATGTAAATTGGGTAAATTGTATATGGATGGGTTCAAGGGTAAATTGCATATGAATGTCTATTTAACATCTATTTGAATATGATTTTTCCACAATGAGATGTCACCTTACACCTGTTAGAATGGCTATTTTATACACACACACACACACACACACACACACACACACACACACACATATATATATATACACCAAAAAAAGATAACAAGTGTTGGTGAGGATGTGGAGGAAAGGGAATCTTTGGACACTGTTGGTGGAAATGGAAATTGTTGTAGTCACTAAAGAAAACACTATGGAGGTTTCTCAAAATATTAAAAATAGAACCACCATATAATCCTGCAATCTCACTTCTGGGTATACATCCAAAGGAAATGAAGTCAGGATTTTAAAAAGATATCTGCATTCCCATGTTTATTCCCACATTATTCACAATAGCCAAGATATGGAAGCAGTCTAAATGTCCATCAACAGATGAATGGATAAAGAAAATGTGGTGTATAAATATATATACCCTATGGAGCTATGGTCTGAACGTTTGTGTGCCCCAAAATTCATATGTTGAAATCCTAACCCCCAAGGAGATGGTATTAGAAGGTGGCAACTTTGGGAGGTCATCAGATCATGAGGGCAGACTCCTCATAAGCAGGATTAGTGCCCCTATAAAAGAGATCCCAGAGAAATTCATTGCCCTTCTGCTGCTGAGGTTACAGTGAAAAGATGACACTTACCAGGCATCAGATTTTCTGGCACCTTGACCTTGGACTTTCCTGACTCCAGAACTGAATGAAATAAATTCCCATTGTTTATAAGCCACAGAGTATTTTATTATAACAGTTCAAACAGACTGAGAAAGTGGAATATAATTCGGCCTTAAAAAAGAAGGAAATCATGTTATTTATGACAGCACAGATGAACCTGGAGGACATTAGGCTAAGTGAAATTAGCCAGACACAGAAGAAAAAATACTACATGATATCACTTATATAATGAACCTAAAATGGTCAAACTCATAGAAGCAGAGAGTAGAATGGTGGTCCCCAGGGGCTGTGGGGAGGGGAAAATTAGGAGGTATTAGTCCAAGGGTACAAGGTATCCCTCGTATAAGGTGAATAAGTCCTAGACATCTACTTGAAAAAGCATAATGTCTACGATTAACAATACTGTATTGCATATGTTTGCTAAGAAAGTAAATTTTATGTTGTGTTCTTATCACAAAAGATAATAAATAATTTTGCGCAATTTTGTATACAATACTGTGTTGCAAAATTTTGCTAAAATGGTAAATTTTATATTACATGTTCTTAGCACAATAATAAATAAAGAGGGCTGGAAGAAAGAAACTTTTGGAGGTGATGGATGTTTTTGGATGAAAAGGATGCATTTCCAGTAAAATGTTTCTCAAATTTGACCATGTATCAGAACCTCCTGGAAGTTTAGTTAAAACACAAACTACTGTTGATGTAGGATTTTTCTTAGTCACTTTCTCAGGTGGAGACCTCCAGCTGGCAACGCCCCTGTCTGGGATTTACTCAGGCACCAGATCACTGCAGGAGATGCACCATCCACTCAGCCTGCTTGGCAGAGTCCAACCTGCACTCTGGTGCAGATTCTCCTGTTGCTGCAACTGCACACTCAGCCCCTGGTGAGAGGGGGTGTGTGAGCAAGAGAGTGCAGGGTCTAGCTGGCCTCTCCCAGTGCTGGCACAGAAATGGGCTCTGTGTGGTACTTGTGGCTGGACCAGGCACGTCACAAGCCACTCCCATAGTGGACTCCAGTGTCCAGAGAAGGGGAACACAGTGGCATCCAGGCAGGGGTGCCCTCGACCCTGAAGCCCCAGAGGGGGTGCTACAGCATGATAATTAACTCTTTCAGTCACATCATCTGCAGCACGATGAACAATGGCATGTTAACAGTTCTGTCAGCCCCTTACCCTGCTCCGGCTCATGGCTCCAGGGTTGGCTCAGCCCCACCACTGCTTCCTGTCATGTGAGGAGGTTGCCCTCCACTGGTGAGGGCAGAGGGCTACAGTTGTTACAGCCTTCTGTGTACCCACATTCACTGGGTCCCAAATTCTTGTCCTGCATCCAAGAAGAATGAGGTCACACTGGCAATTGAAGAGTGAGGAGGGTGGAGAAGAATTTTATTGAGCAATGAAACAGCTCCCAGCAGAGGGTGAACATGAGGGTGGTCCCTCACCCAAAATTGGGTGGTTTCTCTCTCAGTGTGTCTGGGTCCGAGGCATTTATGGGCTCAGAATGGGGAGTGTGTGCTGATTGGTTTGCGAGTATGTGAAAAAGGTTAAAATAAAGGCACCACTCAAAGGTGGGCATGACAGTGTAAAAAACCAATTAGGGAAGGTAGTTATATTTAAATAGGTGAAGGGTAGGGAGAAATCAGAGGAAAGTGCACCAAATGGGAAGACAGGTTCTCAATTCAGTCTGTGAATTTGACTTGTAGCTTGGCGTCAGGCTTGGCTTCAGGCATTTGGCTGCCTCCTGCCACTATCACTGTGCTCCACTCCCAGAGTTTCTGACTCAGTGATCTGGGGTTACAACCTGAGAAGTTGCATTTCTTTTTTTTAAATTTAATTTAATTTAATTTTAAGTTCTGGGATACACGTGCAGGACAGGCAGGTTCATTATATAGGTAGGCGTCTGCCATGGTGGTTTGCTGCACCTATCAACCCATCACCTGGGTATTAAGCCCCGCATGCATTAGGTCTTCATCCTGATGCTTTCCCTTCCTTCACCTCCCTCACCCCAAAGGCCCCAGTGTGTGTTGTTCCCTCCCTGTGTCCATGTGTTCTCATTGTTCAGCTCCCACTTATAAGAGAGAACATGCAGTGTTTGGTTTTCTATTCCTGCATTAGTTTGCTGAAGATAATGGCTTCCAGCTCCATCTATGTTTCTGCAAAGGACATGATCTCATTCCTTTTTATGGATGCATAGTATTCCATGGAGTATATGTACCACATTTTCTTTATCCAGTCTATCTTTGTTGGGCATTTGGGTTGATTCCCTGTCTGCTATTGTGAATAGTGCTGCAATGAACATACGTATGCATGTATCTTTATAATAGAATGATTTATATTCCTTTGGGTATATACCCAGTAATGGGATTGCTGGGTCAAATGTTATTTCTGGTTCTAGGTATTTGAGGAATCATCATACTGTCTTCAACAATGGTTGAACTAATTTACATTCCCACCAACAGTGTGAAAGCATTCCTATAAGCAGTTGCATTTCTAACAAGTTTATGGAGGTATTGATGCTGCTGGTGTGGGAGCAGTACTTTCAGAACCACCGTCTAGATTCTAAATATAAATCCTAAGTTTAACTTCAGAATAAATTGAAAACCAAAAACCTAAATGTAAGAGCTAAACCTATAAAACTCTCAGAAGAAAACAGGGGTAAATATTTGTGACATGCAAACTGCCAAATAAAACATTAGCAGGTTGAATTAAAAAAAAAAAAAGGCGCTCCAAGGATTGATCAACATTTTTTTAAAATAATTCATGACATTCACTGATCAGATAAGAAAAGAAAACCATACAAACGTATAATCATCCCATTAGATGCCACAAAAAGGTGTTTGAAGTTTTCAAGAGAAAATGATAGGTTAGAATTTGGAGATAGCAAGTGGAAACTGTTTTGCTAACCAATTTGGCTTTTCAAGGAAAGATAATCTAAGAGTTGAAGGAGGACACAGGATCAAGGGACAAAGCGTGTGTGTGTGTGTGTGTGTGTGTGTGTGTGTGTGTGTGTGTTTGTGTGTATTAGATGAGACATACTCAAACACATTCATAGGCTAATTTGGAAGTGGCCAGTAGAAAGAGGAAATCGGAATATACTAGAGAAGCTATTGATGGAGTAAGAGTCCAGAGGAAATGAAAGGGTCTCAAGAATGGAGTTTGAACAACAGATAGGCTCACTCAACAGGGAAGGGAGTAAGAATGCGTGATGTGAGAAAATTCAAACTTGTTCACATTCATTTTTCCTATTTAAAAAAATGAAGCAGGAGGTGAAATCAGGTAAAAAAAAGTTTGGAGGTTGAATTTGGCTGTTAGCAATTCAGTGGTGGCCTTCACGATGATTTGCCATGGACTGATGGTGGCCCAGAATCCAGTAAGCAAAGGAGTGACTGGGGAGAGGTTGGGGAAATTGTTGGGGGCCCGGGGGGCGGGGAGCAGGCGAGAATGTGGCGACAAGTGCAAATTTTTCTTCCAAAGATGAAGACTGAAAGGGGGATAGGGAATTAGAGTGACAGCTATATTTCAAAAGAAAACTCCTCAAATTTTAAGACAATTTCTGAGTATTCAAGAAAGCCATACACTGGGAGAGAAGATATCATTAACTGACACATGATGAAATTTGTTGTTTTGTTAGTTAACAAAGCATCAGGCATTGCATTGTAAAGGCACAATAAACTACAAATTACCTGTCTCTCATTCAAAGGAAATAAAAATTGGCACCACGACTCCAGCAAGTATGGAAATGTAAAAGCTTAGGGTTTCTGAGCTTTCCATTCAAATCAAGGTTTTCTTAAAGACTGAATGCAGCTCCTCATTCTCCATAATAACCACCTCCACTTGGCCCTGTTCTACAATCCATAAAATGGGCTTCTCTGAATAGACAAAAAAAAAAAAAGAACAAAACAGACTTTTGAAAGTTACATCTAGAAGTCTGATTTAGCAAGCAATCCAGCTAGTGGGCCCAAATGCAGCATTTTTCAACTTTCCACTAAAAAGCCTGTGAAGACATAAGGGGAAAAAAAGACAACAATTTCATCAACTGGGAGTGAAAATCAATCTATCACAAAGATCTTACGGGGATATAATTGGATGACACAGCCCACACGGGCTTTGTTATCAGAAATAGCACAAACCTGTTGGGCAACATTTTTTTTGAAAAAGAGAGGAAAATGTGGTTTCCCTCTCCCAGTGCCTATTTCCTGATTGGAAAGTTCAAGGAGAGTATCAGAAAATCCAAGCTGCATTATCTCTTTAGAGCTGGGGCTGATTTTTGAGCATCTATAAGGCTTTGTTTCTCTTCATCCCACACGTCTACCTTTCCCTAAACAATATAGTTCTAAAAGAATTCATTAGGTTTCATCAGTTTCTGAAAACAACAGGTTAAACATGTGACAAGAACTAATTATGGTGAAGAAATCCTGGAAGTAGCTACATAGAAGCAATTGAAAATTCTAAAGTCTCTGATAAAAGCCCATGCTAACACTGTTGAAAAACCAGCATGGAGTTACAAGATTGCCCCCTAGTCCCTCAGAGACATATTAGGTGGATTAATAATGCTAGGAGCCGGCATCTTAAAATACTTTCTAGTTGTCACTTTTAGAGAGGGTTCTGCCTTGCATGCAAATCAAGCAGATGAGCAGTGGCAGCAGAATGTCAGGATTCTGAAATCTCACTGCCCTGCTAGTGCAGTGCCAGAGGAAGAGGTGCCGTGAAAGACCTCAGGCTTAAGAGGAAAGCTCTGCTGTGCTTAAGCATGTGCTGTGTAGGCCATACTTAAGGGCTGCATAAAGAGGAATTATGAGAAGATGATGCATCTCCCTGTGGAAGAGGAGGCTGGCTGGGGTAGAGTATGGGCGTCTCGAATGGAAAGTTCCATATCTGAAAGGGAAAATATCTCCCTGCAGCAAAAGAGGCAGTTTTGGTAAAATGCTGGGAACTACCCACAAAGCTTGGTTTGTGTCCTGCCTGTGTATCTGTTGTCACTACCATTCCCAGAAGCCATGGCCAACTGTGGCAGGTGCCTTGGCAATATTAATTGGTCATACTGGTGGCATTGTAGATCTTGGAAAACAAAGTGGTTCAGCAGACGTGGCAGTGAGCCCAGCCAGGAATCAGACTGAGTGGTGCCCAGCAGCCTGGGAGCAGCACGTCTCCATAGGCATGTGGTGGGAACTGCTCACTGCCTTGGTTGAGTCGGTGCAAATGCAACTGCTGTCAGCTAGAGCAGTTCTTTCTGTTCCACTGGGAGACAGCTGCTCTGTTTCCTGGGACCACCAGTGCTGCAAGCAAAGCTGAACCTGGCTGACTACAGTCTCAACTCTTTTCTTAAGTTAGCTTTAGATTTTAACTACAAATGCATGACATGCTAAATACTAAAACTGGGATCCACAGAAAGGCACAAAGAAGCTGCATCTTTAGGAGGTCCCACCATTTGTCACCTTTCCATTTGCCATGCCCATACCTGCCTTTGCACCTCCCATCACATTGGCTTCCCAGTGTTATTCTACAATGCTAAAAGGACATCAAGCCAAGAACTCCCCACCTGATCCACAGAGAACTGCCTTCTTTTCCAGTTTGAATTCTTCCAAATTAGGGTATCTTAATGGGACTCTTATAATAGGGTGTACTCTCTCAGGTGGGAAACTTGTGGAATGATCTGTGGCATCTTTCATCAACTTCAGCTTGTCTGCACTGTAAGTGGTAAAAATATCTTTGGTAGTTATAATATTAAAGTAGGCTTCCCCCTTTCTTTTCTAGAAGTTTTATGGAAAGAGATAGAATTTTAGGCAAAAAGCATGACTCAAAAACATGGAGATGTGAAAAACATGGTGTCCTGGGGAATGATGAGTAATTTCATGTGGAGACTATAGGGTATACAGAGAATGGAGCAAAGGGGAAAGAAACCAGCATTCAGGGATTTGTTGAAGTCAGGTAGTAAATAAACTTAAACACTGTGAGTGCTAGTTTCCTGTTGCTGTTGTAGCAAATTACCATACACTTAGTGGCTTAAACAGCACAGATGTATTAGCTTACAATTCTGAAGGTCAGAAATCCAAAATAGATCTTACAGGCTAAAACCAAGGTATCAGAAGAGCTGCACTGCTTCTGGACATTCAATGGGAGATCTGTTCTCTTGCCTTTTCCAGTTTCTAGAGGCCATTTGCATCCCTTGAATTGCAGCCTCTACCTTTGTCTACAAAGTGCATAATTTCAGCTTCTGCTTCTGTCCACATCTCGTCTCTGACCCTGTCCCTTCTGCTCTTGTTTTGTAAGAACCCTTGTGATTACATCAAGCCTATCCAGATAATCCAGGATAATTCCCCCTCTCAAGATCCTTAACTTAATCAACCTCAACAAAGTCCCTTTTGCTACATAAGGTAACGTATTTGCAGGTTCTAGGAATCAGGATGTCAATAAAAAGAGGCAAATTCTGTAAGATATTTGAAGAGATTTATTCTGTGCCAAATACGAGTGACCACAGCCTGTCACACAGCCCTCAGGAAGTCCTGAGAACACGTGCCCAAGGGGGTTGTGTCAGGCCTCTGAGCCCAAGCTAAGCCATCATATCCCCTGTGACCTGCACGTATACATCCAAATGGCCTGAAGTAACTGAAGAATCACAAAAGAAGTGAAAATGGCCTGTTCCTGCCTTAACTGATGACATTACCTTGTGAAATTCCTTCTCCTGGCTCATCCTGGCTCAAAAGCTCCCCCACTGAGCATCTTATGTCCCCTGCCCCTGCCAGCCAGAGAACAACCCCCTTTGACTGTAATTTTCCCACTACCTACCCAAATCCTATAAAACGGCCCCACCCCTATCTCCCTTCTCTGACTCTCTTTTTGGACTCAGCCCGCCTGCACCCAGCTGGAATAAACAGCCTTGTTGCTCACACAAAGCCTGTGGTGGTCTCTTCACATGGACGCTGTGTAAGTTGGGGTGCAGCTTGGTTTTATACATGTTAGGGAGACATGAGACTTCAATCAAATACATTTAAGAAATACATGAGTCCAGTTCAGAAAGGCAGGACAATTTGAAGTGGGGGGCTGGGGGGAGCTTCCAGATTATAGGTGATTTTTAAATTTTCTGGTTGCCAAATGGTTGAGTTTATATAAAGACCTGGGATCAATAGAAAGAAAATAGATAATGTCTGGGTTAAGATAAAGGATTGTGGAGACTAAAGTTCTTAGTGTGCAGAGAAAGTCTTCAGGTAGCAGGCTTCAGAGAGAATAGATTGTAAATACTTCTTATCAGACTTAAGGTCTGTGTTGATGTTAATGCCAGAGAGGCGTAATGAGGCATGTCTGAGCCCCACTTCCTGCAATGGCCTGAACCAATCTTTCAGGTTAAATTTTAAGAGTGTCCTGGCTGAGGAGGAAGTCCATTCAGATGGTTGGGGTGGGGGTGGGGGGGTTAGAATTTTATTTTTGTTTTACAAGGACTTAGGTGTTTTTGGGGAACATAATTCAGCCTACCATATCATGCAAGAGAATTTAAACTGTACTGTGTCAGCCAGGGGTTAAAATCTTAATGCCTACCAGGGCTAGGCAGGTAAAGAAGCATCTTAGTCCATTTTGTCCTGCTATAAAAGAATACTTGAGGCTGGGCAATTTATAAAGAAAAAAGATTTATTTGGCTCACAATTCTGGAGTGCTGAAAAGTTCAGGATTGGGCATTTGCATCTGGCAAAAGCCTCGGGCTGCTTTCACTCATGGCAGAAGGCAAAGGGGAGCCAATGTGTACAGAGATCACCTGGTAAGAGAGGAAGTGAGAGAAGGAAACTCTAGGTTCTTTTTTAATAACCAGCTCTCATGGGAACTAATAGTATGAGAACTCATTCATCTCAACCCCTCCCCAGAGAAAGGATTAATCTATTCATGAGGGATCCACCCCCAGTGACACAAATACCTCCCAGTAGTTTCCACCTCCAACACTGGGATCAAACTTCAATGTAAGATTTGGTGGGACAAACCAACCATATACAAACTCTAACAGAAGTAAATAAAGCAGTCTGGTTATTAGCCAACAGGAAAAAGTGAAGAAAGTGAAAACTCAGAGAGTACTATCTAAAGTGAGTTCTGAGTGTTATCAAAATAAATGCAAACCAGTGTTGCCTGATTACCTGATTCTTTTGGAGAAGCTAAGATCCAGATATTTATGTAAATTTTACCAGTTTTATAAACAATTTTCCAGTCTCTACTGGAATCCTACAAGGATTTTCATGTTAGGAGTTCCTGGTACTAAAATACCTCTGAAGACAGCATTGAAGGAAAGAGGCTAGGAATTAGAATGAATCAGAAAAAACTGTAACAGTGGATAAGAATGCAAACCATAGAGGAGAATAAAATATTTTAAAACCATATGCCCAACAAAGGACTAATGTCAAGAATATATATATATTTTAAATTCTCCAAATTCAATAACAAAAAAGCTAACAATCCAAGTAGAAAATGGGCAGGAGGCATGAAAAGGCATTTCGTCAAAAAACAAATACAGAAGATAAATAAGCACATGAAAAGATGTTCTATGTTTTTAGCCATTAGGAAAATGCAAATTAAAGCCATAGTGAGATACTACTACACATCTATCAGAAGCTCTAAGATAGAAAGAATGACTGCAGTCAAGATGGCCAACTAGAAGCAGCAGTGATCAGACGCTCCCACTGAAAAGAACCAAAACAGCATGCAAATCCAGCACCGGCAACCAAGGTATGCAGGTTCTGTCATCAGGACTGACCCTAGGCAGCTGGCGTGACCCACAGAAAGAAAGGAAGAGCAGAATGGTGCAGTGGCCCACCTGAGAGCCACACAGGACAGGGGAGCTTCCACCCCCCAGCCAAGGAAGGTGGTGAGTAAGAGTGCTATCCAGCCTGGGAAACTGTGCTTTTCCCATGGAACTGTGTAATCCACAGATTAGAAAATCTCACTAGTGAGCTCACACCACTGGGGCCTAGAAAACCACAAAGCTGAGCAGATTCTCAACAGCCACTCAGCTAGAAACTGCTTAAACAGGCTGAGTTCCTGGTGGGGAGGGGCAGCCGCCTACTGTCTAAGCCTTCCAAGAGACTTGGAGGAAGGGCAGCAGCCAACAATGGGACTGCTAGCTGTCTAATACACTAAGCTCTTGGGGTAGAGGAAGGGTGGCAGCCATCTCTATAGCTCCAGGCTGCACTTTTCCCTGGCTGGAGCCAGGGAGGCTGGAAGGCTTGGTCTTAAGAGGTTATTCCTCACAGGGCAACACACAGGCTGTGGCAGACTGCAGCCAGAGTGCATCTTCAGGCCTGACCCTGACCCATCCCTCCTCACTGGGGTGCCTCCCTGGAGGAACTCCAACAACTCCATTCAGGGGCTCAGGGACAGAACTCTGATGTCCCTGGGCCTGAGCTCCTAGGAGGAGGAGTGGCTATATTCTCTGCAGACCAGCAGACTTAGTCTTTCCTCCTGCTAGTTCTGAGTAATCCGGGCAACTCAGACGAGTGAGTTTCCCCCCAGCATGGCACACCCCCTCCACCAAGGGACAGCCAAAGTGCTTTGTTAAATGGGTCCTGCTCCCCGTGCCACCCAACTGGGTGAGACCCCAATAGATGCAGAAAAGGCCTTCGATAAAATTCAATGCCCCTTCATGCTAAAAACAGTTAAAAAAACTGGGTATTGAGGGAACATATCTAAAAATAATAAGAGCTATTTATGACAAACCCATAGCCAATATTATATTGAATGGGCAAAAGCTGGAAGCGTTCCCTTTGAAAACTGGCACAAGAGAAGGATGCCCTCTCTCACCACTCCTATTCAACATAGTGTTGGAAGTTCTGGCCAGGGCAATCAGGCAAGAGAAAGAAATAAAGTATATTTAAATAGGAAGAGAGAAAGTCAAACTGTTTCTGTTTGCAGATGACATGATTGTATATTTAGAAAACCCCATTGTCTCAGCCCCAAAACACCTTAAGCTGAGAAGCAAATTCAGCAGTCTCAGGATAAAAAATCAATGTGCAAAAATCACAAGCATTCTTATACATCAATAATAGACAAACAGAGAGCCAAATGATGAGTGAACTCCCATTCACAATGCTACAAAGAAAATAAAATGCCTAGGAATCCAACTTATAAGGGATGCGAAGGACCTCTTCAAGGAGAACTACAAACCACTTCTCAAGGAAATAAGAGAGGACACAAACAAATGAAAAAACATCTCATGCTCATGGATAGGAAGAATCAATATTGTGAAAACGGCCATACTGCCCAAAGTAATTTATAGATTCAATGCTATTCCCATCAAGCTACTATTGACTTTCTTCAGAGAACTAGAAAAAAACTACTTTAAATTTCATATGGAACCAAAAGAGAGCGCATACAGCCAAGACAATCCCAAGCAAAAAGAACAAAGCTGGAAGCGTCACACTACCTGACTTCCAACTATACTACAAGGCTACATTAACCAAAACAACCTGGTTCTGGTACCAAAACAGATGTATATATAGACCAACGGAACAGAACAGAGGCCACAGAAATAACATCACACATCTACAACCATCTGATTTTCGACAAACCTGACAAAAACAAGTAATGAGGAAAGGAATCCCTATTTAATAAATGGTGCTGGGAAAACTGGCTAGCCATATGCAGAAAACTGAAACTGAACCCTTTCCTTACACCTTATACAAACAATAACTCAAGATGGATTAATGACTTAAACATAAGACCTAAAATCATAAAAACTCTAGAAGAAAACCTAGGCGATACCATTCAGGACATAGACATGGGCAAAGACTTCATGACTAAAACACAAAAAGCAATGGCAACAAAAGCCAAAATTGACAAATGGGATCTAATTAAACTAAAGAGCTTCTGCACAGTAAAAGAAACTATCATCAGAGTGAACAGGCAACCTCCAGATTGGAGAAAATTTTCGCAATCTGTCCATCTGACAAAGGTCTAATATACAGAATCTACAAGGAACTTAAACAAATTTACAAGAAAGAAAAACAAAGAACCCCATCAAAAAGTGGGCAAAGGACATGAACAGACACTTCTCAAAAGAAGACATTTACATGACCAACAAACATGAAAAAATCTATCATCGCTGGTCATTAGAGAAATGCAAATCAAAACCAAATGAGATACCATCTCACGCCAGTTACAGTGGCGATCATTAAAAAGTCAGAAAACAACAGATGCTGGAGATGATATGGAGAAATAGGAATGCTTTTACACTGTTGGTGGGAGTTGTGGAAGACAGTGTGGCAATTCCTCAAGGATCTAGAACCAGAAATACCATTTGACCCAGCAATCCCATTACTGCGTATATACCCAAAGGAATATAAATTATTCTACTATAGAGACACATGCACACATATGATTATTGCAGCACTATTCACAATAGCAAAGACTTGGAACCAACCCAAATGCCCATCTATGATAGACTGGATAAAGAAAAGGTGTCACATATACACCATGGAATAATATGCAGCCATAAAATAGAATGAATTCGTGTTCTTTGCAGGGACATGGATGAAGCTGGAAACCATCATTCTCAGCAAACTAACACAGGAACAGAAAACCAAATACCACATGTTCTCACTCATAAGTGGGAGTTGAAGAATGAAAACACATGGGCACAGGGAGGGGAACATCACACACTAGGGCCTGTCAGGGATTGGGGGCATGGGGAGGGAGAGCATTGGGACAAATACCTAATGCAAGCGGGGCTTAAAACCTAGATGACGGGTTGCTAGATGCAGCAAACCACCATGGCACGTGTATACCTAGGGAACAAACCTGCATGTTCTGCACATGTATCCCAGAACTTAAAATATAATAAAAAAAAAAACTCAAGATAGATAAAAGACTTAAATGTAAAATGCAAAACCGTAAAAACCCTAGGAGAAAACCTAGGCAATACCATTCAGGACATGGGCACAGGCAAAGATTTCATGATGAAAATGCCAAAAGCAATTTCAACAAAAGCTAAAACTGACAAATGGGATCTAATTAAGCTAAAGAGCTTCTGCACAGCAAAAGAAACTATCATCAGAGTGAACAGGCAACCTATAGAATGGTAGAAAATGTTTGTGATCTACCCATCTGACAAAGGTCTAATATCCAGAATCTACAAGGGACTTAAACAAATTTGCAAGAAAAAAACAAAAAACCCCATCAAAAAGCAGGCAAAGGATATGAACAGATACTTCTCAAAAGAAGACATTTATGCAGCCGACAAACATGAAAAAAAGCTCAACATCACTGATCATTTGGGAAATACAAATCAAAACCATACTGAGACACAATCTTACACCAGTCAGAACGGCTATTACTATCAATAATAAATAAAAGTCAAGAAACAGTAGATGCTGGTGAGACTGTGAAGAAATAGGAATGCTTTTACATGGTTCGTGGGAATGTAAATTAGGTCAACCATTGTTGAAGACAGTGTGGCAATTCCTCAAGGATCTAGAACCAGAAATACCATTTGACCCAGCAATCCCATTACTAAGTATATACCCAAAGGAATAGAAATCATTTGGCTATAAGAACACATGCACATGTATGTTTATTGCAGCACTACTTACCATAGCAAAGACATGAAACCAATCCAAATGCTCATCAATGATAGACTGGATAAAGAAAGTGTGGTACATATACACCATGGAATACTATGCAGCCATAAAAAGGAATCAGATCATGTCTTTTGCAGGGACATGGATGAAGCTGGAAGCTACCATCCTCAGCAAATTAACAGAGGAACAGAAAACCAAACACCACATGTTCTGACTCATAAGTGGAAGCCGAACAAGGAGAACACATGGACACAGGGAGGGGAAAAACACACACTAGGGCTTGTCAGGAGGTGGGCAGGTGGGGAAGGGAGAGCATCAGGACAAATACCTAATGCATGTGGGGCTTAAAACCCAGATGATGGGTTGCTAGATGCAGTAAGCCACCATGGCACATGTATACCTCTGAAACACACCTGCATGTTCTGTGAATGTATCCTGGAACTTAAAGTAAAATTAAACAGTAAAAATTTATTTTCATTTTTATTTTTACTATTATAAGTTCTAGGGTACATGTGCACAACGTGCAGGTTTGTTACATATGTATACATGTGCCATGTTGGTGTGCTGCACCCATTAACTCGTCATTTACATTAGGTATATCTCCTAATGCTATCCCTCCCCCATCCCCCCACCCCACAAAAGGCCCCGGTGTGTGATGTTCCCCATCCTGTGTCCAAGTGTTCTCATTGTTCAATTTCCACCAATGAGTGAGAACATGCGGTGTTTTGATTTTCTGTCCTTGTGATAGTTTGCTGAGAGTGATGGTTTCCAGCTTCATCCATGTCCCTACAAAGGACATGAACTCATCCTTAACAGTAAAAAATTTTTTTAAAAAATTTAAAAGGAAATTTTAGTAGACTACAGTGAAAATACAACCCTGGAATATATTTCTAGGTGCATTATGCAGATTCTGAAAATATTTGTTAAACTGAATTAAAGTCTCCCAACCTAAAATTTTTTTACTTTTGTGAATGCAATTTCAAAGTTTTTCTAAGTCTATAAGAACTCAGTCATATACACACAAACATACAGAAAATATTGAGTTAATCAAGTAAGATGAAGCCTCAGGCAGGCAAAACTCAAATTATTTCTGAAAAGTTTTCTAATTCTTTCCAACATTTCAATATTCTTTTGAATTTTCTACTTTTTATAATTTGTTTTTTGTTTCCATGTTTACAATATAAATGAAAAGTAACACACAACCTATTATTGAACGCTTCCAAAAGCTTTGGATAAAGAATCTGGAGACTATTTTGACATTTTCTTTGAGTATAGACATCTTTGAAAATTTTCAAATTAAAGAAATACACAAATAAAAATATTCTATTAAAAAATAAAGGTAACCACTCTTGGCTTTTAAAGTAACTGCTGTGGTTTGCTTCACAATTTTATCACTTACTAACATGTTCCCTATACATCAGATTTGCCTGCTTTTGAACTGCTATCATACAGTATGTACTCTGATTCTGTCTTCTGTTTAGCATTGTTTCTGAAATTTAACAATTTTGTTACATGCCAGCTATAATTTATTCATTTTCATTGCTGTAAAGTGAATTATTGTCTTCATGAAATAAAATATATCTATCCTAAAAAAAAAAAAAAAAAGAAAAGAATGACACCACCAAATGCTGGCAAGGATGTGAAGAATCTGGGTCACCGATATATTGCCATTGGTACAAATCCTCTGGAAAACAATTTGCAATTTCTTTAAAAACTAAGCATGCAACTACCATATAGCGCAGTAACTGTACTCCCAGAAATTTATTATAGAAAAATGAAGACATATATTCACACAAAAAACCTGTATACAAATATTTATAGCTGCTTTATTCATAATAGCCAAAAATTAGAAACAACCTAGATATTCTTCAGTGGATAGATGGTTAAACAAACTGTGGTACATCAACACTACGGAATACTACTCAGCAACTGAAAACAAATGAACTATGGATACACTCAACAACCTGGATGAATCACCAGAGAATTACGACGAGTGGAGAAAAACAGCCAATCTCATATGGTCATATACTCTATGTTCATTTATAAAATATTTTTTAAATGACAAAGTTATAGAAGTGGGTAACAAATTAGTAGTTGCCAGGGTTAAGGAGGAGATGTGGCCCTTAAAGGGCAACCTGAAGGTTCCTTGTGGTAAGGAGAATGGTTTGTATCTTGACTCTAACGTCAATATCCTGGTTGTGATACTGTACATTAGTTTTCAAGATGTTACCACTAGGGAAACTGGGTAAAGGGTACATGGGATCTCTCAGTATTGTTTCATACAACTACATGTGAGTCTACTATTACGTTCAAATAGAAACTTTTAATTTAAAAAAAAACTAAATTAAGAAAACTGATTGGTATAGTAAGGGAGAATGACGAAAAAAGCCTCAACCATGATGGGGTCAGTATCAATAGAGAAAGAACACATTCAAAAAATATTCAGAAGGAATAATTCACAGACTTGAAGTTGCATGTCAGCTCTGCAGCTTTATGAAGGAATGAGCCCAGAGAGGGGTAACAGTCCCAAAGGAGCCTCCACAGAAACAGATACCTACAGATCTGAGCACAAAACCCTGGGAACTCTGCTACTTCACCTGCTGAAAACCAGAGAGGAAAGTCTGGAAAATAGCATTAGAGAGGTAAGAAGAAAACCAATTAGAAAAGGAAAAAACACCACAGAAACTCAGAACCTGAAGGAAGGAGTGCTAGGAATGTAGGAATAGCTCTCCAGAGAAAACCTCTCCCCAGCTGGAAAATGCTGTATTTCATTCATCTAAGATGCCGTCAATTGGAAGACATTTATATACCACAAAGGCAGAAAACAAAACAAAACTCTGCCAGTTGAATCAAAACACAGTGATTTATCTCTTAGAATTTTTACTTTGCCCTTACTAAATGAGCTCTTTTAAACTTATTAGTTAGACAGACTTCTTAATCACATATTACTCATGTATTTTTCTAATAATAAGGGTACTATATGCTTATTGTTAAAAACAAACATTTGAAAAATGCTGATAAAAGTATGGTGAAGAAAACTAAAACAGCTCATGCTCCTAGAGTAGGGTTTCTTAATCTCAGCAGTATTGACATTTTGGGATAGTTAATTCTTTGCCATCCTGTGGGGTCCATCCTGTGCATTGCAGGATGATAAGGAAAATCACTGGTCTCCACCCAGTAGATGCCAGTAGCATTTCACTCCACTCATGGCATCCAAAAACTGTCTTCAGTCATTGTCAAATGTCCCCCCGACAGAAAAAAAATTATCTCAGTTGAGAATCAATGTTTTAGAATATAGAAGGTATTGCCATTTGCACTTTGGTTATTTACTGCCAGATTTCATGTTTTAACGATGTAGATTGTAAATTCTGTGCTCAGTTCAGCCTCCTGCCTTTATTCTCTAACAGCACATCAGGGACATCTCTATTCTTATGGACACAGCATGGCTTACTGAACCATCCCCCAGCATTGGAAATTAAGGTTGTTCCCAATTTTACATCATTATGAATAATGAAATGATGACCACTGTGCACATGAATCATTTTCTGTAATTCTGATGATTTCTCTAGAATACGTATCTCATAATAGAATTAACAAACCAAACAGCACTGAGATGTCTTTAAATTGCATGAGTGGGATGTGCAGGTAGAACCCAGGGGCTAGGAACACAGTGTCCATTATTTGCCTCTCAAAATATGCCCCTGAAGACAAATGACATTCCTTGAGCTAAAATTCAAAGAGCTAAAATTAAAAAGACATCAACAAATCAGCCTTTCTCCAATTAATCAAAACTTAAATGGATAGAACTTCTAAATTTTACTTTTTACATCCAGTAAATATCTGTTAATCATAGGAAACTGCCTCTGCTTGCTGCCAGTGAGACCTAGAAAATATCAAATGAACAATTTAAAAACCAGCATTCTTGGGGGGCATAGGGAATGTATTTTCATTAAATAAATACACACACTATTTGTCAATCATGACCTTAAATTTACCAAATCTAAAGTATTCTGAAAAGAGTATCCTGACTTCTAGGTGCTCCTGACATTGAAACAATTTAAAAATTACCCATATAAATCTTTTGATTTGACATTTATTTTATTAATATAACGGTATATACTCATCTAAACATGGCTATGTTGCACCAAAAAGAAGCCAACATGAAAAAGAGACCACCAGGAAAGTCAAATACAATGCAAGGAGCTCTTGCACTGGCTGATGGAGCAATCAAATGTAAATGCTACCATCATGTGATCATCAGCAAATGCTGCCAATGGATGAAAATAAATCGCATTTCTAGTATATATTTGGTCTTGAATGCAATTTTGTGAATTATAACTAGATGCACTTTCTTAAAATGAGATAGAATAGAATCATGCATTGCATATAGTGAAGGTAGGTATTGCTTTTGAAACTTTTTCTCAAATATATGAGATATATATTCACATATATACACACGCATACACACACAAACACATACATGTACTGTGATAAGATGAAACTTTTTTTTTCTTACTGTGGGTCTCAGCCAAAAATGTTTCAAAGTCACTGACCTAGAAGGCAAGAGATGGTTATGTCCGTCCAGGTTCTCCAAGAAGCAGACACCAAGACAGAATTAAACATGCAGAAGCTTTATTGTAGAAACAACTGTGAAGGAAGGACAAAGAGAGAGGAGAAGACAGAAGGAGCCGCCAGACTGTGATGTGGGCCTAACACCTGAAAGAGGGGAGGATAGGAAGGCAGATTGAACAAAATGAGCCTTAGACTGTAGTGCAGCTCTGAGATAGTCTTGGCTAAGCTGATGGGAAACCCAGAGCAAACTTTGTTGTTTAAGGAAGTCTGGTGTTGGGAAGAAATAGTCCAGCAAAATTAAGCCCCCAGCCCTGGGAGGGTGTAGCCTGGACATGAAAGCTAGGGAAGACCCTGAAGTGCAGCCTTGGAGCCTGTCCATCACCTACACTTCTTGCAGGATATTCTTCAGAAGGGAGATCTTTGGCTGCCAAATGAAGGTAAAGGGAGAAATTGTCTCCATATCTTAGATCTTTCCCTGTGGTATTCACATGTACTACAGTTAAAATAATGTATTCTGAAGAAAGACTCCTTGGGTCCAAATCCTAGCTCCAAAGCCAGGACTCGAGTGAGGCAAGGGAGGCCCCTAGGGTAGCCAATTTAAAGAGGCTCTTACTCCCTGAGGAGCACTTGCATAACTTTGGGAACGAGACATCATCAATATTGCAACCCAGGCATCATTAAAACGTGAAAAAGCAATACATGTTGGCACAGATGTGGTGAAAAGGGAATGCTTATACACTGCTGGTGGGAATGTAAATTAGTACAGCCTCTATAAAAAGCAATATGGAGATTTCTCAAAGAACTGAAAGTAGATCCACCAATCCCACTACTGGGTATCTACCCAAAGGAAAAGGAATTATTATATCAAAAAGACACCTGCACACATATGTGTACTGAAGCACAATTCACAATTGCAAAGCTATGGAATTGACCTAAGTGCCCACCAACCAATGAGAGGATAAAGAAAATGTGGTATATATACACCATGGAATACTACTCAGCCATAAAAAGAATGAAATAATGTCTTTTCCAGCAGTTTGGATGGAACTGGAGGCCATTATTCTCTCTCTCTCTCTCTCTCTCTCTCTTTTTTTTTTTTTTTGAGACAGAGTTTCGTTCTTGTTGCCCAGGCTGGAGTGCAATGGTGTGTTCTCGGCTCACTGCAACCTCTGCCTTTTGGGTACAAGTGATTCTCCTGCCTCATCCTCCCAAGTAGCTGGGATGACAGGCATGTGCCACCATGCCCAGCTAATTTTGTATTTTTAGTAGAGATGGGTTTTTCTCTATGCTGGTCAGGCTGGTTTCAAACTCCCGACCTCAGGAGATCCGCTGGTCTTGGCCTCCCAAAGTGCTGGAATTACAGGCATTAGCCACTGCGCCCAGCCAGGAGGCCATTATTCTAAGTGAAGTAACTCAGAAGTGGAAAATCAAATACCACGTATTCTCACTCATAAGTGGGAGCTAAGCTATGGGTGTTCAAAGACATACAGAATAATATAACGGACATTGGAGATTCAGAAGTGGGAAGGGTGGGAAGAGGGTGAGGGATGAAAAACTACCTATTGTGTACAATGTACACTATTCAGGTGATGCGTACACTAAAATCCCAGACTTTACCACTATACAATTCATCCATGAAACCAAAAACCACTTGTAACCCTTAAGCTATTGTAATAAAAAAAAAATTTACTGTGGCCCAGGAATCTCACCCTAGAGCCAATCTTGCCTAGCTGGGTCATGTGACTTTGAGTCAGTTACTCACCTCTGTTTCCTCATCTGTAAGTGGGGAGTATGAGAATAATAGACCCTACTCACAAGACCAATGTGACTATTAGGTGAGTTATAACTATGGACAATCAGGACAGTGCTTGCCACATAGGAATGACTACGTGAGGTTGACCGCTTATGCAATAATCAGTTTTATGGTTATATTTAAAATTCAGACTTTCAGGCACCATCCCTCATACCCAAACATTTTTGATCCAGCAGGTCTGGGATGGGGTGGAAGAATCTGTCTTTGCAACATGTTCCCTTAGTTATTCCTGTGCATGCTTAAGTCTGAGAACCACTGTACAGCCTCTCCTTGATGAACACTTTGTTTTTACCACTCAGCCACTGGCTGCTTATCTATCTAAACATTTTTTTCAAGTACCACAACATAGGCAATGAAGCCAAATTTTGCCAGGTACACTTTCAGTGCAAAGAATGTTGTGTGTATTGGGGGAGCCCAAGGGAACCAGGGTCCAGCCTCATCAGGACATGACCTTGGCTGAGTCAGTCACTTCATTCCTTGGTAAGGTAGCCATGAGAGTTGAAAAGTCGATGGCCTAACGTCCCTTCCCAGCAGGTATGCACAAGTTCTGCATCACTGTACTCCCATTTGAAATGAACTCTTCTGTCTTCTTCTTCTCATATATTTCTCACCCTCCCTGTCTGACTCTGAGACCTCCTTGAGAATGCAATCACTCAGCTATTCATGGTGCTCTGGATCACGTCAAAGACCAGTTTTGTGAGCGTCACTTTTCTTTCATATGTAGAGAACATGATGCATGGCTGTGAACACCTCCAAGCTGACTGGCATTGGGCCCCAAACATGCACTGACCCGCAGCTTTGAAGTCTATCATTCTGGAAATATAGCCTGGGAGAAGCACACAGGTGCAATTTCAATAGGGGATTGTGGGGGACAATAGCTTCTGATTGGGATAAGATCCCACCCATGTCAGAAATCAGCTGTGGCGTAATCAACAACTTTGTATTAAATGACAGCACATTCAACAGTTACCTTATATTCTGAAGGAATGAGTTTAATGTGGAAAACACAAGCCAGAAAGCTAAAGAAATTGAAATGCTCTGCCTGATTCTCAAAAAGGGGCTGGTCAGAATAAAAAGCCATTATTCCAAACACAACCTGAGAAGGAAGTTGCTGGGGCAGGGAATGCATCTCAACCTGGCCATCAGTTGGAACTGCCCTCCTGCATTCAGTCCATGTCATGGAGTGCCCAGTATGACCTGGCCCTTCATCCAACTCAGCTGGGTGGTATTGGCAATGATAGGCAGTGCTGCTATCACTAGCAGTTGTTGCTATGATTTATTGAGTGTTGACTAAATGCTAGGCACAACATTTTACAAATATATTATCCCATTTAACCACCATGACAACCCTATGAGGTGGGTATTATTATCCCTACATAGATGTAGTTGCTGAGGCACAGAAAGAGGCTAACATGCCCCATGTCACAAAGTTAGAAAACAAAGGGTCAAGGTCTATGTCCAGCTCCATCTGGCTCCAGAACCACTATTATGTTTTAAGGAGAGGCCTTTGAACAAAATAGGACAAAAATGTGTGGACTGGCTCTTTCTGATAAATTTCAATATGTAGCTGGAGAAGGCATCAAACATATACAAACTGGGGGTGGGGAGTCAGTTTTGAAAAGGGCAGAGCATTAATTCTGCAGAAGTAGAGAGAGCATCAAAGTGAGAGAATAGTTTGTACAGGTAGGCATAGATTGGAAAGGGCGTCTTGTTGCTGATCTATCTTGTTATCTAAGCAGGACTGGGAAGACTATAAGACCTGGGACTTGTAACTAATCCCATCTCAAAGAATGGTGGGCTGCAGGGACCAGATTCAAGTGGATCCAGATTCATGGATGGATTTATGCAGTGTCTTCCCAAAAGAGATTCAATACAAGGAAGCAGGGTGAAGCAGGTAGATATGGCAGCCTAAGAAATTTGGTGGCAATTGGATGTTCCTTGAATGGTGGACCACAGGGATGATCCACCAGGAAAGTTGAGAAGTACTGTAATTTGAGTCCTAAATATGTACCAGGCCCTATTCTAAGCACTACATGCCTTACCTTCTTTACACTTCACCACAGTTTCTATGATGTAGGTTACTATATAACCCTATTTGACAGATGAGAAAATTGAGGCTCAGAGACAGGAACTAACTTTCTGAAGTTCATGTAGCTAAGAAGTAGTGAAATGAGAATTCAAACAAGATAGCAAATGATCTAATTATTGTCCTCAGATTTCTATTAAGTCCTTGATTCAGGTTTATTTTTGTGCCTAACCCAGGTGTCAGGAGGGTTTTTATTACCTCTAGATTCCGAACTAGACTCTCTTTAGCCCCTGATGATCATAGTTACCCAATAAAATAACATTTTGGGTGTTAGGATACATGTGATCTAATCTCATCCAAGTATCTAGATTATAATCATTTCCACACTCTTCATCCATCTCAACCATTATTCAGTTCCTCATTCAACAAAAACCTTTTATTCTTTTTCCTACATTCTAGGCACTATTCCAGGCCTTACAGACCAAAAATGAATAAGACAGACAGGCAGAGAAATAGGAAAACATATAAACTCAGATCATTCCTGTAAATAACTTTGGTAGAAGCATTAAAAGATTTGTGTGTATATGTGTGGGGAGAGGGAGACCCAGAATGCCTTATTTAAGAGATGCAACTATGGAAACCTAGCAACTCAAGTTTCACTCCTGGACCCTGTCATCCTTGTCTCCATTCTCATGCCAGCTCCAATGTGCTGTGCCCAGCCTTTCCCTTTACCCTCTAAGTCTTGCATTGACTTCAGTTCCATTCCAGTTCCTAAATTCCTATTGCTCCTTTGACCATATAATGTTCAAATTCACTAATAAGTATTGGAAATGACATCTACCTTTTTCCCAAAACTTAGGTTTTTGGATAATAGAGAGCGAGAAAATGAAAGGCCTATTTCTGAAAGAAGAAGAAGGCAGAGAACCATGGCAGGAAAAGTCTGTATCGCTTGTTCTAACTTAAGGGGTGTGTGTGTGTTTGTGTGTCTGTGTGTGTGTGTGTGTGTGTGTGCGCGTATAGGTACTGTTAGCTAATTTTTATGAATGGCGTGCTAATCAGTGGAAAAGTTTCATGTCTACAGAAATTCTTTTCCATTGGCTCTTTAAAATATACTAATAACTCAAGACATTTTGCTTCCTTTTCAGAGATGATTGTGCAAGTCACTGGCCAACAACCAAGAAATCAAAATATCTTTCCACTGGTACTTAATCAATTTTCTTTGACTTACCTAAACAAAATCTATAAGCAACATGTGGTCACAACACCCAGAAAAAAAATGAGAGTGATCCCATTTTTATGATGAGTATGTTAGTATAGAGAGCACAATTTTTAGTGCTTTATTTCTCAGCCGTATCTGTAAAATGGGCATGTGCAAAGCAAGACTTTATGCTAGAGAGATGTGGAGGGTTGAGGGGGTGAGAGATCTGGCATGTTCCTCAGTCCATGCATGCTTATTGATGCACAAATGTGATGATGCTGGCAAGCAGAATCCAAGCAACAGGTTAGCTCCATGTATTTGGTGCATGGTAAAGCCGAGTTGAGTGAATAACTAATTCTGTTTAAACCCCCTATCCTTCTGCCTCCTCCCTTCTCTACGAAATGATACATAGCAATGAGGTAAGTAGGATAATACATAGCCTCTTTATGTATTAGTTTTCTATTGTGTAACAAATTGCCCCCAGAATTTAGTAGCTTAAGACAGTTTCTTTAGGTGAGGATTGTGGGAGCAGTCTGGCTGGGTGGTCTGACCCAGTGTCTCTCAGAAAGTTGGTCTTGAACTCCTGACCTCAGATGATCCAACCGCCTCAGCCTCCTAAAGTACTGGGATTACAGGTGTGAACCACCACGCCCAACTTCTCATAAAGTTGGAATCATCTGAAGACCTGATTGGAGCTGGAGGACTTGCTCTCAAGGTCACACACCAATGGTTCTTTGCCAACTGTGAGCTGGAGGCCAAAGTTCCTCACCTCATTGACCTCTTCACAGGGCTGCTTCAGTGTCCTGATTACATGGCAGACGGATTCCCTCACAAACAATTAAACCTGGAGAGAGAAAACAAGGCAGAATCCTCAATAATCTCAGAAACCATATACAAGGAAATCATATACTTCCTCTATATTTATATTATTCACATGCAGCAATTACGATACGATGTGGGAAAGAAGGGAGTGAATACCGGGAAGTAGGGATTACTGGGAGCTGGCTAGCATCGGTTTCTGTGGGATTGTTCATTTTCTGTCATGTAAGCTAAATATGGGGATGAATGTGAGTCTCACAGCCCAACGTTGTTCTGCTGTGGCATATGCTACAGTCAAATAAGAATATAAGATGTATTTCTGATTTACTGATTTCAGATTCAGATTTAGACCATAGTATTTACCATCTTCTATGTCTCTATTTTTCCTTAGTTCTATTCTAAACTCTTGCTGTTTTTATGGCATTATCTGCAGATGACCAAACCTACAGTGTACCATTCTTGATAATTCTGAATTTCATAGATGTTGAAATATTGGGGAGATGTGACCCCCCCCCCAAAGAAATAAAGCTCTTAGTCCCCATGAAAGTTCTGAACTAATTAAGACCAAAAAAACAAATAAGGGTATGCAAAATACTTTATTTCTGAAAGACTGATACTGGGAAATGCTATTTATATCTAAAGGCAAGTAGCTTGCCTGATATTGAATTTCAGCATTGAAAGACCCATCCCCAGAGTCCTAGGTAGCCCTGGACCATGATAAGCCTCCTTTATGGCCTGCCTCCATAATATGGAATAAAGAAATAGAGTAGATAGTGTGCTTTCAGTAGACAGGCTCACTTGCAAGAGGAAAAAGAGGAAATATGTGGACAAAGTTATGCCTTCTCAGTTTTCCATACAAACTCATTGACTGGTAAAATCACCACACCTTCTATAAGATGAAAAATGAGCAAAGAGAAGCCAGGAATTTTATGCTAACAGGGATCTATCATATGGTAAGAAATACCAGGTGTAATTTAAAAGTCATATACTCCTGGCTGGGTGCGGTGGCTCACGCCGTAATCCCAGCACTTTGGGAGGCTGAGGCGGGCAGATCACCTGAGGTCAGGAGTTCGAGACCAGCCTCAACATGGAGAAACCCTGTCTCTACTAAAAATACAAAATTAGCCAGGTGTAGTGGTGCCTGCCTGTAATCTCAGCTACTCAGGAGGCTGAGGCAGGAGAATTGCTTGAACCTGGGAGGCGGAGGTTGCGGTGAGCCAAGATCGCGCCATTGCATGCCAGCCTGGACAACAAGAGCGAAATTCCGCCTAAGAAAAAAAAAAAAGTCATATACTCCTAATAACAGATGTTTAAAAGTAAGAAATATAAGATTCTGCTTATGGTATATAAAACAAAGCCTCTACCAAGCCAATACTTCCTCAGATGTCAACTAAATATAAATAACAACTACTGAAGGCATTGAAGAGTGAATAAAAGTAGGAATATTCTTGAAGAGAATCAAAATTTGGAAGAAGGACAAATTAGATAATTTGACTTATCTTCAAAATAATTTTTGTGTTTTCTATCTTTACAGCTTTTTAGTCTGAAGGTGGCCACAAGGAAAGGCTAACAGTTTGATAGAAAACTGCAATCCTTCTAGTTTGAAGAAGCATAGTCTGTGGAAAATGAGAGGAAGGCAGAAATCTCAGAAAGGAGAGAGCTAAAGTAGGAAGGACACAATCTACATCTAAAATCTGCCCAAATCTCTGAATAAACGCTGAACCATATAAGCATGAGACAGAGTATAAGAATAATAGCTAAAAATGAAAGAACTGGACTTATATTTGAGCTACTACCAAGAGACCGAGTTTGCAGTATGAATTCAAACAAGTTAACCACCTGATAAAACAAGAGAAAATTAGCATTTTTGGAGACATGAAATAGAATCAAGAACATAATAGTCACAATATTCATTATATAATCCAAACTTCTTTAACATATGAAGAGTCAAAAAAAAAGTGACTTCTTCTAAAGATAAAAGACAATCAAAGGAAGACTGCATCAATAAAAATGATAAAACAAGGCCAGGTGTCATGGCTCACACCTGTAATCCCGGCACTTTGGGAGGCCGAAGCAGGCAGATCACTTGAGGTCAGGAGTTTGAGACCAGCCTGGACAACATGGCAAAACCCTGTGTTTACCAAAAATAAAAAAAATTAGCCAGGTGTGGTGGCATGCACCTGTAATCCCAGGTACTCGGGAGGCTGAGGTACGAGAATTGCTTGAACCTGGGAGGCAGAGGTTGCAGTGAGCCAAGATGACACCATTGTGCTTCAGTCTGGGTGACAGAGCAAGACCCTCAAAAACAAAACAAAACAAGAATGATAAAAGTAAGAACCGGCCGGGCGCGGTGGCTCACGCCTGTAATCCCAGCACTTTGGGAGGCCGAGGCAGGTGGATCACGAAGTCAGCAGATCGAGACCATCCTGGCTAACACGGTGAAACCCCATCTCTAATAAAAATACAAAAAATTAGCTGGGCGCGGTGGCAGGCGCCTGTAGTTCCAGCTACTCAGGAGGCTGAGGCAGGAGAATGGCACGAACCCGGAAGGCGGAGCTTGCAGTGAGCCGAGATAGCGCCACTGCAGTCTGACCTGGGCGAAAGAGCGAGACTCCATCTCAAAAAAAAAAAAAAAAAAAAAAAAACAGGAAGAACCAAATGAAAATTTTAGAACTAAAAAATGTTATATCTAAACTTAAAAATTCACCTGGTAGGCTTTATAACCAAAAGGAAATGACAAAGGAAGGAGTCAGTGAACTTGAAAATAAATAAGTCAAATGATCTAATTTGGAAAACAAAGAAGAAAAATTTTTTTTACATGAGTAATATAAAATGGTTCAACTCATGTGTAGTTGAATTCTCACAAGAGAAGATAGAAATTTGGAGAGAAAAAAGTATTTGAATAAATAGTGGTTAAAATTTTCCCCAATTTGGGGAAGGATATAAATTGAGACTCAAAAACTCAGTAAAATACAAGCAGAATAAATGCCAAAAAAAACTAACATATCTCGCTAGCTACATTATAGTCAAACTAATAAAAATCAAAACCAGAAAAATTTGAAAGCAGCCAGAGACAAGTGACACATTACATCCAAGGGAGTAATAATTTGAAACCACTAACTTTCCACCAGAAACTATGGAAGACAGATGATACTGGAACAACTTGAAAGTGCTAAAATAAATTTTAAAAATAATAACAACAACTGTCAACCCAAAAATCTATATTCAGAAAAATGTCCTTCAACAATGAGGGCAAAATAAATATGAGTCAAGATAAAAAAAACTGAAAGAGTTTATTGCCAGCTATACTGAACAACCAAGAAAATTCTTCAGGTTGAAGGAAAATTATAGAAAAAAGAAACTCAGATCATTTGGATATAGTCAAGAACCTCAGAACTGGTAAATATCCACCAGAAATGTCAAGTATGTGAACAAATGTAAGAAACTATTTTTCTGTTAAATTAAAAGCCTTCTTATATATTATATGTTGTATGCATGTACTAAGATATCACTCTGCCTCATAAGTATGTACAGTTATTATGTATCAATTAAAAATAAAAGAAAAAACTCTTCTCTAAAAAAAAAAAATATGACCTAGCTAGCTTCACTGGGGTAGCTTACCAAACATTTATGGAAGAGATGGTACCAATTCTATACAATTTTTTTCTAGGAAGTTGAAGATTAGGAAATATTTTGCTACTTATTGTATGAGGCCAGCATTACCCTGATACAAAACCAGAAAAATGTACTAGAAGAAAAGTGAATTTTTCACCTATAGTCTTGAGGGATATTCTCAAAGAGAATCAAAATTCCCTTCAGATGACCACACCCAGAGTGTACCATTCTTGATAATTCTGAATTTGATAGAGGTTGAAATATTGGGGAGACCCCTCAAGAAACAACTCTTAGTTCCCGTAAAAGTTCTGAACTAATTAAGACAAAAAAAATTACATAAGGTAGGCGAAATACTTTATTTCTGAAAGACTGATAGTAGGAAATGCTATTTATATCTAAAGGCAAGTAGCTTGCCTTTAGGGATATTTCCTCAAGAATGTAGGTGAAAATTTTAAAGCAGACTTTTAGGCAAATTGAATTTAAAAATATATAAAAAAGAATCATTCATCATGACTGTATTAGTCCGTTTTCACACTGCTATAAAGAACTATCTGAGACTGAGTAATTTATAAAGAAAAGCTATTTAATTGGCTCACAGTTAAGCATGGCTGGGGAGACCTCAGGAAACTTACAATCATGGCAGAAGGTGAAAGAGAAGCAAGGTATATCTTACTTGGTGGAAGGAGAGAGAGAGCAAGTGAGGGAGGAAGTGTCACACACTTTTAATCCATCAGATCTTGTGAGAACTCACTCACTATCACGAGAACGGTATGGGGGAAATCTGCCCCCATGATCTAATCCCAGAAATGCAACATTTGGCAAGAGTACCACAGAGGTGATATGCTCTTCCCAATGCACCATATCAGGGGAAATATGATGTTAATAAGTCTTATTACTGGTGATGCTAGCCTGCTTACTTGATTAAGGTAGGGTCTGCAGGGTTTCAATCTCACAAAATCACTATTTTTTTTTATAATAAATATGTACTTTAAGACTGGGCAATTATCTTGTTTTTCATACTTTCATGCAATGATTTTGACATTGATCTGTGTATCTTGCCTGTAACAATGATTACTGTGGTGTTTTAGTGGTAGTTTTTATATTTCCCCCATTGCTTCTTCTACATTTATCAATTGGAATTAAGAAAGAGCTGTTCCTTTTTCACCCACTTATTAATTTACTAAACTATTTATATCAGTGAAGATTCATGAATAGTTTCTTATTCTGTGAGTTTAATAAGCCAGCATTACTCTTATTATTTATTTATGGCTCTTTTTTTTCAACTATGGTCATTGGGAGCTTTTTCAGGCTGGTTTCTGCCCTTTTGATGTGCCTTCATTCTTTACTAAGCACTTCTTTATTTTATGGCCCACAAGGTACTCCAGAGGAATTTTGTGTTTTCTCCTTCCCCAGCCTTGCAATCAACTGTTTCTCCAAGGAGCCCTTGATCCTTTTATTAGAGAATGTTTAGAAATCAAGACTTACGTGTTTGGTGTGTTCATTGCTACTAGGATATCATAGTTTCTAGGCCCTCTCAGAGGTCAGAACTAGGAAATATATGTATGTATATTACATATATGCATAATATAGATGTATATAACATACATGTATATATGTATGTACACACCCATATGTACACACATCTATGTTAGTTTCTATGTCTATCTCTCTGGATATGTATTTAAAAGCCATGAGTTCCTACCTTATGAATTCAATACCTTCCATTTTAAACCACCACCCCAGGGGTCATTCTAGCTTTCCCTTTTTCTTTATGTACCTTAACTTTTTACTTGATATATTCATATATATTTGAGGGTTTTTAAAAAGTTTGTATTACATTTATAATTAAAACATCAAAATAAAAATAAAAGCAAATGATATTATATTAACAAGTATAGTGCTTGTCAGTCACCCGCACTGGGCAAAGCAATAAGATGGATATAAATGAAAATGAGACATATACTCTGTCTTTAAAGAACTTTATCATATTGACAACATGTGATGCAACAGCAAGTCAATCTTGCCCAAGATAAGCAATTGAGTAGTAACTTAACATGATAGAAAGATTTGACAGATATTTATGGTCTTAATAGCTAATATTCTCAAAGTACTTTTGAGCTATTCTGATAAGGAGGTCTTAGAAGTTGCCAATACTCTCAAGCTTTCTCTTGTATTGTTTCATTTTATTAGAGCAATAAATTCTTTCTATTGATTATGAAACTTAGTTGCTCTTGAACAGAAAAAAAGATAAAGAACTACTGAAAGCTCTTAGTTTAAGTTCTCTGAAGTGTGGCAAGATATAACTTGCCTTCAGATTGTGATGCTTTTTATGACCTGATCAGCAGCAATAGCTATTGCTCCCTCCAGTGATCAATTTAACATTTAGTAGGACTCAATATCCTGGTAACCAACACAAATGGATGGGAGGAACTTAAGTGCACAGACCTAATTGATATTAGTCTCCTAGCCAGTTCCTATAACCTGCAATCAAAGTCAGGGTGTAAGCCTCCAGTAAATTTAGGAGAGAGAGACTTCTTCCTTTAGGTAAGAGCCTTATTTAGGACTTTATACACAATCATTAAGAAATATGCTCAGCCCTCAAATATCTCTTGATTGATGAACTGATGGTAAAAATTCCACTATTAGCATTTTTTCTCTTTTATATACTGCCTTTTCCTCTGTTAAATTCAAGAATTTGAGAGCTGTAGGCAGGAAGTTACAATCAATCCAGTTTGGGTCAATAAGCATGTATTGAATGACTTTTATAGACAAACACTGTGCTAGGCTTAGGCTGCAATGCTGAGTAAAATGCATTCCTTGATTTAAGAACCAATGTAGTCTAAGCAACAATTTCCCAAAGCCACCCAAAGAAATGCAGAGGATTGAACCAAGGTCCTTGTTAAATGAAAATAAAGATACCCAGGCTCTATCCCAGAGATTCTGATTCAATGAATCTGAAGTTCTGAGAAATTTATAGGGTAGACATAGTATTTAGACTGGGCAATGATAGATGAGTGGAGTTCATTTGTTAGACAACGGTGTGAGGAAAAAAGGCATTCCAGGCAGAGAGAAGAGCGTAAATGCAAATGCAAAAGAGGGAAAATGTTTTGCATGTTCGGTGGGCAATTCATTGCCTGCTGCAGTTTGAACATAAACAAGTGGGATGTGTGAACATATGGACAAAGAGAATGAAACTATGGGAGAATTCACAAAGAGGCCACAGACAAACAGGAAAAATGCATTAAGCTATTGATTTAAATGTAGATGTATTCATTCACTCATTCATTCAACAAATACTTATTTAGCACCCACTGTGCCCACATTGAGTAAGCAGCTTGTCAGATAAAGATCACAGGACACGATGAGAATGGGGTCTTGCAGCATAGAAGGGAAAGTAAAACTCAAAGATGACTCGCTCCAGCATTTCAATGCAAAGTGTTGAAAATGTTGGGGTTGGAACCCAAGACAAGATTCTTGAGATGGTGCTAATTTGCATTTGAGTAGAAACATTGGAATTAGATGGGATAATGTATGTAAAAATTAGTTGTAGCTATATGTTGCTACACAAATGTTCTGACCGCTACATAGTCATGCAAAAATTATGCATATGAAGTATGAGCGGAGATTGACCCCAAGACAGGTTACTTAGGAAGGAATAAGCTTAAAGTCTGACTTTTGGTTCCTTAATTGTCTATCATAAAGGAAGAAGCTTAAGGTCTGACTTTTGGTTCCTTAATTCTCTATCATAAAGTCTCCCACCAGGCCCCAACCCAAGGACACCCATTTTGTTCAGAAAATCTCATTTGCCCCCAAATGAGATATTTAAGTCAAGGAATTTATGCACAACCTACCTCCTGCTCCCCTCTCCTCTCTTTCCCTCCCTTTTCATCTCCCTCCCTCCTTTATCCTCTTTCCTCCCCTCCTCCCTTGCTTCCTTCTCTCCTTTGCTTTCTTTTTTATTGGTGTTGTTGTGCTTTGTTTTCTGGTTTGAACTGTTTGAGGGTACTCTGTTTAGGGAGTTTCTTTTTTGTTGTTTTGGTTTTGTTTTTCATTGTTGTTTTAGTTCACTTCAAGTTTTTTGTGTGAGTGTGTGGAGAGGTACACTACAGGCTTTTCTGATGTGACGGATGATCCATGACAACATAGGTCTCTCTAAGCTCCTCTGCTTCTTTAAGTGACCTGACGTGGAAATTATGTCAAGGATAAGAGAATCTCAGTGTTTTAAGAATTAAAGCTGGGCCATTATCTTAGTCATCTCAGCCTGACATAACAAAATACCATACACTGATGGCTTAAACGCCAGAAATATATTTCTTACAGTTTTGGAGGCTGGGATGTCCAAAATCAAGGTGCTGGCAGATTCAGCGTCTGGTGAGGGCCCACATTTTGACTTGCAGAAGGCCGCCTTCTCACTTTGTTCTTACATGGTGGGGAGAAAGAGCAAGATCTCTGACGTCTCTTCATATAACGGCACTGATCCCATAATGAAGGCCCCATCCTCATCACCTCATCTTAACCCTAATTACTTCCTAAAGGCCACATATCCAAATACCATTATATTGGGAGCTAGGACTTCATCTAAATTGGGTTGGGAGGGAGACACAATTCAGTCCATAGCCACCAGTGAATCCCCAGATACCAAGAACCTTTCTCTTCATGTGCTATGGCTGGGGCTGATGGTCCAGGGTGCTTACTCCTTAAGGCCACATGGCCTATGAAGTTCACCTCACATATGCTATAGCCAAGTTTATCATTAGACCAGAAAATACGTCTGACCAGGTAGTTGTAAGGACAATGAAAGACCCTGCATCAAAGGTGGAGGGACAGATATCACTATAAAACTTCAGTGCAGCCTGGGATACCCCTGTGAGGTCTCTCTGATGCCTTCTCATCACTTTTCTGATGTTGTTATATTTTTCTTTTTTCTTTCTTTTTTTTTTTTTTTTTTTTTGAGATGGAGTCTCACTCTGTCGCCCAGGCTGGAGTGCAGTGGCGTGATCTTGGCTCACTGCAAGCTCTGCCTCCTGGGCTCATGCCATTCTCTTGCCTCAGCCTCCCGAGTAGCTGGGACTACAGGCACCTGCCACCACGCCTGGCTAATTTTGTTTTTGTATTCTTAGTAGAGACGGGGTTTCACTGTGTTAGCTAGGATGGTCTCAATCTCCTGACCTCGTGATCCGCCCGCCTTGGCCTCCCAAAGTGCTGGGATTACAGGCGTGAGCCACCATGCCCTGCCGATGCTGTTATATTTTTCATCTTTCTCCAGTGGTCAAGTCAGATCTCACATTTTGGGTGGGTACTTGGAAGGTCATGTCAGTGAACTTTCTGTTCAGCTCAGGGATGACCCTCCCACAGCCTTGGCAGTGCCAGCGAATGCAGGGATGATGCTCTGGGTGGAACCCTAGCCATCATGCCAATTTTCCATTGGAGCTATCTAAAGTTTTTGTATGGCAGTAATAACATGGACTGTGGTCACTAATCTCTCCACAACATCAATGCTACGGTGACCTTGGCCAGGGTGGCCATGAGTTTGCTGGTGCAGGAGGCACTGCTGCCAATCTTGAAGGAGTGGTCATATATCTTATGACTCACTGCCACCACAAACATGGCAGCAACCACAGAAGTGGTAGACATGATGATACCTTGGGGTCTATCCTACAAGTGAGTCCCAGCCTCTTATAAGGTAGTGAAGACACCAGTGGACTCTATAACATATTCAGCCCCAGCATTACCCGCCTTGTGTGCTGTAAGATGGAGATGTACCTCCCACTGATCACAGGTTTCCAGTCTCAGCTTTGACAGTGCCATTTAACTTGCTATGGAGGACTCATACAAGAATCACAGTTGGTGATCAGTGTGGTTGAAGTAAATGGCATCCAATGAAAGTGACGATATTGCTCTGCAAATGTTAAAGGCAGTTCTTCCTGGCTAGCAGGCACCTGATGTGACCAAATCTGTTTATTCTAAACCTTCACCACCATGTCTTAGAGATGCAGCTGGCACTGCACCGAAAGCACAGCTGACTGTTGAGTGGGAAGGAGCTTTTTCTTAAAGAGGAAAAAGGGCAACATGTTTCTCTGTATCTAATCTCTAGTTTCTCACATTCTTACTGAAATAACCAAAGAGGAAATTATCTGTATTAACACTGGAACCTGGAGATGAGTACCAACACATGCCAGACGCCTGGAGGAAATTTCTCAGATGCGTTTTGCAGAAAGAACCACTGGGGGCTGAAACAGCCTCAGAGAGAAACTGGACCATAAAGATGCGGCAAAAGAAGTTCCCAGGGCCAGAGCACACAGCCCCTGTGACTGACAGAAAGGGTGTTTTACTTGTCTATTGGAGCCATTGAGAGGTTCTAACCAGGTGAGTGATTAAGTGAACTTCTATTTTTCACAGATTAACCTAGTTACTGGAAGGCAAATAGGCTGCCCGGGAACAAGAGTGGAAAAGAGAGACCAGTTTAGAGACTTGTACTAAGGTAGGAGAATTGGGAACAGAATAGAGTGGATAAATGTTCTATATATATATTGTAGGGACAATAATAGGATACAGTGTTGCATTAAAAATATTTGTCTCTGCTGGTGAAATTGTAGGTTGATTTTTAGTTACCTCTTTTTTATGCATTTTATAATTTTTCTACAAGGAATATAAATTACTTAAATTTTTAAAAACTTAAAAATTAAAAAAAAATCTTCCTGAACAAACTAAAAAGAGATAACTTGATTACGTATAAGGCATATCCTGGATAAATAGCTTTCAAATAAGACAAGTTCTCAAAATAAAAACAAAGCAGATGAAACAGGAGTAAGACTAGCCACTGGCATGTATTAGGGGGTAGGATTTTCCTCTTTATGTTTAACTAGGGCAGTGGTGTAGGATTTTTTTTTTTCAGCATTGGAATTCTTTCTTCAAATAAAATCTCAGTGGATGCCCTGTATGTGGTAGACATCACTGGAGCACTGTCTGGGAAAGAGCTAGGAGGCTCTGAGTCCCACCTGCTCCATTCATGCCTGAGGCTGTGCTCTTCCCTCATCTTCCCATTTCCCCAGGAACAAAGGCCAAGGCACCTCCAAGGGTGAGATCAACAATTGTTTTGTTTTTTCTTTTCTGTTAGCTTTATGGATTTCAGCAGAGGCAGCTCTGTTTGATGCATGTAATATGTGGCTGACAGATAAAGCTGAGTGGAAGCCTGGCTTCTATCCTTAGTCAATCACAGCCATTATTGTGCACTGGCTAGAAGGAATGCACAGTGAAGGCAATATAGCACTGATTACAAAGATACCTTAGATGGAAAAACAAACAAAACGGTGGAAAGCAAGAAGAAGAAGCCTTTTCTCTTTCAAGGAAAGAAAAGACAAATGAAAGATGAGAACATGACTTACAAGCAAAATGTCTGCCCCAGGTTAGGCTTGAACTACATCTTTGATTTTCTGTTTGAATCCAAGTCATTGCTAAGGATACCTAAGCAAGTCTGAAGGAGCAGGGCCAGTTCAGCAAAGGCAAATGGACTGGCCACCTTTCCCACAGGCAATCACTTCCCCTTGCCTGTCACCACTCAGACAATCAAGGGGTGTAATTGCTCCTACAAAATCCAGTTTGCAGCACGGCTTTAAGAGTTTATGAATTCAGGTGGGGAAACCATACCTGTTAGACTAGTTTGTCTGGGAAGAGGTGTGATGAGGAGCAGGTTCATGGGAGAGTAGGTAAGAAACACATTATTTTTCCATCTCAAACTCTTCTCCCTCTTCATTCTTAGGGTTTCAGTTAGCAGCTGCCCTATTCTCATATGCACTCCTGGTCAGATGGTGCACCTGGGTTGGGCATAGACTCATGGTGGACCAATTCTAACACCTCATCGCCACATCCAGGGAATTACTTCTCCAGGGGTGGTGATCTAATACATGTTGAGCCTCTGAGTGCCTCACCAAGGTTTCTGGATTTGAAACTAAGAACATCATTTAATCTTTTTCTGGCAATGAGAAAGGTAAACATTAAGATTCTACCCCCTCTTTCAGTAGGTGAATGGATTAACAAACCCTGATATGTCCACACAATGGAAAACCACATAGCTGTAAAAAGGAAGACACTATTGATACATATATCAAATTACATTAATTTCAAAGACACTATGCTAAAGGAGAGAAGCCACTATCAAAAGGTTACAGTGCATAGCTTGCTTACATTCTCAAAAAGAAAAACTTTAGTGACAGAAGGAATATTAGTGCGTGCTAGAGGTTACAAGTGGGGTAACAGTGTTACTATCATGGGATAGCAGGAGGCAGTTTTAGTGGCTCTGAAACTGCTCAGTATCCTTATCATAGTGGTAGTTACATAAATCTATACGTGTATTAAAATTCACAAACTTTTTTTCAAAGAAAAAAGTCAATTTTATTGTATAAGAATTTTAAAAATGGTTTAAAATTATATTTTAAAACATACCTCTAAAGAGAAAGCACAGATGGCTGATTTACAGAAGATAGAAGATAGAGAAGATTAAAACTGTTGAGAAGCAAGAAAATATGAAAGATGGCCCCAAGTCTGCTGGATCCAGCTGTTCCAGGGCAGTTATAGTTTCATTCTTGGGTTCCATGACACAATCTTACACTCTTATAATAACTTTCCTTTTGTGCTTAAAGCTAGTTTAGCCAGGCTGGTTCATTAGCAATCCAGAATCCTAACGAATGTAGTAAGTAATCACTGGTTCTAAGGGAGGAGACCACCCCTCATATTGTCTTATGCCCAATTTCTGCCTCCAAATAAAGAAAAAGTGAAAACTGAAAGGCAGAAATGAAATCCACAAGCAGACAGCCCGGCACCACACCCTGGGCCTGGTAGTTAAAGATCAACCCCTGACCTAATCGATTATGTTATCTATAGATTACAGACATTGTATAGAAAAGCACTGTGAAAATCCCTATCCTGTTTTGTTCCGATCTAATTACCGGTGCATGCAGCCCCCAGTCACGTACCCTCTGCTTGCTCAATCGATCACGACCCTCTCACGCACACCCCCTTACAGCTGTGAGCCCTTAAAAGGGACAGGAATTGCTCACTCGGGGAGCTTGGCTCTTAAGACAGGAGTCTTGCCGATGCCCCCGGCCGAATAAACCCTTTCCTTCTTTAACTCGGTGTCTGAGGAGTTTTGTCTGAGGCTCTTCCTGCTACAGTTCAATTTTGCATTAGTTATTCTAGAGCTGGAGGGTAGCTTTCCTCTTTACAAGCATAACAGTGAGTGGACTTTACAGATAATGCCACCTCAGCATTTATAGATTTACCACATGGATACTAAAACATACATTCCAAACTCCTGACCCACTAAAGTTTAACACTTGCCAAGCAGTCTCTCTCCCTACGGTTGCCACATAACACAGAGTGGTCATTAAATCAAAGGAATTTTAAGTGATATTTATTGTTATACACAGTTTAGCTGACCTTATGGGATAGTTTACACAAAGCATGCCAGGAGAACTCCCATGTTACTAGTCTGCTAGTGAAGTTTCCTTCCATGGTAGGGGTGGGGATAAAGGAGGTATAGCATGGCTAGAAACCAGTGTTTCTTCCTTTTTTGTTTTTTAAAATTATTAATATTATTTTTGATTGACCAATCATAATTGTATGCATTTATGGGGTATAATACAGTGTTTTGATATATGTATACAATGTGGAATGATTAAATCAAGCTCATTAACATATCCATCACCTTGCTTATCTATCATTTTTATGGTGAGATATTTCAAATTTAGTCTTAGTTACTTTGAAATATACATTATTATGGATTATAGTCACTCTGCTGTGCAATTGGTCTCAAAACCTATTCCTCCTGTCTATCTGAAACGGTGCACCCTTTGATCAACAACTCCCATTCCTTCCCTATTCACCAGCACCCACCCCACAGCCTCTGATAACCACTGTTCTACTCTCAATTTCTAAGACTTCAACTCTTTCAGGTTCCACATTTAAGTGAGATCATGTGGTATTTGTCCTTCTGTACCTGACTTATATTTCACTTAGCATAGTGTCCTCCAAATTCATCCATGTTGTTACAAATGACAGGATGTCCCTTCCTTTTTTAGGGCTGAATAGTATTCCACTATGTATAGACACCACATTTTCTTAATCCATTCATCTACTGATGGACACTTAGATTGTTTCCTTCTCTAAGCTATTGCGAATAGTGCTGCAATGAATATGAGAGTGCAGGTATCCCTTTAATATATTGATTTGAGTTCCCTTAGATATATGCAAAGAAGTGGGATTGCGGGTTCATATGGTAGTTCTATTTTTAGTTTTTAGAGGAAACTTGAATACCTTTTTCATAACAGTTGTATTAGTTTACATTCCCATTAATAATGTATAAGAGTTCTCTTTTCTCTCTATCCTCACCAACACTTATCTTTCATCTTTTTGATAATAGCTATTATAACAGGCATGAAGTGATAACTCTTTGTGGTTTTAATTTGAATTTCCTCAATGATCAGTAATGCTAAGCATTTTTCCCCAGAAATGACAAATATCTGGGATATCCAACAAGCTTATTTTATTCCTCATGAAAATTTACTATATTTATCTAATCCCTGATTCCACTAGGGCTAAATGTCATAAATATCTCATTTATTCAGGACTTCACTTCCCCCATTAATACAAGAAAAAGAGAGAGCTATACTATCATATATTTATTAATTCATTCACATGTTTGAATATCTTCACATTTATTAATTTATACAACAACTATTAATACGGTTTTATTTCCTTCAGTGCCAGGAAAGCAAGGTGAGTAAAACAGAATAGTGGTTAAGGAGATACAGTCACATAAGGGAAGCAGACTTTCCAATAAATATCTCTACACTGGAGGCAGATACATATTCAGAAATGGCACTGTGGAAAGAGTGAAGGGCAGCAGTGGGACAGGACACTGCTTGGAGAAAGTGGCACGTGGGTTTCAAGGGGTGGGAAGTTGTTTGGCATGCTTCTAAGCAAGGAAGAGCTGTCTAGAGTGAGGGACACAAACAATGCAAGGGCATTAGACCATACAGTGGATTTGGGAGAACTCAAAGGAGTCTCATACTGTGCAGAGGGGGCCGAAGAGGTAACCAGGAGCAAGGCAACAAGTTAAGACTTTGTCCTGAAGGGGATGAACAACAGGATGGAGTGAGAGAATTGAATAGCAATGAGGGCAAAGTTGAGAAGATAAATTTAGAAGGGAAAAATGATAATACCTGGTAACTAACTGGGCATGGGATTGAAAGACGAGATCAGGATGCAGCTCATATTTATGGTTTGGGATCACAAGTGCATGGTGAAGCGATGGGGTCAAAGAACAAGAATGAAAACGGAGGAACAAGGAGTGAGGTGGGGATGAGAAATATTGAATTCAAGAGGGAAGTTGTTTCCTCTATCAAGAAAGCAAAATAAATCAGTGAGGAGGCCTGTCACTGGAATAAAAATTTTGTTTTGTCAGCATAGCAATGTCCTGCATATCTTTTTTTTTTCTCTTCTGGTTTATGTAGAAGAAATGAAGGAATTCTGGAGGATTTTCAGAAGACTGGGAAATGAGTTTTTCTCATCTGAAATACTTGGAGGCAGCCAAAGTGAGATAGAGGGGAAGCCACTGCTGATGAGTGGCCCACAGGCTGAAGGAAAACTGCTGAAAGGCTGATGGTGCCGTGCTCCAAGGGATGATTAAAAAACTTAGCAATCTAATTACCATCTGTGTGTGAGGCTCAGTTTGAGATAAGTGCAAAAACATTTCAGGAACAGTGAGAAAGGCAAAGGTCCCTTTAACTATGAGATTTGCTCTCAGTCACAAAGGCTTGGTGTAACATTAAGAGTCCTGTTTTAATAGAATTCTATTTTTTATTTGAAAAATGAGAAAAATAGGCTTATACATGCCTTACTGCCCCTGGAATAAGCAAAAAGACAAGAACAGAAATTCTGATAAACTGAGAGGTTAAGTTTGTTTTATTTTAAAGCTTGATTTTACAAAGCAGAATTTAGGATTTAAAAGGAAATATCATTACATGTATATACATAAAATTTACTTTGTAGTAGAAGTTCTCTTAATCAGCCTCAGCTAATCAGCAGATAAGCCAATATTCTGATCCTCTCTGTAAGAATCCTGACCCATGCTGCAGCTGTTTGTTTGCTCTATAGAACACCCTGGCCCTTGGCACCTCCCCCCCACCGCCCCCGTTGAGCTGTGTACTTAATTACCGAGAATATTTGTTCCTCATTCAACTCTACTGTTATTTTATATGCACTGTACTTAAATATTCCACAATCTGAACAATGTGATTGCAAAAAGAGTCGAATGCTTTAGAAAGACTTAATAAAGACAAATTACTTTTAAAAAATGAATTAGGTTGAGTGAGACAGCTATAAATGACCAAAAGGAAAAGTAAACATCTAGATGGAATATATATTCAGATTTTTTTTTTTTTTGCAAACAACTTTTGGTTCTCGTTCTACTTCATAGAAATGAAAACTGGAAATCACAGATAATGTATTCTAAGTATGACCTAAGCAATAAAGACCATGTAGAACTCCAGTCATAGGACCTAAGTTGCAAAACCCGTATTTTTATATTAAAGATTTTCATGTGAATATGTTTATATTTTAACAAAATGTTTTATTATTTTACACAAAGGTGTGCACTTTATGTCATTCACCTTAGCCAACATTTGGATTACCTGTCCACCTTGACAGGTAATCTACAGATGAGAGAATATCTGCTCAACTACTTTGTCCATCCACTCATATAGCATCAATTATCATCAAAATACTGATGTCTCCAAAATCTGTATCTCTAGGACAGATTGCTCTTCTAATTTAAGATAGACTGCATATTGGATCTCCCCACTCCCAACCTGCATCTCCTTATGCATTTCTTGTCTCTAGGGGCCCAATATCACCCACATGTAAGCTTCATCTCTGATTTCCTCTTCACCCACCATTGCCACTGCAGCATCTGATCAATTCCTGAGGGGTGTGTGTAAGCAAGGGGGAATGTGGATTCTTATTTGTTAAGAACCCTTCACGTCTATGTAGTTCTATTTAGCCACACTGCCACTGTCCTATTTCCAGCCATTGTCAACTCTCTCCTGGAATCCTGCAACAAGCTCCTAATTGATTTCTCTGCTTCAACCTTCTTCCAATTCAAATATTTTAATTAAAATTGTGGTTGCCTCCTTTGAATGGGTCAACTTCTCTTCTGTTCCCACCAGCTTCTCACTTACAGATCTACCTGTTCCCTGGAGACTTTGAAGATTTTGACCCTTTGTGTCAGAATAAAGTCTAGACCTAGCATAAAACTTAGTCAGTGTGTATCCAGCTCACCTCTCCAGCATAGTTTCTACTGCATCCCGTTATTCTAGTTACTCTGAATAGAAAATGGTCATAATATACCCTGCTTTTTCCTATCTTCCAACCCGTGAACATTCATTTCCCCTGCATGGCCAACACCTGATTTATGGATTTAAAAACACGGCAAAGGAGAGCAAGCTATAGAAAGGTAGAAAGGCTACAAACTTTCTCCTCAGACAAGGCATTAGAATGGCAACCCCGCATTAGGAAGCCACAGAAATTAGCACCTATCTGTGCAGAACCCATGCATAGCCTGAATCTACCATTGAATTTGCTTTAGAATAAACTTCTCCATTAGGTAACCAAGTTAAGGGCACTATAACCTTGCCTGCTGGCTTTGCATCAGTTTTTCACATCACTGCAATGAAAAAGCTGACAACGGTCTGGTGTTGTGTGGGTCATCAACATGATGTGTCATGGCAACACTTATCCAACCGACTGCTTTGTCAAAAGTTACAGGAAAACAGAGAAGAGGCAGATACTTGGTGACAACTCGTCCTAGGGCAAGATAAGATGTATTACAAAGTCACTTTAAAATATTGAAGATGTAAATTACCTTTTTTTCAATATAGAATGTAAAAACTAGTTTTCTTCGTTCTAAGTATGGGCAGCAGTTGTGTATCTGCCCAGTAGAGGGAGGTCTCTCACCTGCTTACAAAAATAGCATTCAATACATAGTCATGCTCAAATGTGCAGGAAAAAAAAAAGATTTCAAAAACTTGAAAAAGGTTTGAAATAAAATCATGCCAAGGATTATTGGCATGATAATGGGATGCAGAAGAAACTAGTGGAGAGGTGAGCTGGGTACACATTGAATAGATTGTATGCTGAGTCTAGACTTTATCCTGACATAAAGGGTTATAATCTTAAAAGCCTACAGGGAAGAGGTAGATCTGTAAGTGATTGAAACAGCTGGCAGGAACAAAAGAGAAGTTGACCCACCCCAAGGACGGTTATTGGTGACTTGAAATCTGACTAAGATAACAAACAGAAAAGGAAAATAGATCATAGTAATACTCTTGGAGATTATTACGAAGTTCTCTTTGGTCCAGACTGCCTGACTTATAGAAAGATGTTAATATATGGCCCAGTCTGAGCATGGAAAGTCTAGTGAAAAACTCAGGCTCTCCATCCTGAGCAGTTAAGCTAGTGAGATATAGAAGATGTCTACCTTCAAAGATGGAGGTGGTTGATCACATTATTTTGCTATAGAATACATCCTGTGAATAAACATTTTGAGTGATAACAAGTGATCCAGTGAATAAAGATTTTGACTGATAACATCTCAACTAGAACCCAGGATTCTGAACCTACACAACCTACAGAACCCCACATTCAATATGAAGAACAGGCCAAGCAAACACAGGCTCTTTTCTGCTCCAGTCATGTGACTTCTTTAACATGGTCTCCTGATAATTAGGCTGACTTCAGGGAGTTCCAAACCAAAGTTTAGAACAAAACAAGGCAGTGGCTTTCCTAGTTCTTTCCCCCAAAAGATAAAACTCTAATCCAACCATTAGGTGCCATGCTTCTCTGATGACAAATAAAGGTGAGCCAAACAAACAGTAAGCCCATGGAAAACACACCTTCAAAATAGCAGGGAAATCACTGCTCCCTAAACATGGGGCAGAGCTTGTCCAAGCCACTAGGTGCCACCGCACAGCAGCACAAATGGACTTTTCATAGTCTTATTTAAAGAAAGTGTTTCAGAACTGAACCAAAAATTGGATAGGGTCTAACACATGAAATGAAAACTACAAATAAAAGTAGTAATATTGCCAAATGCCTATATGGTACTTGCTATGCCCTAGGCTCTATTCTGAGAGCTTCTCTCATACTGACTCATTTGCTCTTCAGCATCCCTGTGGTACTGTTATTTCCATCTTCATGTTACAGTTGAAGAAACTGAGTCACAAAATAGTTATTTTGCTAGTAAATGATAGGGTCAAGATTGGAACGCAAGTGTCTGCTTCCTGAGTCCTTGATTCTGGATGGCTAAGCCAGGAGAGATCCAGAATTGTGACATTTCTCTAAATAAGTGCATCTTTCATTTAAATGTCTACAAAATGTAGTATTGTCTCAACCAGAAAACTGTCCTCCAACTCGACTCTTACAGTTACATATAAATTACATTTATTAGCAATGTAGTATATTTAGTAAAGTTTGATGTAGTAAAGTAGGAGAGGCTAGGTCCTGTGAAAGTTTTAAAGTAGCTCTGAAGCCAGGTCCTCAGAGCTGCAAGAGCTTTGTTGGAGAACCTGAGAAGAAGGTCCTGGAGAGCCACAGGAGTGAACTCACTGCTCAGACTCAGGGCCTCCGTGCAAGCACCATCTCTTGCTCCATAGGCCAATAACATTCTTGCTGACCACCCTAGACCAAGGGTTGGCAAACTATTTCTGCAAAGGTCCAGCAAGCTTTGCAGACCATTCCGGCTCTATGGCAATCACTCAACTCTGTCATTGTAGTGCTAAAGCATGTACAGCTAATACATAAATGGATAGGCATGACTATGTTCCAAGAAAACTTTATTTATGAACATTGAAGTTTGAGTTTCATATAATTTTCATGTATTAGAAAATATTATTCTTCTTTTGATTTGTTTCAACCATTTAATTTGATTTTTGATATGTTACAAAAATTTTGATCTGTTACAAAACTATTCTCAGCTCATGGGCTGTACAAAGACAGGCAGGCATGATTTGGCTCTGGGGCCATGGTGCGCCTACCTTTGTCCTTCATGGAAATCAGGAAGGAGGAGGTGACAGATGGGGAGGAAGAAGCCTGAGCGCCACCTACAGGCCAGAAAATCTAATGTTACTCCCAGGATAACCATTTTGGAAAGTCAAATCATTTCTGTGGTTCCCAACCGTGGAAATACAACAGAATTATCCAGGGTGCTTGTTAGAAATACAAATTTTTAGGCTCCACTGCCAGAAATTCTGATTCAGTCATGTGGTTAGGTGAGGAATCTATTATTTTTAAAGCAGCTCATTGATTTAGGCAAGAGGTCTTCAAAATGTGGTTTGCACTCTGGGGAAGTATAGATATAGCCACTAAAGTATGGAAAGAAAATAGTAGAACTGCTTTCTATATAATTATTTGTCAATAAAAAGCAAGAAGAAAATGAAGTTTTATAAATACTTCTCACATAAGTTGACACTGGCTCCTTCACTGGGTCTGTGTGTCAGTGGTCATTGATCACAAACAATACATGAGGAAATTCTACAATGTGGAGGAACTGGTAGAGGCACCTTCACTCCTGTTTCCTGTCAGTGTACTACATAAGAAAAAAGGCCAGGACCAAGAATGACTGAGACAATTCTGAAGAAGAAAAAAGGAGATTTATCTACCAGATCTCAAAACTCATCATAAAGCTATGTTAATTAAGATTGTAGTAATGGTGCAGGGATAGACAAATAGGTCAGTGGAATAAAATAATCATGTAAAAGATGATGGACTACTCAATCCATGATACTGGGGAAACTGGTTACCTCTAAATGAGAAATGAATGTAGATCCCTAATTCACTTCATCAATAAAAATGAATTATAGGATAAATAAAGTATGAAGAATACAAATATTAAACTTTCAGAAGAAAATATCTTTTTGGTTTCAGAATAAGGTAAGATTCTTAAATAAGACATAAAAAGCATGAATTGTAAGGGGAAGGACTGATAAATCTGACTCCTCTAAAAGAAAAACGTATTTATGTTAAACAAGAAGCATCACAAACGTAATTAAAATTCAAGCCATGAAGCAGGAGATTTACAAAGTATATAACCAATAAAAGATTGTAGCTAGAATTTGTAAAGAATTACCACAAATCACTAGAAACAAACAAAAATACGCAGTAGGGGGAAAAGGAAAACAATAGGAATGGGTAACTCATAGAAGAGGAACTTACAGCTAAAAAGCCAATAAATACAGGGAAAGATGTTTAATATCATTAATATCAGGGAAATGTGATTTCAAATAACAAGATACCAAGTCATATACCAGATTGTGACTAGATTAAAATAGCTGATAATATCATGTGTTGTCAAAGATTGGGAGATAAGGGAACCCTCCTATGCAGATGCTGAGAGTGTAAGCTGGTATAACAATTTCAGACAGAAATTTAGCAATACTTGTTAAAGTTGAAGAGGCACAAACCTACAGCCTCAAATTCAACTTCTGGAAATATACCCTAGATAAATTCTCATACATGTTCCAAAAGAAGATATATAGAAGAATTTTTCGTAGCAGCACTGTTTGTAACAGAAAAAAAATAGTTAAACATAAACGTGCATGAAAGGGAGAATGAATAAACTGTGGTCTATTAGAAAGGACTTTTTAAACTGAGTGAATCAGAGTGACATGTGTTAGCACAGATAAACATCTAAAAACATAATGTTACTGAGAAAAGGCAAATTGCAGAAAGACACATGCAGTTTTAAAACAGGAATAATAATGCCAGACATTGTTTATGGAAGTGTGCATATGTGGTAAAGTAAAAACATGCAAAAGAATGATAAATTCAGCAATAATTCAGGATGATGATTGGTTCTCTGATGAGAGAAGAAGAGATAGGAAAGAAGGAGGGGATACAAGGTGTCCTGTCTATGTCTGTTAGACACCTAATAGGGTTGAGTTTTCTTTGTAATGTAATTCTGTGTACTTTTTAGTATGAGTAAACTGTTGTAATAAGGAGGGTTTAAAAAAAGAATAGAGTTAGATATAAGGTCACAAATTTTTAATCAAATACCAGAATGTCCTAAGCTTTAGTAGTGAACTGGGGTGGAGAAAGTTTCAGACAGATTTTGTCACCAACCAATAGATTCAAGAAATAAGGGGCTGCGCTGAGGTGACTGACACTTACAATGAGATCAACCCATCCTAATTTGCCCCAGACAGTCCTGGTTCATGTATGTTGCCTGGTGTGATTATTAATAGTTGTTCCTTTCCCTTTCAAATGTGCCTCACTTTGGAAGATCAATGATATGGTCTCCTGAATGATAAATCACTGTGGCTGATGAGGCAGGCTATGAGTGTTGGATTCAGGGGCTTGTCTGGTAGGAGACAAGCTCATTAGAGACCTCATTAGATGAATAAAGAGCTACACTGAGGAGAAGTTAAAAAGAATATGGATAGTAGCCAGTCTTCAACTGATCTTTTATCTGAAAACTGAAGACCTCAGGGGTCTCACCTTTTCTTTAGAACCATTCCAGTTTAGAATACAGGTCTGCGATCTTCTCATCTTCTCAAAGACACACCTGATGGAGTAAAAAGAATTACAGAGTTAAGATCACAAACCTGGCTGTGGACAAAAATCACCTGGGGAGCCTTGAAAGACAGATTCTTGGGTCCTAACACCAGATTATTGATTTGAAATCTGTAGAGTTGTGGCCACAGAATCCATACATTTTTTTAAACTCTACAAGTTACTTTGGTTCACAGACCCATGGAATTTTTTAATAAATACCAGAGCTCTCGCAGTTGTGCTATTTTAAATAGCTTACGGGGAACTAAAATCTTGTTTACATTAAATTTAAATCCTTATATATCTGACATAACCTGTCTTCATCTCTTGCCTTAATAATTTTCTAGCCTCATTATTCACAGCTTGCAGTCAATCTTTCTCTTGGCTGGGTGGAAGTGGATGGGGGTCTGTGACTAAGATCAAGAGAAGGCTGGGACCCAGAATCGGAACAGGCTTGTCATGGTCCCTTCTAGCAGCCATAAGGACACAGAAGACAATGCCAGACCAAGGAGTGTTCAGTTATTGTGCTGATCCCACACCCCCATGAGAAACTCTAGTCTTGGTTAGTTAGTGGATAAAACAGATGCCAGTGGGCTCCTGCTTTCTGGAGGAGGCATGCCAGAATGAACTTCCTTTTCTGAAGCCTCATGCTGGTTCCCGCTGGGTTTTTGTCTAAGAGGGTGGGCTGAAAATTAGAGAAAGAAAATTGTCTCAAGCTGTAGTAAAACTTACTGAGAAATGCTAAAGAATAATGTTTTGCATTTCCTGCTCTTAATTTTTTTGTTTGGTTTGGTTTTAGTTGTTCTTTATTTAGTTTCATTTTTTTTCTCCTAGAAAAGCATCTTTGGATTTGGCCAAGGGTTGCTGGATTTACTTTTTAATATACTGAAATACTGGAAGATATCTGTATACAATGAGAATGTGACTGGCTGGGTGTGTCGCAGCCAACAATAAAGGGTATACACTACTGAGCACTAGCTAAGCTTAGGTAATGGCCTTGCCAGCTTGAATTTTTTTTTTTTTTTTTTTTTTTGAGACGGAGTCTCACTCTGTTGCCCAGGCTGGAGTGCAGTGGCATGATCTCAGCTCACTGCAACCTCCGCTTCCCGGATTCAAGCGATTCTCCTGCCTCAGCCTCCTGAGTAGCTGGGACTACAGGTGCGTGGCACCATGCCCAGCTAATTTTTTTGTATTTTTAGTAGAGATGGGGATTCACCCTGTTAGCCAGGATGGTGTCAATCTCCTGACCTCGTGATCCACCCGCCTCAGACTCCCAAAGTGCTGGGATTATAGGCGTGAGCCACCACGCCCGGCCCAGTTTGAATTTTTAATTCATTGGCACTGGATTCTTGAGGACCCGGGTAATATTGTGTAACATACATGAGCTCCTAGAAATTGTTCTCATCGAATTGTCTGGGAAATAGTGTAAGTATAAAGTTAGACATATCTTGGTAATAATTTTTAGATATTTCATCTAATTGGATTTTCTCATTCCCTTGTTTAACTCTCTTTTGGGAGAGAAGGTTTTGGGGATAGGGAGAGTGTTAAACCATAAATACCTTCATCTCCCAAAGGCCTCTGAGAATTGAGGTCAGGCTAGAAATCTATCAGAAATTTATCTTATCATGTCCTAAAAGAATCCTTTGTCACTGGCCTGATCAAGCTGATTGATGATCTCCTACATGTGTAATTTTCAACCTTCATTGAATATCAGATGATGTCTAAAAGTTCCCCCAGGGGAACATTAATGTTCCACCCACACCCAGCATAATTAAAAGATAATGCCTGGAGAGGGGGTCTGGACATCAGTGGTTTGCTATTGCAAACCACTGATATAAAGTTCCCAGGCATAGGATGACTAAACATTCAGTATGCCTGAAACTGAGGGGTTTCACTTCCAAAGCTAGAAAAATCCTGCCCAAATCAGGATGAGTTAATTACCCACAAAGGAGGTGAGACTCCCATTAGGACTGTTGCTTCCTGGCTCTGTCTTACTGCACCCTAATGGGGATAAATCTCTGGGCTCTGCACTCAGTTAATAGACCTTGCCAATCTCTCACACTGATGGGATTCATAACTACTGTTGATGGAAAAGAAAATTGTTACCTGGAACCTTCTAATATTGTTAATTATAACCTAACAAAAGGATATGAGCAAGATAATAGAAGATGCAACAAACATGCCCTAAGAAGATGGAAAAGAGAAAGTGGCTCTACACTGCTTGCAACCAGAGAGCAATGGCAAAACCTTTGAGCTCACATGAAAAGAAAGGTGATAAGGAGGGATTTCAAAAACAACACTCTCCTATTAGTCAATCTTTCTTATTCTATTTTTTTCTTATTCCTTATTATGAAGAGATTAGTGACACCCTTCACAGTATCAGATGCTTTGCCTCCCCTCTGGATGTTCCTCCTCTTGGGAGAGCCAGCTTTTGTCTTTTTCCAGGTGTTACATCCTAAAATGTGCAGGCAGCTAGTGAGAACATCAGCTTGTTTATGTGGTAGAGTCAGCACTGTTGCCATCCCTGGGCACCTTAGTCTGAGTCACTTGGTCTTCCCTGAAGCAAGGCTGGACTGTGTGGAACTTACTGCACTTCAGTGTAAAGGACATTTGGGTGTATAGAAGAGGTTGCCTGATTTTTGAGTGTACCAATGGTAGGTAGATTTATTTACAATGCAAATGTACTTGGGATGAAGGTGAGCTAGACAAGGTACCCAAATCTAGAGGTGAAGCTCATGCAGTAGACAGCTCACACCTGCCTTGGAGTACAGCCCTCTGCCCTTTAGAATAAAGCCTTTATGAGGTCTTATTTGCTTATTTACATCATCTCTTGTGAATTAGATATATTTGTCTAATATTGGTATCTTCTGGGCATTGGGAAAGGAATCTTCTTGGTATGGAGAAGTTCGAATCCCCTGGATCCACCTGGTGGATTTCCCAGTGCTCACGAACATGTTCTTTATGCCACAAAATGTCAAAATTAAACCCTGCAGAGCAGATAATTATGAAACATGGAAAAGGATGCATTTGTAGACTCATTTCTGTTTTCCTAAAAATACCCCTTCCACTTAAAGGATGTGAGTTGTTAGAATGATAGAAAAAGACTGAACTGGGAGGAGATTAGGCAATGGGGTGGAAAGTTGTAAACTACCTAAACTTTTATGTAAATTTCCCTTTAGCCAGACTTGAGATATCATATGGCCTGATCCTGTGATAAGTGCAGAAATTGATAAAGCTTCCTTGTTTCAAATATGGCCCATCTCTGTCCTCCACCTTGAGGGTTCTTTGTTTGGAAGGCCACACTCCTGGGAGAAAAGGAGTCTTGGAAGTACTGACAGAGATAAACAATACTTCTTGAGTTTGTATTACATGTTAGACTGTTTTTAAAATGTTATCACCCCCACTTTACAGAAGGAAGCTGAAACACAGAGAAGGGGAAAAAATCCCCACAGTGGCACAGCCAAGAAGTTCAGACTCAAGTTCAGACTCAGGCAGCTCCTGACTTCTGAGCTCATCAGGCTCTTGCTAGACCCCAGGGCCCTGCCTTAGCAGTAGAGCATGAATTCATCCACTCAGAGTGAAGGGAGAGAGGTTGACCAATCTGGTAAACACTTGAAATAATGAGAATGAAGGGGATGAGTGAAGGGTGAGATGGGGAGGGTGAGAGACCTAGCCAGTAATGGTTAAAAATCTTGTGGGGCAGCAGCATTGGAGAGCAGGGATTTGTAGGAGCACCAATCTGCACATTTGGGTGATTTTTGTTTTTCATCAGTGACCTATACATATTGAGACAAAGAAGATAAGCAACTAGGCTTCTCCAGACCAGTACATAGCCAGATGGTGTACATCTCAACAAAAATGGGGCTTTTATACTAGGATAGAGAGTGGTTTTAAAGCAGCAATGAGGGGCTTGTAGAATGCAGACCTCACCAGGTCCTGTGCTTTGTGTAACGTGGGGAATGGGCAGCCTCCAACCCACAGGGTTGCAAGGAGAAGCTCCACCCTAGTCAGATTTCCATTACAACAAGATGTTGAATAAACCCCCAGGGAAGAAGTGAGTAATTGTTTCTTACCTTATAGTGCGGCGTACATAGAGCTTAACAGAAAGCCTTGTGTCTTAGTCCATTCATGCTGCTATAATAACTACCCTAGACTAGGTAATTTTTTTTTTTTTTTGAGACAGAGTCTTGCTCTGTTGCCCAAGCTGGAGTGCAATGGCGTGATCTAGGCTCACTGCAACCTCCGCCTCCTGGGTTCAAGTGATTTTCTTGCCTCAGCCTCCTGAGTAGCTGGGATTACAGGCACCCATCACCGTGCCTGGCTAATTTTTTGTATTTTTAGTAGAGACGGGGTTTCGCCATATTGGCCAGGCTGGTTTTGAACTTCTGACCTCAGGTGATCCACCTGCCTCTGCATCCCAGAGTGCTGCGGTTACAGGTGTGAGCCACCATGCCGAACCCAGACTAGGTAATTTTTAAAGAACAGAACTTGTTTCCTCATAGTTCTGGAGACTAAGAAATCCAAGATCAAGGCACCGGAAAGTTTGGTTGTCTGGGGAGGGCCAAATCCTCCAGAGATGAGGAGTGCTCTGTCCTCAACTTGGTGGAAAGAGAAAGGGCCAGGCAGACAGTAAAATGCCAGGTGAAGCCTCTTTTATAAAAGCCTTAATGTCATTAATGAGGAAGGAGCCCTCATGGTCTAATCACCTCTTAAAGGCCCGCCACTTGATAATATCACATTGGCAACACCTGAATTTTGGAGACGACACATTTAAACCACAGCACCTTGGAAGTGAGAGAGGAAAGAAAGCAAAAAGTATATGGGAGGCAAAAAGTATACGAAAAGCAAAAAGTATATGGGATAGGGTGGCCAGGAGGGGAACGGGCACCAAGAAGGCTTGCATTATCAGCGTTCGAGGCATGGAGTGTCGGGTGTTCACCCTACAGATCCCACAGGACTCGGGCACAGGCACTCCCTGGCTAGTTAGGCTGAGGTTTGGGGGTGTTGGTGTGTGATCTTCAGAGGCTGAGGTGGGCGGGGACTGACTAGGGCCAAATGAGTTTCTCTCCCCTTATTTTCAATGTGTGTTCTTTCCACAAGTTGCAAGGTGGGTGAGGAGGAAGCACAGAAGTTGTGTGGGGTAGAAAAAGCCTGGGGAAAATGGTGCCTTTAGGCCACCCATCACGTGCCTCAAGTTCCAAAGAATGTGAACAGCAGGAAAAGAGATTTGCCCTCTCCCCACTGTCATACATGTGACAGTAGAAAGCTGAAGATTTGAGCCAGAAACTGGTAAGTACACCCTGGTCTCTCAATAAAGTATGGCACAGGACTTTTTCTTGGTCCTCCCCGAGCCTGGTCTGATACCCAGGAATTTATATCAGCAGGGTGGGTGGTGTGGTTCAAGTTTTGGCCTCAGCACAGGAGTTCTGGTGGCTGTTTAAACAGAAAGCAGCCAGGGTATTTTTGCTTGTGATAAATGACAGCCTTACCTGCTATTCTTTTCATTTCTTTTCTTTTTTTATCTGTTCCATAGGTTGATTTTTTTTTCTGTTCCACAGGTCACCTTTTTATTTTACCTGAAGGTAAAACCTGACCCAATTCATCAATATTCTCTCAAGCTTCCTTGACCAGGAGCCCAGGCAGGTTTGAGTGCAGCATTTCTCCAAGTGTGGTCTGAGGACCACCCACAAGAGAGAGGCCCTGCCCAGGTGCTACGTGTTTATCAAGTTCCCCAGCACACTCTCAGGCACATTCTACTTTGGGAACCTCTGTTGGAATGTCCTGCCCCCTCTCGTTGCTTCTTAATTAATTTCTCTTTATTTCCTCCATGACCTTTAGTCATTTACTTACCAAAGCCCCTGAGAATGTAAGCCCAGGCTAAGTGCTGGGGATGCCACAGCAAACCACATAGGCACAGGCCAGCCTTCTCAGTTTAGGGCTTCTGGTATTTGGGGAGGGGAAGGGGAATAGTAGAAAGGTTGGGAGACTAAACAAGCAATCATAATAAAGCATGAAGAGCATTACAATAAACTGTGGCAAGAATAATATCAGAATTTGTTAATGTGACTCAGGAGGCCACTAAAGAGAGGGAAAAGTGTGACACCCCCACCTTTATGGTTCAGCTGCAGATGGCACCCCCTGGGTCCTAGTATATACATGTAGGAGCCCATACAGCCTTCCAGAGAAAGGTGAAGATGAGAGACAGACTGAGCTCTACTCATGGGATACAAGGAGGGATGAAACAGTGTATAGAGGGGCTCTATACCATCCATGGCGTGGGGAGTTAAGGACAAAAGTCTGGAATGATTTATGTTTCAATGTCAGTGGAAGATGCCAAACTTTCCCAATATCTGTGACCTCACCCAGAGTAACAAGCAGTAAAAGCCAGAAAGTAAAAATGAGGGTGGGCTTGTATACAGCCTAGCAGAAAAGCGGGTGTAGGGAGATCTGCAAACCATGCTGCAGACAGCAGCTAGCCTGGTGGAAAGGACAGACAGTGAGTGAAAGTTCTATAGTGAGAAATAAGGGTGCATGGGGAGCCAGCTTCAGGAGGAAAAAAAGACCCAAGCAGCAGACGTGATGTGGCCCTAGGCACGTCCACACTCAATTTTCCCCACTGCCTTCCACATAGTCAGACCTTCCCTTACAACTTGGTACTCTATCTCTTCCTATAGGCAGATTCAGTTCTTTTTATTTTGAATTTCTTTTAAAGTTTCATTTCATCCGGCTGCTTTCTTTTCTTGGACTGCCAGCTATTAAAATTGTCTTCTTTTTTCCCTCTGCTACTAGGAAAGTCAGAGCTAAAGTCAATGCCTAGTTAAAATAACCAGATTTTCCTAGGCATTCAGTCAATTTGTTTCCTGTTCCTTCCTGTTTTAATTTTTTTTTCTATTTTAACAGCTGCACTACAATTTATTTCTATTCTTGAATGCTGTCTTAACTTTTTTGGAAGTTTATGCAGATATAAATTATGATGAAATGAAACACGTGTGTCCATTTTCTCCCACCCACCAATCCTTTACCCCTCCCTGACTGCAGTCATATTGCCATGGAGTCACCTCTTCTTATGGTCTTTCCCCAATCTCCATAATAATCTTTTGTTACTATTCACTACAGGCACAAACACACCTGCCAGACCTCCCCATTCTCTTCATTTTTCTCCTTGATTTCCACCTACTGGCCTTGCTTGTGGCTCCCACCTCTGTCCTGACCCTAACATTTAGTGTTCATTGTTCTTCCCTAATTCTGATGCATCCCCTGTCTCCCAGATGTTGGCTAACATAACACCCATTCCCCTAGAGAAGAATTAGTGTCAACTGTCTTTCCACAACAGATTCCCCTAGGGAAATTGAGCATTCAGTTATGAGGGACCAAAATGGGACTTAGTTCAGAGATTCTTACACCCTGCCCCCAAATCCTGAGCAATGAAATAAACTTAACCAAGGTCTTCTTTTGTGCATTTCTGTCCTGCTGCTTGGTAAATGTGTGCTCACTCATTCATAATGAAGGCTTATCAGCCCAGCATTGCTCATCCTGCTGTTTGACAGTTGTGCCTCCTAAACCCTTTGAATCTTAAATTAGCGTCACAGCAATGTTATGATTCATTGCTCTCACTCTTTCTCGAGGTTGTGGTTGTTTCTTTTAAACAGCTCTTCCATTAAGGTGAAAGAGCCAACACAGAACACACACATATATCTTCCCCAGTCCCCAGCTCTGTGGGTGGTCCAGCAATTTAGTTCCAAATATAGCCTCTGAGAAGGGGAAAGCATGCTTGTTTGTCTGCTCTTGAAACTTAATTTTCAATGGAAGTCAGTACTGGTAAAAGATAGTTTAAAATTTTTGAGGGGGGTATAGCTGTTTGTGTTCCACACTATCTGAGTTCTACCGGTTTGGCTCTGTGTCCCCACCCAAATCTCACTTTGAATTGTAATCCTCATAATCCCTGCATGTCAAGGGAGGGACCTGTGGGAGGTGATTGTGTTATGGGGGCTGTTTCCTCCATGCTCTTCTTGTGACAGTGAGTGAGTTATCACAAGATCTGATAGTTTTATATGGGTTTGACTGTTCCTCCTTCTCTCTTTCTCTCTCTCCCTCTCTCAATCTCTCTCTCTCTCTCTCTCTCTCTCTCTCTAAGAGTTAGAAGATGCTTGCTGCCCCTTCGCATTTCATTAGGATTGTAAGTTTCCTGAGGCTTCCCCAGCCATACAGAACTGTGAGTCAATTAAACCTCTTTCCTTTATAAATTACCCAGTCTTTATAGCAGTGTGAAAATGGGCTAATACACACAGTCTTAAAGATGAACTTTAGCTTTGCCCAATTTGGCTAATACAGAGGATGAATATCATTCATTCATTCAACAAATGTTGGGCAGGCTGTGACATGCTTTGGCTGCATCCCCACCCAAATCTCATCTTGAATTCCCACCCAGTGGGAGCTAATTGAATCATGGAGGTGAGTCTTTCTCATGCTGTCTGGTGATAGCAAGTAAGTCTCAAGAGATGTGATAGATTTAAAACAGGGAGTTTCCCTGCACAAGCTCTCTCTTTGCCTGCTGCCCCTCATGTAAGACGTGACTTGCTCCTCCTTGCCTTCCACCATGATTGTGAGACCTCCCCAGCCACATGGAACTGTAAGTCCTTTAAACCCCTTTTCCTGTATAAATTACCCAGTCTCAGGTATGTCTTTATCAGCAGCATGAAAACAGACTAATATAGGCTCTGTTTTAGGAGCTGGGGATACAGCAGTGAACTTTTGGTGGAGCTTGTATTCCAGTGAAGAGAAGACAGACATCAAAGCATACGTAAGTGATGTAATGTTGGATTATGTTAAGTGTTATGAATAAAAATAAGATAATTTTGGGTAAAATGACCAGGAAAGGCCCCTTTGATGAGGTATTATTTGGGCAGAGACCTGAATGAAATGAGAGATCCTTTCCACTTCCATTGACCATGGCAGACATGAGTAATCAACCAGAGCCATCATTTCTTTTTCATGGAGCCATACAATTCTCCACTCAGTACTCCAGGCCATCACTGCCATTTGGTTGGTATTGACATGCATGACTGGGCCTATTTTCCATTCTATTCCAAAAATGCATTTCTTTTCTAAAATAAGGAGGAAAATTTAAAATAGAGAATGGATCTAGGGACAAGATTTTACCCATCATTATTTAAGAGCTTAATGATGTAGGATTGTCTCCTGTATGAGTCTGTTTTCACACTGCTGATAAAGACATACCCAAGACTGGGTAATTTACAAAGAAAAAGAGGTTTCATGGACTCACACTTCCATGTGGCTGGGGAGGCCTTGTAATCATGGTGAAAGGTGAAAGGCACTTCTTACATGGTGGCAGCAAGAGAGAATGAGAGCCAAGTGAAAGGGGAAAGCCCTTATAAAATTATCAGATCTTGTGATACTTATTCACTACCATGAGAACAGTATGGGGGGAAACTGCCCCCAAGATTCAATTATCTCCCACCGGGTCCCTTTCACAACAAGTGGGAATTATGGGAGCTAGAATTCCAGATGAGATTTGGGTGGGGAGACAGCCAAACCATATCATCTCCTCTTCTCTTGTCAAAAGGAAGATGTTTTTGTCCTTTTGTGATGATTACTTTGTATGTCTGAGTATATAACTCACCTCTTTAGTGGTTTATGGCCCTCTCACAGTCATGGGGCTGTGCAGCTACCTAGCTTTATTAGTCCTAACTACCAGCTTTAAATTGTGGATGCTGTCATGCCATAGGCATATTCTTATATGAATATATAAGAATATATACATGCCTGAAGCGTGTTGTAAGTAGCATGTTTTCCTTAACAAAATCCATTTTCATAAATAAAAACACTCTACACATACATATCCCAATTTTCTTTTTATCCTTTCATTTATTGAGTACCTGTTGGGTGTCAGACACAGAGTATTAAAGATGAATAAGACATAGTGTCTTACTGAGTCTTGTATAAATGCTAATGGAGAATAAAATAAAATATTATATACAGGGGAAACTCATATCTTATTCTCTTATAATTATTTTTAAGATACATGACTCTACAAATCACAACCTTAGTGATCACCAATGACCTACAGTTGCCAATCCAGTGGGAATCTTTATTCTACTTGATTTCTACTTAGCCCTGAGGACCATTTCCTGCTTTACTCCAGTTGCCTTTCTCAGTTCCTGTTGTTATGTATTATCTTGCTCTTCGTTCTCTTCCATCTTTCTCTGCATTCTTTCTCTTGTGGATCTCAGTCACTCTCAGATATTTAATATTACTTTCATGCAGCTGAGTCTCAAATATGTATTCCTGCTTACAACTTCTCTTCTGAGTTATAGTCCACTGGAATATAATTCTGGGACCTGAAATTCTATATGTTCAAGTCAAACACATGATCACTGTAGTTACTAGCGTCCTTCTGATTGCAAATGATGGAAATGCAACTTAAACTGGCTTATATGGGAAAAAAGAGTAATAAATTTTCCTGTGCAGCCAAAAGACTCCTGAGCTACATCCAGGAACTCAAACAGTATTATCAGAAATTGAGTCTGCTCTCCTCACCTCTTCTCTCACTCCCTCCCACCATCCTCTCTCTCTCTCTCACGTGTGTGTGTGTGTGTGTGTGTGTGTGTGTGTGTGTGTGTGTGTATGTGCTCACTGACTTTCTAGGTCAGGGTCTCCATGTTATAGCTCCCATAAGCCCCAGGCTTTCCTTCACTGGCTTAGTAAACCTACAGAAAGGGAGAGAACTTGTCTTTCCCGATAGTTTCATAAAAAATCCTACAATTGAATTTCACTGGGCTAACCCAGTACACTGGCCAACCTGTAACCAATGGCATGACTCAAATGTGGAAATATGCTCTATTAAAGTATAAGATTTGGGGAGTTATTGATAAGCTTCAATCACATAAACTCAGAGCAGGAAGGCTTAGTTATCTATAGAAAAAAATGAGTAAAAGGGAAAAGTATGCTAAGTAGGCAAAAGCAACAGATGTCAGCTATAACCCACTGCCCCCAAAAAACCCTCATCAACTCCATTATTTCTATTAAACAAGATAATGCGTGTAAAACATTATGTAAATGTAACAGTACTCCTCTATGTTATTAATTCTACTGGTATAATTTTTTTTTTCACTCTTATTGCCCAGGCTGGAGTGCAATGGTGCAATCTTGGCTCACTGCAACCTCTGCCTCCCAGGTTCAAGCATTTCTCCTGCCTCAGCCTCCTGAGTGGCTGGGATTACAGGCGCCCGCCACCACGCCCAGCTAATTTTTTGTATTTTTAGTAGAGACAGGGTTTCACCATGTTGGCCAGGCTGGTCTTGAACTCCTGACCTCAGGTGACCCACCTACCTTGGCCTCCCAAAGTTCTGGGATTACAGGCATGAGCCACCGTGCCTGGCCTCTACTGGTATAATTTTAATAATATTGAAAGTTTAAATAAAACAGGCTTGAACTCTTGGAGCCATCTTTGGCTGCACCCTCCTCTCTCATCGACATTTAATCAGTTGTCAGAGCTTCTTGATTCTGCAACCAAACTATTTCAGTATCGGTAAATCCCTTATGACCAGACTCTACTCTTTCCAATCCAGATTAACTTTTTTTGAAGCACAGTGCTGATCATATTTTGGCTCATAAACCTTCCATACTCTCCACTGCCTAAGGACAAATAGCCAATCATATCAGCCAGTTAGTTCTCAAAGTCCAGGAACTAGATCCAACTTAGCTTGCCAGATGTGCTCTCCACCATTCCACTTAGCATGCCCTCTGCCTGTAGCCAACAGGAACTACTCACTGTCTGTAAATTACTCCATCTCTGAAACTGTCTCTGGCTGTTTCCTAGAGATGAAATGCATCACTCCCCACTTTTCTGTCAGCATTCTCATCACATTTTGGACCCACTTTTAGGATCCCTGTGGATATTTCAGAAAGGTATAGTGACATAGTAATTTAAGATTATTTCAAATGGACCAAAATCCTGGATCAAACAGACATTTTCTGTTAATCTAGGATGGTAGATTCTGGTCTTGGAAGATTCTTTTATATATGAGAATATGTTATTTACCCACAAAGGGCTTTGGTAAACAATAAATAATCTAGTGTGCTGGTAACTCGAATGTACTGATAAGGCCGCCTTTCTGAGAAAAGAAGGCAAATATGGTGAGTACCTGCTGTTTGCCATCTGCTGTTTGCCAACTGACACAGGAAGTGTAAGTGTTCAGCTTTGAGGAAAGACGGCTAACGGATACATGTTTACTTTTAATGTGTATTTATTTGGCTTTCTTTGTGTGCTGAGTCTTCATTCTCACTAAAACTGAATACTTCAGGGAAATGGAGGCAGCTCCATGGCTGTGTTCTCCAGCTGCCAGTTTTGTCTTTATTCTCGGAAATCCTAACACTTCATATCTTTCAGTCTCATTCGTACCAATTTATGCTTTGCTAAATAGCCATTAAGCACTTTTTTATCTTCTCTGGCTGACTGAGGCAGGGGACATAATCCTTTTGATGTTCTGAACATAGTAATTATTCAGTAAACATTTGTTGAAGTGCGAGTAGGAACTCCAGAATCTATGTCAAGGGATCTTGGTGGGTTAAAAAAAAAAGTGTGCTTTACAAACATTCTACCCTTTCACAGATTTTTTTCATATTAAATAATAGAAATTTTCAGACATAACCAAGAGTTAGTTGTATTTATTTGTTCATTTTTCACCAAAAGAAGGCATTTTATTCTCTTTTGGCAACTTCAATTAGCTTTGCAGAAAAGAACTCAAAATAATACAATTAGTATTACCACCTTGTACAGCAATTGCAACAACACCAAAATTTCCTCTGCATTTCAAAAAAAAGCTTTTGGATGTGAAAACTTAACATTCCTTCATTCATGTAGCACATGTTTACTGAGCACATGCTAAGGTATGGCATTGTGCTAGGAATATCAAGACAAAATTTATTGACCTCATAAAACTTAGAATCTAGTTGTGATGACAAATAAGAAATTACCTGACTAAATATCCTTTAACAGCATTAACAGCATTAACAGCAGAGAAATTCAATTAATAAACTGCCTGCCTCTTTCATTTGCAGGCTATCAAGATTGATTCAGGTTGATTCCCAGGGTTCTGTTTTATTTCCACCCAGGAAACACCAGCATTCTTGAATCCTTTCAGCATTAGGCAAAGGAGCAGATGTGGGCATTCTGCATCTCAAGGAGGTCTTTAGCAACACCTGCTGCCTTGCTGGTCCCTAAAGAAGTCTTGTCTGTGGTCCCCATCACCTAAAGGGAGCTGGTGATTGTGGTTGAAGACATCCTGGGTAAAGGAACATTGTGGATCATTGCACATACATGTAAGTTGGTTCAGAAAGTTCAGAAACTACTCAGGGATTTGGAGAGAACTTCCAAAGCTAGCTTTGGATTTTCACATTTTTATGTTCATATTGTTCACAAATAATTTTTAACTGTGAGCCCTGTACCATTATGGACTCAAATTTCTGAGAAAGCCTCAGGAATTCTATGTACTGGTGTCTCTTTTAAGGCTAGGAACACAAGCAGAAACTCACTCCAAATTTGAATTTTAATATGTGCTCTGCACTCAATTTAAATGCTTTAAGGAGGCACTTCCTGAAGTTTGCTCTATAGCTCCTCAGTTCCAAGGGGTGGTCACTGGTGAATATAATTTGAGAAATGTCTTAAGACATACTGGTTTGTTTAATGAACAGTTTCTGGAAAAAGGACATAATTTTGAACTCTAAATGTTGTATCTGCCACAAATAACTGGCTGCCAAGAATGCCACTGTGTGCAAATTACAGAGATTATAATAAGCAGATGGATTCTAGGTTCCGGGGAGGAAAATTCATCTGAATTTAAGAGGTAAGTGGAGCTAAAGATTCTAATTGGACAGAAAGTCACATGGTTTATATGGCTGACATAAAAACACACCCTGATAATTTTTAGGGCTCTCTTCTTTCTGCTCTTCTGCCAATGTGGATATCATTTAGTTTCATCTAGACACCTGGGCAGAGGCCACATAGAACCTGAAGCTAGCTAACGCAACCATATCTGATCTCCCACATCTTGCAATCATCTTTGTCCCCTTGACTTTTAGCCATATTCTACTTTGCAGTTCTTCTCTTTACCACTGACCTTACAACTGGGCTCTTCCTTTTCAAAGTGCTCTCTAAAACTAGAATTCTATGATTATCTGTATGTTCTACACTCTGAACTTCCTCTTACAACTGTACCTCTCCTCTTACCCAGCTGGCCTATGGGAATTCATTATACATCATGAGACTCTGTGGGGAACCCTGTGATTCTTCTACAACCCGGGGCGTGTAGGGCTGAAAAAGTTGTTTGTTATCTATTGCTGCTGCAATAAATTACCATAAATCTAGTGGCCCAAAACAACATCAATGTGTTGTCTTACAGTTCTGGAGGCCGGGGTTTGAAATGAATCTTATGGGGCTTAAAGAAAGATGTCCTCAGGGCTGTGTTATGTCTGGAAACACTATGGGATAATCCTATTTCTTGCCTTTTTCAGAGGCTGCTTGTATTCCTTGGCTCACGGCTGCGTTACTCCAACCTCTGCTTCTGCTGTCACAGCTCCTTCTCTGACTGTGACCCTGACCCTCCCCCGCATAAAGACTCGTGATTACATTAGGTCTAACCAGATAACTCAGGATCATCTTCACATCTCAAGATACTTAACTCAATTATATTTGTAAAGTCCCTTTTGCCATATAAGGTAACACATTCACAAGCTCCAGAGGTTAGGATGTGGACAGATGTCGGGGGTTATTCAGCAAACTCTACTACAGTTGGGGAAGGGGAGATTAGGTTCTGCGTTGGTCTTTTTCCCTATTGATATCTCCAGATCATTTCTCTACAATAGGCATCAGCAAACTTTTTCCATAAAGGGTCATATGGTAAATAATTTTAGACTTTGTGGTCCAAGAGACAAAATCTAGGGTATAATATAGGTGCTTGCATAACTGCTTAAAATGTAACTATTTAAAAATGGAAAAACCATTCTTGGCTTGCAAGTGGTACACAAACGTGTGGTGGTGGGATTTGGCTCATGGCTATAGTTTGCCGAATTCTGCTCTGCAATCTTTTGTAAACTACTTCCTTAGAAGCTCATGCCATTCAGTTAAATCTCTTATGTTTTATCTTGCCTTTGTCACTTATCTATATCCTGGTCACCCTTCAATACACATTGAGGATGAATTACCCACTGGAAGACATATCCAAGAACGTAGAAACAGTCTCTTGAGTTCCAGATAAGCAAAAGTCTAATCCTACAGAGTAACAGTAACATCATAAAGAGAAAATGTATTTTTGTTCATGTAGCGCCTTTCTATAAAAAGTTCCTGATTCAGAAATGCACTTTTCTCATTTGAGAAATTCACCTGGAAATACCCAGGTATTGCCCTAAATGGCCACAGTTTTTCTATTCCAAAGTATCTGCCAGATTTAGTGTTGTAACAGGGTATAAGGCATCAGAAACTTTCCATAAAAAGACTAGAGACTGGCTAAAAACAAATTTTCAGGACTATAGCGGAAAATTTTTAGTTAATCATCTCATCTTTTTTGATGATGTGGAGCTAGTTGCATGATTCTGGTTCTGAATGGAGTCCCTAATATGGGCCCTGGCCTCAGGCCCAGATAAACCTCTCTTCTGAGAGCCTCAGAGGTTCCTTGTGTTGTTCAAATGACAGCTGGAAGTGAAGGTTATTTTTAATTTCACTGTCACCACCAGTAGGCTCATCTCTACCTACCACTGAAAGAAAGAAAATGAAAAGGTAATAAATGGTTAGGAAAAGAGACTTTCCTTTTTTTCTTCTTTTATTTTATTTTTTAAATTTAATTTTTTTTTTCTTTTTGAGACAGCGTCTTGCTCTGTTGCATACGCTGGAGTACAGTAGTGTGATCATAACTTACTACAGCCTCAAACTCCTGGGCTCAAGTAATCCTCCCATCTCAGCCTCCTGAGTTGCTAGGACTGCAAGCATGCGTCACAACACCTGGTTAATTTTATACATTTTTTTGTAGAGACAGGGTCTTGCTATGTTTCCCAGGCTCATCTCCTGGCCACAAGTGAGTCTCCCTACGTGCTGAGTTACAAGCATGAGCCACCTTAGCCAAGACATTTTGTATATTAGTTCAATATCTCAGTAACTAAATGATGGTTTTTCCTATAGACAGGAGATAAATTGTGTCTGAGGGTCAAGTGTCATATGAGTGAGACTGAGATGGTCTTGAAGGCAGAAATAATGGAATATATGATGTGACTATTTTGCAGACACAAGAGGCATACTTCCAGTGTTTAAGTTTTAGAAGTTTACCTTTATTTGTTCAACCCTTGAGGGACTGAGGACCTGTATTTCGTGAAGTTAAGAACAGCCATTGCAGTTCAAGAAGAAAAGCCCATGCCTTCAAGACCTGTAGGAATTTTGTAACATTCTGAGTGCTAAATTGAACTTGAAAAAATGAACTGCAAGCTCTATCACACAGCCACGTCTAAATTAATGTAGGAGAGATGGGAGAGACTCTAAAATTGAAAGAGACAAGGAAATGATTAATGGTAGAGGAAAGAATAAATGAAATCAGATAAAAGAGACCTTCACACACTTAAGAAAATTATCTTCATCACAAACAATCAATGCCTTGGGGATCTATGGAACAGCATGCTTCAATGGGCTGTATTTCAAATTCTCTGAGACTTTATGCATTACTTTATTAACTCAAAAAACATTTGAGGAGACACTACTATGAAACAGGTCCTGCATGCACACTGAGAAATCAGAGGTGAGTAAGATACAGTATAGCTGTCAGGGGCTCAGAGATTAGGGGACAAAGACAGGTACAGAAAAATCACATACAGTGTAAGTGGCAAGGAGCAGTGGGGACACAAAGGAAGAATTGACTCTATCTGGAAAAAGAAAGAAGGATATTCTTATTCCAGGGTGAAAAAGAAATTCATATCTTTAAAATTAACAAAAAAGCCATAAATTTTCAAATTTGCTGTTGACATGGGAAGACTATCACTTTGAAGGTTGATACTTTTGGTGCTATTTTTAATGTTAAATTTAATATTTATGACAAGGAATGTATCCTGATATATACTGATTTGGGCTGTGATATGGTATGGCTCTGTGTCCCCACCCAAATCTCATCTTGAATTGTAATCCCTACCTGTCAAGGGAGGGACCTGTAATCCCCATGTGTGGAGGGAGAGAAGTGGTTGGATTATGGGGGCAGTTCCCCACATGCTGTTCTCAAGATAGTGAGCTAATTCTCACGAGATCTGATGGCTTTATAAATGGTAGTTTTTCCTGTGCTGACACATGCTGTCTCTCATCTGCCACCGTGTAAGATCTGCCTCTTCCCCTTCTGCCATGATTATAAGTTTCCTGGGACCTCCCCAGCCATACAGAACTATGAGTCAATTAAGCCTCTTTCCTTCATAAATTACCCAGTCTTGGGTATCTCTTTATAGCAGTGTGAAAATGGACTAATACAGTAAATTGGTACCGGGAGTGGGGCATTGCTATAAAGATACTCGAAAATGTGGAAGTGACTTTGGAACTGGGTAATGGGCAGAGATTGGAAGAGTTTGGAGAGCTCAGAAGAATATAGGAAGATGTAGGAAAGTTTGGCCCTTCCTAAAGATTTGTTGAATGGTGTTGGCCAAAATGCTGATAGTCCTGTGGATAATGAAATCCAGGATGAGATGGGCTCACATGGAGATGAGGAATTTATTGCAAACTGCAGCAAAGGTCACAATCACTTTCTCACCTGCTGTCATGTAAGATATGCCTGCTTCCCCTTCTGCCATGATTGTAAGTTTTCTGAAGCTTCCCCAGCCATGTGGAACTATGAGTCACTTAAACCTCTTTCCAGTATAAATTATCCAATCTCAGGTATTTCTTTTTAGGAGTGTGAAAACAGAATAATACAGGTTGGCAAACAATTAAAAGATTGACACCCCATATCTGATCACAATTTTTCAGAGGAGTTCATTTTACAATTTGTGCAATCTCAACATTGGTCGAGAAGATAAGGAAAGACATGGGAAACAAGGCTAATTTTGCTCTGCTCAAAGCTGATTAGAATGATGAGTTTAGCTGCCTTTATCAGAACTGTCACTCTGATAAGCATGATATTGAAGGTTTTGTGACAGTTATGATAATAGGTGGAAGGTATTGCCTGACTCACTTTACTTCAACAAAGTAGAATATATGTATATATGTAAATAAAATATTAGAATAAAAGGGGAGAAGTACCATGAAAAGCATATAAATAAATTAGAAACTATTCAGCACAAGGAACAAAAAGACAAGAAACATGTTAACTTTGAATATTCATTATTGTGAATTATTATAAGGGGAGATGAATGAATATCCTTCCTGAACATAAGGTAACTCCAACTGAAGCATAAGAAGTTAAAAGTAGTAAAGGAAAATGCTTACCTAAAGAGGGTTACTCTGCTCCATAGAATTCCCTTTGAAGTTTTAGGATCAATTTTACTAATGAACAATGAGTTAGGAATAAGCCTGTCTGAAGACAGAGTTGGAAGCAGAGACTTCAAGAGCCCTCCCAGCCCTCATTTCAGGGTTGTATTTCATCAGCCTCTCTCTCCTAACACAAAATACAATGTGGATGTTCCTGGACAGTGAGTGGCCCACTATGTGGTCATTCAGAAACCCAGGCTTCTTCCATTTTGTGGCTCCACCATCATCTAGAGCCTCAGAATTCTTTTCTGAATCTTCTGCATCCAGCCAGCAGAGAGGATAGAAGATCATATGAGCCAACCAACATTGAAATGGCAAATGTCAATTAGGTAGGCCTGCCATCTTCCACTGGCAAAACTCTGTCATACAGCCACATCTACCCAAAATAGTGTCTTGGAAATATAGTCCATCTACGTGTCCAGAAGGCAGAGAGAACAGGGTTTGGTGAATACAATGTAGTCTTTACCACAGTTCAACAAATAGTTGCTGAAAGCATGTGATGTGTGCATCCAGCTGGGACCCAATAACAAGGCAGACTCCCTGCCTTTGAGGCACAAGTGAACAATTTCACAACAGTATAGTAGGAACAAGGGGCATAACAAGCACAGGATATGTGGAAACTTAGAGGACAATACTTAGCCCAGCCTGGAGAAGTCTTGGAAGGCTTCCTGGTAGAGGAAACACTTGTGCTGAGCCTTGAGGATAGGTAGAAAAGTGGGAGAAAGAAGGAAATGTATTTTAGACAGAAGCAACAATTGGGATAAAAAGTGTAGAAGAGAACTATAAGCAATTTGATATTATCAGAACGTAAAGGAATGAGCAAGGAGGGGCAGGTGATGGAGCTGCAGCAGCCTTCTATGGAGAGCCCAGTATGTTATCTAGAGGTATTTGGACATTTTAAATAGGCAATGGGGAAAAAATGGGAGATTTAAAAGAGAGATTGGTATATGAGTAGCCATGCATTTAATAGAGGTCCCCTTGGTAGCTGTATTCCGTATGGCTTTGATGGTGGCAAGACTTAGATAACAATTTGGAGGCTTTTCCAATTGTTTAGGCAGGAGTTGATAAGGGCTTAAACTAAGCTGTAAAGGAAGAGTCAATGCAAGAAATATTAATGACTTAAAATTGGGAAGATTGTTAATTGTTATATTGAAGCTTCAAGGAAAAGAAGGAAACTGGAATGGTCCCAGGCTTCTGATTTGGGTAACCTTGTAACTTGCCTTGTCATTAACTGTATTAGTCCACTCTCACATTGCTATAAGAACTACCTGAGACTGGGTAATTTATAAAGAAAAGAGGAATAATTGGCTCATCATCCAACAGGCTATATAGGAAACATGGTTGGGAGGCCTCTGGAAACATACAATGATAGCAGAAGGCAAAGGAGAAGCAGGCACATCCTACATGGCGGGAGCAGGAGGAAGAGAGAGAAGAGGTGGGTGCTACAGACTTTTAAACCGCAAGATCTCATGAGAACTCACTCACTATCATAAGAACAGAAAGAGGGAAACCTGCTTCCATGATACAATCACCTCCCACCAGGCCCGTCCTCCAACATTAGAGATTACAATTCGACATGATATTTGGGCAGGGACACAGATCCAAACCGTATCATTAACTGACAAAAAATATAGGTAGAGACATAGGTCTGGGGGGAAGGTGAGTGCAGTTTTGGGAAGTTGTCCAGCTATCTATTGTAAACTTAGGGGCATACTGTGTGTAGAAATGTTTGCTCCTCTATCCTTTGGGAACAGGAATACATTCATAACATGCTACATGTAAAAAGGACTCCCCAGGGTGGCCAATCTTATGGTAGAGGTTGTATGGTAATATATTTCTCCTTCATAAAAGTGGGAAAATAAACTTAGAGGCATAAAAATACCATCAATTTACTGTGTTCATGGATTCTGTGAACTAAGAAGTTGGACAGGGCTCAACAGAGGTGATTTATCTCTATCCGTCAATGTCTAAGGCTTTAGTTGGAAAGAGTCATATGCCTGGGGGCTGGAATAACTTGGAGATTTATTCACTCACTGCTGGGGCATTGGTGGAGAGGACTGAAAGGCTGGCTTTGTCACTATCAAATGTCTAGCAGCATTCCTAGCCTCTAGCTACTAGACACAAATAGCATCCCACCCACCCAGCAGTAACAACCAAAATGTCTCCCTGACACTGCCAAATTTATCCTGTGGGACAACTGTCTCCTGTGGTTAAGGTCAGTGGGCTGTATGTGTCTGAAACTTCGTCAGGACTGGAAAGAGATTTTTCAAGTCATCAGTGCGTAGGTGATCTTTAGAGTCACTGCAATATATGAGATATCCCAGGATGTAGGGTGAGAAGATCAGCTCTTCAAGGTTAGAAGGATGGACCCATATTGAAGGGGTTGAGGAAAAGAAGATAAAGCATTAAGAAAACGAAAATAGAAAAACCAAGAGAGAGAGAGTAGGAAAACCAAGAAAGACAGAAAAGAGTGGTGCAGTGGCTACTGCGAGTGCCTGCCTAGCATCTTATCTCCACTTTCTTCTTAAAGAAGCTCAGTCTCTTGCCCACAATGACCGGTGATTTCATCCATGGACCTACACAAGCCAGACCATAAAGTCCTTCCTGTGATTTCATATTTTAAGCCACAGAGCAAGGTGTTTCTTTTCTCTTCTGTCCTTATTGAAACTATGTTATTTCCAAAGTCCCTTTGGTGTGCTCCCTGCCACAAGGCAAAGGTTCAGCTGAGTGCATTTAGAGATGCCATGAGTTGAAAATGACCACCTGTCCCTTGCAGCTCAGGAAGAGGCTCTTAAGGGAAGTTGGTGGGAGCACTAATGCCTGAAGAGGATTTCTTGGACTCCTAAGTCATCTTTACTTCGTAAAGTTATCTCAGAATTTTGTCAGCTAGTGCTTCTCTGTGAAACTTCCAAAGACCAGGAAACCGGCACCAAAAGCATCCCTTCCACATTGTGTCTTGCTTCTGACTTCTGAGCTAAACGAGCCATGAACCTGTGCCAAATATGCACATACATAGTCCGTGAGCTGTGTGGGGGCTTGATCAGAAGCAAGCACCCCAATACACTATATTGTACAAGTGTGTTACAGTTTCATCTGCAGTAGAAGACAATGAAACCAGCAGCAGAAGGAAGCAAAGTGGAGAGCTGAGAAAGACCAACTTTTTGGTAGCATTTAAGATCCTGGATCCAGTCATCTCTGAAGCCTCAGATCCAGCCGTGACCTTCCAGTTGTGTGAATCAATAAATGCTCTTAAGTGGAATATCTTTCTGTTGCAAATGCAAATGTTCTAATACAGAAACTAAAACCAGCTGTGAAGTGATAAACCTAAAATGTGGAATTGGTTGAATCAAGATAAGGAAGGTTGAAAATCTGTATTCCTTGTTATATGAAAGTGAAGCAGCTGCTACCTAGTGTATTTTATGCCTCAGGCAATGTCCCCACCACCATAATTACAAGAACATTATGGACTTGGTCAAAAGGATATGGGAGTGAGAACTGAGACAGGCATCTGCCCTGGAGCCCTCCCAAACACCTCTGCTACTGCAGTCCCTGCCCAATAAGGCTCATAATCCCACCCCATAATCAGCTTTGATGCTCCCTGGTGATGGAAATCAGCTCCCGATTGTTCCATTTTTCTAAGAGGTGGAGACAAGGATAGATGACGTTAATCTAAAGCCCGGGGGAATCAGATGATTCCTGCAATTGTTGCTAAGGGACTGAAACCACAAGGGCAAGGAGCTAGATTCAGAGATGCTGACTCAGCAAGATTTTGGCACTTGTAACTAGCCAGCCAATGTTGCTAGCCACCCAAAATTATATAATCAGGCCAGCGACTGAGTGTTGCAAGTGAACTTTATTGCCCCCTTGGCAAGCAAAGATTATGATTATGATTGTTCAGTTCTTAACAGAGCCCTCCAAGAGTCCTTACAACAAAAAGTGGGTTGCTAAAGCAGTGGAGACCTCACCAGAGGAAGTCTCCTGACCATCCTCTTAAGCATGGTGACAAAGTCAATGAACAGGGGAGAGCCTCCCAGCAGGAAGGCCCTGGAGCACCCAGATAGACTGACTAGGAATCTACTCCATGACAAGAGAAGGGAGTCAACAGAGAGACAGGTCTCACTCTTCCTGTTTACCAGCTTAGGGGATGTTTTGTCCTCTGTAACCTATTTCTAAATTGGCAGAGCCTGGCTTCTCCTCCTTCCCTACCAACTTCTTTTCATATAAGGGCTACCATCTTATTTCTAGCTTTAGGGAAGTCTTCTATTCCTCTATCTGCTTAACAACTCAACTATAGCAATCATACATATAACCTACAGAAAGTGAAAAGCCCATTATCACACGGGAACCATCTCCCCACTCTAATCCTTGAGGGGCCTGGCAAAAGCCCATACCCACGTATATAAAAGGGTTGTCATTTAAGGTAAGGGTAACCACAGAGACGGACATGCAACCAAAAAGATTTTATGTAATGTTTATTTTTTTAATTCCCATCCTAACTTTGGCTTTAATCCTTACCTCTCATTTCCATTCTTTTCTTTGAAATCCAATTAAAAAAAAAAAAAAAAACAAAGTGTTTAAAATCACAATTATCTAGAGTCATAATAAAATTTTCTTGTCTCCAAAGAGGGGGAAAACACACCACTTTTATTTTTATGCAGCATTTTCAAATATGCATGTCAATATATATTTTATAAACTATTTAAAATAAAAACCCTTCATCCTTTGAGGTTATTGACATTTTCTAGTTCACTGACACATCTCCCATAATACAATAGTTCTATTCATTTTCATGAATGAGGTGGGAACTACACTAAAAAGTAGGATTTTAATCCCTGAGGTGCCAGTTAAAATGGACGAGGTTGCCCTTGCAACACAAGATTTTAAAAATCAGCCTTAAATAATAAGCATGGATCATGCTATTTGAATCAGAATCACCTCCATAGCATGAAGTCATTTAGGAAATTGCATTTATTGGGTTAAGTTCACCCTGCTATTCCCAGCCCTCATGCTATAATGATCTTTCCTTTTGCAAAGGAATAACACAGAGCAAGGAAGTCTGCTGAAACTTCTGAGATCCTCAGAAATCAAGAGAAACCACAGTCGCGTTTCTCCGATCTCCATCCACAGTGTTGGAGAGGATTTTTCAGCACCATTCCGAGACCTGGAAAGGGTGATGAACTGCTTTGATTTTTCTACTTCTCCATACATTTGGCCAAAAAGGAGCAATCCTCCTGGCTAGAAAAGGGGCATGTCCTGCTTTTTCTCTGAAATCACAATATTAGCAGAGCTGGGTTCAGTTCCTTGTGCCCACTGTCCCTGCAGACGCTCTCCTTTCCAGGCGGCCTCCAGTGGTTTCCGGGGTCCTGCTGCTCCCTAATAGTAGCGATTCAGGCTCCTGGTCCCGGGCACCTCAGGCTGGCCATTCATCCAGATCTCCCTGATGATGCGCTCGCGCTCCTCCAGCCGCTGGGCGCGCTCCAGCTCCTCCGCAGAGGTGAACACATTCTTGTTCAAAGTCCTCTCGAAGCGGCGGTGTCTCCGCACGGAGAGATCGGACACGGTGTCCTCACTGCCATCCTCGCTGTCGCTGCTGTCGCTGCTGCTCTCTCTGTCCTGCAGGAACTTCTTCCCGGGACGCCGCCTGCAGTCTGTGTGGCAAGAGATCCTTATCACCAGAGCAGCCAGGGTCAGCACCAGCCCGATGCACACGCCAGAAACAAAGTACAGAGCTGCTCGCTCAGGATTTTCTGGAGGAAGAAGAGGAAGAAGCAAGCATTTGAGAGATGACAACTCCATATGCAGAGATCCAATATGACTCCAGCCTACACTTCTCACCAGGCCCCAAAGTTTTGATGGTTACAAATATTGTCCTCCAATGTGACATATTTTATAATGTATTCAAAATATAATTATTGACAAACGGTGAATCTGTGAAAGGTATATGAAATTCTTTCACTCTTCTTGCAACTTTAACTTAGAGATTATTCCCAAATGAAAAGGTAAAAGAAAGAAAAACAGTAATTATTTAGCACCTACTGTACGCAAGCAGCCGTGCTTAGGTGTCATTTGTTTAAGAGATGTATCTATCTAAAGCCTCTTTTCACCTAGGCCAAAACAGCTTTACTTGAGAATTTGCTCATACACCCCCACTGAATTACCCTTTCATCACAGTGGTAGACAGCTTCTGAGATGAACCCCATCTCCTAGTATTCACACGCTTGTGCAATCCTCTCCCCTCAAGTGGTGGACCTAGTGACTTCTAAGAAATACAGTTGACCCTTGGACAACATGGGTTTGAACAGCACAGGACACCTATACATGGATTTTGTTCAAACAAACATGTAGATCGAAAATACATTATTTGCGAGATGAGAAATCCACATATAAGGAGTGTCAGCTTTTCAAATATGTGGCTTCTGCAGGGTCATCTGCAGAACTTAAGTATGCATGCACGGACTGGGGTAAACACAGGGATGCTGGAACCAATGCCCTGCGTATACCGAGGGACGACTGTAGGATATGGCAAAAGCAATGGGTGATTCTAAGATTAGGTTACATAAGACTGTGATTTTGTCTTGTTCTCTTACTCTCTCCTTCTCTGGGGCTCTTCTTACTTGCTGGTTCTGATGAAGCCAGCTGCCATGTGTGAGCTGCCTTATGGGGAAGTCCAAGTGGCAAGGAACTAAGGGTGGCCTTTGGCCAACACCCTTTGAGGAATGGTGCCAACAGCCATGTGAATGAGCTTGGTTGTGAATCATCCCTCCATCTAGTCTTGAGGGGACCACAGTCCTGGCCTTGCAGTGGCCTGTGAGAAACCTTGAACCAAGGAACCCAGCTAAGCCACACCCAGATTTCTGACCTGTAGAAACTGGGAGATAATAAATGTGTGTTTTCAGCCACTAAGTTTTGGGGTAGTTTTGTAAAAAGCAATAGTTGCAATCAGTCACACATTGAAAGCCAGTATAGGTATTTAGGAGTGGCCTCAGCAGGTTAACTGAAAGGGGAGGAGAAATTAGAGCTCTTTCCTTGGTGAGAGAAGATAACAGTCATTCTGTTAATGATCAGTATGCTTAGGGGGCCTAGTTGTGACCCCTGTAAGATGTGCTTAACAGAATGGGAGTCTTTGAGTGAACAGTTTTCATTCTAGGTACCTACGAGGACAAAGGAACAGGCCTGGCCTTGAGTACACCGTACCCAATGTATGGTCTTTTATCCCTCACCCCCCTCCCACCAATTTCCCCTGAGTCCCCACAGTCTATTATATCATTCTTATGCCTTTGTGTATATTTGGACAATTTTTGTAGGTTCTGGAAATTCAAAGACTTAAATAAGATTCAGTTCTTGTTCTCAGAATGCACCTAGTCTACTGGGGAGACAGACGAAAGCAATGGACAGAAAATAAAACAATGGGCTGTTAATGATGGAAGCACATTGTGGGGGCAACCAGCCCTAGGAGAGAGGGAGTCATGGGGCATTTTGTGAGCATGAGGATGAGATGGAGACACTTCGACCAAATGCTAGGACGATTAGGTAAATTCAAGCCTACTGAAGACCACAGTGTTCTCCCTTATATGGCAAGTCAACACTAACCTACATGCTGGTCTAGTGGCTTGTTCCAGGTCACGCTCACAAAGGTAATGGCATTAAGTTGTGTTTTCTATTTCTGTGTGCTACTTATTAGGATTCTTTTCAATTCAAATACAAAAACTTCATTTTGTCTCACCCTGGTTTCAGATTGTTAAAATTTTTTATAATCTTGATGTTGTCATCCAAATTAATTTCTCTGACTATACATTGGGTAGAGTGTACACTGCTCTGGTGATGGGTACACTAAAATCTCAGAAATCACCACTGAAGAACTTATCCATGTAACCACAAACCACCTGTACCCCCAAAACTATTGAAATAAAAAGAAAATTAAAAAATATTGTCCAAATATGTTCCTAAAATTTCATGAAATCCATTACATCATCAGCCTCAATCTTTAAAATAGCCCACTTACTTCTTTTTCTTCTCCTCCTTTCCTCCTTTGTTGGTTGTCTTTTATGAAATAAAAGGCAGAAGCAAAAAGAGGTACTGTTACATCCCTAGGCCACATGACAAGGTAGAAAGGCCCAGGCAAACAAACCCAAGTCTATCCAGTTTCAAAGCCTATTCCCTTCTCATCATTTCCTGGTGCTTCTACAGCATCAGTGTCAATGCTGAGGTGTCATATATTACACAAGGCTGTTGGGAGGATCAGTGTAGATAATGCAAGTGAAAGTGCTTGGTAAACGTTCCTTTCTGGGTAAACAAAAGGTGGTCTTGTAAGATCTAGCTAGAGCAATTAGGCAAGAGAAAAAAAACAAAAGGCATCCACATAGCAAGAGAGGAAGTCAAACTATCACTTTTCGCAGACAATATGATTCTATACCCAGAAAACCCTAAAAACTCTGCCAAAAGGCTCCTCAAACAGATAATTGACTTCAGTAAAGTTTCAGGATGCAAAATCAATACAAAAATCAGTAGGATTTCTATGCACCAACAATGTCCAAGCTGAGAGCCAAATCAAAAGGTAATTTCATTTACAATTGCCACAAAAATAATAAAATACCTAAAAAATAGCTACCCAAGGAGGTGAAGGATCTCTACAACAAGAATTACAAAACACTGCTGAAAGAAATTAGAAATGTCACAAACAAATAGAAAAATACTCCATGCTCATGGATTGGAAGAATCAACATTGTTAAAATGGCCATACTGCCCAAAGCAATTTACAGATTCAATGCTATTCCTATCAAAGTACCAACATCATTTTTCACAGAATTAGAAAAAAAAATGATTCTAAAACTCATATGGAACCAAAAGAGCGTTCAAATAGCCAAAGCAATCCTAAGGTGGGAAGAAAAGAAAAGCCAGAGGCATCACATTACCCAACTTCAAGTTATATTATAAGGCTACAGTAAGCAAACAGTATGGTAGTGGTACAAAAACCAACACATAGACCAATGGAACAGGATAAAGAACCCAGAAATAAAGCTGCACACCTATAGCCATCTGATCTTTGACAAAGTCAACAATAACAGCAAAGGGGAAAAGATTCTCTATTTAATAAATGATTCTAGGATAACTGGCTAGCTATATGCAGAAGATTGAACCTGGACTCCTTCTTTTTACCTTATACAAAAATTAACTCAAGAGGGATTAAAGACTTAAGTGTAAGACCTAAAACTATAAAATCCCTAGAAGAAAACCTAGGAAATACCATTCTGGACACTGGCTTTGGCAAAGAATTTATGACCAAGTCTCCAAATGCAATTGTGACAAAAAGAAAAATGGACAAGTAGGATCTAATTAAACTAAAGAGCCTCTTCACAGCAAAATAAACTATCAACAGAGTAAACAGACAACCTACAGAATGGGAGAAAATATTCCTAAATTATGCATCTGACAAAGTCCTAATATCTAGAATCTATTTTAAAAAAATTGAGTAAGCAAAAAATAACTCTATTACAAATGAGCACAGGACATGAAAAGACACTTTGCAAAGAAGACATACATTCAGCCAACAAATATGTGAAAAAATGCTCAGCATCACTAATCGTCAGAGAAATCATGATCAAAATCAAAACCACGACGAGATACCATCTCGCGCCAGTCAGAATGGCCATTATTAAAAGTAAAAAAATACCATGTTGACAAAGTTGTGCATAAAAGGGAACACCAGGCTGGGCATGGTAGCTCACACTTATAATCTCAACACTTTGGGAGGCTGAGGCAGGCAGATCACTTGAGTTCAGGAAGCTTGAGACAAGCCTGGGCAACATGGTGGAAAACCCATCATTAAAAAAACACAAAAATTAATCAGGCATGCTGGTGCACACCTGTAGTCCCAGCTACTTCTGGGGCTGAGGCAGGAGGATCGCTTGAGCCAGGGAAGTAGAGGCTACAGTGAGCTGAGATTGTACCACTGTACTCCAGTCTGGGTGACAAAGTGAGATCCTGTCTCAAAAAAAAAAAAAAAAAAAAAAAGTGGAATATAAATTAGTTCAGCCCCTGTGGAAAGCAGCATGGAGATTTCTCAAAGAACTTAAAAAAGAACTATGATTTGACCCAGCAATCCCACTACTGGGTGTATATCTAAAGGAAAATAAATCTTTCTACAAAAAAGATACCTGTACTTGTATGTTTACTGTAGCACTAGCACTATTCACAATAGCAAAAACATGGAATCAACCTAGGTGCCCATCAAGAGAGGATTGGATAAAGGAAATGTGGTACATATGCACCATGGAATACTAAGCAGCCATAAAAGGAATAAAATCATGTCTTTTGCAGCAACATGGATGCAGCTGAAGGCCATTATCTTAAGCAAATTCACACAGGAATAGAAAATCAAATACTGCATGTTGTCACTTATAAGTGGGAGCTAAAAGCTGGGTAAACGTGGACATAAAGAAGGGAACAATAGACATTAGGGACTATTAGAGGGGGAGGGTGGGGTGGGGGAATGGGTTGGAAAACTACCTATCAGGTACTACGCTCACCACCTAAGTGATGGGATCATTCGTACACCAAACCTCAGTGACATGCAATTTACCCATGTAACAAAACTGCACGGGTACCCCCAAAACTAAAATAAAAGTAAAAAAAACCCCAAAAAACAGAAACAAAAAACTAATAAGGGAGGGATATGAGAACCTTCTGCACTACCTCTTCAATTTTTATGTTGATTCAAAACAGCTGTATATAATGTGTATTAATTTTTTTAAATCTAGCAACACTGTTTCAGGAAAAGATCTGTTTTAGATATTATTTAACAATTAGCTTAATGTCTCACCATTAGATTGAGATGCTGTTCACTTTTAAAAGTGAACTACATGTTGTCAATGTATCTGTACATCTCTAGTTGTAGCACTACTGAGTGACTTAATACATTTAAATTTGCACCACACACACCTTTTTTTTTTTTTTTAAAAAGATGGTCTTCTCAGACTCATTTGCTTACAAATAGCATATTCCTACGCCAGATGCTATGGGATCACATCAAAGGCCTCACCTTTATCTTTAGATTTATATTTTCCCAGAGGAAATAATGACCAGAACAGCCCATGAACTCCACACCAATCTGCATTTATTTGTGATTTGCTCATGTCTGCCTGATTATAATTAACATGCACAATGTGTATAAAAACATGCTATCTGATGACAGGCTGGAATGGGCCTGAGTCTTATCTAGATTCTAGATCAACTTAGAAAATTCTTAAGCCCTCAGATAGAGAGAACATGTCTTGGGGCAAATAAAAGCCCTGGACTTGGCCTCCCTGGATTGGGTTAAATCCAATAATTGCCTTTCTTTTGTAAAGTGGGAGGAAGGCACTCTCATTTATTAGTTAAATGACCTTGAGCCAATCACAACCTCACTGGACCTTCAAGACTGATAGGAGAAAAGGACATGCAATAAACATAATTGGAATTGAGCACAACCGAGTGAAATAATGGAAGTGGGCATGAGGCACCACTGGGGCAATCTCAGAGAGTGCAGAATTGGAGAAAAGTCAGTGGGCACAGGAAATGGAAAACCAAAAAGCCATAAAGGGTCAGTCCAGAATGGTCTTCACAAAACCTAGTTCTAGTGATAATAAAAAAGTCAAAATCACTGGGATAAAGCAAAATGAAGCCCATTTGCTGGAGAAATGGGTTCTGCTGTTTATCAAGATAAAATATCTCCCAAGGGTCAGGTCTTGGACCTGTCTACTTTGTCCAGAGTTCCCTAGGAGCCCTTTTCCTCTGAAAGAGACTTGACTCTGCTTCAGAAATCTGCTCCCAATTGCTAACAGAATTGATTTTCTGCCACTAGTTGCATCAGGAAGGAATAAGGTCATTCTACTCAGGGTGACGGCTGGTCAGGGAGCCCAGGTTGCTGCCTCTGCCCACAGACTCATCAGTCCACTGACTATGCCTAAGTCCCTGTTGGTCTAAAAGGGCCTGAGTTTCATCTCACTGCTCGGCCGTACTCGAGATAAGCAGTCTTCACAGTGGGAACATGTGCCTAAGAGGTGAACAGGCATAGCTGGTTTTAAGGAAATCTATTTCTAGACCTTACACAGCCATTTTCTTTGTTCTTTCCTATATTGGATCCGCCTGAGAAGGTGCCTGTGGTGGAAGGCACAGTCTTACCTGTTCTACACCACCCATTGCTTCCCCCATTTCGCTAAAGTCAAACCCTTCCCCCACCCCACATCCCATCTTACTATGGTGCACTGCCCGGAGTGCAAAAATGGCCACCAAGCAAAATAACTGTTCCAAATATTGAAAAATTGATGTCAATGACAGGAGGCAAAAGCCCCTAATAACTGGTAACACATTCTTTTCCAAGTAAGTTTCCAATTCTTGGTTTTCAACAAAACTGAAGGAAGGCCTAATCATGTTGTCAGCTGATAAATCAAAATAACTTTTGATGACGGATCACTCTGATTTTTGGCATACGATGAAAACTTAATTCAAAGACTGGAGTGACTTAATTATAACAAAACTTCTTTTGTTTTTGTCTACATGTTTATGTGAACAAAGTTTCCCAACACCCGTAGCTATACAAATAAAAATCAGAAATAGAACTGTCACTGAATCATGCCTCCTTCTGGCAATAAGTGATATTTATTCATGAGTACCTAAATACATAAACAAATTGAGGGGAAAGGAGGAAATTCATCCATCTCTTTAAGAGATACATTTCCTGTAAATTTTAATTTTTATGTTTAAAAACTCCCATGTACCTTCCAACTTCATACAGAATGTACCTCACATCGATCTCATTCTCTTTTATCTCAAACAGCAAGTTCTCTCTCTTACCTCTCTCTCTATCCCTTTCTTTCCCTCTCTCCCTTCCTCCCTCCCTCCCTCCCCTTTTCAACCTTCCCCTTTCTGCCTGAGGCTCCCTTCAGTCATTATGCCCAATGCCCAGAGTCATTTTTTGACTCACTCTTTGGCTTCTTGCCATAAATTAATTAATCTCAGCCATTCTCATGTCCCTTCCATCTCTTTCCCACTCACTGCCATTTCCCCGCACCTGCAGCTTTCTAACTCTGGATTCCACTTCCTTCCACCTTCAATTAATTTTGCACATGGCTGTCAAGGCAACATTTTAAGATCTGACTCCTATTATTTACCTTATTACTTTTACAAAAAAAAAAAAAAGAGGGCACTCAAGGCTGTCAGAAATCTGGTTCCAATCTCCCTTTCAATCATATCCCCCCAAACTCTTCCACAGGAGCCTTTAGTCCAGACAAGCCAAAGACTTCATTGTCCACTCTTGACCCACAAACACACCCTCCTCTTCATGTTCATCCCTGACTCCTCTGCTGGAATGCCAGAGTGTGGGCCCCTTAGTGAATTTTTTCCAATAGATAATTAACCTTCAATAAAACTGAGTCTTTCTTACATTGATGTAGTGCTCAAGTGACATGCCTTGAACTTCGCAAATGTTTAATTCCTTCTTTTGTTAGTATGAAACATTCTAAAGGAATTTTCTTAGAGTTCTATTAAAGATCACTTTATTATGAGTATGAAATAAAAATTCTACATATTGTGGAAATTCTCCCCTTAGGAAAAGAAGAATTTAAAGTAATCCTTCACACACTTTGGTTTAGGAGGTATGGCTTTGAGTATATAAATTAGAAATGAGTTTGTACTGCTTAGTATGCCCTGGCAACAAAAAAGGTTTTGATTTCTGGCCTTACTTTGGCTTTGCCTCCTTAATCAAGCAAAAGAAATTGAGCCAATTATAGTTATGCCACAGCTTTTCTGAGCTAGAATGAAATGAGCCAAAGAGAGGGACTGGCCCACTTCTGCTATAATGCCCTTGAAGGAGCCGCATAATGGGAAGCTGGCTCTGCTCTCATGGATAGAGGAAAGGACCCTGTAGGCAGAGTAAGTGGGAATCAGCAGGCGAGCTCCCGTGATTGGCACTGTACATCCATTTTCTGAGGATGATCCTTCAGACCAAAGTCTTGTCCTCTGTCTCCTACACCATGAAGCCTTGAAGAGAACCTGCCTAGGTTCAGAAGGAGCCATGATTCAGAAGGAGATACCAATACTGCATCTTCCCTCAGTCCCCTCAACCCAAGGAAGACAATTCCCCAACCAAGAGAAAATCTGTCTGGATCCCAGAGTGAGAGAAAGATGACACGACAGAGAAACAGTACATCAGTTACACTTGCTTTATTGCCCAACTCATGCAATAACTCAACCTCTCTTGTGTTAGTAGAAGTGTGTAGCATTAAAAGAACTTAATTTAACCAATCCATGTTAGTAGGTTAGAAATAAATTTGGGATAGGCTGTCTTTTAAAGCCTCTAGATAGCTTATGTATCCACTAAGGCAGCAAACATAACCCTGTCCTCCCTGGAGTATGAATCTGGAGCTCCATAAATCTATCTCCATTTCTTAGAGACTCCTATGTTCCCTACAAGGGTTTTCAGACCATGAAGGTTTCTAACATAATAACAATGGCCACATAATCCAGTGAAATAAAAGTCAAAACCTACAAATGCTGAACAGACATAGCAGAGCTTGAGCTATACTCCTTCTACTTCCCAGGCCCTTGACAAGTGGCATCTCTACATGCACCCTTTTACCTATTCTGCAATCTAAGAATGCTTAAAAATATTAGGGTATATACAGATATACATATTGCATACATGCATGCACAAAGAGACATAGATATGCACTCATGGGGAACAAAGGGAGGGATGAGAACAGGAAGGAAGGCAAGAAGGAAAAGAGGGAAAGAGGGAGGAAGACATTAGATAGATGATAGATACATACATACATAGAGTGAGTGAAAGAGCTATCATTCACTGAATGCTTCTCTTTGCCAAGATCTGGAATAATTCCTTTATGCTGATCATCTGTAATACCGTCAGCCATTACCACTGTTCAGCAGGGTAAGTAGTGTTACTCTTGTTTAAAAGTGGAAGCCAAGATGAGGGTGTCAAATGTAATTCTGCCTGATACTCAAAAGTTCATGCTTTGACCAAAATAGAAAACGATATTAAAGGGAGAAAAACAAGTCATTCTAGCTTTCATATACTGCCCTCACCCCACCTATTACATAGGCCTAACTTCAAAGATAGTTTCTGAACTCCATCTTGGAAACCACTGTTCTGCCTCTGTAGCTTAATGAGTCCACCTTGTCCTGCCTCCCAGATCAGAAAACATCCCCTTTTGTCTCTAGCATCCGGATGTGGATTCCTGGACAAGCCCAGTAAGAGCAACCAGACTGGGTAAGGGAATTCACTGGATCCCAAGCTGGTGACTCAGGCCTGATTTTCACAGCTGATACAATTTATGTCATGCCTCTTCATCCTTTTCCCACAAAATTCAAAACTGGAGCTCCAAGGTGATTGTTTTTTCTCTCCTATAATACTTTCTGCTCCAGGTCACTTCCTCTTGGCCAGTGATCCACCCTGGTCTTGACCAGATCCAGACAGCTGTTAATTACCCAGGAAGCAGAGTGGGGAGGGCTATTGTCAGTTGTTTTCCCTTAATAAATAAAAATAAATGTATTGCTGTATCTTGTTTCCTGCAGGGTCATTGTTTTCACGGGCAGGAAGAGGCCCTATGTAGAGGTCCTGAAGCTAATTTCATTTGCACCCTCAGAGGTCAGATCATGCCCAACAGACTCCTTGCAGGATAGGGCAGCAGCAGCCAGCCCAGACCAGGCCAGCTGGTCTCCATGCAAGTGCAACCTTCTCTCTGCCTGGGCTTTCTTCTTGGCTCTGGAGCTTCCAATTCCTTAAGTGAAAAGTAAAAGGCTTTTAAAATTGGTTTTGACAAATATTGCATGTTTTCATTTAAATGTGAGAGCTAAAAAGTTTGATCATATGCAGATGGAAACTGGAAAGACAGATAACAGGCTGGGAAAGGTGAGTGGAGGGTAGGAGGGAGGATGAAGAGAAGCGGGATACACGGTACAAATATACAGTTAGATAGAAGAAATAAATTCAATGTTTGATAACAGAGCAGGGTGACTATAGTTAATAAAAATGTATTGTACTTGGGCAACAGACACCCTAAATGCCCTGACTTGATCACTACACATTATATACATGTAACAAAATTTCACGTGTGCTCCATAAATTTTCATTAATAAAAAACTATCTTAACCCCCCAAAATAATAAAATTTTAAAAAGTGGGCATTAAAGAGAATCACGGGGTTTGTGTGTTGTCAGGGAGTGCTCAGCAAAATCTCTTCTCCAAACTCTTTAGGCACTGTAAGAACATCTCTTGCCAGGCACGGTGGCTCATGCCTGTAAATCCAAGCACTTTGGGAGGTCGAGGTGGGCAGATCATGAGGTCAGGAGTTTGAGACCAGCCTGGCCAACATGGTGAAACCCTGTCTCTACTAAAAATATAAAAATTAGCTGGGCGTGGTGGTGGGTGCCTGTAATCCCAGCTACTAGGGAGGCTGGGGCAGGAGAATCGTTTGAACCCAGGAGGCAGAGGTTGCAGTGAGATGAGATCGCACCATTGCACTCCAGCCTGGGCAACAGGGTAAGACTCTGCCTCAAACAAACAAACAAACAAACAAACAAAATATCTTTATGGCATTCTGCCCCACCCCATTGGAAAGGGAAGACCTCCACTAACATTACTGCCCTCTCTAAAATGCTGGAGGAAGCTTCCTTCCTTTTCCTTCCATCTCTGACTTGTTCTTCTCCAGGAAGGAGTATTGAGAAATCTCTGTTCCTACCTGGCTGGCTCTGATGTGTGCTCCTTTAAATTCACTCATTTCAGTTCATGTCCTTCGCAGGGACATAGATGAAGCTGGAAGCCATCATTCTCAGCAAACTAACACAGGAACAGAAAACCAAACACCACGTGTTCTCACTCATAAGTGGGAGTGGAACAATGAGAACACATGGACACAGGGAGGGGCACACAGGGCTTGTCGGGGGGTGGGGGGCAAGGGGAGGAAGAGCATTAGAACAAATACCTAATGCATGCGGGGCTTGAAACCTAGATAACAGGTTGCTAGGTGCAGAAAACCACCATGGCACATGTATACCTATGTAACAAACCTGCATGTTCTGCACACGTATCCCAGAACTTAGAGTAAAATAAAAAAAGAAAGAATTCACTCATTTCATCCCCTTCCACAGGCAATAGGCAACCCACAAGGAAGCATCCATTGCCCTGCCCCTCCTCCCAATCCACTGGCTCACTTTTCTTCCCCTGCAAGGGAAAGACCTACAATCCCATAGCTGCCCTAGAACTCAACGGACTAGGCAGAAGGCCCTGACACATTATTCCATCCAGCATTACCACTGCTGAAATTGACACTGATGAGGTCAACTTCAAAATTCGAATGCTTTTCTGGGTCCTTGAGTTTGGAAGAAGGGTGTGATTAATTAGCCCCTCCAGTCTGGGCAGCACTTTATGTGGTTGCGCTATAATTAGTTATATAACCATTATCTTTCCCACGTGACAGTGAGGAATCTGAAGGCAGAATCCATATGATTGATTCACTTTCGATTCTCTGGGCATTCAGCACAGTGTGTTGCCTCATGGTGCATATCTCACAATATTCATTGAACTAAATTATGAAGACACCATTTCCAAAAGTTCAGCTAATAAATTTGTTATATGTAAATACATATGTATGTGTACGTATGTGGGTATGCGTATAAATATGTGCCAGTATAACATTAAAAGAGTAGGGAAATTTTGGGAGGCTGAGGCAGGTGAATCACAAGGTCAGGAGTTCAATACCAGCCTGGCCAATATGGTGAAACCCTGTCTCTACTAAAAATACAAAAAAATTTAGCTGGGCATGGTGGTGCACGTCTGTAATCCCAGCTACTCGGGAGGCTGAGGCAGAAGAGTCACTTGAACCTGGAAGGCAGAGGTTGCAGTGAGCCGAGATCGTGCCAATGCACTCCAGCCTGGAAGACAGAGACTCTGTCTCAGAAAAAAAAAAGGGTAGGGAATTTTTTTAATTATAAAATCACCATAATTTCACAACCTGAATATAACTATACAGTGTGTAGTATAGTGAATATTCCTTTGTTCTTTCTCTATCATATAAACATGCACATACTTATTCACATTTACCTGCTTATAGTCAGAGTATATATAGACATGTATATATAATTCATATCTTTTCCTCTGCATATACTGTACATGTACACTTCACATGTACACAGCATATAACACTGTTCAATATTGCTCCATGGTCTCCCTCCATCATGCCTAATAATGGCTACATAGTATTCTTCCCAGTGAAAGTGCCACAGTTTACAAAAACTCCTTCCTGCCTTTGGATATTTAGGTTGTTATGAGGAAATATTTTTGAAAAATAGTAATACAAGAAATATTTTTGTGCTTAATGCTACTTCCTTTTTTGCTTGTTGTTTATTGCCTTGCAATGGATTCTCAGGAAAGGAATCTCTGTGTCAAACAGGATACATACTATTATAGCTCTTGATACACATTGCCAAGTGGGTTTTGAAAAGTGTTACACTAATTTATCTTGCTATCATCTGTGTACAAAAGTACTACTTTCACCAAACCCTCTCTAGTGGAGGATATTCCAACTGTTTAAAAATGTTACAAATTGTGAGCCCCTCCTTAGGGGTGGTACTGGAGGCGTGGGGTCTTGGCATTTCTCAGCCCATGCAGGAAGCTCCCTGATGAGTGTCTGAAACCTTTTGCAGATTAACTTTATGTACTCTGCTGCATGCTTCTGAAACCAGAGTAGGCACAGCCTCAATTCTATGCAGGGAGGATGCACAAAAGCAGAATATCCATGATACATCTTTCTGGAGCAGCAATTTTACTGTGAGATTTGGAAGAAACAAATTTAATTCATTTCCAAGAGAATGTGTAAGAACTATCAAGTCTTAGGACACATGGCCAGGACCAGAAGGTGCCCAGTGAAGTGCTGGGGTGGGGCCCTGCCTCACAACCCTTGGGCCAAATAAGAAGGAAAAGTAGAACCTGGGACTGAGGAAGCCCCAGCAACTCCAGACTCCATAGCCGTTTACCAAGACTCACAGAAAGAACAAAGGCAAAGGCAAGGCAAGAACTGCAGAGGAAGAACCTACCACAGGAGTTTCCTAGGAGACTTCAAGTTGAAGCATCAGCAAAACTGAAAGGCTAATGCCTGTCCACACATCCAAAAGTAGATCTGTCCTGGATCTGTGTTCAACAAGTCAGCCAGCTGTCAAGAAACCTGAGATGTGATTCTTCTACCTGGCAGAGCCTCCCATCAAGACATAAACTGGGCTCCCTCTTACCTTATGGATAACTGACGTGTGGAGGTGGATCTATGGATTAGACTCATGCTGCATTCCAGCACTTTGCCTAGGACCCAACAATCATTGCCAAGATGAAAGTCAACAGGCCTGAAGTTTGCTTTCATGATGTTCTCCAGCCTGTAACCAAGACACTAGTCCTGGCCACTTCTTCAAACCTGATGCAAGGTTGTGCTGATATAAATGCAAACCCAGCTCTATGCCTACCAACCATCTATGTGGCTAGGACTGCAAATTGAGTATTCAGGCCCCAGGCAAGAGGTCTTCCCAGGTTTCCAAGTAGAATTTCTAGAATTTCCAAAGATAATGACTTTGCCCCTTTCAGTGCCCATCTTCCAGAGATAATCAGAGGGGGCCTCTGGAAGCCATTTAGACTCTCCAGCCTCCTCCCTAGTGAAAATGGACTTGGATACAAAGAGGCAACCTACTGACCTCAAAGGCACCAGCCCAGATACTGAGTATAGGGGCCCTCTATGACACACCTCATCTGAGCCACATCAAAGCCCAAACTGTTCCTCAATCTCCACCATCCAGACAGCCCAAAACGGCCCTTCAGAATTGTCTTGAGATGGGACAGGAGACAGTAGAGCTGCAGGTTCAGAATGGCTGCCTCATCCCTCCCTCCTGAAAAGTCTATACCTGCTGATCAGAGCCTCACACCTCAGGGGGCTCAGCCCTCCCAGTAAGTGTTCCCTAAGAGGACCTTTGTTGCGGGAAGTCAGGGACCCTAAACGGAAGGACCAGCTGAAGCCATGGCAGAAGAACATGAATTGTGAAGATTTCATGGACATTTATTAGTTCCCCAAATTAATAATTTTATAATTTCTTATGCCTCTCTTTACTGCAATCTCTAAACATAAATTGTGAAGATTTCATGGACACTTATCACTTCCCCAATCAATACCCTTGTGATTTCCTATGCCTGTCTTTACTTTTATCTCAATCCTGTCAGCTGAGGAGGATGTATGTCACCTCAGGACCCTGTAATAATTGCATTAACTGCACAAATTGTACAGCATGTGTGTTTGAGCAATATGAAATCTGGGCACCTTGAAAAAAGAACAGGATAACAGCAATTGTTCAGGGAATAAGAGAGATAACCTGAAACTCTGACTGCCGGTGAGCCGGGCAGAACAGAGCCATATTTCTCTTCTTTCAAAAGCAAATGGGAGAAATATCGCTGAATTCTTTTTCTCAGCAAGGAACATCCCTGGGAAAGAGAATACATGCCTGGGGGTATGGGTCTATAAACGGCCTGTAGGGGTGAAATAGACCCCAGTCTCCTATAGCACTCCCAGGCTTATTAGGAAAAGGAAAATTCCTGCCTAATAAATTTTTGGTCAGACCGGTTGCTCTCAAAACCCTGTCTCCTGATAAGATGTTATCAATGACAATGGTACCCGAAACTTCATTAGCAATTTTAATTTCGCCCCAGTCCTGTGGTCCTGTGATCTCGCCCTGCCTCCGCTTGCCTTGTGATATTCTATTACCTTGTAAAGTACTTGATGTCTGTGACCCACACCTATTTGCACACTCCCTCCCCTTTTAAAAATCCCTAATAAAAACTTGCTGGTTTTGTGGCTTGGGGGGCATCACAGAACCTACCGACATGTGATGTCTCCCCCGGATGCCCAGCTTTAAAATTTCTCTCTTTTGTACTCTGTCCCTTTATTTCTCAAGCTGGCGGACGCTTAGGGAAAATAGAAAAGAACCTACGTGACTATCGGGGCGGGTTCCCAGATAGACCTTCTGGTCTTTTCCTCCTCTGAGGGGAGGAATGATACCCTCTGTGCCACAAAATATATAACCTCTACTCTCACATGACTTGATTGATTGATGAACTGATGCCCTGAGGAGGAAAGAGATGCAGAGGAGAGCCTGTGTCGTGTCTTGTGAATTCCTGTTTCCCTAGCTGTGATGCCTGTGCAAATCGAGGAACCCAAATAATACTGGGTGGTGGACACACAGACACTGCCTAATAAAATTCAGTAAATTTACCTTGAATTTAAGGGGAACTTATCATATGTCCTATAAAAATTTAAGTTGGTGAATTTTATAAGAAAACTGAGTTAAAATGTATAAGGGCATTAAAATATAATTTTAATAGGAAGCTATGAAAATTATCTGCACTTGCTGTGTAAATGACTGAATTTTGGGTAACTATGTAAGATTATTGATGGGCTTGAAAAGATACCCGCTACTTAATTTTATCAGACATTTACTTTCAAATATTTGCTGTTAACCAGTTAACCAGTTAACCAATACCCTCTCATGTTATTAAAATTTTTTATTTTGAGGGAGCACTTCTATGAAAACAATAGTAAGATTGTTGCTAATTTTGGTTATTAAAATAATAAAATTGTTTGGTTAGTTTATGTTATTGTTAACCAAATGCTCCTATAGATAGCATATTGTACAGTTGTTTTGATCCGTTCTTTCACCCTAGGTCAAATTTCCTTAATTTTATTCATCAAATTGTATTTACTGTAGATAAAAGAAACACTGTAGTTACCATGTGCTCTGCGGATCTGTACTTTGTTAGAAATACAAATTCTCAGTCAAAACTCACACCTATTTTACAAAAATCTGGATCTTAAATAATACTTTGAGGTAATCTCTATGCATATTAATGATTGTTAAGGGGGGTAATTCAATTCTTAAAAGAGGGGAAGTTTACGTATACTGATTTGTCAAAAAGGTACAATTAAGATTGTACCTTTCAATGTGTATGCATTTTATCTAAAAAATAATCAAAAACCTAATGAAGTGGGGGGTGGGAAATGGTTTGAAATATAGATTAAACAAAAACAGCATATGACTAGTAGATGTTAAAGCTGGGTGACAGGTCTATTATACTTTTTGGTATTTTGTATATGTTTTTAATGTTCTGTAATAAAACACTTCTATGAAATGACAGAGTTGATCTATACTTAGTTCTTAAGATCTTGGTTTCCTTTGGAAGGAGAAGGAGAATGTGATTATCAGGGGCATGAGCAAGTGTGATTCTATTTCTTGGTTACACAAGTGTATTTATTTTGTAATAATTCATCAAGCTTTCCATAAATGTTTTGTGCATATGTTTCTGTATGCATGTTATACATCAATAAAAAGTTAAATATTAAAAAATTTACAAATTATATATATTAATACATGGTTACTTATATTCATTCTATAAACATTTACTGCAAGTCTCCAATGCCTTGGGCATAGCTTAAAGGCTAAGGACACAAAGGCCCTTGGCCCTCACAGGATTCACAGTATAAAGGGTAATGAGAAAACCCAGAACTACAATACCTTCTCAAATGCCCAAATTCGTGACTATCATCAATTAAGTTGTGGGGGGTGAGGCTCCCTCACTGTTGAGAGACTGCCTCCCTCATACCAATGTCATGGGAAACATGATTCGAATTCTGGTTAAATACTAAACAGCATAACTGTACTTGCAGTTACACATTCAATGAATATTGGTTAAACAGGGAAAAATAATCACCCAAAACTCCTGCTCTGAAAAATATTACTATAAGCAAAGTCAAAAGACAAGTGATAAATTAAGAAAAATATCTGTAATATGTAACAGACACAAAGGACTAATATAGGAAAAGTGCCTAGAAAGAGTATTAAGAAAAAGATCAATAAAAAATGAACAAGACATATGGACAGTTCACAGAAAAAGAAATACAAATGGCTCTTCAACATATGAAAAATGGGGACTGGCACACTATGGCTCACAAGCCAAGTCTGCCCAGCCATATGTTTTTGTAAATAAAATTTTATGGAACACAATTTTGCCCATTCATTTGTGCATTGTCTATGTCTGCTCTCGTGCTACAATGCAAAGTTGAGTTGTTACAGCAGAGACTGGCTCACAAACCTGAAAATATTTACTGTCTCACCCTTTAAAGAAAAAGCTTCCTGACCTCTGATCTAGAGAAGCAGAAATTAAATAGCACTTAGATATCGTTCTTCATCTATCAGATTGTCAAAGTTCAAAAGTTTGAAAACACTGCTGCAGGGGCTTCTCATATATCTTTTAGGAGTAAATTGGTAAAATTATTTAAAAGATAAGTTATTAATATTTTTCTCAGTTGATAATTTACACATACTTTGTTCCCACAGTTCTTCTTTGGGGCACTTACTCTACAACAGCACTTGAACATACATGTCATAGTTATTTATTGCAGCTCTGTTTGTTGCTCAGTTTGGAAAGATTTAAACCATTTTCACTGGACATAAGTAAAGAACCGGTTAAACTATGGATGTCTATCTATATAATGGAATAATACATAGTTGTCTAAAAGAATGAGAAAGGTCTCCACATGCTGATCTAAAATATCTCCATAATATATTATTCAGTGAAAAACGTGAAGGGCAAAACAGTATGCATGGTGTGCTACCTGTGCATGAAATGGAGGAGGAGAAAACTATACCCTTGTATTTTCTTAATATCTGCATAAAGAACTCTGGAAGGATGCATAAGAGCCTGATGATGGGTCAAGTTTGGGAACTGGATGGAGGAAGCAGCTCTTGGGTAAGACTCCTTGCTACATGTCTTTTTATAATTATTTGGTTATTGAGCCATATTCATTCACTGATTAACTGAGCATCTGATGGGTGCCAGGCACTATTCTACATGCGCAGGATATAGCAGTCAACAAAAGAAACAAAAATCTCTCTTCTCCTAGGAGTTCCAGCAGGGGAGATGATACTAAACAAATAAATAAAATATATAGTATGGTGGATGATGGTAAGGTGATAAGGAGGAAAGAATGGGAAAAATAGGAAGAAGGATATGAAATGCTGAATGTGTGTTTTGGGGAGAAGTGGAGAGTGATGAGCAAAATTTAAGGAGAAGGTGATTTATTTGTTTATTTTAAAATTTTATGGGTACATAGAAGCTACACATATTTATGGGGTACCCAAAGGTGACTTTTGAGAAAAAAAAAACTTAAAGGAAATAGAAGAGTGAGCCAGGCAAATATGCTAAATATTCAAATCATTAAATTAAAATGAGTAATCATTCCATTTACTCTTTCTAACAACCTTGTTAGGAGTTATTAATGAGGTCAGTATTATTAATGATATTATCTTCATTATAAACTATCATATTCTGGTCCCAATGAGTTCCTTACAAACAATTAAAAAAGAAATCTTAAGTCCTCCAATCCAAGTGCTAATATACAGGGAAATAAAACATATGTGGGAGAGTGTGGGTGGGTGCCTAAGCCCATTGATTCGAGGTGGGGTAGATTGAGGAGAGATGACCCTAAGAGAGTTCTGCAGACTGGGAGGGAGTCAGCCAGTCCAGGACTAAAAGGGAGAATTCTTGGAAAAGGAAAAGAGTGTGCAAAAGCAATGAGGTAAGAAAAAACCTGGCAAGTGGTTTAGAATAACTGGAGCAGAGGTCTTGGTCAGAGAGGGTAGTGACTAAATAAAAGCATGGAGTAGTAAAGGTCAGACATTAAAAGCTCTGGTAAGCCACAGAAGGACCTTCAGAGTGGGATGCCTCAAACCATCATCAAGTCCTTTCTTCCTTGCCTGCCTCTGCTCTAGGGCATGCTTTCTCAACCTCAGAACTATTGATGTCTTGGCCCCAATAATTCTTTGTTGCAGGAGATTGTCCTGTGCATTGTAGGATGCTTCTCCACCCATTAGATGCCAGTAGCAGCCTGCACTTCTAAGCTGTGACACCCCAAAATACCTCCAGACATTGCCAGAAGTCCCCTTGCAGAGCAAAATCACACCTGATATGAACTACTGATCTAAAGATTGAAAAAGCTAAAATTCTCATTTTTCCAGCCTCCCTTGCAGCTAGAAATGACCATGTGACACAGTCCTGGCCAATGAAATCTGAGAGGAGATCTACTGGAACCTCCTTCCATTTTCTGCCTTTTTTGATCTTGAATCAGCCTGAACAACAGCAGCCATTTGGCAGCCATGAGATGACAAACACAGAAAAAAGGCTTTGAGAATCACAGAGATATTGGCCCCTACATTTTTTATTGTATATATTTAAGGTGTACAACCTGATGTTTTTCTACACATATGCTTTGTTAAATGATTACTCCAGTCAAGTGCATAAACATGTTCATCACCTTCTTTTTATTTTTTGTGTGGTAAAAGCACCTAAAATCTACTGTCTTAGCAAATTTTCAGTATACTATAAAATATTTTTAACTGTCATCCTCATGCTATACATTAGAACTCTAGACTTATTCATCCCAGAAAACTGCAAGTTTGTATCTTTGGACATACTTCTCATATCTTCCTCCTTGCCCGATAACTACTATTCTACTGTCTGTTTCTATGTATTCAACATTTTTTTTAGGTTTTATGTGTAAGTGAGATCATACAGTATTTTTATTTCTGTCTCTGACTGGGTATATACCCATAGGAAGTGAAATCAGTATCTTTAGAGATATCTGCACTCCATACTCATTGTAGCCCTATTCATAATAGTCAAGAAATGCAGACAACCAAAGTGTCCATCAATGGATGAATAGATTTTAAAAACTGTGGTATATTTACAAAATGAAATATTATTCGGCCTTAACAAAGAAGGAGATACTGCCACTTGTGACAACATGGATAAAGCTGGAATATATTACACTGAGTAAAATAAGCCAGACAGAGAAAGAAAAAGACAGGCCTCTACATGTTTGTGCTAATGAGCCAATGTTAGCAACCACCTACCTCCAGACTTCTTACTATGTGGGTAAGATAACGTCTATGTGTTTAGGCCACCAAGTTGAGGTTTTCATTTTTTGCAGTTGAAAACAATCCTGACTCTTAAACCACACAAAATTGTTTGGATTTTATCCCAGAGATAATGAGAATCCACTAAGGGATGCTAAAAAATAAAAAGAATTGCATCATCACATCCGAATTTTGGAAACATCATTTTGCTACAAAATATAGACTGTGAAACAAGATCATGGAGGCAAGACCACAGCAAATACCATTATGATAAGGCAGGCGAAAACATGATGGGGCTTGGAGCCAGTCAATCAATGATGGTGGGACTAAAGTGGACGCCATACATTTTAAGAGGCAAAATGAATCGACCCAAACCAGTTGGATATGGGCAGTGAAGAAGATGCATCAAAGGTTAAAAATCCTATTTCTGGATTAGGTGATGCCCTAGATGGGTATATAAAAGAAAGAGCATATTTAAAGAGAAGGACAATATTCTATTCTAGGCTGGAGTGAATTTGAAATGCTTATAGCACAACCAAATAGTTATTTTCAGGACACTTAGATAAGAAGCTCAGGAAGTTAGGAAAGACAGAGGTGTGATAATTGTCTACTATATGTATGGTATAATTCAAAATATAATATTTTAATAAAATAACATTTCTTATGAAGTAATATCAATGAATTGTTATTAAAAATACAGTTAAGCAAAAGAAAATTAAAAATACATATACCTTCACCTACAAAAATGTGGTTACCTATACATATGAATATACATATATAAATGGGATTATAATATATATGGTGTGTGGCAACAGGCTTTATTTACCTAGTAGCATGTCATAAACATCTATTTCAATTAATACAAATTTTCCCTAATATTTTACTACATGTATTATAAATAATTCTGAGATCAATCATCCTCACAGTAAAATTTCTGCCTATATCCCTAATTCTTTCCTTAGGAGACATTTCCAGAAGTGGGATTTCTGGCTAGCGTATGTGTTTTTAAGGGCTTTGATGGATATTGTCAAATTATTTTTTAGAGAGGTTGTAGCAATTCACAATTCCATCAGCACGATGTGTAAGTACTCATCTCCCCAGACTTTCTCCAAGACCAAAATTACATACTTAATCAGTCAAGTCTTTGAGAAATGTATAAAATAAAAATGTTAATCGCATTGCAGTTTCCATTTTGCATTTTTCTGCCAGAATTTGAGCTGTTTATGTTTTATTGATAATTTGTATTTCTTCTTTTGCAAACTGTTGATTCTTGTTTTTTGTCCACTTTCCTTTTGGGACACTTTTATTGATTTATAAAAGCTCTTTATTTGTTATAAACTTTAACTCTTCTTCATTAATGTTTCATTTTCCCCTAGTTTGACACTTGTCATTTACTTGTAGGGCCCATTGTGGTAAGCAGATATTTACAATTATTGGAATGGTCAAGGTTTGAAATGTTTGTTGTGAAGAATGGGCACAAGATGTGTCCAGAAGTAAACAGGGAGATTAAGGTATGATGTGAAAAGCTCAGCTGAGATTGGAGACTATGAATTTCTAGTGGCTTCAAATGGCAAATTATACTGGTGTTTGATAACTTGTACAGAGTGAGAAAGGGTCACTTTTCTTAAGTCATCTAATATGAACCCTGGCTAGATTAGAACTGGAAAGTAAAACCAGTCCTTGCCCAAAGAGAAATCCAATCAGAACCTTAGTCCCCTTCTTTTTACATAAAATCCAGAGACCATCAGGCAAAACAAAAACAAAATATCAAATATTTTAAAACTCAACCAGCAGAGGAGCAGTTTGGTCATTCAAACCATTGAGCATTTTCATGTAATTTTAAATGCCTCCTTTTATATAAACCGTATCTGTTTCCAATAAATGATCTTGAGAAGAAAGTCAGCCGTCTTCCTAAAGAGTACAACTTTGAAGTAAAAAAAGGGCGAATATAGACTCTCCCAACTCACGTGCCTTCTTCTGTCTCCATCTCTCCCACAAGGTTACCAAGCACCTTAGACACCCCCCTAACAAAGAACACACACACACACACAAGAAAGTGAGCAGGATTTACTCAGAGTTGGGGTTTCACCTACTGGTTTACTCAGAAGCTACACAAAAGAATAAGGCAGTTATGTGTATTAGCAAATGTGTTGCTGAAATAAGGGACCACGTGGATAGGAGAGGAGGCAACAGATGCACTGGGAGAAAATACGAGGGGCCAGGGGCCCTGCGGGGTTGAAGATCTGATAGAGCAGAATGAGGACATGAGACAGCTACAAGATTAGGACATTTTCCACAATTTTCTTCCATCATACTTTTCATCATTGCTTCCAATCCATTTATTTGATTTTCTTCACTAAAAACAATGGTTATTTGTATCTTGAATATTTAAATACATATTTGAAATTTTCTTTATTAATTTCACTTATAATCAGGGAGTGTTCCCCATTTCAGAATAGATTTTCAGTCACTGAGTCTACACACTGCATCCAAATTTTATTTTAGCCACACTGCTTTTCCATTTCCTTGTGTTTTCTTTTTATCTCAGCCCGTACTTACTTAAAGAAGCATTGTCTTCCTGCATCCCAAGTAGTATTTAATTCATGAGTATGGGGCAGGAAGGAGGAAGTTTGGAGGGGAGAGAAAAACAGGGCCATGTACTTTTCAGCCTTGACAAGATCACAAGACACATGGTAAACACAGGACTATTCAATGAGTTACCACTTTCAGTGGTCACAATTCAGGGTCATGTTGACTGAAATGGAAAATTGCCAGGTACCTCCTGTGCTGATCAGAGATCCGAAGTGCAGTGCTGTTTGCTCTCATGCGAGACATATTTTTGTGACAGCTGATTCACAGGTATCCTTTGGGTCTTTGGAAACTACAGACCCTCTCTGCCAGCCCCACTTCATTTGGGGGATAGCTTCACTACAGAGCTAAGGAAATTATGCTTCAATTGCTTGTGAAAACGATGTCTGAATTTCAAACCTCTCTTCCAGCTCTTGTGTCCTTTCTCTCCAATGTTGCCTTGAAGCAAGAGCAAAGATGAGATTCCTCTAATGGGTGAGTGCCTGGAGAAGGAGGCCCTGGACTTCCTTAACGGGGAAGAGGAGCTGACTGGTGACCTAGGCCTTCACTGATCTAAGAAGGCAGAGCCCTGGACCTGAGGCACAAGCAGACTACATGCTGCAGCTTGCCCAGAACAAGACCCTGAGCAGTCCTTTTTTTTTCTGAAATCAGGTTGCGCGTCATCCAAGATCCTCTTACAAAGAGAAGCCATGAACTTCCTTGGCTCATGGAACCCTCCACTTGGCTCAGAATTGCCACTGTAAATCATAATGTCAGGTTTGCATTTCAACTCTTAGACCACCATGTGTCAACCCTGCCTAGAGAATTAGAAAGTAAAACTAGTCCTCGCCCAAAGGAAATCCAATTGAAACCCTAGTCCCTTCCTTTTTATACAATATATCCAGAGACATCAGGCAAAACAAAACAAAACAAAAACAAAAGAAAAGTATCAAGAAATTAAAAACTCATTCAAGCAACAGAGGAACAGTTTAGTCATTCAAACCAGTGAGCATTTTCATGTATTTTTAAATGACTCCTTTTATATGAACAACATCTGTTTTCAAGAAATGATCTTGAGGAGAAAATCAGCCATCTTACTAAAGAGTGCAACTTTGAACCAACGAAGGGACAAATATCAGACTCTTCCATACTCCGCATGCCTTCTGTCTTCATCTCATCTACAGCTTCGTCAAATACCTCAGAAAGGCCCCAAACACAGAACATATAAACATATACTCTCTCTCCCACACACACAGTCTCACACACAGGCAGCCTGTGTGAGGTTAACTGCATAGAATAACCAGGCTGAGGTACTCCATCAGCCCCCTCCTTGGTCAGAGTTAATGCATAGTGACAGAAGCCAACAGTAGCCCTGGGCCACTTCAATCACTCACTTGAGCAGCTAAACATTTTCTGCAAGACAAAGCTCTTAGAACCCTTCATTTTTCAAATTAGAGAATGACAAGCTTAACTCCCAACCTGGAGACCTTTCATCTCAAAGCTCAGCAAAGCAGAGCAGTAGCTTTGATTACGTAGTGTGTCTTTACTGAGAATAAGGCCAGAGATGGCCACCCAGGAGACAACCTTGGACCCAGCCCCAGACCTCAGTCCTGGCCCAGTGGAAACCAGGCACCTACCTGAGACAAAGGAATAGGCCGCTAGGATGTTGCTGAGCAAAGCCATCTCCACGTGCTCTGGGCTGTGGCTGAGGGGCAGCCTCATGGGACATCCAGAGGGGACCTCCTGGAGGTGCTTGGCTGAATCAACGTGGCCACTCTCCTTCTTCTCTTCTGTTTGGGAACATAAAGTGAGTGATAAGAAACATTCTGCTGTCCTGAGGCCATGTTCCAGGTAGCCTGGACTCCTAAAGACATATTTTTGCAACAGCTGATTTGCAGGTGTCCTTTGGGGCTTTGGAAACTACAGACCCTCTCTGGCCAGCCCCACTTTTTTGGGGGTATAGCTTCACTATAGAGCTAAGGAAATTATCCTTCAATTGCTTGTGAAAACTATGCTTGCAAAAACTAGCCAGGCTCCTAAAGAAAGACCAGCGAGCTCTCCCAGCCAGTGGGGCCACAAAGATTTGGGGTCTTGTGCTCTTTGTTCAAGCGAGCTTCCTGGCTTTCAAGGAAGTAGAAACTCCTTACATCCCTGATTTTCCTGACCTTTCTCCTTTCTCTGCCCTGTATCTTCCTAATTCCCAGTAAACAATTCCCCCTTACCACTTCTGGAACTCTTTATTTGATTCTCCCTGGTTCACCTTTGAGGCACAGCCCATCGGGTTCAAATCATCGTCACATTCATCACTGCGTTTTAACTACAAGCCACAGCCCTCTCCTCTCCTGCTGTGCTTTCCCGGGAGCCTGCACTGATGACACTTGTGTACCTTGATCAGTTTGCCTCATCCCTCAGGTCACTAAATGTGTGCCTTTGGCAGTGGTTCAGAGCTGGCTATCCCAGAACTGCCAAAGCAGTTCTCATTCTAAAATATCTACAGGAATTTGAGAGCTCGAGCTGCTCCCTGCCTCTAGCTCCATGACTCCACCTGTGACTGTGATGGGCCAGTAGAACACACACATGGCCCAGACTGCCCATCCATAGAACCATCCCACCAGGGATCAGAACAGGGACTTGGGATCTCAGTGCTCCAGCCTCTGGCTGGAGGAGCACATCCTCTCCCCAGCTGCTGCAGCACAAGCCTGGCATTAGCATTGCCCAGTTACTCAGCAAAGGCTTTACAGAGAGCTCCTGGGCACGAAGTGGGAGAGAGGTGGCAGAGACCCAATTCGATGCTGCTATGAACTGCTCATGAACAGCTCATTCGATGCTGCTATGAACTCAAGGCAGGCAATTGAGTCACAGAGTGTAGAAGGGTGTCAAGGCTTGGAGAATGAACCTGGGATCTCAGTGGGTCACAGATATGAGTAACATGGGCCACAATTAGAAGGCCTGGAGAGCGGCAGTTCCGTGAGGTAAATAGAATGGGCTATAACAGAACACTCTCTGGCTGGTAGATTTCAGCAGGCTTCAGGAAAGACCAAAACAAGAAAACACCAACCAACTCACAGGCACAAAGAAACAACCATAAAGTCCTTGGAGCGGCCAGAGGCTCTGAGAGTGACAGGAGAAGGAGTGGGAGCTCCAGGGACTTTGAAAAGAGACTGGCTGCTGTTAAGGGACCCTTGAGCCGCTGAGCCAGAACACAGCGCCTCTTTCAACAGTCATTTGTGTTCCTAAAAGGTGGCAACTGGATGATACACGTGAATGGTGAGAGCCATCAAACTGAGTTCAGAGGCTGTTCTACAGATCTGAGGACTTCAAGACCCAGGAAAAGAGTGAAGCTACTGGAATATGTCTGAGTTTGTAGTGAGCCATGTGTATTTCAAAACCATTCCCTCCTTCCTGTCTCCACTAATGTTACCAGATTGCAAGTCTTATCATTTTATTTCTGGGAGTTTTGCAACAATCTCCTACCTGGTCTTTCTGATGATACCTCCTTCCTTCTCAATATAGCACCCATTCTTATTAACAGGGTCATTTTTCTATAGTACAAATATGATCACATCACTCCACAACCCAACTCTAATGAATTTCCATTGACCTCTTAACACAATACACATCCACTTTCACAATATCTGACCTCTGCCTTACCTCCTAATGTATCTCCTATCCAAGCTGACAGTCACACACATATACACACAGATAATAAGAATGCTTAGAGCTTCAACAATACTAGATTACTTTTAGTTCCCCCAAGTAGAGCAAGCTCTTTCACCTCTTCATGCTTTTGGTCACACTCTTCCTGTTGCCTAAATGCCCCCCTTCTCTTCATCTGTCTGGCAAATGTTTCCTATAAGAAAGAATTCAGAAGTTTTATGGCAGTCCCAAAATCTCAATGATGTTTTTGCAGAAATAAAAAAATCCATACTGAAATTCATATGGAATCTCAGGGGACCCCAAACAGTCAAAACAATCTTGAAAATTAACAAAGTTAGACATCTCACTCTTCCTGATTTCAAAACTTATTATAAATCTATAGTAATCAAAACAGTGTAGGCCTAGCATATAAAAACAGACATGTAGCTTAATGGAATAGAATAGAACATCCAAAAATAAACCCTTACATATATATATGTTCAAATTATTTTTGCAAGGGTGCCAAGACCATTCAATGGGAAAAGACTGCCTTTTCAGCAAACGGTGTTGGAAAAACTGGATGTCCACGTGCAAAAGGATGAAGTTGGACCCTTACCTTACACTATATAAAAAATTAACTCAAAATGTGTCAAAGACCTAAATGTAACAGCTAAAAATTTTAGAAGACTGTTAGAAGAAAACAGGGGTAAAGATTCATGACATTGGATTTGACAATGATTTCTTGGATATGACACCAAAAGCACAGGCAACAAAAGTAAAAAAAAAGAAAAGGACTCTATGAAAATTAAAAACTTCTGTGCATCACAGGGCACAACAGAGTAAAAAGGCAACCCACAAAATGGGAGAAAATATTTGCAAATAATATATCTGATAAAGGGTTAATATCCAGACTGCTACCTATCCTAATTCCTAATATCAGAACTCCTACAACTCAACAACTAAAAACAAAGAGCTCAATTTAAAAATGGGCAACAGACTTGAAGCAATATTTCTCCAAAGATATACAAGTAGTCAATAGGCACATGAAAAGATGCTCCACATAACCAAGCATTAATGAAATCAAAATCAAAACCACAATGAAATATCATCTCATACCCGTTAGGATGACTACTATCAAAAATCAGAAAATAAGTATTGGAACCCTTGTGCACTGTTGATGGGAAGGTAAAATTGTGCAGCCACTGTGGAAAATAGGATGACTATTCCTTAAAAAATGTTTAAATAGAATTATTGTATGACCCAGCCATTCCACCTCTGGGTATATACTGAAAGGATTTTAAAGCAGAGACTTGAACAGAATTTGTACACCAATGTTCAGAGCTGCATTATTCACAATAGCCAAAAGGTGGAAGTAACCCAAATGTCCATCCACAGATGGATGAATAAATAAAATGTTGTCTACACATACAATGCAATATTACGCACAGCCTTAAAAAGGAAGGCATAAGCATGGATTAAACTTGAGGACATTAGGCTAAGTGAAATAAGCCAGTCAAAAAGGACAGGTATTATATGATTCCACATGTATGAAGCACCAACAGTGGTCATATTCATAGAGACAGAAAGTAGCGGTTGTCAGGAACAGGAGCAGGGAAAAGATAATTATTGAACAGGGTACAGGGTACAAAGTTTCTGTTTTGCAAGATGAAAAGAGTTCTGGGGAAGGATGATGGTGATGGTTGCACAATAATGTAAATATACTTAATGCCACTGAACTATACACTTAAAAGTAATTTAAGATGACGAATTTTGTTATATGTATTTTACCACAATTTAAAAATTGTGTTGGTGAGGTAAAACAGGGAATTTTGAAGGTTACTTTATTTAAAGAATCTTGCAATCAAATTTTGGTTTTAAGTTAATAAGAATGATGGCAGAGTTATCTTTTAGCGGTATTAAATTTGAAGTCAATAAAATTCTAATTCATATCACATTATGATATGGCTTAATTTTAAGTAAGAGATGTTATTGCATTTATTTTTAAAAATTGGATTGTAAATAAGTGTACTCTACCATATTTATAGATTAACAGGAAAAAGATCGTATGAATAGATGAAAAAATGTATTTGTGTAAAATTTAATAAAAAATTCATGATTTAAGCAAAGGAAAGACCTATTGCAGTGAAGCCCCCTATTAATCTTCCAAATGCCTTTCTTTGGCTATCAAAGTGTCCAAATATTCTTCTAATATTGTGCCTATGATATTGCAATTGGAACTGAGTGTCCCCTGGTATGTCACCCCCATACATAGTGTTCAGGGGGTAATAATCTCATTATCCCTTTAGCTACCTGGGGAGAGGTGGGGTGTCAGGAGCAGAGAAGTTTCTGGTAAGAACAGTTCATCTCTGATGATGTTGGCATCAGCCAGTAGAGGTTCTAAAACTTGTTTGGCCCCAGTTGGCTTCTCAGACTCTGAAAGAAAAAAGAAGCAGCACAAAAACCATCATATACCCAGGAGATCACATCATACCTTAGACCTGGTATGTGTGTGAACCCAGCAGAGAAGCTTTGGTGGCTAGTGTCTGGATCCTTGGAAGGATGAATAGCATCCCCAGAGAGGAGAAAGCCCATTGACAGAGTGTAATCTGGAATTTGAACTAGACAGCCAGATAAACCAGTCTCCCAGGGTCATACCAGAAAGGATGCAAGAGGTAAAAGATCAAAGAAACATGCTTCCTCTCTGCTCCTGTCAGCCAAAATCCACAAAACAGCTAGTGTGGGATGTCCCAATCTGGCCCCTCATCAGTGAAGTTTGCAGGCCAGCCTCTCTGGAACAGGAAGGGAGGGAATTCTGTTTCCTTCTAGCAATGCCCAGATGGGCCATGAAATGAAGTCTCACACAGCTCTGTAGGAACTAGAATCCTGGAAATGCTGATATGTAGATTCCGACACCCTATGCCTTCCTTGCTAAAGTGTCAAGGCCTCTGCTAGGCCCAGGTAGGAAATCTCCTCTCTGTGTCTAGCTTCACTTAGAAGCTTGCAGGAAGAATGAAATCAGTCATGGAGCTCTGAGCATTGAGCTGTCCCCACTTCACGTGTGCACACTCATTCATTCGTCATCATCACACCCTTCCAACTACTGTGGCTTCCGACTTCTGCTTATTGATTACTTTATAGAGACACATCTCAGCTATTTCTTCCCCAAAATGGATTGGTGTCACTATCCTACGTTAATTTTACAGGTCAAGAAAATAAGGGCAAGAAAGAAAAGGAAACTGGAAGCATGGGATGGGTAACTGTCTACAGACTCATGTACCAAAGTGCAGAAGTAGGTCTTTGAGGCCCATTGACCTTCCACTCTACACTGGTGAAAACTATCAGGCACTGACCCTAGGACAGTCACAGGGAGTCTGAAGAGCAAAAGCTCAAATGGAAAAACAGTCCTTATATCACCGGCTGGGGAGAGGATACACATGGCCCCAGAGAAATAACTGAGCTGAGAGAAACCCCGATTTTCTTTGTAGCACTGATAAGCACCTGGGGATGATACATCTAACATGCCAGCCTGCCAGCCACTTGGCTTCCACTGCCCCATCAACCTTCCCCTCCCAACCATCACAGTGAATCATTTCCAGAGATGTATCCTGGACCTTGTCATCACCTGGAAAGGTTTTACCTCTGAATACTGGGTTGTGAACTCCGTAAGGGCAGGGACCATGCCTTAATTCTTATCTTTGTTCTCAGAGTTTCCCACAATAAGTGCATAGAGCTAATGCTCAGGGACTGTTTGCTGGATGAATGACTCACACTGAGAAATCTCACTCTCCAATCGGAACCTCTATCTTACCTCTCTGATGTGGTTTGGCTGTGTCCCCACTGAAATCTCATCTTGTAATATAGTTCCTATAATCCCCAACTGTTGTAGGAGGGACCCAGCTGGGGGGTAATTGAATCATGGGGCAGTTACCCCCATGCTTCTGTTCTCCTAATAGTGGGTGAGTTCTCATGAGATCTGATGGTTTTATAAGGGGCATTTCCCCCTTTTGCTCAGTACTTCTTGATGCTGCCACGTGAAGAAGGACATGTTTGCTTCCCCTTCCACCATGATCCTAAGGCCTCCCCAGCCATACAGAACTGTGAGTCAATTAAACCTCTTTCCTTTATAAATTACCCAGTCACGGGTATATCTTTATTAGCAGCTAGAATCTGCTTTATTAGCTGAGTATATCTTTATTAGCTGAGAATACTGCTATGCACTCTCCATACCTGAATCAAAGTAAACGTGCTCCCCAAGCTCTCTGAGGCTTCTATCTTCTCATCCCCTCCCTGCTCACTCAGTTTATCACTGTCATCCTAGATTCATCTTTTCTCTGCACAGCCTGGCTACTACAACTACACTACATGCTGCTCTCACCAGGACCCTTCTGCTGCCCTCTCCTCAACCTCACGCCTAACTCCCAAAGCACTCCAACCCTCACCTGCTTGCTCTCCTCCCTACAGGCTAGTGCTTCTGAAAAAATATAATCATTCATATTTGCAGCATTGCAAATGCTGAGTTTACAAAATCAATGGAGGCCCCCAGTGCTGCTAGGAAAGCTTACATGTATGTCCCTGACATCTTACTTTCTCACTTTCTCATTCTTCAATCTTCTCATTCCATCTTCTCAGCTTTCCAGAGAAATAGAGGGCACCCTACATGAACTCTAACTTTCCTCCCTTCCATCTCATTCTGACCTTCCTTCCTTCTGTCTCTAAGGAATTTTCACCTGTGCTTTCAAATTATTTCCTCCTTCTTCCTACAGGACATGGTTCCATTAATGAATGATTCTTCTTTGACTTTCCCTTTTCTGGCTGATCTCCATCTCTCTATATAAATAGGTAGGCAGATAGATGGATTGATAGATAGACAGGTAGGTAGATAAATAGATAATATGTATATAGAGTGATTACATATATATGTATAATTCTCTTTCTCAAAATTTTAGTCTTTCATTTTCTCCTCACCTTCTTGCCCCATATACAAAATGCATATATATAAACACACATACATATATACATTCTATACTTATATACATACATATATAAATATACAATGTATATATGTATGTATGCACGCATGTATATATGTATGTGTACATGAATATCTATTGTTCTTTCTCAAATATTTGCTTATTCTTTCCAAATCACTATCTCAATCTCTCTATCTTTTGATCTACTGCCCTTATCTCCTTTTATCTACTATAAACTTACCTAATTTCCCCCACCTTTAAGCAATCTTCCCTTTGCTCAACCTCCACTGTGGTTTCTTATCACCCATTCTACTTCCCTTCACAGCCATACATCTTCATAGGAACTTATATTTCCTCTTTCCATTTCTTCCATCAGTCCCTCCTTGGCCTAAAATATCTGGCTTCCTATCCAGCCTGTCTACCAAAGCATTGTTGGTAAGGTGGCCATAGTGAAACAATCAGCTTTGTGCTTCTAACGATTGCTCCAGCATGGAGACTATGAGCTCCTGGCTGTTGAGGGGGCTCTTGTGTTCCATCCTTCTGCATTTGTGGTAGCTAACACAGTTCCTGGCACATAAGTGCTTTAAAACAAATTCTGTCTCAATGATGGGAGTCAAGGTGTGTGAGGCTAAGATTGTCAGACATGGGCCTTAAAACAGAATGAACAATGTCCTCAATGACACTGATATAACTCCTGAGACCTCAAGAAAAATCTTTGTCTTGATTTGAACATAAAAGGACCAGGGTTAAGAAATGATATGGTCCTAGTCAAGACTTACGTGGTGGTGGCCACAGACCACAGGAATACCAATGCTGTTACAGCAGGGCTCTAACACAGAGCCTGAAGCCTTCACTTAGCACTATGCAGAGGTCAGTACCAAGGGTGGTTCACAAAAAGTTTCTAACTTTAACACACTGTGATGCTGTTTAGCCTGGAGGCTGCCTACCTTCCTATCCCAAGGCAGAGCTTGCTTGTCTTAAATCAATAAATATTTATTAAGCCCCACCAGAACCGTTTATTTAGCAAGCAATCTGCAGCTACTAAGGAATTGAGAATTCTCTGAAGGAAGATCCACATCTTACTCACCTCTGTGCCCAATGATTGACTCATAGTGCTTCCTTTGAATGAATAATCCAGAAATGAGCAAATGTGGTCAGCGATCTACCTACCTGCACTGCAAACAGAATCAAATGTAAATGCGATGTAAATTAAGTGGACAGTTGGGAAAAGAATAATTAATTTCAATAATAAGGTAGCAATGCAGAGGACCCATAAAGACTTCATAGAGAGGTAACATTCAAATTGAATGTTGAGCAACTGCATATTAATTTAACTACTGAGTATTAATTTAATAAGGAATTATACTAATAGTCCACATTTTTTGAGACCTTTCTCTTCAACCAGATAATTTGCTAAGTGCTACTTAATTTAAGTTTCATAACAGTCCCATGAGGTAGATGCTATTATCCTTGTTTTTCAGATGGGAAAACTGAGCTATGGAGAGGTAAAGTTGCCTAAGATCACCTAGCTAGAAAATGGTAAAGTTGGAATTTAAACTTAGTCAGTCCAACTCCAGTGCTCTTAACTTTGAAACTATACTTTGCTAGAGTAAAGAAAAGCACTGGAGACAGAAGGAAGAGCAGGAGCTAAAGTACACGACACATCTTTAGCACAGGAGCAAAGGGATAGGCAGAGAAATTGAACAGAAGTCAAAGCTGCAAAGGCAAAGATGGAATTGCATTTTGGTGGATCTGCAGTGCCTTACAGAGGTTGAGCTTTATTTTATGGACAGTAAATAATATTAACAGGAGAGTGACATGGTCAGTTCTGCCTTGTAGGAAGAAAACACTGGCAGAAGTGTGCAGGATGTGTTGGAGAAGCCAGAGATGGTCTGAAAGACTTGTTGGGGGTTCAACTCAGTAGTCCAGGTAAAGGATAATGCACACTAAGAACCAAGGAGATGAGGTAGCTGAAGAAGCCAGCAATCCAGAAACCCAACACAACTGGTGCAGACAAACAGACTCCCAACAAATGCCTGCTCTCTCTAGCCAGAGGACCAGGAAAGGAGTGTTCTAGCAAGACAGAAAACTCTTAGACAATAGCCACTCTACTTTAGCCAAACATCATTTTAAAAAACAAAAAACCCATGGCCTCATCCACACCCACACCCACACCAGCAAAGCCTGGGTAGATAGCCTAGACTTTCACCCTTAAGAGACCATAGCAAGAAACTCCAACACCCTTGCCAGAGTGATGTCAGAGAAGGCACAAGGGGAGAGATGAGACTTTCATCTGAGATTGCTAGTAATGAGCTACCTTCCCTGGCAATATCAGTAAGGACTACATGGGAAGCCTGGACATCCGCCCCCTCCTAGAAATAACTAGATCCTCCTCCCCCTCCCCCTCTCCACTGGGGTGTCAGAGGCAGCCTAGTCAGGACTCTCATCACTACCAGTGGTTACGAGCCCCACATCTGTGGAGACCACATGGGATCCAGAACTCCCATCCCCATCCAGCAGTAAGGAGGAGTCAATCAATTGATGTGAACCCTAAGATGATAGGGATAATAGAATTATCTGGCAAAGATTTTTAAACACCATGATTTTAAAAATACTTCAACAAGCAATTATGCACATGCTTAAAACAAATAAAGAAATTAAAAGCCTCAGCAAAGAAATAAAAAGTCTCTGCAAATAAAGAGAAGATATAAGGAAAAAATAGAATTTTATGATTAAAAAAATACAATAATGAGGAGTGTTTGGAGACTCACATTGTGAAATTTTGCTCCAAGAACCACCACAGGAACATACCAGGGCAACTGAAAGAATTCACAAACCCTTTGAAAGCAGTGGCTTGCCACTGCAAACTCCAAGAAACAGCCAAAAACACAGTCAGTGCCCGAAGTGAGGGGAGGAAAGTCTGCCTCTGAACATACATCCTCACTGGGGAACCTGGAAATCTAGATCATGGAAGAAGGATTTAACTTTACCTAGAGCTGAAATGAATTTAGAGAGCTGAGCAAAATATAAAAGTAGAAGAAGCAGTGGGAAGTGCCCTGTAGGCACTCCTGATCCCCAGGGAAGCCCAGCGAAGCCATTTCTCACTTTATCTCACAGGGTTCCTAGGGGATGGCAGCCAGTGGAATTGGGGAAGGGCCACGGGGAGAAAGAGACTTGCAGCTGAACTTTGTAATAATTTTGATCAAGTATGAATTTTCCTCAGATTCCTAGGCAGAATCTGAGGGGTGGAGGCGAATAGGAGGTGCAGATGAGCACAGAAGCTGTGGCAGTCAGGGAGGGGTGAGGCCTGAAAGCCCTGCTTGCTTTCTCAGCAGGGAGGCTTGTAGCCTGGGGCAAGATCTCAGCCCTGTGCACCAGAGGCCTGTAAATAAATTCAGCTCTGTTGGCTGTTGGCAGGAGTGAGACTGGCCTTGCTGGCTGTGTGGGAGCTGGGTGAGGTCTGTCACTGCCGGCTTTCCCCGACTTCCCTGGCAATCTGTATGAAACATCAGAAGCAGCCATAATCCCCTTTGGAACATAACTCCATTGGCCTGAGAACCACTGCCCCGTCCCCCCAGGTGGTCTCTGCAGGCACCACCCAAGAAGAGTCTGAGCTCAGACACACCTAGCCCTACTCCCACCTGATGGTCTTTTTCTACCCACCTTGGTAGCTGAAGACAAAAGACATAAACTTGCAGGAGCTCTATAGCACCCCCCATTGCCTGAGAAACCCGAAGTTATCCAGGTGACCTTAGGGCAAGCTTGCATCCCCCAATATAACCACAGCTGATGCTCTCTTGAAAGCTCCTGGCTGGAGGGCAACCAACTCAAGCCATTACAGTAACTCATGACAGAACAACCCTGCTCCAAGAAAGGAGAAAACAACAGCTAATTTCACTATCTGTAACATCCTGGCTAACCAGAGGTCCTGAATCTGTCTGTGTGACAACTTCACTATAAGCATAACCAGCACTTAAGAAAACCAATGCACTAAACAAAACTACAACCAAGGACTCTCACAGAATCCACTTCACTCTACTGCTGCCTCTACCAGAACAGGTGCTGGTATCCATGGCTGAGAGACCTGAAGATAGATCGCATCAAAGGACTATTTGCAGACACTCCCCAGTACCAGCCTGGAGCACGGTAGTTCAGCAAACCCTAACCCTAACACTAACCTTAAATATATATGTACCCAACACTGGAGATCCCAAATTTATAAGACAATTACCACCTGACCTAAGAAATGAGATAGACAGCAACACAATAATAGTGGGGAACTTTAATACCCCACTGACAGCACTAGACAGGTCATCAAGACAGAATGTCAACAAAGAAACAATGTGCTTAAACTATACCCTAGAACAAAGGAACTTAACAGATATTTACAGAATATTCTGCCCAACAACAACAGAATATACATTCTATTCATCAGCACACAGAACATTATTCAAGATAGACCATATGATAGACCACAAAACAAGTCTCAATTAATTTAAGAAAATCAAAATTATATTGACTACTCTCTCAGACCACAGTGGAATAAAATTGTAAATCAACTCCAAAAGGAACCCTCAAAACCATGCAAATATATGGAAATTAAGTAATCAGCTCCTGAATGATCTTTGGGTCAACGATGAAATAAAGATGGAAATTTAAAAATTGTCTGAACTGAATAATAATGAAACAATCTATCACAACCCCTGGATACAGCAAAAGTGGTGCTAAGAGGAAATTTCACAGCATTAAATGCCTAAATCAAAAAATCTGAAAGAGCTCAAATAGACAATCTAAGGTCACACCTTAAGGAACTAGAGAAACAAGAACAAACCAAACCCAAAACATAGGAGATGAAAAGAAGTAACAAGGATCGCAACAGAACTAAATGAAATTGAAATAAACAAAAAACAATACAAAAGATAAATGAAACAAAAAGCTGATTATCTGAAAAGATAAACAAAATTGTTAGACCATTCATGAGATTAACCAAGAAAAGAAGAGAGACGATCCAAATAAATTCAGTTGGAAAAGAAACAGGAGATATTACAACCGATACAATAGAAATACAAAGGATCATTCAAGGCTACTATGAACACCTTTATGCGCACAGACTAGAAAATCTAGAGGGGATGAATAAATTCCTGGAAATACACAGCCCTCTCTGGATTAAACCAGGAAGAAACAGTAACTCTGAATAGATCAATAACAAGTAGCAAGATTGAAACAATAACAAAAAAGTTGCCAATAAAAAAAAAAATCCAGGACCAGATGGATTGGCAGCTGAATTCTATCAGGCATTCAAAGAAGAATTGGTACCAATATTGCTAAAACTATTCCAAAAGATAGAGAAAGAGAGAATCCTTTTGAAATCATTCTATGAAGCCAGTATCAGCCTAATACCAAAACCAGGAAAAGGCGTAACAAAATAGAAAACTACAGACCAATATGCCTGATGAACATAGATGCAAAAACCCTCAACAAAATACTAGCTAACTGAATCCAACAGTATATCAAAAAAAATAGTCCACCATGATCAAGTGGGTTTTATGCCAGGGATACAGGGATGGTTTAACATACACAAGTCAATAAATGTGATACACCACATAAACAGAATTAAAAACAGAAATTATATGATCATCTCAATAGATGCAGAAAAAAAATTTGACAAAATCTAGCATCTCTTTACGATTAAAACCCTCAGCAAAATCAGCATGGTAGGGACATACCTTAAGGTAATAAAAGCCATCTATGACAAACTCACAGCCAACATTATACTGAATGTGGAAAAGTTGAAAGCATTCCCCCTGAGAACTGAAACAAGACAAAAATGCCCACTTTCACCACTTCAATTAAACATAGTACTGGAAGTCCTAGCCAGAGCAATCAGAAACAGAAAGAAATAAAGGTCATTCAAATTGGTAAAGAGGAAGTCAAATGGTCACTGTTTGATGATGATGTTATCATATACCTGGAAAACCCTCAAGACTCATCAAAAAGCTCCTAGAACTGATAAATGAATTCAGTAAGGTTTCAGGATACAAAATCAATGTATACAAATCAATAGCACTGCTATACACCAACAGTGACTAAGCTGAGAATCAAATCAAGAACTCAGTCACCTTTACAATAGCTGCAAAAACAAAAATAAAGTATTTAGGAATATACATAACCAAGGAGTACTCACCTTACTCCTGCAAGAATAGCCATAATTTAAAAATCAAAAACTAATAGATGTTGGCATGGATGTGGTGAAAAGAGAACATTTTTACACTGCTGGTGGGAATGTAAACCAGTACGACCACTATACGACAGTACAGAGATTCCTTAAAGAACGAAAAGCAGATCTGCCATTTGATCCAGCAACCTCACTACTGAGCATCTACCCAGAGGAAAATGTCATTAAATGGAAAAGACACTTGCACATGAATGTTTGTAGCAGCACAATTGGTAACTGCAAAAATATGGGACCAGCTCAAATGCCCATCAATGAGTGGATAAATAATATGTAGTTATATATATATATAATATTCTATATATGATGGAATACTACTCAGCCATAAAAAGGAAAGAAATAATGGCATTCTTAGCAACCTGGATGGAGTTGGAGACCATTATTCTAAGTGAAGTAACTCAGGAATAGAAAACCATACATTGTATGTTCTCACCTTTAAGTGGGAGCTAAGCTATGAGGACGCAAAGGCATAAGAATAATACAGTGCAGTTTGGGGACTTCGGGGAAGGCTGGGAGGAGGGTAAGGGGTAAAAGACTATACATTGGGTACAGTATACACTGCTTGGGTGATACTTGCACCAAAATCTCAGAAATCACCATTAAAGAACTTATCCACGTAATGGCTGAGCGCGGTGGCTCACGCCTGTAATCCCAGCACTTTGGGAGGCCAAGGCGGGCAGATCACGAGGTCACAAGATCGCGACCATCCTGGCTAACACGGTGAAACCCCGTCTCTACTAAAAATACAAAAAAATTAGCCGGGTGTGGTGGCGGGTGCCTGTGGTCCCACCTACTCGGGAGGCTGAGGCAGGAGAATGGCATGAACCCAGGAGGCAGAGCTTGCAGTGAGCCGAGATCAGGCCATTGCACTCCAGCCTGGGTGACAGAGTGAGACTCTGTCTCAAAAAAAAAAAAAAAAAAAAAAAAAAAAAGCTTATCCATGTAATTAAACAGCAACTGTTCCCCAAAAACGATTGAAATAAAAAACATTTTAAAATAAAGAAAGGACAGGACACTTGGCGTATGAAAAGAACTAAAGGAATAAAGGAATTGAATAAGGAAATACTTGTAACACAGCCAGTGTTTATGTGAGTGAAACTTGGTATTGTAGGTCTGGTAATTAAAAGAAAAGGTTATGTTTATTTTTATTAACAACAATAATAAAAGCCAACGTTTATTAAGTACATTCCACACAGTAAAAAAATACAATAACCAAAATAAAAAGCTCAAAATAAACAGATGGGCTTGATAGTAAATGGAGGAGGCAGATGAAACAATGAGTGATCTGAAAGACAGAATGATAGAAATTACTTAGTTGAACTACAGAGGAAAAATAGACTGGAAAAAAAATGAACAGAATCTTAGGGACCTGTGAGATTATTACAAAAGACCTAACATTTGTGTCACTGGAGCTCCAGAATGAAAGAGGAAGAAGAGGAACTGAGAAAGTAATCAAAGAAATAATGGCTTTAAAAAATCCAAATTTGTCAAGAAACGTGAACTTACAGATTCAAGAAGCTGAGCAAATCTCAAATGGAATAAAGCCAAAGAAATCCATGTGAAGACACACTGTAATTAAACTTTTGAAAACTAAAGACTAAATAGGCTGAGTGTGGTGGCTCAAGCCTGTAATCCCAGCACTTTGGGAAGCCGAGGTGGGCAGGTTACTTGAGCTCAGGTGTTTGAGACCAGCCTAGGTAATATGGCAAAACCCCATCTTTACTAAAAATACAAAAATTAGCTGGGTATGGTGGCATGCACCTGTGGGTCCCAGCTACTCAGGAGGCTGAGGTGAGAGGATCACTTGAGCCTAGGAGATCGAGACTGCAGTGAACCAAGATTGCCCCACTGCACTGCACTCCAGCCTGAGTGACAGAGTGAGACCCTGTCTTTAAAAAAAAAAAAAGAAAAAAGAAAGAAGAAAAAAGAAAGAAAAAAAAACCAAAGACAAAAACATTGAAAGCTGCCTGAGAAAAACGGCGTCCTAGCTATAGGGAAAAAACAATTCAGAACACAGAGGATGTTTCATTGGAAACCATGGAAGTCAAAAGGCAGTAAGTAGCACAATGTATGTTTCAGCGGCTGAAAGAAATGAACTGTGAATCCAGAATCCATACCCAGCAAAACTGCCCTTCAAGATGTAGGGGAAACCAGGCATTCTCCAATGAAGGAAAACTAAGAGAAATTGTCACCAGCAGACCTACCCAAAAAGAATTACTAAAGTCCTCTAAAAAGAAAGAAAAGAATTTTAAAAAGATATCATGAGATATCAAGAAAGAAGAAAGCACAAATATAGGTAAATACAATAGGCTTTCCTTTTCCTCATGAGTTTTCGTATTTAACAGTTGAAGCAAAAATGTTAACACTTTCTGATGTGGTTCTGAATGTATATAAAGGAAGCCAGGTGCAGTTGCTCACACCTGTAATCCCAGCGATTTGGGAGGTGGAGGCAGGAGGGTCACTTGAGACCAGGAGTTTTGACCAGCCTGGGCAACATGGTGAGACCCCAATCTCTAAAAAATAATAATTATTATTTTATTTTATTTTATTATTTATTTATTTATTTATTTTTGAGACCGGAGTCTTGCTCTGTTGCCCAGGCTGGAGTGCAGTGGCGCGATCTTGGCTCACTGCAAGCTCCGCCTCCCAGGTTCACGCCATTCTCCTGCCTCAGCCTCCCGAGTAGCTGGGACTACAGGCGCCCGCCACCACGCCCGGCTAATTTTTTTGTATTTTTAGTAGAGACGGGGTTTCACTGTGTTAGCCAGGATGGTCTCGATCTCCTGACTTCGTGATCCTCCCACCTCAGCCTCCCAATAATTTAAAAAAGCACTTAGCAGGGCATGGTGGCAAATGCCTATAGTTTCAGCTACTCAGGATGTTGAGACAGTAAGATTGCTTAAGTCCAGGAATTCAAGCCTGCAGTGAGCTATGATTGTGCCACGGTACTCCAGCTTGGGCAACAGAGAGAGACTTTGTCTCAAAAATAAAATAAAATTAAGTTAAAATGAAAAATTAATGTATGTAAAGGAAATATTTAAGACCCACTTTGGAGTAGGGCAAAGGGAAGCAAAGCATGGTAAGGTTTTTATATTTCACTCAAACTGGTGAAATGGCACCAGCAGATGGTAAATATATATATGTAGTAACACCTGGAGCAACCACTAGAAAAACTATATGAAGAAATACACTTAAAAACACTACGAACAAATCAAAATGGAATTCTAAAACAATGTTCAAGTAACTAAAAAAAGAAAACAGAGGAACAAACAAACAAAAAGCAGAAGACAAAAGACAAAATGGCAAACATCAGCCCTAACATCTCAGTAATGACATTAAGTGTAAATAATCTAAATACACCAATTAAAGATAGCTATTGGCAAAGTGGATTTTAAAAATGACCCTTTGTTGGATGCATAGTTTGCAAATATTTTCTCTCATTCTGTAGGTTGTTTGTTACTCTGTTAATATTTCTTTTTTTCTGCAGAAGCCTTTTAGTTTAATTGGATTCCATTTATTTCTTTTGTTTCTGTTGCTTTTGGGGTCTTAGTCACAAATTCTTTGCCTCGGTCAATGTCTAAAATAGTTTTCCTAGGTTTTCTTCTAGAATTCTTATGGTTTCAGATATTATATTTAAGTCTTTAATCCATCTTGACTTAATTTTTGTACATGGTGAGAGATAGGGATCCAGTTTAATTCTTCTACATGTGACTATCCAATTTTCCCAGCACCATCCACTAAATAGGGTATCCTTTCCCTAGTTTATGTTTTTGTGTGCCTTGTCAAAGATCAGTCCAGAATCTCCAAGGAAGTCAAACAAATCAGCAAGAAAAAAAAATCCCATTAAAAAGTGGGCAAATGATATAAATAGAAATTTCTCAAAAGAGGATATACAAATGGCCAACAAATATATGAAAAAATGCTCAACATCACTTATCATCAGGGAAATGCAAATTAAACTCACAATGAGATATCACTTATCCTTACTGGAATGGCCATTATTAAAAAGTCAAAAAGCAATAGATGGCATAGATATGGCAAAAAAAAAAAAAAAAAGGGAACTCTTGTTTATACACTGCTGATGGGAAGGTAAATTAGAACAACCTCTATGGAAAACCATATAGAGATTTCTCAAATAACTAAACGTAGATCTACCATTTGATGAAGCAATCCCACTACTGGGTATCTACCCAAAGGAAAAGAGATGATTATATAAAAAGACACTTGCACACATATGTTTACTGCAGCACAATTCACAATTGCAAGATATGGAATCAACTTAAGTAACCTCAGCCAATGAATAAAGAAAATGTGATGTGTATGTAATTCATTCATCAGTTGAATGCCATAAAAAGAATAACATAATGTCTTTTGCAGCAACTTGGATAGAACTGGAGGCCATTATCCTAAGTGAAATAACTCAAGAATGGAAAACCAAATACCATGTGTTCTCTTACAAGTAGGAGCTAAGCTATGGGTACACAAAGGCATACAGTGATATAATAGACATTGGAGACTCAGAATGGGGAAGGGTAGAGGGAGTGAGAGATGAAAACCTACCCATTGGGTACAACACACACTATTCAGGTGATGGGTACACTAAAGTCCTAGACTTTACCACTGTACGATTCATCCATGTAACCAAAAAATACTTGTACCTCTAAAGCTATTGAAATAAAATGTTTTTAAAAAAAACCATGTCCCAACTATACACTATAAGAAACTATAAAAGTCCTTTCTTTGATTATTTTCTCAGGCGTGGGCCACCGCACCCAGCCACTGCCAGTATTGTTATATATGAAGTTAGTTTCTTATAGTGTATAGTTGGTACATGGTTTTTTATAGCCAAGGCGGGCAGATTGCTTGAGCCCAGGAGTTAGAGACCAGCCTGGGCAACATGGCAAAACCCCGTCTCTACAAAAAATACAAAAATTAGCCAGGCATGGTGCACATCTGTAATCCCAGCTACTCAGGAGGCTGAAGGGGGAGGATGGCTTGAGCCCAGGTGGCAGAAGTTGCAATGAGCTGAGAGCACGCCACTGCACTCCAGCCTGGTGACAGAGCAAGACCCTGTCTTAAAAACAAAACAAAGCAAAAACACCTCCCCCCCAAATAAAACAAAGCACAAAAACAATATTGTCAGGTTTAAAGAAAAAGGATAAAATTTTTATATTATGCAACCATTAACCAATAGAAAACAAGTCTACATTGATATCTATTAAGTCTATAAAGTAGACTTTAGAGCAAAGAAAATTACCAGAGGGTCTTTGAAAAAAAATCTATAAAATTGGCAAACCTATAGCAAGACTGACCAAAAAAGAAAGAAGTTACAAATTACCAATATCAGAAACAAAACAGTAGATATCACTAACAGACCCTGCAGATGACAAAAAATAGTAAGGAAATACTAGGAACAACTCCTACACACATAAGTTTGACAATTCAGACAAAATGAACCAGTTCCTTGAAAAACACAAAGTACCACAACTCATCCAATATGACAGAGATAATTTGAATAGCCCTATAGCTATTAAAGAATTGAATTCGTAATTTTAACCCCCCCGCTCCAAAAAAAAACAACTTCAGGCCTAGATGGTTTCACTAGAAAATTCTATCAAATGTTTAAAGAAGAATTAGCACCACTTCTACACCATCTCTTCCAGAAAATCAGAGAAGAGGGGATACTTCCCAATTCATTTCATGAAGCTAGCATTACACGGATACCAACCCCAGACAAAGATAGTGCAAAAAAAGAAAACTCAAAGCCATCAGGAACATAGATAAAATAAAAACAATCCTTAGCACAATATTAGCAAGTAGAATTCAGGAACGTATAAAAAGGATTTTTTTTCGTAATGACTTTTTATGACATGACTACATGGGGCTTATTTCAAGAATGCAAGGCTTATTCAAAAATCAATTGATATAAACTGCCATTAGTAATAGGCTAAAGAAAAAAAGTCATGTTAATTGAGCAGAAAAATTTTTTCAAAAATTCAACACCCATTCATGATTTTTAAAAATTCTCAGAAAAATATGAATAGAGGGGAATTGCCTCAACTTGATAAAGAGCGTCTGCAAAAGACCTATAGCTAACATTATACTTCATCATGAAATACTCAATGTTTACTCTTTAAGATCAGAAACTAGGTAAAGATGCCCACCCTCCCCACTCTTAAATCAACACAACACTGTAAGTTCTAACCATTACCTTGAGGCAAGAAAAGGTACTAAAAGACACACAGATGAGAAAGGAAGAAATAAAACTGTCCCTATTTGCAGGTGATATGGCTGTCAATAGAGATCCCAAGGAATTTACCCAAAAAACCTCCAGGTATGCCATGGACATTGTCCTTCCAAATCTCATGTTAAAATGTGTTCTCCAATGTTGCAGGTGGGACCTGGTGGGAGGTGTTTGGGTCATGGAGATGGATCCCTCATGAATGGCTTGGTGTTGCCCTTGTGGTAATGAGTGGGTTCTCATTCTATTACTTTATGCGAGAGCTGACTGTTTAAAAGAGCCTAGCATCTCTCTTGCTCCTTCTTACCATACAACATGCCTGCTGTCCCTTAGTCTTCCGCTATGAGTAAAAGCTTCCTGAGGCCTCACCAGAAGCCAAGCAGATGCTGATGCTATGCTTGTACAGTCTGCAGAATGATGAGCCAAATAAACATCTTTTCTTTATATTACCCAGCCTCAGATGTTCCTTCTGCAAACCAGACTAATACACCTCTTAAAACTAGTGAGTTTAGCCAGGTGTGGTGGCTCACACCTGTAATCCCAGCACTTCGGGAGACTGAGGCAGGTGGATCACCTAAGGTCAGGAGTTCAAGACCAGCCTGACCAATATGGTGAAACCCTGTCTCTACTAAAAATATGAAAGTTAGCTGGGCATGGTGGCATGTGCCTGTAGTCCCAGTTTCTCGGGAGGCTGAGACAGGAGAATTGCTTGAATCCGGGAGGTGGAGGTTGCACCACTGGGAGCTGAGATTGCACCACTGCACTCCAGCCTGGGTGACAGAGCGAGACTCCATTCCCACCAACAAAAAATAAAATAAAATAAAACTAGTGAGTTCAGCACGGTTGCAGGCAACATAAACTTACAAAAATCAACTGTATTTCCATATACTAAGAGTGAACACTAAAGTTAAAAAATACAACACCATTTACTGCTGCCTAAAGAATGAAATACAGTCCTGCACCACATTAATGAAGTTTTGGTCAATGACAGCATGTTGTATAAATGAGAGCACAATATGCAACTTTTTGGGACTGGGTACATGAATATTTATAGCAGCTGTATTTGCAATAGCCCAAAACTGGAAATAATTCATACATCCTTCGAAGAGTAAATGTTTAAACCAACTGTAGTACATCTATACCATGTAATACTACTCAGCAACAAAAAAAGAACAAACTGTTGATACACAAGGCAACCTGGATGAATTCCAGAGGATTATTCTGAATTTAAAAACGCAATCCCAAAAGGCTGCATATTGTATGATTTCATTTATACAACATTCTTGAAATGACAAAATTATAGAAATAGGGAATAAATTAGTAGTTTTCAGAGGTTAAGGAAGGATTGGGGTGAGAAAGAAAGTTATTGTAGCTAAAAAACGGCAACATGAGAAATCCTTGTGATGATGCAAATGTTCTGTATCTTGACTGTATCAATGTCAACATCCCGGTTGTGATATTGTAGCACAGTTTTGCACGATGTCATCACTGGGGAAACTAGCTAAATGGAATATGGGAGCTCTGCATTATTTCTTGCAACTGCATATACATTTAAAATTATCTCCAAAAAAAGTCTAATTAAAAATACATTTTAATGCATAATCTTTAGAGTCTTCCTGAACCATAATCTGCACATTAAATCTTGAGAAATATTGATCTAAAAGTTCAACCAGGATATTAGGGGAAATATCCTCTTTCTCATGAGGAACAGCTGAAGGGATAGAAAATGTTTTATCTTGGGAAATCCTGAAGAAAACTATGAGAGTTTTCTTTTTCCAGAATATGAAGTGATTATACACAAGAAATTAAACTTGGTATGATGCCAGTAAACAGAACATGGGCTGATATACAAGAAAGTGCACAAGCTTCAGGATTAACCAAGCATAGGTTTAAACCCAAGCTCCACCATGCCCTATCTTTAAGACTAGACAAGTTAGTTAACCTCCCTGACTTCCCATTTCCTCATCTTTAAAACGAGGCTAATGATTCCCACCTCAATCCATCAATCAGCATCTAAGTAAAGAAATAGACACTGCTTCAGTATTTGCAGCAGAAGGAATTTAACGCAGGGAATTGGTGGCAGTGGTGAAGATAGAAATATAGGTTACAGCTGATAGAAAAGCTGAGATTTGAAGATTATTGCAATAGATAATGAAGTCAAGAGTACAAAGATCTTCTTAAGTTCATATAACCTTGCATACTTACTAAGGATCAGGCAAAATGGGAAAACTAAAAAATTAAAAAATTTTTAAAAATGAAAAATAAAAAAATTAAGTTTGTATGACTTTAAAAAGATAAAATTAGTTGGAGTAAGGTCTTGGGATGGGGTCATGAAGTAATCAGATATTAGCAATAGTAGGCAGTGGGTAATTGAAGGCATAAAGGTAGGAGGCAATGTTGCCAAAGCCCAGGAGCCAGAGTCACCAGGAAGAACCAGGAACCATGGAGGACACAAATAGTGGGAGCTGGAGCCATGGAGGAGATGCAGACATTGCTGGCAGGGATGATTTAAGAAGGGAGAGAGGGAAGAAATACTCTGGTTTCCTCTTTTCACTACCTTGCAACCTTCCACAGGTGCAGCAACCTTCCTCTAGAAGGAAACCATAGGTATGGAGCCTGGGGAAGGCAGCCTTCCAGGTCAGCCCCTGCTATCAAGGGCAAAGCAGGAATCAGAAGATAGACACACCTAGGTGTGGCACACTCACAGGGTGTTTGTGAGGATGCAGGGCTTGTAAGATACCTGGCACAGAGTAATAGGTGCTCAAGAAATGGCAATTATTATTTTTCAGTGCCAATGTTGCATGATGACATTTAGAGCCACATTTTCTCATCATTTCCTATCTGAATAGACGGAAGCACAAGCTGGGGCTCATTCCATGTAGACTTTGCCAAGAGTACTTATTTTTTCCAAATGAGAAGCACATCTGAGAAATGTGAAAAGCAGCCCTGTCCTAAAGTTTCATTGTATAAAGCAAATGTTGAGTTTCCACAGCTGCTGGCTTCAGCCTACCCAGAGGAATAGTTTTCCTGAAATATTAATCTCGGAAAAAGCCACACTGGGGTAAGCTTGCACAGTAATTCAAGCAGCATGTGCAAAATTTATTTTGCGTTTGGCTGGGCATGGTTTTAATTATGTGAAGTCTTCAGAATGAGAAGAAAGTGATTGAAGATGTTTAACTAAGTCAGTCATGGAGGCTGTAGATGCTCCAAGACTCTCTCCAACTTTGGTTTATTTCTGCAGTCCCCAAACTACAAACACAAAGGAAGCTCCCATGGAATCGGATGATGGCACTGTACGAATCAAGATGCAGCTAGCAATAAAAACAGAAGACACCAACACCAGCAGTCCAGAGACCTCCAGTATAACATAAAGGCAGGTGTCTATTCATGGTTCCCTACAACCAAGGTAGGGACAGAAGGGTGAGAATCCACAGGATTGTCAAAAACCTGGGACGCAGCATGCAAGATGCTTTCATCAAAGGTCCCGAGTGAGTACAAGATGCAGAGTGTGTTGTATACCTGCTGGACATCTCATACTTCCTGGGAGTCACTCGCATGGTGTGATATTGAATGTGAAGTAGGATCTGGAAGTGCAGAGAGGGCCAGGGCCCCTCCCTGAGGACAACACAGGCATGGGGATGGACTGGGCCTTGCATACAATAGAGCTGAGCCAACCTGCAGAGCTTTAAAACTGTCAACAATCGGCAACCACAAGATGTCCCCTTGGCTGATGCAACAGATAGAAAACTCAGAAGTTATCTTTAAAAACCAGTTTTCAGACTCTAGATTCTGTCCATAAGTATTAGGGCCCTAGCACCAGCCTGGAGGCAGAGGTTTCTGTCCCAAGAGGGACTATACGAGTCGGAACCTCAGAAAGGGACCACTAATTTTCAGAGACAATCAAAAGCTAGTCCTGTGAGGTAAGACACAGGAGATGGACATAGGCAGGAAGGTTCTCAAGATCAGTCCATCAGAATTGATGCCCTAATCTCTATGCCCTCATGGGGTCAGGGAGACCTGCTGAGTTATTTACTGCCTCAAGTCAGATAAGTCTGGGCATCAAGGTGGGCTGGTCCTAACTAGGAGGAGTGGAGGAGGAAGCTAGACTGTGCTGACCTGGAGTCCAGAACACTGAGGTTATTGGGGGAGGAGTCTCCACTTGCACTTCCCAGAGATCCCTCCAGCTCAACATGTTCTAAGTTCATTCCCCCAGCTTACCTGCCTCCTCTTTTCTCTACAGTGTTCATAGTATCCTGAGGATTCCAGTCACACAGGCTCAAACCTGAGGATCACCCCGGATCCTTCCTCTCCGTTGTCCGGAAAAATCCTACCTCCTATCCTTTCTAACCCTCCATCCCACTGTCACTCCTCTAATTCAGAAATTTCTCTCCTTTCTTCCCCCATGCACCCCAATCTCATATAGTGGTGTGATATGATTTGGCTCTGTGTCCCCAACCAAAGCTCATCTTGTAGTTCCCATAATCCCCATGTGTTATGGGAGGGACCTGGTGGGAGATGATTGAATCATGAGGGTGGGTCTTTCCCATGCTGTTCTCGTGATAGTGAATGGGTCTCACGAGATCTGATGGTTTTAAAAATGGGAGTTTCTCTGCACAAGCCCTCTCTTTGCCTGCTGCCATCCACGTAAGATGTGACTTGCTCCTCCTTGCCTTCTGCCATGATTGTGAGGCCTCCCCAGCCACGTGGAACTGTAAGTCCAATGAAACTCTTTCTTTCGTAAATTGCCCAGTCTCTAGTATGTCTTTATCAACAGTGTGAAAACGGACTAATACATGGTGCCAGGCTGAGCATTTGGAAACAGTGTTCTAACAATGCCACTCATCTGTTCCAAAATTGCCAAAGGATCCACACTGCCTAGAGTGAAATTCAAATGTGAGCCTGTAAATCAAAGCGCTTCATGAGTTCTTCCCAACCTACCTTTCCATCACAGCCCAACATCAGGCAAACAGAACCACTGTCTTCTCCGTTCATTTCCCACTTGGTTCTACTTCTGGGTTTTGCTCTGTTTGGCATGTGTTTTCCTGCATCACTGCATTTCCGAGTCTTACCCATCCTTCAAAGTTCATGTCACATCACCTCCTGCAAGAACATTCTCTGATCCTCTCCTGCGTGCATAATCACTCCCTCTTTTGGACTCCTGCAACCCTGTGTGCCACTCTTTCGCACTGAGTAAAAGTATGTGCATTTCATATGTTTCCATTGGGTGATAAGGTCTTTGAAAATAAGGCCCTTACAGATTCACCCTTCATGGAGAAGATGTAGGGAGACCCAAGAACTTGGAGTTTGGCTGGTTTGTAGGAAATGTAACAAAGTTTGGGGGAATAATTTTGGAAAGGTAGGTTGGAATCATATTGTGACTCCAGGGTAATAGTTAAAAGTGCTTGGGAGTCATCTGCAGACGTATGAAGCTAGATGAGGCAATCCTGAGAAAAAATATCAAATGTGAAGGGAAAGTGCCCATCCCTGGAACCACAGGGAACATTAGCCTGCAAGTATCCACTGGAAAATAAAAAATCATGGAGACTGGCAGGAAATGGCTGTATAGAATGGAAGTCAGTCACAACATCCATACCACACTGGGCATAAAAAGAATTTCAGCCCTGTTGGTCAGCCACGATACATGCGCTTGAATAATTCTGACCGAATCCTGTATGGCTTTTTTTTTCTCTAGAATTGCAAATAGGGAAGACCATGCTGACAGACTTGTGGATCCTTAATTCAGGACATTTTAAAAAGGCAATCACTTGCCCACATTCTATTCCTAATCAGTGGGGCTTCCCAAACCCAGTACACCGGAGACATCTACAAATATGTAGAACTCGCAGAAGTAACGCCTGACCAAGGAACACACGAATGGGAACAAGGAGTATTCCTGGTCATCTGATTTGTTTCTGTGTTGGCTTCCCAGTCCCAAAAGTGACTCCTAAGGTCATTACAATTATTAAAACCAGAGAACAAGCACAGGGACCCAGAGGAAGTCAGCAGGAGGTGAGTGGGTGAAAAAAAAACAAAAAAAACCTTGACCTGGAAGTCTAGAAGCCCAGAGCAGCACCCCCACCCCACCCCGCAAGGAGCTGGGGGGAGAGAAGTTCTGGGTGGGGATTGTGCCAGCCTCCCTGGGTGGGACCTGTGTGGCTTCTTGGGGAGGTGGGCGGCTTCTACCTGAGACCTTCCTAATCATTCCTCACCAGGGGGAACTAGTCCTACAACCACATAGGACCTGCCCCGTGTCAATTCAATTGAATTCAGCACAGACAAACTGCTGAGCTCCCCGGAGGTGAAAGCCCTGACCTGGGCAGATGTTTACCTGATCAAAACAGGGAGGTCCTCCCAAGCCAGCCCTGCTAAAGATCCCACCTGAGACCACAATTTTCTTACACCTTATTCTAACACAATGGAGGTCAACTTATTCATTTCAAGGGTTCTAGAAATGTTTGATTCAAATTACATTTAAAAATATTTTTAAAATGGTAAACACAGACAAGTGTGTGATACCAAATGTGAACAATCATAGACCCCAGTGGTTTACATGAGCCACAGGTTATAATATACTCATGCCCGCTTCAGAATAAAGGTTCTCCTGCCAAAACCATGAATATGTTTGAACACATGTAGATGTGTCATTAATTGGGAAAGCTGTAGTTCCAAAAAGATCTTTCAACTGTTCGGATCCATGCAAGTATTCTTATGCTGTAAAACTGTATGAGCAAGTACACTACCATCACCCTGGCCCCCTAGCGCCATGCTCAATTAAAGGCCAGGAAGGGCTCAGGGACTTCCCTGGAATGTATGCTCTTATAAAGACGTAATACTAAACTATACGGTAATATGTGACCACATAACATGCTGTACCATGGTAAGTATTACCAGTAGCATTATTATTAGTATTATTAGCATTACTAGTAGCATGCTTATTTTGATGTTAGACTGATCAAGACCAACAGTAATGCAGGGCCATTCTATTACTGCTTCTCTTGTGGCCGATAGCGTCCATGATGAAACTGACAACTGAAGTTTGAGCTCAAAATGCCAGATTAAACATGTTTTGCTGTGTTAAAGGCTTTAAGTGATTACTACAGAGAAACAAACACTGGAGTTTCTGAAAAAAAAATTAACAACATAATTAACCTCTCATGATGATACAACATAATTTTGGGAAGAATTTTCTGCCAAAGATATAAATTGGTGAATCTAAGTGAAAGAATCTGTTCCTTTCCATTAGACCTCTTATAATTAAACAATTGTTACATAGTGTTAGTGAGTCAACATTAAAACCAATTCTTCCTATATTTATCTTTCATGTTTCTAGATCATTGAAATCAGAATAGCCTGAATCTGTAAGGTATCTTGTTTAAAAGTGCTATAATTTCCAATATCTAGCTGTTGCATGTTGTACAGTCAATATAAAATACAGGGGTACACTTGATAGTGAGAATGTCATGAGGCTACAGTGTTCATCCCAAACCCTCAATTTCAAATTTTCATAACATTCTCATTGTTTTCATTAACTGTATGTTAAAAACTAAATTTATCAAGCTAATATATATAACAAAATGTTGGTTTGCTCTGTTATAGTCATTAATATTCCACATAAGATTTCATTGAAGAGTTTTAATGCTGAAAAGTTTCCAAAAATCACTGTAACATTTAATATATAGGAAAAACCCAAAATATGAAGCAGGAAAAGATGTAAGAAACAGATCTTTTTGGTTAGAAAGGCAGAAGTAGAAAAGGGTGAGAGTAATTCAACCACAACTCCAGATACAAGCTTGAGAATAAAAAAAATGCTTTTTGAATTAATCAATGAAGCAGAAATAGTGTGTCCCTTGCTCCTGGAATTGGGAGAGGGGAAACTTTGGGACTGGAGAAACAGAGAAGGCCATAGAGGAAGTTTTGCTTTCCCGATGAGAACCATCTTCCCATAGGCAAATAAGAAGGCTTCTCTGTGGGAAGCAGGGCAGACCAAAGAGATGATGGTCTTTGGGTAGCCAAGTGTAGCCACTGATCATTAGGGCCAGCGTAACTGAGGTGTCAGCACAACAGAAAGGAGGCCTTAAGCAGTGAGATTTCTGGACTTGTGGTAGAGAAAAAGTGGTGACCAGACATGTGATTCCGGGGAAGGAGGCTAAAGGGAAAGTGCAGCCTGGAGGGCAGAAGCAAAGCACAGGACACAGAAATCATTCATTCACTCATTAATTAATGAAGCTCCTATTAATACAGGCATTTGATTGGGCACTGCAGTTACAAAGATAAATAAGCCTCAGTCAGTGTCTCCTAGGGGGAGGAGAGGTTGTTACCAAGGGGAAGCCCAAGGAGCTATAAGGATGGCAGAGGAAGGGGTCATAGCTTCCTGGAAGAGGTACCCCCAGAGGTCAGTCTCAAAGAAGTAGGAGTTAATCAAGCAGATAATAGCTGAGAATGGGGGAGGATGAGCACCTCTCAACTCAAAGAGCATTCCTGGAGAAAGACACGATTTGAGAGAGAGAATTGTATAGCTGGGGAAGAGCAAGTGGATGAAAATGAGTGAGGCACAAAGTGAAAGGAAGGGAAAGTGAGAGAGGAAACTGTTGAGGGGGCTGGGGCCAGGTCATGGGAGGCCTGGTGTGTTCTGCAAGGGAGCTCAGACTCTCTCCTAGCAACAGTAGGGAGCCACTGAGGATGCTAAGCTGGGAAGCTGCACTCACACTTCCCTATTCAATTTCTCCACTCTATTTGCTTGTGTGGCCTCCCATAAACATCGCCAAGAGCAGGAACTATTTTTTTCATCTTTTCACCTTTATATCCTTGGAGCTTAGCATAGTCCCCAGAATGCAACAGGAACTTAGCACTTATTGTTATATGAACTAATGAATGAATGAGCAAAGTGCCAAGTAGGGAAAGAAGAGGCTGGGGGGAAAATGCAGTGAATGAAGATGAGAGAACACTGTCAAATGCAAAGGCTAAGGAGTTTGAACAGAAATCCATCTGAACTGTAGTAATAAAAGCATATGTAAATATAGACAAAATCTTCATGTCCCAAGCAGTGTATATACGACGTGGATGGAAAAACTGACCACAGATGAAGACACCTTGGAGAAGGAACTGAATTGAGATCCACTCAGGGATCTTGGTCAGAGGAAGCTCCTGAATTCTTCTTGGGAAAGGGTCATGTTAGGGGTTGAATTGTGTCTTTTCCCCTAAAAATATGGGGAACTCCTAACTTCCAACACCTCAAAATATGTCCTTATTTGGAAATAGGGTCTTTACAGATTTAATCAAATTAAGACAAAGGCATTAGGGCGGGCCTCAACCCAATATAACTGGTGTTCTTATAAAAAGGAAATTTGGACACAGACACACACACAGCGAAGATGATGTGAAAAGACACAGAAGACAGCCATCAATAGGCCAAAAAAAAAAAAAAAAAAAACACCTAAGGCTACCAGAAGCCATTGGAGAACCCTGGGACAGATCTTTCCCTAGAGCCTTCAGAGAGGGCATGGCCCTGCTGACATCCTGATTTTGGCCTTCTGGCCTCCAGAACCATGAGCCGATACTTTTCTATTATTCTAAGCCACCCAATTTGTGATATTTTATTATAGGAACCCTAGGAAATGCACACAGGCTGGCAGTTAAAACAGATTAACACTTGCAGCCGACTTTGGTATTTGTCCTCCCTACGTGCATTCCCTTGTCCTCCTTGCTGGATGGGTCTTAGAAGGAACAGAGGGGAAAGAATGGAGCTGCACAGGTTCATGGATGGAGCTTCATGCCACCCACCGGGTGAGGAGAAAAGATTCTGCATCTCAGGAATGGTACAGGCTTTGACACCAGACCTGGGTTAAATCTTAGCTCCATTTACCAGCGATACAGCTTTAGGCAAATGACTTGCAATTTTCAAACTTCAGTTTGAAATAGGAAATACAACTTAACATTCTAAAGAATTCTTAAGAATTATGCTTAACAAGGAGATAATCTATGTAATGCACCAAGCACGATGTCTAGTGACCAGCAGGTGACCTCCCAGATGTGCGCATGATTCTGAGTCACACACCCAGAATACCCAAGACTTTTTTTTCCTTCTCTGGAAGAATCAGTCCACTGAGCATTAAAGAAACAACTAGACATGTTCTCATCAAATTGGTCTGCAGTCCTGTCATTTTCACTTTGGAGCACACCACAAACCATTTCTCCCCATCGTCCCTTCCTTAAGTTCCCTGAATTAAAGCAATAGCTCCTAACTGGCTCCCTACCTCCATTCTCTCCCCATCCTCCAATTCAGCATTCACAGAGTCACCCACCAGCATTATCACTCTAGAGCAGGGGCTGGTAAACTACTGCTCATGGGTAAATCCAGCCCACTGCCTGTTTTTGTTTATAAAGTTTTACTATCACATAGCCACACTCACTCACTCATTTGCATATTGTCTGTGGCTCCTTTTGCACCATAGTGGCAGAGCTGAATAGCTATGACAGACTGTAGGTCCACAAAGCTTAGAATACTTACTATCTGATCCTTTACAGAAAAAGTCTGCCAGGCCCTGGGTAAGTTGCCATTCCCTTCAGTGACTTGCCTCTCATAAAAAACCTACATTGAGTAGTTGGCCCTTGCCTGTCTTTCCTAGCTCATTTCTCTTTTATTTATTTATTTTTGAGACAGGGTCTCATTCTGTCACTCAGGCTATAATGCAGAAGCGTGATCTTGGCTCACTGCCAGCTCCACTTCCTGTGCTCAAGGGATTCTCCCACTTCAGCCTCCCAAACAGCTAGAATTACAGGCTCACATCACCATGCCTGGCTAATATTTTTGTATTTTTGGTAGAGATGAGGTTTTGCCATGTTGGCCTGGCTGGTGCTGAACTCCTGGGCTCAAGCAATCTGCCTGCCTTGACCTCCCACAGTGCTGAGATTATAGGTGTGAGCCACCCTGCCTGGCCTCCTTGCTCATTTCTTGCCACTCCCCTATGTCCCACTCTTGCTGATTAAGAGTCCCCCCAAACACCACGTGTTGCCTCCACCTGTAACATCTCTACTCCCTTTCCACATGAAAAAATTTCACATATTCTTTAAGATTATGTTTAAATGTCCCTTCCCTCCGAAGCTTTTCAGCCCTATTCAAGGGTCAGGCACTCCTTCCTTAGAGTTCCCTTAGCACCCTGTGACATCCCTTCAATAGACAGCATGTTGTAAAGAATGAATATGCGCCTACAGATCTTTCTCCTTTACTGGACACCCCCAACCTAAACCTCTCTCATTCCCTCCTAGAGCACCCTGTTCTTGTCCAGGATAGCAGTTACCAGTTTATAATCATCATGTATTTTATCTGTGTATTTACTTCTTGAATGCCCATCCCGTAATAACTGTGAGCCCCCAGAAGGCAGGAACTAAGACTGTCAGAATCACCATCACTTTACCATCATCTAGCCTTGAGCCAGCCACATAGTTGTTCAAATTATTAAATGAACTGATGACTGGCTAAATGAAAAATATATATATATATATATATATATATTTTTTTTTTTTTTACTAATAAATCAAATACAAATGAAAGAGAATCTAAGGTATCACAGCTGTTGCTTTATGGGCACACAGTGTACTGCCTCCCAAACCCTTTTGCACCCTGCCACAATCCAGAAGGTTGGATGGGCAGAAGCACCAGTGATAGCTTAGATGTGGATATCTGACACATGTATACAGCCCTGTGCACTCATTTGTGGGAATCAGTGTGGAACATGTACATAGGACTTTTTCATGACAGAAAATTCAGACCCTGTGGAATAGGAATAAAGCCAAGTATGGGATTATGTAACTTCACCGAACCACATTTGTGCGGAGCCACACAGCATCCCAGCCACACCTTCCTGGGGAAGCACTTCCACCACTCTTTGTCTACTGAGGAAAAGTGGGGCAAAACACCTGCAGCTTCTTCCCTCTGATGGAAGAAAGAGTCCCTAAGGAGAGTGCCCTGTCTGTCCATCACACCCACACCCAGCCAAAGGGACTCTGCACATGCCCACATCCAGGTGAGAGACCTGGCTGGGAGGAGAGTGGGGAGGGGTCCGGCAGGGATGATCCTTCCTTGCCTCCTACAGTGTCCTCCAGTACCTTCAAGCTGTCCTCCAGGGAACCTTCAAGCTGGAAATGTGACTCTTGAATGATGTACTGTTTACTTTTCCTGATACCTGAAGGCTCAAGATCAAACAAATAATTCAGCTGAGCTGCTGCTTTGTGTGGGGAAAGAAAAATACCCCAAGGCCATTTCCCGTGTGGCCTTTTGGATTCAGGATGGTGCCCTTTGGGAGAGCCCTTTCCATAAAGGCCCTCTGTGAAGGTGTGTGCATTTCACTGAGATGTTTCCAAGAAGAGCAAAGATGCCATTTCAACCAAAGCAAATATTTGAAGTTGGCAGCCAAATTCTAATTCCAGCCCTGAGCCTCAGGGATGTCAGCATCATGAACATGAACCAAGGCAAAGCTGAATTTCTTGTTTAAGTCAAGCTTTTAACCCTCTATGGTATCTGCCTCTGGTCTGAACAAAAGAATCTTAAGTATGAAAACAGAGATTGTCTTTGCCCCTAGATAAAAACATCTTCTGGGATGGCTTCTGGGAGGCTCTGGGATGCAGTCTCTAAACCTGGTAACAAAGAATTCACAGGAAATGCCCCTATTTTTCCATTATTAAGAACTTTAAATGGCAGTGGTCAAATCCTCTAGGGTCATTCCAAGCAGAGGGTTGTCACTCCAGCAAATCTTATAATGGACCTTTCATTTCCTACAAGGTCTAAACAACTCTCTGTCTCCTCTCATATATTTGCCTTCATCCCCAACTACCTTTCCCTTTGCTCAGAGAAGCAGGTGTCTCTTCTCCAGTCCAAAGCTGGTGTCTCCTCCCCATAACCCCACTATGGTCTAGGTCCTCTTCCTTCCTCCTGAAACCTTGGTGCTGTTGCCATCCTTACCTCCAAGTATCTACACAGCAGATGCCAATTCCCCATGCCTGAAGTGGAGCTTCAGTACATCATGCTCTATTGAGGAATACTTTGAAGGCAAATTGAGTGGGTGATATACTGAACGCACCTGAATTTGACATGGTCTGGACTTAACAACAAGTGATAAGTCACCACTGGGCATTGTGAAAGACATTTTCTCTGCTCCATCTAATAAAAGCTGAAGACCTGAAACACCTGTCCAGAATTTCTTTAATGATATCCAACTATCAACATGGAAGCCATCCAGAATATGAAGAGAAATATTAGAAATCTGTGTGGAAAAGAGAAGCAAACATGGAGACACCTCTCCCAGCGTGCATAGTCCATTTGTGACCACTCTATAATATGTGCTGGTCGGGCAGGCACGGTGGCTCACGCCTGTAATCCCAGCACTTTGGGAGGCCAAGGAGGGCAGATCACGAAGTCAGGAGTTCGAGACCAGCCTGGCCAGCATGGTGAAATGCTGTCTTTACTAAAAATACAAAAAATTAGCCAGGCATAGTAGTGTGTGTCTGTAATCCCAGCTACTTGGGATGCTGAGGCAGGAGAGTCACTTGAACCCAGGAGGCAGAGGTTGCAGTGAGCCAAGATCGCACCACACATTCCAGCCTGGGCGACAGAGCAAGACTCTGCTCAAAAACAAAACAAAACAAAACAAAAAAAACCAAAAAAAACGTGCTGGTCTTTTCCATCTTTAAAACACTGTCTCTACCTAATACCTCTAGCTGCTGTCTTTTCTTGCATGTTACTTTCATAGACAAGCCTCTAAAAACAATTGCTAAAGTTTGGTATGTCCACTTCCTCACCTCACATTTGTTCATTAGCTCCCCTCATCTGTTAGACTCCCCTCATCTGTTAGACTCCTCTCACCAAGTCGTCAATAGCTTTGGAATTTCCAAATCCGTGAACATTTCAGATCTCTCATTCTTCCATATCATTTGAAGCTGTTGATCCCCCTCTCCTGGAAACTCTCCTCTTCCGCATCCCAGTCTCCCATTTCCTCCTGCCTTTCTGCACATCCCCTTCCCTGTTGACTTCACTGGGTTCTCTCCTTCCTTCCCTGAGGTCAGTGTTGTGCCCTAGTACTGCCACTCTCGGAAGCAATCTGGCACATGCCTGGCATCCTGATAGCTGACTTAAAATCCTAGGTCCATGACTTATAGCTGTGTGACCTTGGGCAAATTACTTACCATCTCTGTGCCTAGGTTTACTCAGCTGTAAAATAGGTAAAACAATAGTAGTCCTTCCTAACAATGGTTGTTGAGAGGATTAATACACGTAAAGTGTTTAGAACATACAGTACACACTCAATAAACATTAGCTATTATAATTCCTCTTCCCATACTCCATAACCCTCCGTAACCAACTGATCCATGCCATGACTTCACTACCTTTGGTTAAAGTTTGTTTGTGGGCCGGGCACCGTAGCTCATGCCTGTAATTCTGGCACTTTGGGGGACTGAGGCAGGAGGATCACTTGAGGCCAGAAGTTCAAAACCAGCCTGGTCAACATAGTGAGACCCTGCTCTACAAAAAGTTTTACAAATTAGCTGGACATAGTGGCATATAACTGTAGTCCCAGCTACTCAGGAGGCTGAATCAGGAGGATCACCTGAGCCCAGGGGTTCAAGTTCAAGACTGCAGTGAGCTATGATTGTGCTGCTGCATGCCAGCGTGGTCACAAAGTGAGACTCTGTCTCTTAAAAAAAAAAAAGTTAGCTTTCTTGTAAATCTTGAAGACTTTTCTCGGGAATGTCAAACCTAGAAAACATCTGCCCACTAGCCATCTCTCCCTAACTATCTTAATATTTCAAACTCAACATATCTGAAACTGAGTTCATCATCCTTCCTATAAATGCTGCTCCCTCCTCCCTGTCCCTTCTCTCTCCTAATGAATAGCCCCACTATCCTTCCCACTGGATGCCAGGCCAAAATGTCAGAATCATCCTAGACTCCTGCCCCTCCCTTACTCCCCTGTTCAATCAGTCACCAAATCATGCCAACTTTATTGCCAAAGGCTTTCTTGAGTCTGCCCAATTCTCCACCCTAATTACCAGTGTCTTATTAGAATCTCATTATTTCTCACCTAGATGATAGTAAGTCACAACAATATTAAAAATAATACTGGCCACTAGTATGACTTGCCAATTACAAATAAACCACTGTAGTAGACATTTCCCATACTTCATTGTATGTAACCCTGTCTACCATGCATACCATCCATAAGGGAGGAAGTAGAGTCCACTGTTTTCAGATAAGACAGAGGCTCAGAGACATTTGCTAAACAGCCCAAGTTACAGGGAGTGTGGCTGGGAAGGAGGCTGAGATGTATCTGACTCCAAATCTCAGGCTTTTTCATCCCCTAAACTGCAATAACATGCTAACTGGTCTTTTTGCCACCTATCTTATTCTTCTCCAATATTTACTCTATTGCCAGAACAGTATTAGAACAAAACTTTGACCCAGTCTCTCCTCTGTGTGAAATCCTGCAGTAGCTCCCCACTATCTTCAAAGTAAAATTCCAATTCTCTAACAAATCCAGATGTGATTACCTTGCCCCTTCACAGGCTGACTTCCTTTGTCCCCAGCCATGCCTATCTGCCTTCCCTTCTTGAAGCAGCCCTGGTTTGCTCACCTGGACATGCTGGACTTCTCACCGGCCCATCTGCCTAGGCTCCACTTCTCCTCTCATCAGCCTGGATGCTCCATCTCAGCCTCTTTGATGCATGTTGTCTTGGACTCACCTGCTCTCCAAGCTGAGTTTAGGTGTCCCTCCTGTGGGTGCACATAGCACCCTGTGATTGCCTCTAGTGTGGTACTTTAGGGTAGTACAACATTCATTGATTGAGCATCTGCCATAGGCCAGTTTACAGTAGGCTCTGGTGATTTGGGAATCAACAAGACATATGTCCTGATTTCAGAGAACTTACTGTAATGAGAGATGGACAGCAAAACATTGCATTACTATCTCTGATTTCCTCATCTGTCTCCACACTGGATTGCTGAGCTCCTTGGGCACAAAGAGTATCTTGTTCATCCCTGTTTCCAGAGCCTGGAACTGTGCCTGGCACATGAAGGTGTCAATAAGTGTTGGCAGCTTGAGCTGAGCAGACACACCAAGGCCACCAAGCTGTCTCTGTGAGCACATTAGCACACCCACAGGAACACTTTTACTTTCATGTGTGTCTTTTTCAGACTAAATGTCCAGTCATTGTCTTCTGAAGTTCCACAAGATCCTACAGTGCACCCTGCTTTTGACATGCAGCAGGGTCTAACACTGGAGAATGTCCAGGCCAACCATTCCTGCCCTGTGTGACTGACCCACTAGGAGATTAAAGGACCGAGGTCTCATAGCAAGTAAATGGCATTGCTGACTCTCCTCCAGTGCTCATTCCGCCCACTCTCAGGTTCATAGCGACATCTCAGTGCAGCAAAGAAGGATGCCACTGTCAGAGGTTGCTTGGCCAAGTGGCACTCAGGATGGGGGAACTCAGGAAAGAAATGCTTCTTCCAGTAACAGGCCCTACCCGTCTCCTCCCATGGGCTGCTATGGCCTGTCTTGTCTTGACAAGATGAGTGTGTTTGTGGAGGTGCCCAGAGAAAGACAGCTTTAGGCAGCCCTTTTGATCAAAGTCCCCTTGCAGAAACAAGATCCCCTGAAGTCTGCTCCCTGCAGCTACCACCAGCCCCATCTGAATGACAAGGGCAGGAGGGGGCAAGGCAAAAGGGGAGAGGCTTAAATTACAGCAGGTGTTTTGTAAAGTCTTCTTTTCCTTGCAAGTTTATGGTTGCTTCTCTACTAAGCAGCATTTCCCTCTCCTCTCACCATGGAGGGCAAAGTGCAGGCTGCCTTGGTGATCAAAGAGGGGGCAAGAGGAGGAAGAGAGTTTTTGAACCCCAGAACAAAGAGCATCTCACTGCCCCCAGGCACAGCCTCAGATGCCAGGCTGGGGAGAAGGAAAGGGGGAAAAGCGGGGAGGAAATGGCCATTCCTATCCCAACCACAGCGGCCCACTCTTTCACCTTCTTTTTCGAAAGCAGATTTTCTAAAAGTATCTTTGATGATAACAGCTCTCTGGAGACTATCTGGAGCGGGATAAAGGGCTCAGAGTTTGGTGCCCTGGACCTGATCCTGGCTCTGCCTTTTAGTTGTGGGTGTGACCCTGATTCCTCCTCTAATACAGACCTCAGAGGGTGTTTGTCAGGATCCATGCAATTAAGTCAGCTAAAGCCCCTAACACAGTGCCTGGCACCCACCCCAGGTTATAATTGATCTCTAGGAACCACTCCTGGGACCACTTCCCTGGAGGAAGGATGGTCCCCAGAAGAGAGGATTCTTCTCCCTGTCTCCAGTCCCTGATCCCTGGCTGGATTGAGTCTTCTTCTCTACTCATATCTTCTCTGTCATGGCACTAATCCACCACACTGTGTTGTCTGTTTTCTTTTCTATCTCTTCCTTCAGACCATGAGCATCTTGAGGTCCAGGAATGGGACTTCCATGCTAGAGCATTCATTCACTCATCTATCACTTACTAAGTGCCTCCTATGTGCCAGGGGGTCACTAAGTGGTGAATAAATGAGTAAAGCCTGGGGATGACCTATAGAAGGACCTACATCAATTGTCTAATCAATAAGCATATGCACCCATCCTCTGTGGGGAGCTCAGTGCAATCAGCACATGCAAATGGCTTTGGGCTCAAAGAAAGACTGCAAATGGGAATGCAATTCCCAGGAAATGTGTGAATCCTAATAGCTGTTGACCTGCTGGATCACAGGCTGGATTTTATGTGAAACAGACTTTAGCATCAAAACTCAATCTCTCTCTCTCTCTCTCTCTCTCTCTCTCTCTCTCCCCCATCTCCCCTTCTTTCCCTCTGTTTCTCCATCCCTTTCTAAGTCTGGAGAAATTTAGCAATTGCTTAGCAATTCATACAGACTTTTGGATGCTCTAAAGGTAAAACCTAGACTCTGGAGGGGCCACTCACATAGCTCATCAGCTAGGACTTTGAAAAGAAAACAAAACAACTACCCACAACCTCCCAGCTCAGCTTTGTTTTTGATTGTGATTTCTTTGCTTACTAGAGACAGTGTCTCTCCCTGACCCGTGGGCTCTGGTTCCACTGCCCCAGGAGGAAACAAGGCCAGCAGAGATAAGAGGCAGAGCCCCTATTCAAAGAGCTCAGCACACCTGAGCTTTAAATGCCCACTCCATTGTCTCAAAACAGTACAGAGACAGACTCCTGCACTGGTAAAATGTCAAAGTCACCTCCCCAGGCCCATCTCTGCCCTCCAGTCCCCACCATATGCCTACATGTCTTCCAGGCCCTTTCTTGACTCTTACACATGCTGTTTCCTATCTGTAATGCTCTTTAATCACCAGTCCCTTCAAACCCGCCAAGCTCCCGCTTACACGTTAAGGCCAAGCTCAAACATCCTCTTCTCTCTGATGCCTTTCCTAACTCTTCTAGCAGAGATGGTGCTGGTTCCTTTGAGCTCCCAGTTCTCTGCTCAGATCTCTTATTCTATTTAACACATTCTGATGATCTATTCACACGTCCCTCATATGTCATGGACTGCAATCTTAATGGTACAAACCAGGTCTTCATCTTTGTGTCTCTGGCACCTGCACAGAGCTACGTATTGCACGTGTATTCCAAGTCCACACTAATACCTCAAGGTTCTGCCACCACTCTAGTCTGAATCCAAATGCCCTTTACAGCACTAAACAGGGTTTCACACAGAGTCAAACAACAGAGTGCATTTCACAGAGAATACAGCTCAAGACGTAAATGGGGCAAAGTGTATCTCCCTAGAACTAGAGACACAAAGCAGGGGCCAGCTTCATTAGAAAGTCTGCTGCAGGTCACTTAAGAGGTGCTACCCAAAGTGGCAGCCAACGAAGTGTGACATCAGAGGCCTCAAGACCTGGCACCAATCCTGACATCCCCCTAACCTTTCTACCCTGGGCTAGTTTATCTTCTGTGCCAAGCTATAAAAGCCTCAGTATAAATACAAGTGATGCCCAAAGATCTTGGGTCTAACTTTTATTCAAGGCATTAAAATCCTACAGGAATTTGTCTCTCAGGTCAGCCAGCTAGTGACCTAGGAGAGGGGATAATGCCAGGAGACAGTACGAGTCTGGTGTGGGAAAGGGAAGGCAGTGCTATAGGGCAGCGGTTCCCAACCTTTTTGGTTCCAGGGACCAGTTTCCTAGAAGACAATTTTTCCACGGATAGGGGGAGATGGTTTCAGGATGAAACTGTTCCACCTCAGATCACCAAACATTAGATTCTCATAAGGAGTGCACAAACTAGATCCTTCACCCATGCGGCTTGCAATAGGGTTCATGCTCCTATGAGAATCTAATGCAGCCGCTGATCTGACAGGAGGCGGAGCTCAGGCGATGACCCTGTTCCTAACAGGCCAGGGACCAGCCAAGGGGTTTGAGGACCTCACCATGGGGATCTGAAGAGTCTTGGATGTCAATGGATAGGAGAGTTCTCACCCTACTCCACCCTCAAAAGCAGCACTTACTAGAATGTTTCCCTGGCCCCTAAAAAACCCACAAGGCTTTACACATGCCAGGTTAGGTGACCTCACCCCACTGAAGTTTTGGAGACAACCTGCCAAAACAAGCAAACTCAGGGGGATTACAGCTGTGCAGGACAGCTGTGGAGGAAGCCAGAGTACACAAATGTGCAGGTATTTGTGTAAGGCAGTCTAGCCCACAGAGCAAGTGGCCCAGCGACTAGCAAGTGGGCTCGGTTTTCAAAGCCAAGGCTGCATTAGAAGCAATAGAAGATTCCAAGTTAGTTTAGTGATCAGTTGTAACCAAGTATCCAGTGTCAAACACAACTTACCCAGAGGGTAAGTGAGTGGCTCCAAATCTGCTTCTCCAACACCCCATATGGGTCATTAAATTCCCTTAGCCAGTTTTACCTTCAATAGATAAATGAGCCTTACAATACATGGAGAGAAGGTGTACTTTGCATCTGATCAAGTATAATGTGGGACACTCAGCTGGTGGCATTTATTCATCCATCCCTCATGCATCAATTGGTTTCACCAATATTTATATGCTAGGTGCACACTGCAAAAGGCACATGCACAGTAAAGACAAAGCTGGAGTCACAGAGTTTTCGACCCCAAGTCTGCACCTCTCTCCTCCAGGCAGGTGTGTGTTGACTCCATCCCCCCATCCCAAAAAAGTTAATCCTCTTCTAGCCCTGACTATGTACATAGGCTCAATTTAGCATCAAGATCAGTGGTGCTAGGAACTAACCCCAATGTCCTGCCCCTCTGTGGCTGGGGGCAGGGCCAGGAGGCAAGGAAAGGAGCAAGAGTTGTAAAAATAATGGCATAGTCTTAAATCACAAGCATGATGCAGGTGGAAAACCCAATGGACTTAGGCTCTCATTAATGCACTTAGCAAACCTTATCTCACATTAACTGAGCACTTATTATATGCCAAGCACTGGGCTAAGCCCTTTACCCGCATAGTGTAAAGAGTATGTGTTTTGAAATCCAGATGTGTGCGTGAATCTTGGCCCTACCGCTCATTAGCTCCATGACTCTGGGCAAAGTGCTTAGCCTCTCTGTGCCTCTGTTTCTTTGTCTGGAAAAAAGGGCAATACCAGTAGTAACTGTAAAGGACATTATAGGTTTTAAATGAGTAAAAATGTATAAAATGCTAAACTTGAACCATGTCCTGGAATTAGGTAGGCACTCAGTATTAAGATGAATGATTATTATTCCATTAGTTAGTCATACTAGTCTGCAGAGAAGGTACGCTATTTCTTCTTACCAAGAAGACTTTGAGAGACTGATTCAACTTGACCAAGGTCAAGTAATTAACTTTTAACAGAGTTAATAAGCGGCAGAACTGAGATTTGAACGCAAGAAGCCTGACGCCAAAGCCTGAAACCATCACTGTGAGCATCGACGGCACTAAGCTAGATTCTAAGTATGTAAGACCAGGGGAGAGATAAACAAAATACTGCAAGAGATACATATTTATTTTTTAAAAAAAAGGAGGGGAGAGGGGAGGCTGAGGCTGAGGCTGAGGCTTTCCCCCAACCTGGGGCAGGGCAGGGAGCAACAAAATGGTCTGTAGGAACTGAAGAATGATGCTTCACCCAAAAGGAGACTTAACTTCTAGTCTCAAAGATTGATTGCCAGCCAAGGAGGAAGAAGGGCATTCCAAAAAGTCAGGACCTAGAATACCAAAAGAATAGTGGGTTGGGGGAATGTCAGGAACATTGACGAAGTGGCATAAGGTGAGGCCAGTTGTGAAGAGCCATGTGTACAAGGTCGGGGGTTACATTTTATTCTGTAAAGACAGTGATTTTCAAACTTTAACATGCAGAGGAATTACCTTCAGTGCTTGTAAAACACCTGCAGATTCCCAATTCCCATCCCTTCTGCTAGCAATAGGGGACCAACAAGGGTGCTAAGGCAATATAGCCGCATGACCTGCTGTGGATTTGGCAACAGAATTCTGGCACTGGAATGGAGGGAAAGACTGGGACAGAGACTGGTATAATCAGCCAAACTAGAGCAGATAAAAGGATGAGAGCTGGAAATAATGGCACTCTTCATGAAGTGAAACATTAAACCTGGGCTTCTCAACCTCAGCACTATTAACATTTTAGGCTAGATAATTCTTAAATCTTGGAAGCGGAGTGGGGGAGGGGGGAGATGTCTTGTGCAATACAGGATGTGGCAGCATCCCTGGCCTCTACCCACCAGATGAATAAGATCCTCTTCTACTTACATGATGACAGCCAAATATGTCTCCAGACATTGCTGGATGTCACTTGGGAAGTAAAATCAAAATTCCGTTGAAAACCATTACTTTAAGCCCTAGCATCCCTGCTTTACAGATGAGGAAATCCAGCTACAGAAAGGTACAGGAAGGCCCCAGCCAGGATTCAAGCTGGTGGTCTCACTCCAGGGCCCGGGCTCTTAGCCACTGCGCTTGACTGCCTTTATGGAAAGGAGATTCAAGCCAGCCTTCTGAACAGTATTACACATTTCGTGACAGACTGGATGACAAGAAGGGGATGAATTAATAAGATTCAAAGGTGAAACCTCAGTGCTTGCCGCTGAACTCAGAGGACAGTAGATAATAAGTAGTTTGGGTTTGAATATAATCAAGGTATATTAGGTCAAAACGGAAAAAGCCTGGTCCCTTGTACTATGAGAAAGGAGGTGGGGGGGGGGCGGGGGAGTTGGGGGGACGGTTCTTGCTCAGACTAAAAAGAAGAATCTTCTGTAGGGCTGGACTTGAAGTGTATGTGTGGTATAGACCAGCTAGGACCCAAATCCTGGCTGGGCCCTTTCCTAGCTAGCTGTGTGGCCCCATCTCATTTTGCCCGTTTGTAAAATAGGGGTAAGAGTCCCTACACACAGGCTTGTTATGAGAACTCAGGCAGTTAATAAGAACAACATGGCAAGCCAGCACGATGTGGTTGGCACTCCTCTCCTTCCAGGACATCCTCATTTCCTCCATGTCCCAACGCGCTCCGTACTGCGTGCCAACACCTCCCCTTACCCCTCAATAGTAGGGGTGGGGACCCCCACGCAGACCTCCCAGATAGAGCAGCGTGGACTGTCTGCGCGCCCCTCTCCAAAAGCAAAGCGTCCCACTGGGACTTTAGGGGGCGCCAACAGCCTTTCACTCCCTGATGCACTCGGCTTTCGGGGTCCTGGGGGTCGCCAAATGCGCGCGGCGAGTTGGCTGCCTCCGAAACAAACCAGGTAAATAGTCCACGGTGCAGCACGTACATTTCTGGCAGGTCCGCCCCGCGCAGGCTTGGGATAGAAGCCAGTCAGGCTCAGCCCAGCTCCCAGAGGCACAGGAGAGAAGCGCTAGATTTGGGAACGACCTGCTTTCCGAAGCTGGGCTGCAGAGGCAGGGAGTTGAGAGTTGTTCTATCCAGAAAGAAGCAGGGGGGGCGAGAGAAGAAACAGGAAAGTGGGAGGAAGAGGAGGCAAAAAAGAAAGCGCTGGGAAGCAGAGTTCCCTGTGGGACCCAGCCTACAACACCTGGGCAGGGACTTGGGAACAAAGCAGCTGCTTCAGGTCAGAAGTGCTCTGGGTGTTTCCGAAAAGAGGGCGCTTCGGAGAAGCCGGAGCCCGCTGGGGATGCCGGGCGCCCCCAGAGTTCAGGGAGCGCTCTCGGGCACCTCTTACCTTTGCTGGGGCCCCGGCGCGCACTTCCGGGGACTGCGCTTGGGGCGCGCGGGGCCGAGCAGGGGGACCCGGAGCTGATCACTGAGGGGCGGACACGACAAAGCGCTGCCCGGGTCTTGGGCCGGCACCAGTACCTCGGAAAGGAATCCCGGCGGAGGGGCCGCCGGGGTCAGGGCTGGCCTGGGGATGTGGGGTCCCGGCCTGGGTGCTCACGGACGGCGGCGCCAAGCCCCGCAGAAGCTGCAGGAGCCCGAGTCAGTGGGAGGAAAAGGTTGTCTCATTTCCTTCGATCTCCCCCCTCCTCCACCCGCTTGGCTCCGGACCTGCCCTCCCTCTCCCCCGCCCCCTTCTGCAAGCCAGCGGCCCATGTGGGCGCCCGCAAGACGCGAAACCTGAACGGCTGCGGCGTGCGGCACCTCCCTCCGCGCCAAGTTAGTTCACGCTCCCAACTCCTGCCTGCCTCCCCGCGCTGCCGACTGTCCGCAGGACCGGGGAGGTTCCCCATCGGCAGTCCCCAACCTATCCCGGTCCTCCAGGCTTTCCCCCTGCTGGGACGAGCCCAGATTTGAAAGCAGACCTCCAAGCCCCTGCCAGCATCCATCCTCTCATTCCTGTCCCGTCGCCTGCTTTGAGCCTGTATTCAGCTACTCAACTCAGACAGGAAATAACCACTTACTTTGTTAAATTTGATCAACTTTTTTTTTTTTTTTTTTCTGAGTGGGAAGTTAAAGCCTGATGCATAATCTCGAAGGAATGTTCATTTTTATCGGAAGAAATGCAGCTGAGGCCTCTGTTTGGCCTTTCTCTTTCAGGGTTGGGGTTTTGTTTGTTAAAATCAACAAGTATTTTATTGAGAGTGATGGGCGCTCAGCTGGGGGCTGGAAACGCAGAAACAACTAGAGGGACACCCTGTTCCTATACAATCGTCATAGGGGAAGAGTGCAGGGAGAGAACAGGTCCCGGGTTGCGGTGGTCTCTTAAGAGATGGGTCACGGAGTGAAAGAGCCTTCTACAGAATCAAAATAAAAGCTTGGACAGAGGGAAGACGGAATAAGAAAGCCTTCAGGAGGCGGTCTAGCAAAGAGCACAGCCAGGGCAGTGAGTGATGGTGGGGAACAGGGAGGAAAATATTGTGCCAGTCCGTTAGGAAAGGAGAGGAGCTCCTAGAAGCAGTGTGATGGAACTGACAAGATCTGATGACCAAGGGCTTGAAAGGGAGAAGATGAGGAGAGGATGAAGGAGAGAGGTGACTCCCAGGCCTCTGGCTAGAGTAGCCAGTGACCACGTGGATGACTAGAATCCCAGAGTGCCTTCTGGAGCTGCTACTCCAAGTGTGGTCCAGAGACTGGCAGTACTAACACCACATGGAAGCTTTATGGAAATGAAAACCCTCGGGCCGCACTTGAACCACTGGATTAGTATCTGCAGCTTAACAAGATCCCTAGATGATTCAAATGTGCATTAGAATTTGGAAGCACTGGCTGCTAGACCACTGACTGTATATTATGCTGTATATTGGACTGATTGTATATTAGACTATGGAGCCCTGGGTGTCTATTAGAAACACCTGGGGAGCTTTAAAAACCAATAGGTGGCCCCAGCTCCACCCTCACAAATATTTCTGTAATTGTCTGGGGTGGAGCTCCCACATCAGTTTTTTTTCAGATGCTCTCAAGATGATCTCATACAGCCAGAGATGAGAGCCACTGTTTCAGACTTACTCAAGAGCTACTTCATTTTACCTTGAAATGCTGCTCTTCAAAAGGAAAACAACACCTATCTGTAGATGAAAACGTAAAGACAGGTTATTCCACTCTCATGCAGAGGCAACTGGTCTGGTAGAAAGGGCCCTTGTTTCCTAAACTAATCAGGGAACAAGGTTCTAGCCTCAGACAGCACTAAATTACTCTCTGAACTTGAGAAAGTACTCCCCTCTCCGACCTCTGTTTCCTTATCTGTAAAAAGAATACATACTTGCCTGACTCCAAATTCCACACTCTGGCATGCAAGGGCCATCATCAGAGCTCCCCCTAACTCTCCAGCTTTCCAGCAGGCATATGGAGAGGCTGTGATGAGAAGCGGGGTTTCCTGATGTAATACTACGTGTGTTAGCCAAGGGCACAGCCCTGTACGAATATCAGAGATCAGAGGTTTGTGTGCCGAGTACAGGAGCACACATACAATCAGTGCTCAGTAAATGTGTGTTGAATGAACTAATTAGTAAAGAAATAAATAGATAGGGCACAGGTGCCAATAGGTGAGCACAGACTTTCTATAGATGGGCCCTAATCTTGAGCCTACTTATTTGCCCCCAGGCTGGAGAAAGGACACCTGGAAGCACTCTGACCCAATCTACCTTTGGATTTAAAAATACTACCACTACTAAGAACTGCTAATATGTGTTGGTACTTAGTACGTGCCAGTCACTGGGCTGTGTCTCACTTATAAACATTGCCTCATTTTATTAAAATGAAGCAGATACTGTTGAACCCCCTACACTTCAACAGATTTCAGGAATCACAGGTATGGAGAGACTAGAGCTGCCATCTAGATTATCTACTTCTGGTTGTGCAGCAGGACAGAAGTGCATCCGTTGCTAGCCTGAGAGCCCCTCTTGGGGTTCCTACGGGTCATTCTCCAGAACATGCATCCCTGCATGAAGGCCAACATTGAGATAAATGACTACTTAAGGATCCTACAGAGGTAGATTCTACCAGGAGCTATGTCAGAGGACCTATGGGTTATGGCTGCACCTTGGAAAGGAACCCCTCAAAGCTACTAACTTCATGCTTGCATGCACACGTGTGTTCATGTGTGTGTGTATGCTTTTAATGAGAGCCTCATAGATACCGAACTCTACGCCAATCCTTTCCACATACATTTCTTTTAATCAACACAGCATCTTGATTGGCTAAGTATTCTTGTTCTGTTATTTTATAAATAAGAAAACTGGAACAACATGAAGATCTGTTCATCTCTGTAGCCCGTTTCTTAAGTATACATTCTATTGCATTGTTGTTCCTGTCTACCACCTCTGCCCACCCCCATTCTATGGAGGCAAGAATCTTCACTTCAAGTCCCATTCGCTTGTTATGGTTACAAGTCATCAAAACTCTCTGTGCCTCATTTTCCTACCCACAAAATAAGTTGTCTTTGATTGCTCTTTTTTGAAGGTACCGTGTGTGGCTTGACACTCTAGGCTGAGAGGAGATGAGGAGAGATAACCCACAGACTGTTAAGAGAAACTGAACACTGGGGTGATTTATTCTAAGATGAGAGGGCCCATTGCTTCATTAATGGCAAAATTATTATAAAAGAGGGAAATAGCTATTTTCCATTTCTAGGGAGACATATTTATGGAACAGTGCCAAATATCAATTAAGACCTTAGGTCAGATGTGAGAAAGGGGCATTAAGCCTCTGCTAGACTAGGGCAAATTCTCAATGGCTACCTTTTGAAGCTCCCTATCCTGGTCTCATAGGGTCTGCTGGATAGACCTTCAGGGTGGAGGTGGTCAGGGAACACAGGAGAGGTTGGAACGCACAGGCTGATACAGGAAGGGCAGAGGAGTAGGGAGTCCATGTGCACAGGCACAGCGTACAGCTCCAGTTCTAACCAGAGATGAAGAATTAGAGGAAGAAAAGGGTTCATCCCAGGAAACTAGGATCTGCAGCTCAGGATCTCAAGTAACCACTTCATGCCCGGTTCTCGGCCCAAGGCTGATAGCTGGGGCTCTCAGTGTGAGCAGCCTTGCAGATGTGGGCAGGTAATGCCAGCAGAGTGCACAGGGCTCCCATGGCGCTGGTGGTCAGAGCAGGGAACCACAATCCGCCCACACTGATGTTGTGGCCAACAGCACATCCAGTTCATGGAAAAAGTCTAGAAGCCAGGGCCCCTTCAGCTAATACAAAGATGTGATAGTTTTAATTCTCAGTGAGTGGAGGCTGTGGCATTCCCTCAGTGGCGCAAATGTCGTGATGACAAGATTTGATAGGAGGATCGTGTTCCACCCATGACACCACTGAGCACCACCGATCAGCTACTGTTAGACAAGACTCTAGCCACATTCCTATTGCTTCTGCTTCCAAAACTCCATCTGCATTTGCATAGCAGTAATTTGATGATTTTACACAAGCTCATTGTGGCAAATATTTACTAGTTTTTGCTTCAAACAGAAATACAACCTCAGACTTTGATTACCCCCATTTTACTGATGAACAAACTAAGGCACAACACCCAAAGGCAGCCAAAAACAAAAACAAACTGAGTCACCAGCTGAGTGAAGGTGAAACCCTTAGACTCCTATGGTTTACCCAAAAATGATGAGCTGCCAAAGGCACCACAAGATGCTTGCAGTGAGAATATGTCCCGATATGTCCTCACCCAAAATCATCTGGCACTATGTAACCCGTGTGTCTATCAATGCAGTTCAGCTTAACTGTCATTTCCTGGAGACTGCTCGCCCTTCACAGAGAACTGTCCTAGACACCATAGGCAACCTTGCTGCACGATACACTCAGCTCTCAGCTGGGGCATGTTCTGAAATCACAAGCTGGGCTCCAGATCAGACCAATTGAATCAGAATCTCTATGAGTAGGGCTTTTTTTTAAACCTTTCCAGATAATTACAATGTGCTGTTAGGATTGAAAGCCACTTCTATAGGAAATGCAGAGACAAATTCCAAACAGTAAGGAGCTCAGTCTAGTAATAGATGATCTTCAAACGTCACCAGGAAAAGGAGAACATCAAAACTGCTCTCCTGTGTGCGGAGTATTAAGACAATGTCAAACAGACAAAAATCCCTGGACTTTTCTCTGCCGTAAGTGACTGAAATCATCCTCATGTGGTAGGATGTGGGGATTTTCCTACCCCACAAGGTAGGAAATCTGGTTTTGTCCCAAGAAAGTACAAATGATTGAAACCAGAATCCTTGCCTTCTTCCACTATGGCACTGCTATTTACAAGAAGCCTTCAAACTTCCAGCTCTTATTAATTCCAGAAGTAGTAAATGATCTCCAGGAGTGATGGAGCAAGGCAGGCATGTAAAGCAAATAATGAAAGACAAAGGAAATTGCCTCATGGCCTGATGAGAGGCTAATGGATGTGCAGACAGAGACACCAATGTGTCACCATTAATGATGTCACTTTAGGAAAATCAGGAGGCCGAAAATTTTTTTTCATGCTTTGCCCTACAGTTATTTCCTATCTATTCATCTTAACAAAAGTGAATTTGAAAAGAAAATGTATACTTGTTTAAAATGTTAGTTTGGAGAAATGAGGACAACCTTTCTCTTTTTCTCTCTCTCTCTTTCTCTCTCTATCTCTCTCTTTCTCCAGTTGTCTCACCTTTGGTATTACATTTCCTGGCAAAGTAATGGGACTTCTGTTAAGGTCCACGGATAGTCATTAACCAAGTGGCATTTACATTCATTCATTCCACGACAGCCTGCTGAAATGAAACTAGTCATTTGATAGTATTAGCTACTAACATCGCCTAGACACCAAAGGTCAAAGAATGCAGTATGCCTTATTTATAGTCCAACCTTTTGCCAAATTTTTATAAGGTCTAATGGATGCATTTAATTGCCAAATAAATCAATGTTGACAGTTATACCCCCTCTGCAGTCCTAGATTCCAGATGTAGACAACCAAATTATAAAAACCCACGTTCTCCAGGCCTTGTCTTTTTTTTCAGAAAGCAAAGTTTTACCTGTACAAAGGAATATGAGAGGATGCCAGGAGCACACGTCAGTCGTTCAAAAGAACTTTTCATGGAACTAAGACCTCTAGGGAATATAAGCCACACAGCTAAGTTTCCACATGTTCTCATCACTTCTCTCACCTTTTTAAATGTAATGTGCCCGAAAAGGATGAAATATTGAGTAAAAAGCAGCAATTAAGTATCCTCTTTATCTGTTCTATTGTGGAGTGGGGGTTTATCTTGTTGAATTATTTCCTCACAGGCCCTAGTCAGAAGAATAGAGATTTAAATACTCCTGGATCAAACACTTTGTCTTGCTTGGGGCAATAGAGTAGAAATCAAAATATTTCTCTAGCCAGTTGCTGCTGCCCAATACAACATTTCTTCTGATTAATGATAGGTTTTTAATCAAAACATATTCACCATTTAAAACATAAACATAGCTTAGTATAAAATTTGCTTCTTTATTTTTTTTTCTATTTTCTATAGGGGAATTCTCATGCCCAGGCTGACACCTCTTCTACATTTTTCATCTTGGCTAACAAGGTTAAATAAGCATAAACAGAACTTAAACAAATCATCCATACACAACACTCTCTTTCTAACCAACAGGAAGCCACTGTAAAATTGAGAGATTTCAATGATAAAAAATGAGACAACGGAACTATGAAAGATGCCTAGAGAAAATGCTAATAGTTGTTCTTTAAGAAAATTCAAGTTAGATCCCAAGTCACAATATACATGGGCCGCAAAAAGTTGTCAATAAGATAAATATTTTTAAAATAAGATAAATCTATTTTTATATTGAAAATACCATTGACTCTCATTATAAAATTGAGATATCACACTACATTTTAATCTCATGACCTGTTTGAAAAATTACCCTGCATGTCTAGAAAACTATACATTTTTAGAGAAAAAGGATACATAAGAGTTTGGAATAAAGTATAAGTTTTGAGTTAAAATAGCTCAACCTCATAGCATACCTGAACTGGACACTGAGCCCTATGTTAGGGTTTCATTATGAGACTGCCTGCAACTCTTCCAAATTCCTCAAAGACTTATTTTCTGTAACTCTGTGAAAGTTGTCAACCTGAGAAATTAAGAGTGATTTGGTTTGAAAGATAAATGGGCAAAACACAGGACAGACAACAAATCATACCGAGCTCTTAATCTCCCTGAAGAGTGTACACTAACCAGAACAGATTATTGAAGGGGTCCCAAATTTCTGAAACCCGCATAGTTCATGCTTTTAATCCATTCTTCCATTCATAGATTTCATGGTTGCAAATTCTAGAACACGGTTTCCTTATGCACAGGTATGCTAGATCTAATCAAACCAACTGGATGGCAATGTGTTCATGTCCCCAGTGCCCAAATCGGAGTGATTTCCATTGCTTAAACCAGTGTCCGCGACCAGCAACCAGTCGGTCTCCTGTGTCTGAACACATCTGATGGAGTTTGGGATCTACTGTAGATGTAAATGAAGAATCTAAGATTTTGATCCTAACAGAAGAAGAGCTAATAAATGAAAGGCTGATTCACTTGCTTCATTTTTAGTCCACACTGGGAATCTGTTAAATTAGCAGGTTTGATTAATGTATTAACAATACAATACTCTTGATTTATTTTAAATGGCTTGCTATACTTCCCAGAAGCATAAGGTTTACTTGTAATGAGATGTGCAGGGCAACAGAGCTTCCTATGACTTCAAACTCCCTGGGCACATGGGAAGTTTGGTCTGGGGGGCTTTTCTCTGTGCCAAAGCCCCTGCTTGCCAGGCCTTTCCTCCTCATCCTTATTTCCTCTTTCCTTCTCTTTAATCTTCCCACTGTCTCCTTCCTCTGCCTTGAACATACCTGAAGCTCCCCCATGTTTATGTTAATAATGTATTATTATTTGATAATGAATAATAAATCATTGTTACCAATCAATAATTATTATTAAATAATTAAGTAAAATTTAATAATTAAAGGATATTGTTTAATATTAAGTAATAATTATTAGATAATAATAAATAAATAATTATTAAATAAACCTTCAAGATTCTGGACCCATTTCTAGATATTGTCCTTTTTTTAATTTTTATTTTATTTTATTATTTTGGGAGTACAGGTGATTTTTGGTTACATAGATAAATTCTTCAGTAGTGATTTCTGAGATGTTAGTGCACCTGTCACCCGGGCAGTATACGCTGTACCCAGTGTGTAGTCTTTTCTCCCTCACCTCCCTTCCAACCTTCCCCCTCAAGTCCCCAAAATTTATTATATTGTTCTATGCCTTTGCATCCTCATAGTTTGGCTCTCATTCATAAGTAAGAGCATACAATATTTGGTTTTCCATTCCTGAGTTACTTCACTTAGAATAATGGCCTCCAGCTCCATTCACATTGCTGTAAAAGACATTATTCTGTTCCTCTTTATGGCTGAGTAGTATTCCATGATGTACATACACCACATTTTCTTTATCCTCTGGTTGGTTGATGAGCACTTAAATATGCAAAGATATGGAACTATGCTTTCACATCTTTGCAATTGCAAATTCTGCTGCTATAAACATGTGTTGCATGTGTCTTTTTCACATAATGACTTCTTTTCCTTTGGGTAGATAACCAGTAGTGGGATTGCTGGATTGAATGGTAGTTCTACTTTTAGAACTTTAAAGAATCTCCGTACTGTTTTCCATATTTACTTTCCCATCAGCAGTGTAAAATTATTCCCCTTTCATCACGTCCATGCCAACATATATTGTTTTTTGACATTTTAATTATTTAATTTTAATTTAATAAATATTTTAATAATTTTTAATTATTTCCAGATACTTTTATTTATACTTCACTCTTTTCATAACCAAACTTCTCAAATAAATGGTATTCACTTGCCTCACTTTCTTAATCCCCTTCAATCCTCAGCTCACGGTAGTCTGGTTTTTGTCCCCAACACGCCACTGAAACTGCCCTCATTAAAGTCCCCCATGGCTGCCTCCTGCTAATGCTCCTCATCTCCCTGCAGTACTTGCTGCTGTAGCCACGTCCTTCTTCACACCCCCTCCTCCTTTCACTTCTGTGCTTCTCCATTTCCTAGATCCCCTCCTACCTTTGTGATCATTCCTCCTCTGTGACCTTCTTTAACTGGCTTTGCTTGGTAACAGACACATCTGTTCGCATCACTAAAATGCTTCAGGGGTTGCCCACCTCTTACAAAATAAAATCAGGTCTCCATAGCATGGGCTGCAACGTCCTTCAGGGTCAGCCGCTACATATCTCTCCCAACCATTCAGTACCAACCCATCTTCTGCTTCAGCCATGTCAACCTTTTTGCAGTTTCACAAACAGGTTATGCTATTTCACGCTCCTGTACCTTTGTACAGAATGTTCTTGACTCCACCCCCATCCTCCACTAAGGAATTCCAGCTCATCTTTTAAGACTGAGGACAAAGGTGAGCAATTCTGGGAAGCTTTGTCTGCCCCCAAACAGAGGCAGCAACCCCACCTGAGTCCTGGGCATCTGTGACACATTTTCACTGTAGAGCTCTGCACCCTGTTACGTCTCCCATATCCGAGTCCTGTGAGGTCAATAGGTTCTTGTTCATCTCTCTGTCTCAGGTTTGCACACTCCACCTACCACATGATTAGGGTGCAAGAAATGCATGCTTCTTTTACTTCTCTAATTTAACATAATTTGCCCTGAGCTTTCTATTCATTTCATAGAAAATTTTAATCTCAGTTATTACTGGGGCATGTCCCCTCCCCAGAGTCAGACGGAAGTCCAGTGTCAGGTAGAGGTGCATGACGCAGAGCATGCAAAGAGACTTTGTCTACCTGGTCACCATATCCAGGCTTGTTTTCCAAAACAGCATGGAACCCTGAGGCAAGTTCTTCTAAGGCTTGGGCCTGGGGATTCTTTTCACAGAGGTTCTCAAGGTCACAGACTTCAATGTTTAGTTATTTCTACCCCAGTGCCACTTTCAGCCCCTCAGCTGCCCTCATTGTTCGTGCTGTTGGAAAGCAAGGTCCAGATGATCATACTTCAAGGGCACCCCAGTGACTCTGTTCTTTCTCTCATTTTCAGAGACTCCCTCAGTCTCCAGTCAGGGTGCACACCTTCAGAAATGCAAAGCTCCCACTCCTGCCCATCACAGAGCAGCATGATTCTCCTCAAGGTGCATAGGGAGCTGAAACAAAAACAGAAATAGGGATGTCTCCTACTGGAAAACCTGTTTTCAGCCCCGCAACGAAACAGCTCTCAAAGACAAGGGCATGACAGGGTCTTGCTACCTTTTTGAGGCAAAGAGTACCCTCAGTGAAGAAACCAAGACATAGGTAAATATCTCGATAAATTGCTCTGCCATAAAACCACCCATGAATTTCTTTAATTTCTTTAATTACTTAATTAAAAGCAGAAATGGCCATGAAAAACACAAATGGAATTGCTCTCCCAAAGAAAGACACCTCTACCTGGCAGCCCTCGCCACTAAGCCTAATCCTCCTTCTCGTTCCTTTCCTAAGGAGGAAGCCCTAAAAGGCCTGGGATTCCCTGTCTGTGGCCCAGGAACACTACTCACATGGCCAAGTTTATTTGAGCTGCTGACTTGAGCTGCTGACTTGGGCTGCTGACGCAGGGTATTTGCAGCAGCTGCACTAACCCACTTTTTCTCATGGATGATTTTAATCTCTTTAATTTTTGCCCAGCCTGTGAGAAAACTGAAAGCGTGGTTGGGAGGGGGCGGGAGATAGAAGTTACAGGTCATGAGCTGAGTGGCAGCTAAATCCTGTGGGAGGAAGCAAATGCAAGTGTAATCCTTTCAGGAAAACAAGTATTACTGGAGAGGAGAAAGCTGCCAATGTAACTTTGTTCCAAGAATAAATAGCACATTTTCCCTCAGTGTTTGCTTTTCTCTCTTTGATCCCCTTGAAGCCCTCTGGAAATGCCTGGCCAGCAATTTTTCTCCCCTCTGAGGCTGGGGAGAAGGAGCCACAAGCACTCACTTGAGATTCCTCAAATGAAGGCATACAGAGGGGCTCCCAGGCAATGCTGGAGCATGAGGCCTGTGGAAGCCCTGGATCCAGACGTCGGTGTGAAGTTTAATTACCACAAATATGCCACGGTGTTTGCAAACATGCAGTCATCATGCCCAGAAGCAGTTAAAAAGGGAATAATAATAGATAGGGTATACATGACTAAAGCCACTGGGAGCCATGGGAGTTTGAAAATGGGAAAGGAAAGGCAAAGCTCAAGTGGGTTAATGTTTAGCTTTGGTCCCAAGCAAAATAAATGCCTGCACACAGTGAGGCTGACAAGAGCATGCCCTCAACACGGGGAGTTTATGGCTCAAGTGCTCTAGAAACCACAGTCCTTAGTTACTCACATAGTTTCCCCTTCTTTTCCCAGATAGTTTTATTCCAAGGGAGTTGCAGGCAGGGCAATGCCAATGAAAGATGAAAGCCGTGCCATCAGATAGACTTGCATTCAGTCTTGGTTCTCCCACTTCCCACTTACTAGTTGTACTAAGCATGACAAGTTAAGTACTCAGCGTCCTCTTCTGTCACATGGGAATAATAATACTTCTCTTACAGGATGGTCATGAAGAATATATGAGATGATGGATGTAAACATTTAGGATCATGCTTGACTCTGAGTGTTCAAATATCAATTCCCTTCCACCACTGCCACCCCATAGCATCATTCAAATCAGAAAACACTTACTAAGCACTGATTCATGGAAAGACTGACTTATAGCAGGCTTATGCAGGAAGCCAAGTATGAAACCCACTCAATAAGAAATGACATTCGAAATGAAGATTCAAGCCTGAAAAGTGCCAAATAACAGGCAAATGTGACGTCATAAAACTGCACATGAGACCCTGATCAATGGCCAGTCCTGACAGTCTGTCTTAGGAATCCCCCAGAGAATTGAGATAGCTAAGTAAAGCTTTGTGGAGAGGGCTGGGCTTGCTTTGGACAGAGCAGCAAGGAACAGCTAGGAAAAGGCAATACACTTATTTGACTTAAGTAGGTACACCTTAAGGGATTTTGGGGAGATATCTGGAAAGGAAATTGGGAAGTTTGGTGAGTTAAAGATGATGAAAAATTCTCCATCACTCTGCCCATTGACAGATAGAGTCTATGTCTCTTCTTGATTCTGGGCAGATTCAGTGGCTGCTTAAAAAATAGTACCTGGCAGGAATGATGCTGTGCCAGTTTCAGACCTAGCCTTGGAGAGAATCAGTAGCTTTTGCTTCCTGCTTCTGGCTACTTCTGCTCTGTAGACACTGCCTCTTAGAATCTAGCCACCATGCTGTGAAAAACCCAAGCCAAATGGAAAAGCCATGTGTGACTCTTCAATCAAAAGCCCAGCTGAGCTCCCAGCCAACAGACAGTAATAAGAACAATCACGTGAGTGATCCATGTTGTATATTCCAACCCAATCAAGCCCCCAGATGACTGAAGTCCCATTTGGAGAAGAAGAACCACCCAACTGATCCCAGTAAACCCACAGAATTTTGAGAGATAATAAAATGTCACCTGCTGTTAGACACAAATTTGGCGGTGGTATATTATACAACACTAGATAACTGACACAGGAAGGGATTCGTGGGAGGCATTGAACATCAAACACCATAGTCTAAATTCATCACCATCATCATAGAAACTATTAGCAAATGATCACTAAATGCCAGACACTATGAGGTAAGTTTTTATAACTTTTAAAATTTAACCTGCTTATAAACCAGGTTAAGTAGGTACTATTATTCATACTTAATAGTCAAGTAAACTAAAATTTAGAAAGGTTTAAAATTTGCTCAAGATTTTACAGCCAGAAAATAGTAGAGATGGAATTCAAGCCAGTTATATTCTGAACACTCTCAAATCTGCCATCTTGTTTCTACAAGGTGAATAAGCAATGGGTGTACTGATAATCTTGACAGATACAAACAACTCTCCAGCTGCAAATTGTCAACCAGTTTGAAAAACCACAAGCTGCCTGGGCTTGTCAAATAATTCCATGCAAAACAATGGCAATAGGTTTAACTCTCATTGTTCAGTGACTATATAGGTATATAAGACAATTTGGGATGAATAAAAATGATGAGTTTATTGAGGAAAATAGAAGCCACTTGTATTAGTTACCTATTTCTGTATAATCACCCCCACAAAAACAAAAACAGTAGCTTATAAAAACAATGATCACTCATTATGTCTCATGGTTTTGATGGATCAGGAATTTAGGAGTGGCTCAACTATGAAGTTCTTAGCTTGGGGTCTCTCAGGAACTTGTAGTCAGTTGTTGGCTGGGGTTTAAGTCATCTGATGACTTGCCTGGAACTGGTCCACTCCAAGGCAGCTCACACCTTCATCTGGCAAGTTGGTGCGTGTTGTTGGTGGGAGGCCCCAGTTCTGCATCAGGTGGGCCTCTCCAGAGGGTTATTTGAGTGTCTTCATGGCTTGACAACTAGCTTCCCACAGAGCAAGTTTTCCAAAAGGCAGAAGCCACAGTGCCTTTTAGAATGTAACCTCAGAAGTCACACATCAACCCTTCCACCTAATTCTATGGATTACCTAGGGTCATCTCTGATTCAATGTGGGAGGGGACTCCACAAAATCATGAATACAAGGAGAAAGCAATCATTAGGGGCCATCTTAGAGACTGGCAACCATACTTCTCTATCTATTCTAAGTACTTTGGCTTTGAAGCTTTAAAGCAGGACATTTGAGGTTTTTATAGGTGTCTGTAGGGCTAAGGAACAAAGATTAAAGAAGTCATTTGGGATGACCCCAGCCTGCATTACCAACCTAAGAAATTCTGAAGCAATCATTTGAAAGCTGTTTCAAATATCAGAACATTTTAGGAAACTCCTACCATCTATCTCAGCCAGCAGCTCTGAAGTGAGAGATTCTCTAGAGGGCACCGCTGGGCTATCTCAGGTTCCCACAGCACCAAAGAAGGTCATTCACAAGGAAGTATCCTGAATCAGCTGCTAAGAACCTTATATCTGCCTTCTGCCTCTGCCTACAAGTACTTCCAGAGAGTGTGGCCTTTCTCACTTCTCTGCCTTTCCCTCTCAGGCAAATCCCTCCCATTGACTGACATCAATTTAAGATCACAAGAAGCAGAAGATTCCAGGAAATGTCATTCCTGGCCTCTTACTGGTGATGCAGGGAGTCTATGGAAGTAGGTGGTGGTGATGCTAAGCTGAGCACAGGTAATCTCGCACAGACTTGGGGGAGTTTCCAGCCAATGAAGCATGTATGTGCTACGCATTTTGGCTTGAAATTCTCCCTCTGCTCCAAAATAGTAATAAACTGTAAATATATAAATGTATATATGAAAATGGAAAAAAGCATTTCCATGAACAAGACAGTAATGAACAGGAGATGAAGCTATGAAGCTATAGATCCCAAAATTGGAAGATATGCTTAGAATTCTACCCCTTTAAGTGGGTCATGTCCTGAAGGGTGATGGGATTTACAAGCACCCTGTGCCTGAGAAATGATCAGAGTGGAGCTCCGTCCTGAAAAGAAGGTTACTGAAAGATGAGGCCACCGGCTAAGGCTATGGCTTGTTCAAATGGCATACTTACGGCCTTATTCCAAGTGATTGTCACTCATCCCTAGTCTGAAAAAGAGAAAGGCCTTATGTGTATCATTTCCTCACTGACATCTACCACTTCCTTATATTAGCTTCATCTTTTTGACCCTCTCCCCAAATTATTTTATTAGACTTGCCAACATATTTTACTGACATTTTTGCTCCTTGTTTTTTACATCCCATTTCTTTCCTGTGAATTTACATCTCCTCTTGCTAAAGTACATCTTTTCGTAACTCCTTCAAGGGTTTATAAAAGGTAAATGCTAATAATTTTTATGTTTCTGAAAATATCTTTATTTTTTCCCCTCTTGTAAAATAATTTGGGTATAAGATTCTAGGTTGACAGTGATATTCCTTCTTAACTTTGAAGATGTTGTTCTATACCTCCTGGCATCTGTTGTTACTAATGAAATGTCTTTTGTTAGTCTAATTGTTCTTTCCTTTTTCTCTATTAACTTTTAAGAATTTCTCTTTATCCTTCTTAGTCTATTAATATTAATTAATTAATATTTCTGATTGTGAGTTTATTTCATTCTGCCCAGCACCCTGTGTGTTCTTATACTCATAAAGCTCATGTTTTACTTTAATTCTAACATGTTATGATTTCTTATAGTATCAATTTTCTGCCATGTGTCATTTCTTTTATTTTGTACTTTTTAATTCCCTATTTAATTTGTGTTGAAAACTTTTACTTGCCTTACATGTCACCTTATTCGTTTTTTAAACAACTTTTTAGCTCTCCGTGTGATTCTCTGTGTGATTTAGAGTTCTGTGTGATTCCTAACAAACTATATCCCAGCTGACCAATTATCTCTAAAGAGTTTCCAATCTAGAGTTTATCCCATGTGTTGATTTATATTTTAAATTTCGGACGATATATTGACATTTCCAAGATTGATGATTCTGTTTTTTTTTTTCTATGCCGGGATTTTTCATGTCCAGGATTCACATCTAAATTGTTTTTGTTTCACAATTCCTTGTACTTTTTAATAGATATTATTCTGTCCTTTTACTTCTGAGATATTGTATTCATTAATTTAATAGCCTATTTTGTAGCGTTTACTATGTGCTAGGCATATTAATTCCTGGTATCAATTCTATAATAGTACTTTTATTATCCACACATTATAGATCAGGAAACTGTACAGAAAAATAATTGAGTAAAAGTCAGTCTTCTAGAAAAAAGATTAAGATAGAGAAGTGTGAATCTGAAGGAGGACATAGAAGCTATTTGACACAATATAATTTTCAAATTAATTTACATATTCTACGCAATTCTTTTTTTTTTTTTTTTTTTTTTTTTTTGAGACGGAGTCTCGCTCTGTCGCCCAGGCTGGAGTGCAGTGGCGCAATCTCGGCTCACTGCAAGCTCCGCCTCCCGGGTTCACGCCATTCTCCTGCCTCAGCCTCCCGAGTAGCTGGGACTACAGGCGCCCGCCACTACGCCCGGCTAATTTTTTGTATTTTTAGTAGAGACGGGGTTTCACCGTGTTAGCCAGGATGGTCTCGATCTCCTGACCTCGTGATCCGCCCGCCTCGGCCTCCCAAAGTGCTGGGATTACAGGCGTGAGCCACCGCGCCCGGCTATTCTACGCAATTCTGACCAAAACATCAATAGGCATTTTCACTGAAATGAGCAAATTGATTCTAAATTGTTTATAGGGCTAAGATCTAACCAAGATAATTCTGAAAAAGAAGAGCAGAAACAAAGAACTTTACCTACAAGCGATACAGGCTTACTATGAAGTACAGTAATAAGACAGTAAGCAAGTAAGACAGCAACAGACCAGCAACAGACACATGGCTCAATGGAACAAAATTAAAAACCCAGAAACAACTCCAAGTATAAAAAAGTCTTTGGCATAAAGTAGATGAGGCAGTGTAAATCACTGGGGGAAAGACAGAGTGTTCAATAAATGGAACTGGGAGAACTTTATTTCCATATGGAAATTTCCATAGCTGGAAAATACCATTAGATCTTCACTTTATACCATTACAAGAATAATTGTACCTATATGACCTTGGAAAGAAGAACTTATAAACAAGATACAAAAAAGCAGAAATTGTAAAGGTTTAATTTATCTGGCTATATTAACACTAAAACTTCAGTACAATAAAGACCACTTTTTTAAAAGTTTGTGTTTTTAAAAAGAGAAATTGACACAATAGAAGACAATTTCAACATATTTAATTACTAAAGTGGAGTAATAAATTAAGTAAACTCTACTTTTTATTCAGAAAGACTTGCTTCTACAAAATAAGAAAAAGACAAACAATGCAATAAAAAAAGAGGAGCAAGTGTTCCTTATGTTCAAAGAAGAACATAAATGGATGATTAGCATATGAAAATATAAGTAACAGGAAAATGAAATGTAAAACAACACTGAGGTTCCATTTAACATTTCTCAATAGGACAAAAGCTGAAAGCCTGACATATTCCTGTTGGCCAGGATAAAAAACCAAACAAACAAGACTTGTCAAACACTGCAAATAGAAGTATGATTTGGTTCAGTCACCTTGGATACCTGTTTCATAATAACTGGAACGCAGAATTTGGCAATCCAGTAATTTCAGTTATAGGTTAATACATCAGACAAAGTCCTGTACCTGTACTCTAGAAGACAGAGTAGTATTTATTTCAGCTCTGTTTAGAGTCACAAAATATTTGAAACATCCCAAATGTCCATCAGAAGGAAACCAGATAAGTAAGCAGATAAGTATTGGTGTATTGCCTATGACAGAATATCATAATACAATTAAGATGACTGAACTATAATTTGCATATAGCAATGAAAATAAATTCCAACAAAGTACATTGTGTAGAAAAAGTTGCCTAACACTGTGTACTATATGATACCATTTATGTATATTTTACAAAAAATAATTTTATATTCTTCATGGCTACTATATGTTTTCATACTTTTATATAACAAATGCATGATACTGCTGCTACGGGGAAGGTAGAAGGTGAATGAAGTTGGAGATGGGAGCAAAAGAGAATTCAACTTTATTGTAATGTTTTATTTATTTAAAAATAAGCAAATAAGATAAAATGCTGGCATTTACTTATTTTTGGAGTTGATGTTATAGCCTGAATGTTTGTGTTTTCACAGAATTCATATGTTGAAACCTAATCCCTAATGTGAGAGTATTTGGAGATAGGGACCTTGGAAGGTAATTAGGTCATGAGGGCAGAACTTTCATGAGTGGGATTAGTATCCTTATAAGAGAAACTCTAGGATAGCCAAAGGTTAGTTAATGGAAACAAAAGTACAGCTAGATACAAAGAATAAGTTTTAGTGTTCTATAGCACTATAGGGTGATTAAAATTCACAATTGTAACTCCTATTCAGAGAGTTAGAAGAGAGGATTTTGAATTTTCCCAATACAAAGAAATAAATATTTGAAGTGATAGATTTGTTAATTACCCTGATTTATCAATACATGTTGTGTATTAAAATATCATACCACATCTCATAAATATGCACAATTAATATGTTAATTAAAAATAATAATAAAAGAAAAAAGAGACCACAGACAGCTCCCTTGGTCCTTCTGTCATGTGAGGACACAGTGAAAACTAGAAAATGGACCTTCACCAGGCCTGAATCTACTGGCACCATAATCTTGGCCTTCCCAGCCTCCAGAACAGTGAGAAATAGATTTCTGTTCTTTATAAGCCACGCAGTGTATGGTATTTTGTTATAGCAACCCAAACTAGGATAGTTGAGTATATTGATTTTTATTATTTGTAATTATTTTACAAATAAAATAAGGGAGGGAGGAGAACAAGATGACCAAAGAGAACCCTCCAGTGATCATACCCTCCACAGGAACACCAAATGGAATTGCTATCCACACAAGAGAGTACCTTGGTAAAAAACAGAAATCAGGCTAGCAATCACAGTACTTAGTTTTAAAATCAAGTAAGCTGAGCAGCACTGAAGAGGGCAGGAAAGACAATCTTGAATTGCCAACCCCATTCCCCAGCAGCGGCTGCATGGTGCAGAGAGAGTATCTATGTGCTCGGGGGAGAGAAAGTGCAGTGATTGTGGGACTTTGCATTGGAACTCAGTGCTGACTTGTCACAGCAGAAAACAACACAGGCCAGAATTCAGCTAGAATCCATGGAGGCAGCATTTAGACCAAGCCTAGCCAGAGGGAAGTTGTCCATTCCAGCAGTTGGAGCCTGAGTCCTACACCACAGGTTAAAGCACTCTGGGATTCTAAATAAACCTGAAAGGGAGTCTAGGCCACAGGGACTGTAATTGCTGGCCTGTGCTGGGCCCAGAGCCAGTGGATGTGAGATGCATATAACCTAGTCAGACACTAGCCTGAGTAGCCAAGGGAGTGCTTGTGTCACCTCTCCCCCAACCCCTAGAAGCACAGCTCACAGCTCCAGGAGAGACTCCTCCTTTCCACTAGAGGGGAGGAGAGGGGATAGTAAAGAGGACTTTGTCTTGCAACTTGGATTCCAGCTCAGCCACAGTAGAACAGGATATCAGGCAGAGTCCTGAGGTTCCTCATTCAAGTCCAAGCTCCTGGACATTTCTGGACATACCCTTGGCCACAAAGGAACCTGCTGCCTTGAAGAGAAGGACCCAGTCCTGACAGGGTTCATCAATTCCTGACTAAAGAGCCCTTGGGCCTTCAGTAAACATCAGTGGCACCTAGGTAGTACTCACTGCAGGCCATAGGTAAGATTCAGAGATGTGCTGGCTTCAGCAGTGACCCATAACATTCCCAGCTGTGGTGGCTAAGGGGAGAGGCTCCTTCTGCTTAAGGAAAGAAGAGGGAAGAGTAAAGGGAACTTTGTCTTGAAGCTTGGGCACCAGTAGAGCCAAAGTGGTGTAGAGCACCATGCATACTCCTGGAGTCCCCAGTTTCAGACCTTGGCTCCTGGATAGCATTTCTGGACCCACCCTGAGCCACAGAGGAGCCTCCTGCTCTGAGGGGAGAGACCCAGGCTGGCAGCATTTACCACAAGCTGACTGAAGAGCCCTTGGGCCTTGAGTGAACGTTGGCAGTAGTCTGGCAGTACTCATGGTGGGCCTGGAACACCAATGGCCACGGCGAAAGATGCCTCCTACATAGGAAAATGATATGGAAGAGGAGGAAGGACTTTGTCTTGTGGCTTGCGTATCAGCTCAGCCACAGCAGAATAGAGAACTGAGTAGGTTACTACAGTTCCCAACTCTAGGCCTAGTTTCTGGATTTCTGGACCTGCCCTGGGACAGGGGGGATCTCACTGCCTTGAAGAGGAGGACATAAGCCTGGCTGGGTTTACCACCTTATGACTGAAGAGCCCTTGGGCCTCAAGAGAACATCAGTGATAGCTAGGCAGTTGTCACCACAGGCCTTGGGCAAGACCCAGTGTTGTAATGGCTTCAGATAGGACCTAGCACGCTCCCAGTGGTGGTGGCTATAGGAGTGCTTGTGTCACCCCTCCCCAAGCTCCTGGCAGCTCATCATAGAGGCAGAGACTGTTTGGGAGAAAGTAAGAGAAGTAAATAAGAGTCTCTGTCTGGTAATCCAGGGAGTTCTCACAGATCTTACCCAAGACCACCAAAGTGGTACCTCTATGAATCTGTAAGAGTCAAAGCATTACTGGACTTGGGGTGCTCCCCGATGCAGATATAGCTTCAGTGACCAAAGATTTAGATCACAACACTTTGAATACTTGGAAAGCCTTCACAAAGAGGAAGGGTACAAACAAGCCCAGACTAAAAACTACAATAAATACTTAACCTTGAATGCCCAGACATTGATGACATCCACAGACATCAAGACCATCCAGAAAGACATGACCTCACCAAGCAAATTCAGTGAGGCAACAGTAACCAATCCCAGAGTGACAGAGATATGTGACTATGTGACCTTTCAGACAGATAATTCAAAATGGTTGTTTCAAGGAAGCTCGATGAAATTCAAGATAACAGACAGAAGAAATGCATAATCCTATCAGATGAATTTAACAAATAAACAAATATTTTTTAAAAAAAGTTAAGCAGAAATTCTAGAGCTGAAAAATTCAATTGACATACTAAAGAATGCCTCACGGCTGGGCGCAGTGGCTCACGCCTGTAATCCCAGCATTTTGGGAGGCCGAGGCGGGCGGATCACGAGGTCAGGAGATCGAGATCTTCCTGGCTAATGTGGTGAAACCCTGTCTACTAAAAATACAAAAAATTAGCCGGGCTTGGTGGCACGTGCCTGTAGTCCCAGCTACTTGGGAGGCTGAGGCAGGAGAATCGCTTGAACCCAGAAGGCGGAGGTTGCAGTGAGCTGAGATTGCACCGCTGCACTCCAGTCTGTCAACAGAGTGAGACCCTGTCTCAAAAAAAAAAAAAAAAAAAAAAAGAATGCATCAGTCTCAACAACAAAATTGATCAAGTTGAGGAAAGAATTAGTGAGCTTGAAGACAGCCTAACTGAAAATACCCAGTCAGAGAAAACAAAAGAAAAAGAATAAAAAAGAATAAAGCATGCTTACAATATCTAGAAAATAGCCTCTAAGGGGCAAATCTAAGACTTATTGGTCTTAAAGAGGAGGTAAAGAGAGAGATTGGGGTAGAAAGTTTATTCAAAGGGATGATAACAGACAACTTTCCAAACCTAGAGAAAAATATCAGCATTCAAATACAAGAAGGTTACAGAACACCTAACAGACTTAATCCAAATAAGACTACCTCAAAACATTTAATAAACAAACTCCCAAATGTTGAGGATAAATAAAGGATTCTAAAATCAGCAAGCGAAAAGAAACAAACAACATACAGTGGAGCTCCAATAAGTCTGGCAGTAGACTTTTCAGTGGAAACTTTACAGGCCGGGAGAGAGAATTATGACATATATAAAGTGCTGAAGGGGAAAAAAAACTTTTATCCTAAAATAGTATATCCAGAGAAAATATTTTTCAAATGTGAAGGTGAAATAAAGACTTCCCCAGACAAACAAAAGCTAAGGGATTTCATAAGCACCAGATCTGTCCTACAAGAAGTGCTAAAGGGAGTTCTTCAATCAGAAGGAAAAGGACATTAATGAGCAATAAGAAATCATCTGAAGGTATAACACTCACTGGTAATAGTAAGTACACAGACAAACACCAAATATTATAACATTGTAATTGTGGTGTGTAAACTACTCATATCTTGAGTAGAAAGACTAAAAGATTAACTTCAAAAATAATAGCTACAACAACTTTTCAAGTCATAGACAGTATAATAATATATAAATAGAAACAAAAGGTTTAAAAGTGGGGGGATGAAGTTAATGTGTAGAGTTTTTTTTATTAGTTTTCTCTTTGCTTTTTAGTTTGTATTTCAATCTTTGTTAAATTGTCATCAGTTTAAAATAGTGGGCTATAAAATGTGATTGTGATTTTCAAGCCCCATGATAACCTGAAATAAAAAAACCTACAATAGATACACACAAAAAAAGAAAAAGGCAGAAATTAGAACATACCACCAGAGAAAATCGCCTTCACAAAAAGGAAGACAGGAAGGAAGAAATATGGATGGAAAGAAAAGACAACAAAACAACCAAAAAACAAACAACAAACTGGCATGAGTAAGTCCCTACTTATCAATAATAATATTGAATGTAAATGGACTAAACTCTTCAATCAAAAATCATAGAGTGGCTGAAAGGATATAAAAATAATACCCAACAATGTGTTGCCTACAGCAAACACACTTTACTAATAAAGACACACATAGACTGAAAATAAAGGAATAGAAAAAGGCATTCTATGCAAATAGAAACCAAAAAAAGCAGGAATAGGTATATGTACATTATACAAAATAGATTTCAAGAAAAAAAAGCTATAAAAAGAGACAAATAAGGTCATTATATAATAATAAAGGGGTCACTTTAGCAAAAGAATATAACAATTGTAAATATATATGCATTCAACATTGGACCACACAGATGTATGAAGCAAATATTATTAGAGCTAAAGAGAGACACACACCCCAATACACTAATAGTTGGACACTTCAACACCCTAGTTTCAGCACTGGACAGATCATCCAGACAGAAAATCAACAAACATCAGATTTTATCTGCAGTATAGACCAAATGAACTTAACAGATATTTACAGAACATGTCATCCAGTGGCTACAGAACACACATTCTTCTCCTCAGCACATGAATCACTCTCAAGGACAGTCCATATGTTAGACCACAAAACAAGTCTTAAAACATTCAAAAAATTGAAGTCATATATGACCATAATGAAATAAAATTCGAAATCAATAACAAGAAGAACTTTGGAAACTACACAAAGTTTGGAAACTATACATGGAAATTACACAATGTGCTACTGAATAACCTGGGGGTCAATGAAGAAATTAAGAAGGAAATTTAAAAATTTATTGAAACAAATGAAAATGGAAGCACAACATGCCAAAACCTACATGATACAATGAAAGCAGTACTAAGAAGAAAGTTTATAGCAATAAGCATCTACATCAAAAAAAGTAGATAAACTTCAAATAAACAACATAATGGATGCATCCTAAAGAAGTAGAAATGCAAGAGCAAACCAAACACCAAATTAGTAGATAAAAAGAAATAAGAAAGATCAGAGCATACGTAAGTGAAATTGAAATAAAAAAATACAAAAGAGCAACAAGACAAAAAGTTGGTTTCTTCAAAATGTAAACAAAATCAACAAACCTTTAACCAGACTAAGAAGACCCAAATAAATAAAATCAGAGATGAAAAAGGAGACATTACAACTGATACCACAGAAATTAAAAGGATCATTAAAGGCTATTATGAGCAACTATATGCCAATACATTGGAAAGACTAGAAGAAATGGATAAATTCCTGGATACATACAACCTACAAAGCTTGAACCATGAAGAAGTCAAAAACCTGAATAGACTGATAGCAAGTAATGAAATCAAAGCCATAATAAAAAGTTTCCCAGCAAAGAAAAGCCTAGGATTCAATTACTTCACTGCTCAATTTTACCAAACATTTAAAGAAGAATTAATCAATTTGACTCAAAGTATTCTGAGGAATAGAGGAAGAGGGAATACTTCCAAACTCATTCTATGAGGCCAGCATTACCCTGATATCAAAACAGACAAAGACACATAAAAAAAAATACAGGCCAATATCCCTAATAAACATAAATGCAAAAATCCTTAACAAAATACTAGCAAACTGAATTCAATAACACATTAAAAAGATCATTCATCATGACCAAGTTGGATTTATCACTGGGATGCAAGGAAGGTTCAACATAGGTGAATCAATCAGTGTCATCATATCAACAGAATGAAGGACAAAAATCATATGATCATTTCAATTGATGCTGAAAAGGTATTTGATAAAATTTGACATTCCTTTATGATAAAAACCCAACCCTCAAAAAATAGGTAGAGAAGGAACACACCTCAACACAAGGCAAGATGTGTATGACAGACACATAGCTAGTATCATACTGAATGGGAAAAAACTGAAAGCCTTTCCTCTAAGACCTGGAACAAGACAAGGATGCCCACTTTCACCACTGTTATTCAACATAATACTGGAAGTCCTAGCTAGAGCAATCAGACAAGAGAAAGAAATAAAGGGCATTCAAATTGAAAAGAAAGAAACCAAATTATCCTTATTTGCAGGTGATATAACGTTATATTTGGAAAAACTTAAAGACTCCACCAAAAAACTGTTAGAACTGATGAACAAAATTCAGTAAAGTTGCAGGATACAAAATCAACATAGAAAAATCAGTAGCATTTCTATATGCCAACAGCAAACAACCTGAAAAAGAAATCAAGAAAGTAATCCCATTTAAAATAGTTGCAAATAAAATAAGATACCTAGAAATAAACTTAGCCAAAGAAATAAAATATTTCTACAATGAAAACTATGAAACAGTGATGCAAGAAGTTGAAGAGGACACAAAAAATGGAAATACATTAATATCCATTGACTGGAAGAATCAATATTGTTTAAATATCCGTACTACCTACAGCAATCTACAGATTCAATGCAATCCCTGTCAAAATACCAAAGACATTATTCATAGAAATAGGAAAAGTAATCCTAAAATTTTTATATGGAACCATGAAAGACCCAGAATAGCCAAAGCCATCCTGAGCAAAAAGAACAAACTGAAGGAATCGCATTACTGGACTTCAAATTATGCTATAGAGCTAACAGAAACAGCATAATGCTGGCATAAAAACAGACACATAGACCAATGGAACAGGACAGAAAACCCAGAAATGAATCCATACATCTGCATTGAATTCATTTTTGACAAAGGTTTCAAGAACATATATTGGGAAAAAGATAATCTCTTCAATAAATGGTGCTAGAAAACTGGATATCCCATGCAGAAGAATAAAACTAGACCCCTATTTTGTCATATATAAAAATTAAATCAAAATGAATTAAAGACTTAAATATAAGAGCTCAAACAATAAAACTGCTAAAAGAAAACATTGATGCAATGCTCCAGGACATTGGTCAGGGCAATGGTTTCTTGAGTAACACCCATAAGCACAGGCAAGCAAATCAAAAATGAACGAGTGGGATCACATAAGTCTAAACACTTCCGCACAGCAAAGAAAACAACAAATTGAAGAAATAACCCACAGCATGGGAGAAAATATTTGCAAACCATCCGTCTGACAAGGGTTTAATAACCAAAATATATAAGGAGTTAAATAACTCTATAGAAAAATGTCTAATAATCCAATTAAAAATGGGCAAAAGATCTGAATAGACATTTCTCAAAAGAAGACATACAAATGGCAAACAGATATGTGAAAATGTGCTCAACATCATTGATCATCAGAGGAATGCAAATCAAAACTACAATGAAATATCATTTCATCCCAGTCAAAGTGTTTTTTATCCAAAAAGCCAGTGGCAAAGACTGGCAATAACAAATGCTGTTGAGAATGTGGATAAAGGAACACTCATAGACTGCTGGTGGGAAGGTAATTGGTACAGCCACTATGGAGAACATTAGGGAGCTTACTCAAAAATAGAACTACCATATGGTTCAGCAATCCCACTGCTAGGTATATACTCAAAAGAAAGAAAGTTATTATATCAAAGAGATATCTGCACTACCATGGTTATTGCAATACTATTCACAATAGCCAAGATTTGGAATCAAGCTAAACCTCCATCAACAGACGAATGGATAAAGAAAATGTGGTATGCATATACAATGGTGTGCTATTTAGCCATAATAAATATCAGATCTTGTCATTTGCAACAGCTTGGGTGGAACGGGAGGACATTAAGTGAAATAAGCCGGGAACAGAAAGACGAACTTCACGTGTTCTCACTCCTTTGTGGGAGCTAAAAACTAAAACAATTGAACTCCTGGAGATAGAGAGGATAATGATGGTTATCAGAGGCTGGGAAAGGTAGTGGGGGTTGGGGAGGAAGTATGGATAGTTAATCTGTGCAAAAATATAGTTAGAATTGATAAGATCTAGTATTTGATAGCTCAACAGGGCGATCATAGTCAACAATAATGTATTGTACATTTAAAAATAACTAAAAGAGTATAATTGGATTGTTTGTAACACAAAGAAATAGATGCTTGAGGTAATGGATACCTCATTTATCCTGATGTGATTATTATGCATTGTATACCTGTATTAAAATATCTCATGTACCCCTAAATATGTACACCTTGTATATACCCATAGAAATTAAAAAGAAAAAGAAAAAAAAGAAAGACATCAAAGGGATATTTCCCTTTCTATCAAAACATGTGAAACCATAAAAATGTTTTAATGTTTTCTTATGTCTGAGATGTGCTAAGCGTCAAAGAGAATAGCACCAAACACTGAGTCTGAGCTCATCTAGAAGCCCCAGAGTTTCAGAAAACAACCATGATGGAATTAGTGGCCTTGAGTTGGTTAGAAGACCCCCACTCTGGAAGAGCAATGTCAAATGCCGCCAACCTGCCTTCATCAGCTGCCTTAAAGGAGTCTTCTTTCCTTTAGATTCCTCCTAACTCATGTGCTAACCATGTTCAGGTCAACCCATGGGCAAAATTTAGGAAAATCCGGCCAGGGATGCATACAGGAAATAGTCCAGTGGTGCATAAAATTTGCAGCCATACTAATTCCTAAACTAGAGCATGCATCCACCTGGCTGAATTCCCTGGGAGTCAGGATTAGTAAGGAGGGGTTTATTTCTCCAGTAAATGCTCAGTCTCCCAAGGGATTTAATTACCTAATCTGGATGGTTCCCAAACTCTTTCTATACTAAGTTCTAACTATAATTGTGCTGGCAGTGGTAAGCTGATATCAATTAAGTGAAGTTAATTCCCAGGCCCAAATCTATACCATGCCAGTTTGCTGAAGGAACTTGCAGAATGTGATTAAGGAAGTAGGCAGTAATTCCCGAGAAAAAGTAGAGATTGATAAAATAACCAAATTTTCAAATAGGAAAAAGTGAATCCCAGTAATTATATGCCAATTAGATGGAGCCTAGAACATATTAGTGAATGTGGGAATAGAAATATGAATGAGAGATACTATTCAAGTGGTTAAGTGTGTGAATTTTCAAATCAGGCAGACCTTAGCCGATCTCTCATTATATCACATTTTTATACTAAGAATGATATTGTTGTTTATGAGGAGGAATCTTTCAGTCTGTGAATAATCATACAAAGCTATTACCACTATGTCAGTCTTAAGGGTGGCCAAGGTGTTTAAAACCAAGGTGCTGCTTCGTTTAACATGTTTATTTTTTATTGATGGTTTAGATCAATTCATAATAAAGATACATAAACATTTAAGCCTTCGTAGAATTAAAATTATACTGTCAGATTAAGATAACCTGTATTCTGTGGAAGACAGTAACTGTATAACTTTCATTGTCACCTCCCCTAAAGAGAACATTTTAATTTAATTTACTCTCTCCCTGAGAGAAATTAAATACCAAGGAATAAGATTTGGTTGAGTAAGATTGAGCTTTGGAGAGCCACAAACCATTGTAAATTCTAAGGTTTCTTCACTAATCAGTGTGAGTCAATAGAGAAATACAGCTGCTAAGGAGGTACTATAGTCATGAGTTGTGTCATAAATCCAAGTGTTGATGACAGAAGCCAAGTATTGAATAGGTAGCGGGAATTCTCAAGTACTCTGTATTAGTGAGACTTCCAGAGTGTTGAGTCCAGGTCTCAGCAACAAACAACCAGTGAGGTTCCGCCAGGCACAAGCAGATTTGTGAAGGTTTCAAATATCACAGGAGGAGCCAGATTATATGAGGAACTGAATCATAAAGAAAAAATCCAAGGGACTCAGAATGATTAGACCGAATAAAAAGAAATGTTTAAGGAAAATGATCATGATGTTAAAATATTTAAAAACGTAACACAGAGGGAAAATTGTGACTCAAGAATCCACCCACAAAATGGCTGCCATTTACAAGGTATGAGAAACACATTGTTAGCTATGCAAAAACCCAGAAAATGTACACTTCAGCAGCGTTTCTGAATAATCTATTTGTCACCAGCCTCTAAAAGTTGAATCTTAAATGCAATATGGTATCCTGGATTGCATCCTAGGAAAGAAGAAAATGATATGAGGGAAAAACTGTGGAAATCTGAAAAAAATCTATACTGTAGTCAGTGTATGGTACCAATGTCAGTTTCTTAGTTTTGATAAATGTGCCATGATTATGTAATATATTTATTCAGATTTTTCTGTTTTTCTCTTTTAAATATTTTAACTTTATGTTGATGATACTTCTGAAGTTTCTAGTCAAGTTCTAGTCAACAAATCACCAACTTAAAAAACTAATTTTTGAAACATTTTAAAAAGCCATACATACAAAGATGTTGTACACTAGTAAAAATTTGGAAGCAAAATGTTCAACTATATATGAGTACTTATATCATGGTACATTTCTATGATTAAATGTCTTAAAGCCATTACAGATGTTTGTGAAGCTGGTATTAACATGAGGAAATGCTTATGATATAATATGAAATTTAAAAGCAGAATACAAATATGAATGTAGCCCAAATTTCTGTACTACTTAAATCACGAGGTCAAGAGATCAAGACTGTCCTGGCCAACATGGTGAAACCCCATCTCTACTAAAAATACAAAAATTAGTGGCACACGCCTGTAGTCTCAGCTATTTGGGAGGCTGAGGCAGGAGAATCTCTGGAACCCAGGAGGCAGAGGTTGCAGTGAGCTGAGATCGCGCCACTGCACTCCAGCCTGGCCACACAGCGAGATTCTGCCTCAAAAAAAAAAAAAAAAAAGATACTCAAAAACAATATGTATTTTCTCTGGATTTTGTTTTGTTTCTCTTTTTTCTTTTTCTCTATTTTATAGTTTTCTCTAACAAGCATATATTACTTTGATAATCCAAAAAAAAATCCATAAAAGGATTTGAGCTAGTTTCATCGTGTAAATAGTTAGAGGTCAAAATCTATCCTCTCTCCCCCAGACTTTGACTAACTATACGATGTTAAAAGGCTGAGAATGAAAGCCATAAGATTGCACAACACAAAATAACTCGGAAGGATTTTTTTAAGAACATAGGATATAGCTAAATCTATTAGTCCTGGAAAGAAACTCTTGGTGCTTCTAAGCAGTCACAATGACTTAAGAGGCAAGATAGAGGAGCATGCCAAAGATATCTCAATGAGAGATAAGTGTACTACACACAAAGATGGAAAACAAACCAGAGGGAGAAGGATTAGAATCTGTTCCAGACTTTGGACAATAAACCAAAATTATATCTTAGTGCAGACAAATATTCTAAAAGAAGTGTGGCAGTAATCCAACCTGAAAAGTATATAGTGGCAGATGGCATTTATCCAGCATAAAGATTTACGTCTCATTAGCAAAAATGCTTCATGTAATGGTCAAAGACAGAGCAGAGAAAATTCAAGTCAGAGAGCTGTAATGTCACAGGCAAAACAGAACACAAAGTATGCAAGGATTGCAACTGTATCCAGAAGAGACTTTACTTGAATGAGCTAGTCATTCCCTCCCCATGAGGGTTCCTTAGAGAACGCTGATGAAAACAGAACCTCATGCACAGATGAAAGAGCATTATCTTATTTAGATAGGGAAAAGGTGGTATGGCCAAATGATAACAGGACCTGTGCCCATCTTCCATAATGGTCCTGGGTATTTAGAAATCCTAATATGGCTGCAGAGATTAGCCATGAGTCATAAACCTTTCAAAGACACCCTATCCAGTTGGGCATTTCATTTTTCCAGTGATGGATCATATGTCATATGTGTGTGTGTACTGTTCATAAGTTTTACTGAGGGTCTGTGTGCTAGCTAGAAACATAAATTTGTTAGCTCCAATACCAAAGCAGATCAAAGCACATTTTTTTAATAAATGTTGTTTCTACAAAACATTCATAGGCCTGGTACCAGTCTCAATTCACCTTCGGTGTTGTTAATTATAGAACTGGTATCAACAAGCTGAGTCATTATCAAAACTATGGAATATATTCGCAATTTAGTCTAGTATGTATATCCTTGTCCCAAAACTTCAGGTATGTGAAGCTCTTGGTGCCTACAAAGTACATATATATATATATATATATATATATGCTCTTGGTGCATACAAAGTACTTCTATATATATATATACACATATATATAGATATAGATATCCATAGGTATATATCTATACATACTTTAAGTTCTGGGATACATGTGCAGAATGTGCAGGTTTGTGACATAGGTATACATGTGCCATGGTGGTTTGCTGCACCCATCAACCCATCATCTACATTAGGCATTTCTTCTAATGCTATCCCTCCCCTAGCTCCCCACACCCTGACAGGCCCGTGATGTTCCCCTCCCTGTGTCCACGTGTTCTCATTGTTCAACTCCCACTTGTGAGTGAGAACATGGAGTGTTTGGTTTTCTGTTCCTGTGTTAGTCTGCTGAGAATGAAGGTTTCCAACTTCATCCATGTACCTACAAAGGACATGAACTCATCCTTTTTTATGGCTGCATAGTATTCCATGTTGTATGTGTGCCACATTTTCTTTATCCAGTCTACCATTGATGGGCATATGGGTTGGTTCCAACTCTTTGCTATTGTGAACAGTGCTGCAATAAACGTATGTGTGCATGTGTCTTTATAGTAGAGTGCATACGAAGTACTTATAATGCAAACATCCACGCTGCTCAAGCTAATGTTTAGCAGTTCTGAATATCCTGAGGTTTCTATTCCAAAAGCAGCTACACAAAATTAAAGAATGATTCATATACATCTTTTTAAAAATTCTGGGATGCTCTTTTACAATGACTTCATTTCCAGGAAATATCTACAATTTCCACAAATCTGTATTTCCAATGAACTCAGGGCAGTTTGATAAAGAAAAATATGCCCAGTTTGAATCTAAATACTCAACTTCATTCAATAAATTACAGGTCTTTCTATTCCATCTCGGTGCTGAAAAAAAAATTACAGATCTTCTTTACTTTTCCCTCATAATTTCAAGGTTAATGTGTTCAGATGTTTTTTCACATCATTAAAGATATACAATTCTTTGAGTCATTGGGAGCCTGATGGATGGGGTCTCTCAGGGCATATTCATTTTCCAAAATCATTGATCTGAGAACAAAGTTAAGTAAACCTCCTCTGACTACATTAAATAAAATAAACTTCTATTTTCTGCTTCAAGTTATTGAAGTATTCCTTAAGCTAGCACTGATGAAAGTATAGTCCTGAAAAAAATTCAGTCTTGCTTACCTTATCTAACCATGTGAGAAAACAGATATAAACATTCACAGGAGAAAATTCGTGAATAGAAGATCAATGGAAGTTGGGGTCGCTCATATTCTTTGTTGATATAAATGTAGATGCCAGTTCTTTTAATTGGTGTGGCTCACCTGTGGCATGTAAACTAAGTTTTTCCAAGGTATTGTATATATTATCAGGGAGAAGGGGAGCCCACTAGAAATTACCCCAGGATCAAATAACACATTGACTGAGATATACAGTAAATATTTTTGATCCTTTCCCATTCTCATAGGCAGGATCAGAAAATAGAGGCCTTGGACCCCCTCATAGTAAGTAAAAGACAAAGGAGAAATTAAGGACTGCTCGCCAAGGCCCATAGCCACGAGCAGGATTTACCCTACCCCCATGCAGCAAGGTCTGGTCAAGGAGAAGTTGCAAGGGCACATATTTGTCATGGGCATGAGCAACTTACAAAAATACTGCCCCTGAGCCATAAGCCACAAGCCAAACCTGCTCTGTGTGATTTATGACTTGTTTGTTTCCACTTAACAGCCAGGTTTGTTAAAGGACAGTTTTGTTCCCAGACGAATCATCAGTGAATGAAGGCCGTGGAAGTGTTGCAACTTGAAAATTGACTCAGACATGAATATGCAAATTATATTCAGACACAAAATAGATAAAAGCAGCTTATAAGCAAGCCAGGATGGGGGCTTTAGGGAAATTCCAGTAGAAAATACAGTCAGAGATAAATTTGAAGATGGATTTTTTTTTACTTTGTCTGGTTTTCCTCCTTTTATTTACCCTCTTTAGCTTAATTAAATAATCAGTCCAGCCTAGATGGACTGATGAGAACTAGGCCTGGATGAGAATATTTACATTAATGAGGCAAACCCTCCAGTCTCCTTCTGTTCTTTCTTGTCCAAGAGAAGTGTTTAATATTTCAGAAGTATCTGACTGAATAGTGCAATATAAATCAGGTAGGATGACTTCTGAGCTTCTGGTTCAAGATGGCTGACAGATCACATGTGGCAACCTCTTTCTTCACCCCAAATTCTTAGAAAGGATAACTTACTCTGGAAAATAAGATGTACCCTCAGTGGACCAAAAATCGGGAAAAAAAATCACTAAAACATAGAACGTGTATAGAATTAGACTGAAGAAGAAAACCACAAGCAACATGCACACAGGAGAGGGCAAATAAAAAAGGTGAGATAACTCTACCGGGCATACCCTACCAGGAAGGAGCAGTTACTCACAGGACGACGGTATACTGGAATCACTAACAGGCTTATTATTTAAGGTCCCGCAGAAAGAGCCACCAGGTATATGGAATCTTCCTCTCCTTCCAACTTCCCACCTTCCCACCCTTCCTTCTCATACTTGCAGGGTTGTCAGTTGCCCAAGGCAATTAGGCAACAGAGCTGTTTGCCCTTAGAGATGAGCAATGAGTATGTGCATTTGGACAGAGAAGCAGTCTAACTATCAAAGTAACATAGCTGGCAGTCATTGGCCCTTCCCTAGGCTCACTACACACACAAAGTATAAGTGCAGCATCACGGAATGCCTCTCTCTCCTGCCTCTCACCCTATCCTATGTACACTTGTGAGTACATAATGAATGAATAGCAATTAACAGGAAAAAACAAATACAAAGAATCACTTGCAATCACAAATCATTAAACATGTGAGAAAAGCTAGCACCATTAAAAAGAGGCACTCTCAAACTCAATGAATAGATGAATCTGACTAATGGAAAACAGAGGTAATAAGCTGAGCAGAAAAAACAACCACAAGACAAAGTTAAAGGAGACATATTCAGAGAAAATATTTGCAATGAATATGAAAGGAATAGTATGCAGGATATAAAAAGAATTCCAATAAGTCAAAAGGAAAAAGCTGTCCCCACCATGTTAGAATACAGTTAGAGGACAGCCATCTGCAAATCAGGAAGACAGCCCTCATCAGAACCCAGCCATGCTGGCACTCTAATCTCAAACATCCCAGCCTCCAGAACAGTGAGAAATAAAAGTCTGTTATTTAAGTTAAGAAGAAGGAGACAGAGGAGGAGAATGAGGAGGAGACAAACAATGCAATACGAAAATAGACAAATTTTCTAAAGAAATAATTAATAGAAATAAAAATATAGAAACAGTTTAACCTCTCTACTAATTGAAGAAATGAAAATTGAAATGAAATATTTTTACCTTTGAGTTAAATGTTTCTTAATATAAAATGATGGCAAAAATAAGGGGAAATAGTTGTTACATAATGATTCAGACAATTTGGAGGGAGATTGGGAAATATCTGCTAAAATTAAAGTTTTAGATTCTTTGACAAAGCCATTTCATTGCTCTGTATCAATTCTAGAGAAACATTCACATCTGTACAGAGTCATGTGTATAAAAACATTTGTGGCCACATTATTGTAATAATAAAATCTTAGAAATAACCTTAGTGTCTGTGAGTAGGGTAATTATTAAATAATATGGCACATGCATATTATAGAAAATAAACAGACAGAATGAGTTTTCTCCATTTATACCAATATGGAAAACTCTCTAAGATATGTTAAGTGAATAAAGCCATTTTAGAACAGTACATACAATAAATTCCATTTGTGTGAAAAATTAAAACATAAAAATATTATAATTTCACAAGTACACATGTGCATGTAAATATGTATGTAAAAATTCGAAGGGATACACACATATAATTCACCCTGGAGAGGAAAATGAGAAGTGGCAAACGGGGATTTCAGCATTATTTGCAGTACTTGAATTATTTATAAACAGAATGTATACACATATTACTTGTACAAAAGGTAAAAACTTCTATATGTAGAAATAAAATTAAATGATTGATCTAATAGGGAGATAATTACCTATAAACTGAATAAAGAAAACTCATCACCCAGGATACCAACACAAGAAGCATTGGTGGCTATTTTTGCATAAAAGATGAAAGAAAGCAGCCATAAAAAAGTTTATGTTCTTCCCCCAAGGAAAAGAATGGCAATCAATGACAAGTCACAGCTGCATAGACGCAGCCCCATCTATGTGCTGACTCAGGAGGTAACGCAGTGCTTCCTCTCTTTGATTACCAGGGGTCTTGACTTCTGTACTAAAGTAAGAGAGAAAAATAATCTCTAAAAAACAGTTTTAATAAATATCACCTTTGCTGAGGGTAGGAAAACGACACTAATTTCACTGACAGACAGATTATCTCACACCACTGGCTTTTCAGAAAAATTGTGAAGCATGTCTGTAAGACAGCCCTTTAAAAAGACAATACTCTATGAAGTATTTTAAACACTGTTAACTAGAATTTTCTTTGTTAGTTTATGTCCCGGCATTCATAATTATGAGTTGCACATGATAAGCAAACAAAAGCCACTACCATTCAACTGATAGCATCATTTTCTCAACAGTTACTGGTTGTTCTGAGAATACTGACAGGCCCCTGACAAGTTTACTGGGTGAAAGAGTGCTAATTCCTGCATTAATAAGGAGAGACTTTTGTCATTAATAAGTCTTTGAAGTAGAAAAAAAAAAACCCAAATTGGTTAAGAGGCATGATCCTAATCCCAAAGCCACAAAAGAATGAGAAAGCTTCAGAGGGATAAGCCTACAATCTCTGCCTAGATCAATCAGGCTAGACTAGACTATGCTACCATAACAAACATCCCCCAAATCTCAGTGGCTTCAAACAATAAAAATCTCTTTATTGCTAATACTACACGTCCATCGTAAGTCAGCAAGGAGGTCCTGTACATCACAGTCACTCAGGAACTCATACTAACAGAGCAACTGCCATTCAGAAAGTTGCCACTCCCACCATGCAGATAGAAAGACAGAGAATTCTGGAGGATCTTGCACTGGTAATAAAATGTTCTGGCCCAGAAGTGACACACATCACTTCTGATCATTGGCCAGAGCTAGGTATATGGGCCCACTTAATCAAAGGATGCAAGAAAGTGCAATTCTGCCATGTGCCCAGAAGAGAGAAGAGCTATAAATAGTTGGCAAACAACATTAATAACTCACATTAGCCTGGCCCAGGGGCATCAGAGACATCTATATTGAGGATCCCAGGCCAACACCAAGTTGAAGCACAGGTCTGGAGAGAACCTGGAGGCCTCAGGTTGGCTTAACCAAGAAGTAGAAAAAACTCATCCTGCCCAAGAATCTTAACATAAGTGGAAAAATCCAGTAATGTCTAGTTTAGAATAATCTGTGCATGTAGGTGATGCTGGGATGTTTCTCCAAATTCCTCACAAATGATTCATGATCAGTAATTTTCAAAGCTAGCTGGTCATCAGAATCACTGGGGATGCTTTAGAAACTAGGAATGTCCAAGATCAACAAACCAGCAGGAAAAAAAAAAAAAAAGAAAGAAAAAAAGAGATGTCTGAGTCTTATTCCTAAGAATTTTAATTCAATATACAGTTGGAATAGGTCCCAAGAATCTACATACTTAATCCTCTGTAGTAAAATAAAAAGGCTTATTTGGTCCTTGTCCCCCATTTCTGGCACTGAGCTTCTAATACCCTTGGAATTTTCTGACTGTTAGAAGTGTTAGGGATGTCTCGTTATTCATAACAAGCTCTTTTCAAACATATCTGAGTCTATACTAATGAGGTGACTCAGGGTGGGCCTGAGATAGCTTCTCATGGGTTCCAGGGGGATCAGCCATGTGAGTGGAGGGTTGAAACTTTGAGCTACACAGTTCCACTCTTGAACCTCTCGGGAGGGGAGTGGAGCTGGAAATTGAGTCAAATTACAAATGGCCAATAATTTAATCAATTATGCCCTTGTAACAGAATCTCCATTAAAAAAAAAAACACCCTAAAAGATGGGGCTCAGAGAGCTTCCAAACTGGCAAACACATCCCCAAAGGCTCTTGCACTTGGGACCCTCCCAAACCTTGTGCTATGTACCTTTTCACCTAGCTGTTCATTTGTATCCTTTATAATCAACTTCAATAGTAAATATAGCATTTTTCTGAGTTCTGTGAATTGTTCTAACAAATTATCAAAACTTGGGCCAGGAGAAGCTATGAGAACCCCCAAGTTTGTGGCCAATTTGGTAACTTTGGGGGCTTGATACTTGTGACTGGCTCCTGAAGTGAGAGCAGTCTTGTGGGTCTGAGACCTTAACCCTGTGTTGCCTGACACTCACTCCAGGCAGTTAGTGTCAAAATTGAATTAATAGATGAGTCAGAGAATTCGTTGAGTAGAGGACACCTCTTACTTCACACCCCAGGGATTCTCATGATCATTAGGTTTGGTGACTTCTGCTGAAGACATTGAGTCATCCAGCCGTCCTTATGCAGGGTGATTTACCAGCATGTCCAACCTCACAGAGCGCTGAGACTACTGAGTGACCAGGAGACTCACAGGGAACCACTGAGCTCCAGCAAAATAGAGTGAAAGAAACACTGGCTGAGAGTCAGAAAGCCCACAACTCGGTCCTTGTTCTGGTTACCTAGTGTTGTGTAGAAAACCATCCCGGCCGGGCGCGGTGGCTCACGCCTGTAATTCCAGCACTTTAGGAGGCCGAGGCGGGCGGATCACAAGGTCAGGAGATCGAGACCATGCTGGGTAACACGGTGAAACCCCGTCTCTACTAAAAATACAAAAAATTAGCCGGGCGTGGTGGTGGGCGCCTGTAGTCCCAGCTACTCAGGAGGCTGAGGCAGGAGAATGGCGTGAATCCGGGAGGCGGAGGTTGCAGTGAGCCGAGGTTGCGCCACTGCACTCCAGCCTGGGCGACAGTGAGACTCCGTCTCAAAAAACCAAACCAAACCAAACAAAAAAACCATCCCAAAACTCAGTGGCTTCACATAGCAACAAACATCTAGTTTGCTCATTAATCTGCATTTTGGGGAGAACTCTGAGCAGACGGCTGTTCTTGTTCCATGTATTTCCAACAAGGAAGTCTTGAATGGAGCTGGAGGATCCACTTCCTAGTTAGCTCCAAAATGCTGACTGTCGGCAGAGGCTGCTGACCAGGGACCCTAACTCCTTCCCACATGTGTCTCTGGGGCTGCTGAAGCTTCCTCGCAGTATGGCATTTGGGTTCCGAGAGTCCAGATTCCCAGAGCAGGAAGTGGAAGCCGCTGGTCCCGTAAGGCCTGAGGCCATAAACTGGCACAGTGTCACTTAGGCAGGCCAAGCAATTACAGAACCTGTCCAGAATCGGGGTGGGGTGGGGCGAAGTGGTGCGGGAGGGATGTAGTTCCCACCACTAAATGGGAGAAATGTCAAGGCATTTTCGGTCACCTTGTTTGTTTTCCAGTCACCTTTCCCAGCCTCCTCGCCCCTCCCCCCAGTTATTATATTTTACTTTTCCCCTTCCCACCCCTGCCCTTTGCATCCAACAGGGGGCGGCAGCGGCGGTGAGGAAGACACGAGTCCCAGGGAGTCCTAGGAGCGCGCAGTGGGTGGGGCTGGACAGCGAGTTCCACTTCCATGCCGCCTGCGTGGGCCTCGCGCCTACAGATGGCCAACCTGCTGTACCACAGCCAGCACCACATCAAGATTTGGTTCCAGAACCGGCGCATGAAGTACAAGTAGGATTATGGGCCAAGGAGATGGCCTCGTTGTGGGGGGCCCCTCTCCCTGGCAGAGCAAGCCGTCCACGCCGACTTCAGAAACGCCCTGCAGTCCATGACCCCCGCCCTCCTTCCGCAAAGCCCACCAGAATGCCTACTCGCTGCCCTCCAACTACCAGCCACCTCTCCAAGGCTGCGGTGCCCCGCAGAAGCAGCCACCCCCAACCCTGGCGCCCAATTATAAGCCCCAGGTCCTCCAAGCCAACTGAGACGCCTACAGGACGCCCACCATGTAGGGCAGCCCTGTGTACCTGGGCCAATTCGCTGTCATTTTTAATCCACCATAATCCTTGCTCTGACCTGTGGGCCTCAGGCTTCTCACCTGTGAAATTAGAGTCAAATTGGATTATCTTTGAGGTCCCCACCAATCTTCAAAGGCTGTGAATCACTGGTTCTGATGTATAATTTGCTGACTGACAAGTACAGTCTGTGAGTCCACATCCTTTGTAGGCTTGTACATGGTGACAGCTGATCTCAGCCAGCCAGACACACAGAGCTCCCGGGCAGCAACGACGCTACACACCCAGGCTCCTCTGCATTTCCCTCCAAACTCACTGCTGTTTTTCTTCACGAAGCCGAAGTCGTCTTCTAATTCCTGGAACCTGACAACACTGGCCCTGAGGGTTTCCTAACCTTCCACATCATTCTTGCCCTTTCTCATGGGCAATAACTCATAAGCAAAACGTGTAACCAGTGGAGGAGATTTCAAAAAGAGATCAACACAGCTCGCAAGTGGAATGAAAGGGTTCAATGAGTGGGCTCTAGATCCAGACAATCTGGGTCCAAACACCTGCACCATCACATCCTAGCTGTGAAACCTGGTGTAGAGTGACTTCACCTTTTTAAATTTCATTTTTTCCATTTTTAAAATGGTAATAGAAGGCTGGGCACAGGGACTCATGCCTGTAATCCCAGAACTATGGGAGGCCCAGGTAGGCAGATCACTTGAGGTCAGGAGTTCGAGATCCTAGCCAGCGTGGTGAAACCCCGTTTCTACTAAAAATACAAAAATTAGCTGGGTGTGGTTGTGCACGCCTGTAATCCCAGCTACTCAGGAGGCTGAGGCAGAAGTGCTTGAACCTGGGAGGCAGAGGCTGCAGTGAGCCAAGATGGCGCCACTGCACTCAAGCCTGGGCGACAGAGCAAGACTCCTTCTCAAGAATAAAAACAGCTGGGTGTGGTGGCTTAGGCCTGTAATCCCAGCACTTTGGGAGGCCGAGGCGAGCGGATCACCTGAGGTCACGAGTTCAAGACCAGTCTGGCTAACATGATGAAACCCAATCTCTACTAAAAATACAAAAATTAGCCAGATGCGGTGGCATGTGCTTATAGTCCCAGCTACTTGGGAGGCTGAGGCAGGAGAATTGCTTGAACCTGAGAGACGGATGCTGTAGTGAGCTGAGATTGTGCCACTGCACTCCAGCCTGGACAACAGAGCAAGACTCTGTCTCAAAAAAATAAAATTAAACAAATAAATAAAATAAAATAAAAAATGGCGATAGACATAGAATTTACCTCATAGAGTTGTACCAAGGGTTACCTGAGATATGCATATAAGACACATAGAGCCTACTCCCTAACAGGCACTTGATAAATATTAGCCATTGTTTTTACTAAATCTTAATGCAACATTCATCCTGACCATTGTTTGCTCTTCACTTCCCAGAGGCAAAGAGAGTGGACCTTGTGGGAGCAAGCAGTAGGAGGCTCAGAACTGCCGTACTGCAGTAGGCCTGGCCACTGACCACTGCCTCCTCCACATCCCCAGAGAAAAGAAAAGATGACAGAGATAGCATCTCACTCCTGCTCTCCAAGCATCAGAGTGGGAATCCCACATTAGCCAGGCATCACTGGTCAGTCATTTTCTGATCCCAGTGTGGACAAACATCTCATATCCTAGGCCACCCAGAGCCTGGGCAGATTTGTTGAGTGTCTACCATGAGCCCACCAGATGCTGAATGTGCTGAGGCTAGCCAGCCAAGCGTCCTGCCCTCACGGAGAACATGTTCCATTGCTCTACCCTACTTGAAAGGCACCCCTTTCAGAGGCATGGGTATAGAGGCGTTTGGCTGACTCGTTCTGGTCTGCTCTGACCTCCCATTTCACCTTCTAGATAGAATCTGCAGCTTTCTCTGATACTTGAAAGCTGGCTTGACAGACTGTCTTAGGGTTGGGGGTATGGGATAGGACGGGGAAGATGTGTACTCTGTGGACAACACTTGTATGGACATGCAGGAATAGTTCAGTGATGCACTAAAGTGTAATTCCTCAGTGTTACTACAAAACTGCCAGCTCATTTCTGAAGACATACGAAGTACAAACAAGCTTGCCTTGTTTGCTTTATCAATGCTGTACTGTAGTGCTGAGTTTAAGGAGGCGGCTGGCCCCAACATCTTGTAATAGCCCTGCTGACTCTGAGAGGTGGCTGCAGGTCTCACCAGTGCTTGCTGAACAAGGAAGAGAAGCAGTGTCAAATATTAAGGGAGGAATTCACATGTGGAAGAACCAGAAAACACAGCGTCTGGGGTTCTAAGGGGCAAAGGTCAGCTCTCAGGAAAGGAGGGACACAGGCTGGCTCAGTGACAGCCATGCACACAGGGTTCTTGGCAGACACACATGCTCTGGTCCTTCCTTCACAGTCACTCCCTGTGTGGGATTCTTAACCACAACCTTCCTCAAGGCTTCTCTTCTCAGGTCACTCACCTACTTGCTGTGAGTACCCCATGCTGTGTCTCCTTGCTTGTAGATCCTAAAGCTATGCAGACCAGACCTGTCCCTTGAGCCCTCTCCCCCATCTATCCAAGGCCTCCTGGACATCTTCCCCCAAAGGTCCCATGTCCCTTCAAACTCGAACTTTAAACTGTTATTAGGTGTTGAATTGGTACCCCCTCCCCAAAAGATGTGTTGGAGCCTAACCTGTACCTGTAAATGTGACCTCATTTGAAAATAGGGTCTTTGCAGATGTAATCAAGAAGTCATTAGGGTGGTTCCTAATCCAATACATGCCCGGTATCCTTATAAGAAGAAGAAAATGTCATATGACATTTTGCAAAAATGCACAGAGATGCACAGAGAGGCTGTGTGATGACAGAGGCAGAAGCTGGGGTGATGCAGCTGCAAGCCAAGAACACCAAGGACTGTCGGCCACTGCCAGAAGCCAGGGAGGAGGCCGGGAAGGAAGGCTTCTCCCCGTCAGGTTTCAGAGGGATTACGGCCCTGCTGGCGCCTATATTTTGAACTTCCAGCCTCCAGAACTGTGAGAAAAGAGAAGATTTATTTTGTTTCAGCCACATAGTTAGTGTAACCTTGCTATGTCAGCCCTATGAAATGAGTGGCCGAAGCTGAGTTCATTTTTATTTTTCTCAAAGTGCCTTCTTTTCCAGTGTTTCTTATAATAAATGAAATGAGTTGCCAAATCAGAAATGTAAGGGTCATTTTTATTCTCCATCCCACCACAGCCCATCAAGCACCCAGTCATGTCAACTTGATCTCCTTTGTACTTCGCTAATCTTTCCTTGATTGAGCTCACTTCTGTCTCTGCCCTGGTTCAGACTGATAACTTCATCAGGAGATTGTAGAAAACTCCTTTCTTTTGTGCCCCTGGCCAATTTCCCTTTATCTGACATCATCTCCTATCCCCACCCTAACCCATCTTTATTTTGTCAGTGTGATCCAAAGCCCTTCATGTCACACCGTTGCTTAAGTCTTTTTTCAATAGTTCCCTGTGTCTACCTTCAATATAAATTCTAAACCCATGGGCATTACCTGCAGGACCCTACTTGAATGATTTGGTTTCAGTATGATTGCTTCCATTTATTATCCTTCATATACTCCTTTCCTCAACCTTGAACTTTATTCTCAAGCAAGACTAAATTTCTTGAGATTTTCAGAATACGTTCTCTTTGCTCTTGCAGGAGCTGGTCGTTATGCCAGAAACATCACTCTATCCTCTTATTTTCCTGGTAAATATCTATTCATCCTTCAGGTCTTTGATTAAGTGCTTTCTCAGTGGTGACTGCTTCCAGACTTTCCCCAGGCTATTTTGGGTAGGTTATATTCCCTCTGTTCTATGACAGTAATTATCTTCTTATACTGTAACTAGGCTGTTTACATGCTTGCTGCTGCCCTACACAATTTTAAGGGAATAGACTGTGGGGTTTCTTTTTTTGCATCTCTAATGTTTGGCATTCATTTCTTTCCTCTTTCATTTATTCATTCAACAAATATTTGTTGCATTTAGCACCTACAATTACCTAAACATGTCTTTGGGAACACCATGAGGAACACTACGCCTGCCCTCCTGGAACATACAGTCTAATTTGGAATAAGACTAAAGTAAACAGGTGATCACAAGGAAGCCAACAATACCACCAAGGAGATAGGTACAAGCTGCTATAGGAATAGGTAGGGAGTACCTTGCTGAGCCTCAGAGATTCCCAAGGTGGATGAGGTTAAGGTGTATAAGAGGGCAGCCTTGTGTCAAGAATGCTCCTGGTCCTGTACAGCTGGAGAACAGAGGGAAACGGCAGAACAAGGGAACGGCTGGTGCCGCACGGACCAGATTCCAAGGGCCTTGTAAGTCAGCTAAAGAGAGCAGACTTTATCCTGAGGGCCCAGTGAGTCATAGGAGTGTTTCAAGTACTTTGTCCTTTTTTTCCCTTTTAAATTGCCTGTATCCAATAGCTTTTAATTAAAAAAAAAAAAATGCTTGTAATAGGCAAAACAGCCAAACATAGAGAAACAGGAAGTTTAAAATCACTTCTTATTTCTATGTCCTGAGGCAACTTACACCGTTAAACTGTGCTTATCCAAATTGGTATAAATACATGCAAACACAGAACAGACATGTGTGTTGAGTTTTGTTTTGCTTGTTCAACATTTTTATAACGATTGAGTCATAGTATACACATTTTCTCATAACTTGCTTTTTTCATTTAATATAAGACTAGCATGTCTCTCCATGCATAAACATATATATGTAATATATAACATATAGATTCACATGTTGAGAATATGTGTGTGTGTGTGTGTGTGTGTGTGTGTGTGTGTGTGTGTGTACATTTTTTTAATAGGATCTTGCAATTTTTCCCAGGTTGATCTTGAATTCTTGGACTCAAGCAATCCTACCACTTCAGCTACCCAAGTGAGTGGGATCACAAGCACCCACCACTGCAGCTGGCTCATGTGAATATGCTCATAGATCTAACTCATTCATTTTTCTTTGTGATAACTACAGGATAGCCCACAGCATGGAATTACCATGCTTATTTGGCCATTTTATTATTGGTGAATAATTGTGCATTGCCCAATATTTTGCCACAGTGAACAATGCTACTGTAAACACCCTTGTCAACATATTCTTGGGTACTGATGACTTTATATCTACTGGAATGACTGCCCGCAATAGGGTTCCTGATTTAATGGGTGTGCATTTTGAGCTTTAACAGGCATTGCTAGATTATTTTTCCCTGGAGACTTGAGTACTTCACATTCCCACTGGCAAGATATAAAAGTGCTCATTCATAGGATGTTTCTGGTCTTTTTAATTTTTGCCCAATATGTGGAATAAAGAACTAAATTTTATTTTCTCTAACTTCTCTATCCCATCTAAATCTTTATTTCCTCTTTTGTGAATTGCTTGTTCATATTTTTTCCTGTTGCTTTTGGCCATTTCATTACCAATTTTTATGAGCTTTGGGTAAGTTAAGGATCATATCCTTTCATATATGCTGCAAATGTTTGTCTGAGACTATAGCTTGTCTTTTGACTTTGCTTATAATGTTTTGTTCTTGTAATTTGAAAAAAAAGTGAGAAAATATGTCATTTGTTTTCTCCTTGTTGGATTTTGGGATTCTTGCTACCATTAAATTTATGCCCTCTATGCCAAAGTTATAGAAACTTTCCACTAGATTTTCTTCAAATCCTTTGTGTTTACTTATTTACATTTATATCTTTAACCAAAACCCATCTCACTTTTTTTCCCCAGATGAAGAGCCAATTAGGTCAGCACTATTTCTTGAATCAATCCTAACTTTCCTGCTGAATTGAAATGTTGTCTTTATCAAATACTAATTTTGCAAACATACGGTACCCATTCCTGGATTCTAGCCTGTTCCAGTGGACCACTTGTTCATGTGCCAAAACATATTATTTTGATGAAAATCACTTTATCTTAAATGTCAATATTTGGTAAGGCAAATGTACCCTATTTTCTTTTTCAGAATTATCTGCCAAAGTCTACAAGGCTATATGACAATATCCCACCACAATTATGCTTTTTAATTAAATTAATCTTGTGTTTCAAAGAGGAAGTGGCTAAGAGTCTTAGCTAACCCTGGATGGCTATGAATGAACACCCAGTCATTCATGCAAGCAGAGTCACCCCAGGTGCCCTCGCTCACAGTCTCACATTCTCATTCCTGCACACTAAACGACTCAAAAGTCCTCCGGAGCTCTGGACCTTGATAGCTATTCTCCCCTTTCTTCAAAGTCCCAGGGTCTTCTCACCCAGATCCCAGGGGCCTTTCTGCCCCCTGCCATCCTCTGACAACTCTGTCCCAGGCTAAAAATAGCTGCCCGCTTGGGGCTTTCTTCTCCTTTAGGCTCCTGCTATCTCCAAGCACAATGGGGTAGAGGACCAAATCTGTGCACCCTGATAACTGCTCTTCTACGTTTCTGCAGCTGCTTATGAGACATCCATGTGCCAGACTCCTCTCTAGCCCAAACTCTCCTTCTAGTAGTTGTTTCCCTGCTTGTAGACTACCCTTTGGTTCTCCCTAGGACACCACTCCTGATCCTCCTTGAGATGGACTCAGCCCTGACCTCCTCCTCATAGGTACTGCTGATGGCTGGAGGAGAAGGATAACGTCAGAATCATGGTGCTATGGGTTGAATTGTATACCCCTAAAATTCATACATTGAAATCTAACTCCCAGTGCTGCAGAATATGATCTTATTTGGAGATAGAGTCATTTCAGATTGAATTAGTTAAGATAAAGTCGTGGTGGGGTGTGGTTAACCAATATGACTGGTATTCTTATATAAAGGTGAAATTTGAACATGGAGACATCCACACAGGGGGAACACCATATGAAGATGCAGGCAGAGATTAGGGTGACACTTCTAAAAGCCAAAGAATGCCAAAGATTGCCAACAAACCACCAGAAGCTAAGGGAGAAGCAGGGAACAGCTTCTCTTGCATAGCGCTGAAAAGGAACCAACCCTACTGCTACCTTGATCTTGGACTTCTAGCCTCCAGAACTGTGAGAAAATAAATTTCTGTTGTTTAAGCCACACAGTCTGTAGTACTTTGTTGCAGCAGCTCTAGGGAGCCAATACACACAGCAACCCAATGCAGATGAAGGTGGGCTGCCTTCCCCCACCTGAGCCCTTCTCTCTGTTTTTTGCTGGGGTCACGTAGGGAGTCAGATCACAACAAGCTTCAAAATGTGTTTTTGGTTAATAATACTGGCCCCAGACTCTTGCCTGGTATGAAGGTTTAGCAGAGAAACTCAGGCTCCCATTGCCACCCACAGCCTGGTCCCCAGGCAGAAGCAAGCCGTGGGCTCTGCCTTGCCAGTTGGGAGCATCGTATCCAAGCTTTGGTGCTTCAGCAGTAAACAAGCAGTTAGCAACTGCTCTGCAAGCTATCCAAGCGTGACATGCTGAGGTTTCTATGACTTATCCTCTAGTGCCTCCCCCACTGTCTGTCATTCCCACCACACAGGAATCCTGACTCTTCTGACCTGTGGGCATTCATTAGGACTGTGGCCAGTTGTTCCTCCTGATGCCCTAGTGCCTAGCTCAGTGTCTGACCCACAGTAAATGCTCAATCTTTATTTACTGGATGGGTGGATAGATGGACAAAGGTACAGGAGACTCTTTGGACTAAGCTTTCTCCAGTATGTGATTCAACCTAGCAGAAGAGAGGGCGTTACCAAGAGGAGCTTCTAGGAACTGAGTCAGTCATTGAGTTGCTGCAGGCATGCATTCTTGCCATGTGGACCCTGGATTCTTTCTCATTCTTTCTGGGCTAAAGGTTGGCTTCCAAGTTCCTTTCCACTAGTGCGCCCTCCTGGCGGCTCTTTACAGCCAACTTCACACAAAGGAGGTTTAAACAGCATCTGGCAAGTCTCCCTGGAATTCACAACCAGCTTGCTCCACCCCAAAAATCTACCAAATACTTCAGACAGAACTCAGAGTGGAGGCCCTGCATTTAAAAATGGATCTCTTTTCCTGAGGCATCCACACCTCCTTCTTTTTAGAAAGCACAAGCTCATATTGAAACAGCCATCCCAGAAAAATGTGTGGAGGGGAAAAACAAAACAAAGCAGAACAAACTACAAAACAACAACCACAAAAATATTTGGAGGTCTCCCTGTCCTTGTGTTCCAGAAAGTTCGATATATGGGGATTGCAGTGGGAAGAGCAGTTGCCAGCATTGTGGAGAGACTTCTAGAGACACAGGGGACTTGAGAGTGGGAAATGGCAAGAAAAGTGCCCTGAGCCCCGGCCCAACTTGGCTCTTAAAGAGAACCCCACCATTCATTAACTGGCCCTAAAACCTGCTAAGTGAAAAAGTAAAATAAATGAGCTCATTAAATCCGGAAGGAGGGAAGACCTGGAGGCTTAACCAAGGAAATTCCCAACACCCACTTAGAAAAACAAGGGGGTTTTAGGCTCAGTTAGATTCATGGCCAGGAGTGGGGGCTGGCCCCCAAACAAGGAGGTTGAGTCATGCTGAACCACCATGCAGAGCTCGGCCATTTCCAGCTCTGCAAACAGGAGCCTGGATAGGGAGCTGCTGCTGCTTGTAGTGTGGCGGGGATGGTCAGTGTGGTTTACCAACTCAAGTGGTCCACATCCTTAGTCAAACTCATGGGGAAATCAGTTGAGAAATATAGTGGGAAGTTCCAGGAGCATGCAAAGTTCTTGAGAGAATTATGACTTCAACCCAGACTGCGGTAACTGCCTGTAACAAATACAGCCTGAGATTCGGCTTAATAAAGACTGTTCATCATGTACCATCCATTCCTCCCCGATTTATCACTCACTTCCTGAGGACCATCTATGTGCTGGCGCCATGCTAGATGCTGCCCTTTCAGGCCTAACTTGTTAGTATTGCTCCCATCGACCAGTCCAAGTTCCTATTCATGGTCCCTGCTTCACCCATGACCATAGCCCTCTTTGGTTGTGGGGTTCTGCAGATTCCCTTCAGATCTCCTTGTTCTTGAATGAGTGGAACTCTGATGATTCCTGGCATCTGCTCTCGTCTTGGGTAAAAGATTCCCCTCCAGGTGTGGCAGCCCCAGGCCTACACAAACAATGACTGTACCTAGAATAATACCTGCTGTACTGATGCATGGGCAAGAACAATGGGAATGCTGAGGAGAGAGTGCCTAACCCCATGTGTGTGTTTGCTGGGAGGCATCAGGGGAAGAAAGCCTTGTCCAGAAAAGGTGGCTTGTCAGACTTTCTGCAGGGGGATCAGCGTGAGAGGATGAAGGCACGGAAATGTCACGAGGACAGCCAGATGAACAAGAAACCCACCCACTGCCAAGGAAAACATATGGTCAGGTTTACTCTGTGCCCTTTGCTCCTACCCACTGATTCTCTTTCCCCAGGGGCTGCACGTCAGATCCATTTTCATGACTGACATATTCAAAGTTATCATTTGTCGAAACTTGAAATCTCACAAGGAAATCTCCTATCTGGTGAGATCCATTCCCAACTACCTTCTCTTTGCCTTCCTCTTCCAACATGGACACCATTCTCAGAGGCAACATTTAATTGTGAGAAGAGAATGAGTTTTAGAGTCTCAAGATCTTGAATCCCAGCTCGGCTAATAACTAGCTGTGTGACATTGGACTAGTTACTTAACCTCTCTGAGCCACGTTTTCCTCGTGTGTAAAATAGGTATAATAATATTTTCCAAATGGTGTGGTCATGAGGATTAGAAATAACAGATATAAAGTGCTCCTCAAAATGCTTTGCATATAGCTTATGTCCAAGGACGGCAGATCATGTTATCTGATTGTGAGCTGGATTGTCTCACCCTAAGAACCCTCTGCTCCCTTCAGTGACTGGCTGCTACTCAGCGAAGGAGGGATGTGGCTTAGTGCCTGTCATGACAGCTGGGACTCTCTGTGACTTCCATCTCTGATGCAAAAACACTGGGTTCTCCACTCTGCATCTCCATGGAGTTTACCCTTTGCTCTTAGAAGCTTTAAAAACTAATTGTCATGCATGAACAAGCTCTTGGAATCCAAAGTCACTTCCTTAACAGTCAGAAAGGTCAGCCTCCTACACGGCTTTCAAATGTGCTCCCAGAGGTCTACTCTGAAGGTCAGGGCTACCGACTGTTCTAGATTTCAAAGCATGTTAGACACATTGTTACTCTCTCTAAGGCAAGTGACTTACAAGAGGGGTGCTTGCAAAAGATTTAAAAATTAAATCTGTAGTCCCCTTTCCTGGTAAGAATAGCGCCAGCTTCTTTGGCTTGTAGACCAGAGGGAAAACCAGCCTGGCTTCCATGAGGGGTGCTAACCTGGGGGAGAGGAGAAGGGGCGGGGAGGAGGTCGAGCACCCTGGGATCCCCTAAGAGGTCACTGACGGTATTTTTCTCAGACGTCTAGATGGATAGCAAGTAGCTCTGTTGTCCAGGAAGGGGAGGGGGTAACAGGACCCTTTGTGTTTTGAGTTGAAAACAAAGGATCCCTGGGATTCATGGGAGCCTGCGCTGCCCTGGGGCTCCTGGGACGAGCTGGCACCTGGAAGGCGGCTGTGAAAGAAAACTGGCGGCAGAACTCAGCTGAGCTGCAACCTCGTGAGCTCAAGTGGGGGGTCACCCCTGGCTGAGGTTACCACTGAGGGAATGGGGTCATCCTCCCTAGAGAACCTCGGCGGCTGTGCGGGGATACGGACAAAAGCCGCTTTGTGGAAGACTGTGGGACCGTCCAACGGCGCCACCGTGTGGCGGCGCCGGGCAGCGGCAGACAGCGCATCCCGGTTCTCACACACACCTGGACCTTCTAAGACAGGTGAGTCTCGAGGAGATGCTGGTTTTCTGATCACTACTTGCTATGCAATTTGGAAAAATGAGAGAGATTTGCTCACATTTTCACTCCAAGTGTGTGGAGCAGCTGAATTTAGTCCCAGGCAGTAGTAGCCCCACGCTAAAAATTGATGACTTAAAGACAATTCAAATAGAATGAAATAAAGACTGCTTGAACATTAGGGATGTCCAGGCCCTGGGATGTTTCCAGGCTCCTGATTCAAAGAACAAGTGTCGTGTGAGCAAATGAGTGAACGAGGAAAGGAGTGAGTGAATTGAGACTTTCTGAATTGCCATCGGGAACCCTGTTAGGGTTTTCATTCCCACTGCAGATCTGTTAGACAGGACTTTCCCTGCCTCCACCAAGGCACAGGTATGTTCGAGTGTGAGACGGCTCAAAATATGTACAATTCACAAAAAAATTTCCAGGAACAGCTTAAACAATACTTGAACACTGTCCCCTACTTGAGAACATAGAAGGATCTGTATAAGCATCCATAGAGGAGGGAAGGGAGGGGAGCTGTGAGAGGTTCTTTGGAGTGCACTGTTGCCAAGTCCCCACTTCCCTTTGGAGGAGTGTGGAGGGAATGCCTCCTTCACTCAAGCCTAGTGAGGGGGCTTCCTTGGGAGCAGTAAGCGGCCTTGCACTGTGTTCCCACAGGCTGGGGACACAGAAAATGCGTGTCTGACTCACATTGAGATGACTGAGAGAGTCTGTGCAACGGGATAGACAATACTTCTCTGGAACTGGGCTGCACTCCCAGAATTCTTCAGAACAGGGGTGTGTGTTTCCCAGACCACGAAGAGGTGGGAAAGCCAGATGGTGCAGTTGCAAGACCTGCCTAAGAGCACAGCCTGGGGAGTTGAGGGGCCCCCAACAGTGAGATTCAGTGCTGAATGGGCCATCATTGAATCAGGGGTTTAGGAGTAGAGGAAGAAGACATCCAGAAGGCTGAACGCACTGCCCACATCACAGAGCTGTGGTCAGAGGCACCGGCAGGGAGCCTCTAAAGAGCCCAGGAATGCACCACTGGAGAAGAAGCCAGCTTCAGATATCGGCCTTGCAAGCAGGCTCCATCAGACACAGGTCCCCACTGCAAGAGACCCTGCCCTTGTTCCCTAATGACCTTGCCTCCAGCCTCATTGCCAACCTTCTTTAGCAAGTTTGGGGAACATGAGCTGAGAACGAGATAAGCTGACCATTGTGTCTTCTCAGAAAGCAGGGTTTTCCATGCCTTCTCTCCAGCTGGAAGGAGGGGACGAGACTGAATGGTAATTTAGGTTCCCAATTAAGAGACAGGGTCCTGTTCTGTCACCGAGTGGTGTAATCATAGCTCACTAAAGCCTTGAACTCTTGGGCTCAAAGGATTCTTCCACGTCAGCCTCTCCAGTAGCTAGCACTACAAGTGCATGCCACTGCGCCTGACTAAATTATTATTACTTTGCAGAAAGGGGTTTCATCATCTTGCCCAGGCTGGTCTCAAACTCCTGGACTCAAGCAATCCTCCCACGTTGACCTCCCAGAGTGCTGGAATTACAGGTTCAGCCAGGTTCTGAGTTCTTACTATTACACAAACTAGTCTTTTATAGACTATTTGCAACTAAGTAACTGCAATATTGTTACAACCTGATTGTGAGCAGAAAAGCCAAGAGTCCAGGGCAAATACATTTTGAAAGGACAGTAGGAGGCCAAAACTAAAGATGGGTTTTGATTAGGACACACTTGCGTTTGTTCAACATTCAGGTTGTGGTATGTACAACAAATCTTTATCTGGAATTTTGTCTGTGCTGAGGCTTTGAAGGACAGAAGAGGAGAAGGAGAAGATAGATCCCCTACTTTACCACCACCGTCCTCCAACCATCTCCCACCACCATCCTCCAACCATCTCCCACCACCATCCTCCAGTCATCTCCCACCACCATCCTCCAACCATCTCCCACCACCATCCTCCATCATCTCCCACCATCACCCTCCAACCATCCCCCACCACCATCCTCCAACCATCTCCTACCACCATCCTCCAACCATCTCCCACCACCATCCTCCATCATCTCCCACCATCACCCTCCAACCATCTCCCACCATCTCCCACCACCATCCTCCAACCATCTCCCACCACCATCCTCCATCATCTCCCACCATCACCCTCCAACCATCTCCCACCATCACCCTCCAACCATCTCCCACCACCATCCTCCAACCATTTCCCACCACCATCCTCCATCATCTCCCACCATCACCCTCCAACCATCTCCCACCATCACCCTCCAACCATCTCCCACCACCATCCTTCAACCATCTCCCACCACCATCCTCCAACCATCTCCCACTACCACCCTCCAATAATCTCCAACCACCATCCTCCATCATGTCCCACCATCACCCTCCAACCATCTCCCATCACCATCCTCCAACCATCTCCCACCACCATCCTCCAACCATCTCCCACCACCATCCTCCAACCATCTTCGTGGTACCAGCCCCTCTCCAGTGCCTCATGTCTCCCCTCTGCTCACAGCCTGCCCTGCCTCTGTAGCCTCTCTAGCATCCATTCCTCTCTGACTTAGCTCCTTCATCCTCCCTACTGCTGCTGGGACAGATCAATCAGTAATCACCATCATCTGAAGTCCGTCTTCCCTCCCACCTCTCATCCTGTCCCTGCACAGAGTTGGGACCCTGCCATTATCTTCATGTTACAGGTGAGGGAGACCGGATCTTCTACCCAGGGTGGGCAATGACTTATGAATGCCGATTAGTGGTGTCAGAACTACAAAGGGTGTCTCTGGCTTGGGGTATATTCACTTAACAGAACACATTCCATTATTAAATCTTCTCTATCAATTGTTCTACTTCTCAACTGTTCACATTTCTTCAGTTATCAACCGTAGCCCTCGCATTTCTAACTCAGCACAGTGGGACGGGGTCCTACCCTGCACAGCTGAGGCATGACTTGCAGTTTAGAGATGAGGCCGCGGAGAAGGGGAGAGAATGAAGTGCCTTTCTGAAGCTCCTCCAGACCTACAAAGGCTCTTCTGCTCCTGTGTTCCATGTCCTAGTGAATGGTCACACTCTTACACCCAAGGGCCCAAGCCAGAACCCTGAGAGCTGTCATAGCTGCTGCCTCTGTCTCTTACCCCTCACATCATCAGCATCCTTGGATTCCCTCCCTTCCTCTTAGTTTCTGCTGCTTCTGCCTCAGCTCAGACCTCACCACTTTAACAAATACAGTAGCTCCCAAATGTTCTCCCTATATCAAATCTGCTCCCCTCACCCATCTGGCTCCCCATTCCAAGGAGTGTCCTTCCTAAGCATTCACTCAATATGCATTGACTGAGCAATCCTATCTGTTGGGCACTACGTGTATCAATGTCTAGTCGAGATGCAGGGGCCATGCCAGGGAGTTCAACAGAGGAAACTGAATACAAAGAACTAGTTACAATGGTGTAGGGAGAGCTGAAAAGCCAAGCAGGAGACAATGAGGCCAGAATTGGCAACAGCAGAAGCCCATTAACATCCCCAATGCTAAAGGGACAAAAGGAGGAAGATGGTGTTGTCAGAGCTGGAAGCAGTGGCCACTTGGCAGGAGCTTGAGCCTTGGAGACAGGGGTTGTCCAGTAGGAGCTGGAGCCTTAGAGGAGATGCCGTCATTGTCAGTGGTGCCTCTCGAAGCAGAGCAAAGGGGAGAGAAATACTCTGACCTTTCCCTTCCTCCCACCAGCACCTCCCATTGGCCAAACCCAGCAGGAAGCCAACCTGCAAGTGATCCTGGGAAATGTAGCTTGCAAGGGTGAGCCTCTGTGACGCAGAGCAGAGAAGCTGCGGGGATCTGAAAGCAAACATGGTCTTTCCAGGACATGCTCTGTGCTGGGAACTGGGGCGGAAAAAATCAAACTGGACAATCACAGCCCAAAGACACCCATAAGCTATACCAATAGTTCCAGTGCAGTGTGGTAAGGGATTAGGGATCTATGTGGTGCTGGGAAGGGCCTGCGGGGGGGGGGGGGGGGGGGGCAGATAAATAAAGATTCTCGGAGGGGGTGACATCTGAGCTGAAATGCAAAGGATGAATCAGTTAACCAGATGAAAATGAGAGTGGGTTTGGGAAGGCCATTTTAGGGTAGAGGATGCTTGAAGACAAGGGACAGAGAAAGATCACGACTTCTCCACAAGGAATCCTTTGGTGGCTCCTCATTGTGTATAGGAGAAAATCTAAGACCCTCTCCAGGTAGTAGAAGGCCCTGCTGTCTCCAGCCTCAGCTCCACCTCCAGTCTACCCCTGAGACTCTAGGCGCCCTATACTTCTGTCTGTGGACATAGTGCTCACTATTTCTTGTCGGTGCCTTTGCACAAGCATTTCTCACTTGTTCCCTGGTAAAGCTCAGCTCAAATGTCAACTACTCTGTGAACTTTTCTGATGTCCCTAAGTGAAGTTATGATCCTCTAAGACCTTTGTACATTGCACTTACACATGTATTTATGGATTTGTTTCTACAGCCGACTGCTTCCAAGGACCTATAAATAAGGTCCTTGAGGGAATGCCTTCATGTTTACCCTATGTATCCTTCATGCCTGCAAAGCACATGGCACAAAGTGGCACTCAGAAAATTGGAAGAGGGTGGAGAAAGGAGGAAGACAGGCAAGAAGCAGCCAAGGTATGTTGATTTCAAGGTCATACCACTGCAACTTTTGAAAATATTCATGTTTATGTTGGAACACAGAGAACTTTTCGAAGTTGTATTAAGATGTAAACACACCACACTTTTGTGAATATAAATTTCATCTTCGATGTAAATATTCTATGGTTTCCTTCAAGGTTATATTGCATTTCACAATCTACCCACATAGCATGACGAACTCGCCCTCAGGGAGATGATGTTTCCCTGGCATTTTCCTATCTCCGCCTGCTCCTAGAGGCCACTTCAGCAAGCTCTGAGATTTCACTGCACACAACCAATCCCTACCTTGCCAGGCTCCAGAAGGTACTTCTGCTTATCTTTTTTTCTTGCAAAACACCCAGATTAGCTTTCAAAATTGCAGCTAAATCTAAAGCAAATGGCTTATAAGAAAGGCAGAAGTGGGTCACAAATAATTATACCTGATTTGTCCCCAGCTGCCTCTACTCGCCACATTCTCCAGTGCAGCTTGGCATAGCTTCAGAGTTGTTCATTCTCTGGCCTAAATGTCCAGCAATAGGGCCTCAGCCAAATGAAGTGTGGTGCAACCACATGATTTAACACTGGGCAAATATTAACAATGGTGTCGAAGGTGCATGGTTACTGACATAGGAGAATGTTCATGATAGCCTCTTAAGTTACATACACATGACTTTTTATTTATTTGAGACAAGATCTCCCTCTGTTACTCAGAATGGAGTTCAGTGGTACCATGATGGCTCACTGCAGCCTCAACTTCCTGGACTTAAGCGATCCTCCCACCTCAGCCTCTTGAGTAGCTGGGACAGGTGTGCATGTCATCACACCTGGGTAATTTTTTTTTTTTTTTGTAGAGACAGGGTTTCACCATGTTGCCCAGGCTGGTCTCAAACTCCTGAGCTCCAGAGATCCTCTTGCCTCAGCCTCCTAAGGTGCTGGGATTACACGTATGAACCACCGTACGCGGCCACACATGACTTTCTGTACAGAAAAAAAGGGCTGAAATACGCACACCAAAATGTTTGTTTTTCTTTATTCTGTACTCTTCAAAATTTTTAATAATAAGCAAATTATATGTGAAAAAGTAGTAATTTAAGATTAAATATATATATTTTAGTTAGTGAGTCATGGGTCACCTTTACATATATTACAATTTGAGTCTGGAGGCCTAAATTCCTCACTTTTATCACCTTTCAAAGTGCCTCTTCTATTTCAAGACTTAGCACAATTGCTCCATTTCTGGGGACCTTTCTTGCCCAACTAAAATGTTATTTGCGAGCATTCCCCCAGCCCACTGACAACCCCTACACTCCAGCAACCACTATAGGGTATTGTGATGGTTTCCTCGTAGCAGAGTATGAGCCCTTTTGAGGGAGTTATTCAGCTCCTTGTCCCCAGGTCTACTTGACACATTGAATAAATGAATGACCCAACACTTTGATGTGTGGCATTGGACACATCCTCACCCCTCTATAAATCTCACTGGCCTCATCATTAAAAAGGGCATAAATGCGCCCATTCCAGGAGTAGCTGTAAGGATTAAACAAATGTTTTGTGCAGCAAAGAACAGTGTAGAGACATAGTGGTCCTCACAGGAAGGGCAGATGTGAACATCAAGCCTGGAGTCCACACCACAGGTTTCTTCTTCCTGCCCCTGCTCTGGGCTATTTGCTAATAAGACAGAAAGTTCACTTTTAAAATGACTTTGTACAAGCAGTAAAGAGGACTTGTGTGTATGTGTTTTTATCTTGTGTTAAATAAGATTATGAGCTGGGCGCAGTGGCTCATGTCTGCAATCCCAGCACTTTGGGAGGCTTGAGCCCAGGATTTAAAGACCAACCTGGGCAACATTGTGAGAACTTGTCTCCATGAAAACTAAAAATAAACTGTCCACTGTGGTGGCACATGCTGGTAGTCCCAGCTACTCAGGATGCTGAGGTGGGAGGATCACTTGAGCCAGGGAGCTTGAGGCTGTAGTGAGCTATCCAGCCTAGCTGACAGAGGGAGACCCTGTCTAAAAAAAAAATTAGTTATCCTTAAGCCACCAGCTCTCCTGAGAGATCCCCACTGGAGGCAGCCTGAAGGGTCAAACCTTGGTCTTTCTGAGCCCCCACATGGTTTGGAGAACTGGGTTTTCCCAAATACTTCAGGGTGCTGTTTTGAGCAATAAAACTGTTTTAATTATTTTGAATGGAAAGCTTTCTAAACTGTGTAAATTTACACAACATTGTAAATGAGTTTTCTAACCATTGTGTGTCAAGTTAGGCTCACTATGTTTTATCTTTTTAGGTATTAACTTCATATACAAATCGTAATGTTAGCTAATATTTACTTTGGCCTTGGTATGTTTCAGACACCATTCTGAATATTCTATTACATTGGCTTATTAAGTCTTCATAACATTTATAGAAAATAGGTGCTATTGTTACTCCTGTTTTCCCAATGAGGACACAGGTCCAGAGAAGTTAAATGAGGTGCTCAAGGCCACAAATCACAACATATAAACCCTAGCACCATAGCTCTGGAGCCTACATGCTCACACTACACTTCAGCTGTCCGATCAGCATTATGCAAAGAAAAGTACATGACGGAGTGAAGATCTGGGTGTGGGTAGTGCATTCATTTCTTAGAAATGAAGTTTCCATTTTGTAATGAGCATATATATATATATGTGTGTGTGTGTATGTATATATATGTATATATATGTGTATATATGTATATATGTATATATACATATGTATATATGCGTATATATACACATACGTATATATGTATGTGTATATATATACATATGTATATATGTATATGTATATATGAACATAATGAAAAACAGGGAGAACCCTGGGTCCACCAACCAGTGTAAAAGTTCTCATTTACTCACAACATCCAGTAAGATAAAATTGGAGCAATTATGCTGATCAGTAAAGCCATCAGTTGATGTCTTGATGATGTTGAAGTAAATATGGCAAGAATACTATTGGGGAAAATGTCTAAAGCGTCTGTTTGAGTCCATTTTTTGTTGTTATAACAGAATAACACAGACTGGGTAATTTATAAAGAAGAGAAATTTATTTCTTACAGTTCTGGAGGCTGGGAAGTCCAAGAGCATGGCACTGGCATCTGGCAATGGCCATTTCACTACATCAAAACATGGTGAAGGGCATTGTATAGTGAAAGAGCAAGAGCGTATCCGCTCAGGGCTCTCTTCCCCTTCCTATAAAGCCACCAGTCCCATGATGGGGGCCCCACCCTGATGACCTTATCTAATCCTAACTACTTCTCAGAGGCCTCACCTGCAAATGCCATTAAGACATAAATTTGGGGGTTGAGTTTCCAACACATAAAATTTGAGGAACACATTCAAACCATAACAGTGTTTATGAAGAGTTTTGCCAAACTACACTAAATAAGGATTATGAGCCTCACCTTCTCCTGCTCTCTGAGTGGCGAGATCATCACTGAGGGGTCTTGCCCTACCCCCACATGCACACCTATGATCATCATTAAAATGCCCTAAAGTTCTGTCCGATTCCTTATCTTCCTATACAGGCTGAGAATTCTTTCACCGAGTTTGCATGAAGCATTTTCTGCTAGGCTGCTATTGCTTCAAAATGCTGTCAAATATGAATGAGGATTGCAAAACTAATAGAAATATCTGAGAACCAATATACACAGCACAGTGATCACTCTTCACCCTGCGCTCCAGACTCCTCACTGTTCCTCAAGGGGCCCTGCATTTGCTTTTGCTCATTCATTCATTCCATGAATGTTTATTGAGTCGCTACTATGTACCAGGCCCTCAGCCCTCAAGGACCTGAGGCCTGATGGAAGAGACCAGCATCAGAATGTGATGACATTTATAATTGTACAGATACAAACTGTAAAATGTTCTATGAAGGAAGATCACAGGCAGCTGAGGGAAAGACTTGCAGGGAAACAATCTGATGAGAAGGATAAGACCTCAAGAATTAGGAATGAGATGGGGACAGGGTGGAAGTTATTGCAGATGGAAAGAACAGCCAATAAAAAGGCCCAACACATTTCTCCATCAGAAGACCAACAACATGGCTACTGAAAATGGGAGAACTTGTCAAGAGATGCATCTGAAACAACAGGGAGGGAAAGGCACTAGATTGGGGAGGGTGTAGGGCCATGAACAGACATGGGATTGCCCCCCAACTGCAATGAGAAGACAGTGAGAGAATTTGAGAAGGAAGTAATAAGAAAAAAAAATCATCCTTGCCCTCAAGGAATTCACAATGGTATAATTAGATTAGAAGCTCCAAAAATGTTAATTTAGCCTTGGGTAAAATTATGAGAACACAAAAAAGAGATCATACTACTATTTTAAAACAGGGCTTGGGAAGATATATTCAGGGTGACGCTAAACACTCGGAGAATTCTGTGTCTGTTCTGGCTATTTCCCTTCTCAGTGAAGATAAGAAAAGAGCAGGTTAGGAAATATTTATGTTTTGGGGGCTACAGGAGCAGAATGAACAGAATAATTGGCCAAATCAGGGAAAAGTCTTCCTTAAGTTTAAGTGGATACAGGCTGTTTCTTATTATAGGTTGAGTATTTTTTATCTGAAATTTCTGGGACAGAAATGTTTCAGATTTGAGGTTTTTCAGATTTTGAAGTATTTATATTTACAGAATGAGATATCTTGGGGGATAAGACCCAAGTCTAAACGCAAAATTCACTTATGTTTCATACACATCTTGTACACCTAGGCTGAAGTTAATTTGATACAATATTTTAGGTAATTTTGTGCATGAAACAAAGTGTTGACTGTGTTTTGACTGGGACCCACCACATGAGATGAGCTGTGAAATTTTCCACTTGTGGTGTCGTGTCAGTGCTCAAAGAATTTAGGCTTTTGGATTTTCAGATTAGAGATGCTCAGTGTTTATGATAAATAACAATTTCTTCAGTGTTTACTAGCAAAGATAGGAAGCTTCATGAGATATTCCTAATTTACTCTTAATTTATTTTTTACAACTGCATGTTTGGTATTTGACATTATCTTTCTTCTCTTAGCCCATTGGTTGGCAATCTATAGCCCATGAGCCAAACCCAGCCCATCACCTATTTGTACACAGCCCATGTGTATTAACCTCATCTTTTCTATATTCTGAGGCTTTGACATCTGGAGCCTTGGTAACACTGGAGATTGCCTCTCCTAGGATTAGCTAACTCCTAAAGATGAACTCACCCATGAGTGTGATTTTCAAATACAAACCAACCAAATCCAGAGCCCACAACCCCAATCATCTCCTTTATTGAGCTTTCACACTCCAGGCATTTATCCACCTGCCCTAATTACCCCAGGACCAGGTATCAGACAACCAGGCATAGTTTTTATCCCCAGAGCCCACTGTAATTATTCAAACCAGCCAAGCTTAAACCTGCATATCTAGCTTACTCCATTCCTTTCCACAAAAATCACAATAAAGGCTCTAGCAATCTTTCCCTCCCCCTTTGCCTCCTGACCAGCCCCAATGCTTCCAACACACAGGCCCTGTGTGGGCCCCCAAGGTGTGACATGCCTCCTTCTCTTGGGAGCTGCGAGTAACAAGTCACAAACTATGTTTTCTTTCTTCTTTTTTGTTTGTTTGTTTTGAGACAGAGTCTCACTCTGTTGCCCAGGCCAGAGTGCAGTGGTGCGATCTTGGCTCACTGCAACCTCCATCTCCCAGGTTCAAGTGATTCTCTTAGTTCAGCCTCCTGAGTAACTGGGACTACAGGTGTGCACCACCACACCCAGCTACTTTTGTATTTTTAGTAGAAACAGGGTTTCACCATGTTGGCCAGGCTGCTCTGAAACTCCTGACCCCAAATGATCCACCCACCTTGGCCTCCCAAAGGGCTGGGATTACTGGGATGAGCCACTGCGCCTGGTCGACAAACTGTTTTTGAAGGCAATCATCTCTCAATCTGTTGGCCTTCCTGGAGCTCAAATTTTCTATTAATACACTATCTTTTAAAACATCATGAGCTAAGAATGGCTTTTACATTCATACATGCTTGAAACAAATCAAAAGACTGTTTCCTGACACATGAAAATTATGTAAAATTCAAATTTTATTGGAACCCAGCCATTGTCATTCCATTACACATCATCTGTGGCTGCGTTTGTGCTATGATGGTAGAGTTGCAGAGTCGTGACAGGAAACTTATAGTCTATAAAACCTAAAATATTTACTATCTTTACAGAAATAGTTTGCTGACTCCTGCCTTAATGTATAGACATGTTTGCTATTTTATTGGTTTACTTAAGCTATAAACTTGTGTAACCCATTGCTTTCTATGTATAGTATAGATCTGTTTATAATCTGAAAACTTCAGAATCTCTAGGTCTAGGTTTCTTCCTATAGTCTATCCCAAATTACTGAGCCTCCAGTGTTTTATTGATTTTTTAAATGATCCTTAGTAAAAATATTTTACATTGTGACTCAAGACACTCACATAAATAATAGAAACAAATTTCATGAAGCATTACTCATTCTTAATGTGTGAATCACTTTGACAGTTTCCGTTCTCTTCTACTCCAGTTTTTTAAAGTACCAGTCAAAAATCTACCAATTTCACACCCCACTTATGGGTCAATGCACACATGTTAATAAACATCATGAATCTAACAGATTCAAATCTAAACAACACAAAATGTTTCTCTTCTACACTGTCTACCAAGGAAGACGAGTACAGAAACAGCAATAAAGTTTAGATGATATGAGTTTAAAAGAAGTCTTTAGAAGCAAAGAGGGATAGAGCTATTTTTTTTTCATGGCATTGTTGGGTAGTTTCATCAAGAAAGATCTTGAAAGATGGTCAGGAAATCCTGGTAGAGAAGAAAAAATTGGGGGAGGGCACAACTCGCCCCATGTCAGAATGACATGCTCTGTAACAGAAACTCCACAGGTTAAGAACAAGGTCTTAAGAAATTTTTTATTTCTAGTCCCTAGTGTAATGTTTTACACAAAGTAGTTGCTCAGTAATTGTTTGTTATGTGTCCACTGAGTAATTGCTCCAGGACCTATTTGAGCCCAACTCTACCCACCTCTAAATATGTAAATTTGAGTTCTTATATCCTATTTTTTCCCACTACTTTTCACTCCTATTGGGTCATTTTAATTAATGCAACTGACTTTTTTTGAAGGTATACTGTGGTTAATGTTTGAAACCAAGATCCCAAATTTGTTTCTACTGCTCTGGCTGCCATGTTTGATTCTTAAGAAATTCATCAGAAGGGACCCAGCATTCAAACCCACACTGTGTTGCTGGTAGGCTTCCACTGTGAATCTCTTTGTTTGGTCTATCAGCCTCAAGGATCTTCTGTATGTGAGCTTAAGACCTCGAGAGGCCAGGCCAGGGCTGCCTGCTCTACACTTCCTTTTTCTGAATGCACCCGGGCCCACTCGCCTGTCCCTCTTACTACAGAGAAGCCAGGAAGAAACAAATGGATTTCTGCCTCTTTACACTCACATTCCAAAGGTTCTGCTTCTACATGATGCCATGTGAAGTCCAGTGCCCCTCCAAGACTCCCAAGATTCTTCATGGTCCCTTTGGCTCTGAGTCCTAGCTTTTCATGAACTCGTGATATCACTTGTGTTTGTTTCCTGTGATGGGTTGTCTCTTTTCTTTACCCCATTTCCAGGATTCGTCATTCACCCCAACCCAAGCCAATCCACAAGGCTTTTCCCCAGAATTTGGGATAGTGGAGATGTATGTCACCATAAGTCTAGCTGTTCTTTTCGTCCTAAATATTATCTGCTTCTCTGTTTTCTAGGTCAGGCATGTCACTCTCTTCCGGTATGCCTTAAAAATCAATAGCTTGCTTTATTAAGCAGAAAATAGCAGAGTTCGCCTTCCTTGTAGTTCTGGGCCTCTCTGCCTGTACCAAACTCATCCATTCTGGACAAAATAAATTGTTCGTAATGGGTTTCTCCATTTCAGCAGTGTACTAAGGGGGTGATGGAGGATGGGAGTGGTCTGCCCTGGGTGCAATAAGGGAGCGCCTGGGTGTAAATAATTTAAAAGCAATAATAAACTCAACTGAATATTCATCTGCTTTCTATTATCACCATGTGCCAGCAATTCTAACAATCTCAGCAATAAAATACTCCTCCCCACTGGAACCACTCCCACTGTTACCCTTGCCCAGTAGGACCCACTCCCACTGGTACCCTTGCCCACTGTGCTCCACTTTGGTAGGCACTGCTCCAGTTAGGAACACAAAACATGCAGGCACCTTGAAATGTCCATTGTTCTCATCCGCTCTGCCAGGGAGATTTCATTTTTCAAAGATAGAAAACTTCTTCCTTCCTGGAATTCTTTTTTCCATTGGCTTCTATGCCACTGCTCTCTCCTGGTTTTTCTCCACTGCCTCTACCTGTATTTCCTTAGTCTCCTTCCAAAGTTCCCCCTTCTCTGTGATAGACTCCTTCCCTGAACTAGTCAGGAAGTAGGCATGGTTAGTTGATTCTAAGGAGGTACTTACATGAGCAACCCTTGCCCAAACTTTGCCATGCAAATGGAGCCGAAGGAAAAATAGAGAAGCATCATGTTCTGGAGAGGGTTCCAAGGCATAGCAAGAGAAGTGTTTCCAAAATGGGGACTTGAATTGAGCAAGAAGAGACAGAGTGAGGGAGGCAAGGCTAGTCATCTGCTATGTGATGAAGGCAGCTCTCCTGAGGTCTGCTGCAAAAACATTCTATGCTAGATTCATGTGTAGGATTTCAGGAATGAGACAAAGGATACAGCCAAACAGTCTTTGGCAGAATTATATTACTCCACAGCTCAGCAGAAGGTTTGAATCTAGATAATTGAGGTGATGGTGGGAGTTTCTAGGTCGGAAAGGCAAAGAACTAGGAAAAACACTGGGAGTAGGTGACCAACCACAGCAGCCTGTGTGTTCCTCTCATCTTATATCCCCCAAATGAGAGCTGCTCGTCAGTAGTGCCCTATCTCACATATGGCCAGCTAGGGTGAAGCAAAAAGCAATCCACAAGCTGCCTAATGGCCCAATATGTATCAAGGTCTTTATCTAGAAGTAAGTGTCTAAAGAGTATCTCAGCACTGTGGACATGGCCAGAGGGCAGGGTGCAACTTCAACACCTTGGAGAGTGGCCACAGGTGTTGCTGATGTCTGGGAGGGAAGAGAAACAAGGAAATGCAGCCTCTTCTATCACATGCACTTGTAAGGCAGAAAAAATCTAAACACCCACACTATGGGCACTAGCAAGGAAAGGAGTCATTCTCTCAGATCGGGAGGGAGAACTCTCTGATCTTTCACTACCTTCCATGAGGTTTATCATTCGGAGACACGAAGCATCAGTCACTCTGACCCCACATGCAGCAGGCACCTGAGGCCTTCCCGAAGTGGGTCCTCAGCACCCACTTTATTCCACTTCACTTCCACTGTGGGAGGTTGAGTTCCATGCAGTATCTAGCTACATCCACATATCCGTGCCTCCCTTCTCTGCTTTCCCATTCACGTCTCCATTCACCAAAGGCTGGCTCTGCACTGGCATCTGACATCCCCACATGGACTGCTGTAATCAGATAGGAAGCTCCAGTCAACTGAAGCATCTCCAAGAATCTGAGTGGCTACCAGGCTGCAGGAAGGAATCAACTCATCTCTTTGGGTGCCCTACCAAGACAGACAAGAAGAACACTACAAAAAAAAAAAAAAAAAGAAAATCATATGTGATGAGGGTACTTTATTTATATATTGGAAGAATTGGTGTAAAATTTTGAGAATGAGGACTCCTTAAGAAGACATAAAATCCAGAAGTTATAAATGATTAGATTGGTATATTATACTATCATTTTTTAATGTTTATGATAAAAGTTACCAGAAAGAAAATGCAAATGATAGCGCAGACAAAATACTTTTAATACATGTGATACACAGGTTAGTATACCTAATATACAAAGAATGCCTACAAATTTATTTTAAAACAGACTAAAAGAAAAATGGGCAAAGGAGTTGAACAGGCCATTGATAAAATGAAGAAATGCAGATAACTAACAAACCTACAATAGGAAACTCAATCTCACTAGTAGGGAGATGTAAATTAACACAAAAATGAAATAGTTTTCACATCTAAGATTGGCAAATATTTAAATAATTTTAGTAAAAAAGATTTCTATTTTTACTGATTTAAATTGATACATAATAGATGTACATGTTTTCAGGGTGCTTGTGATAATTTGATATGTTCATACAATCAGCAGTGTAACTGGGATATCTATCACGTCAAACATTTATCTTTTTTTCATGCTAGGAACATTTGAATTGTTCTCTTTTAGCTATTTTGAAATGTACAATAGATTAATATTAACTATATATGGTCACCCTATTGATCTATTGAACACAGGTCTTATTTCTTCTAGTTGCATATTTGTAACAAAAATTTAAAAGAGCTAACATGCAGAACTGACAAAGAGGAAGGAAATAAAAACGCCTATGATTGTTGGTGGTGAGTGAATCCCTACACTTTTGAAAGATACTTGGACATTTATTTATTTATTTATTTTGAGATGAGTGTCACTCTGTTGCCCAGACTGGAGTGCAGTGGCGTGATTTTGGCTCACTGCAACCTCTGCCTCCCGGGTTCAAGTGATTCTCCTGCCTCAGCCTCCCGAGTATCTGGGACTACTGGTGCACGCCACTATGCCCAGCTAATTTTTTATTATTATTATTTTTAGTAGAGACAGGGTTTCACCATGTTGGCCAGGCTGATCTCAAACTCCTGACCTCAGGTGATCCACCCTCCTTGGCCTCCGAAAGTGTTGGGATTACAGGTGGGAGCCACCGCCTCCAGTCGTTACTTGGACAATTTCTAATAAAATCACAAATCCACATACCTATCGGACTAGAAATCTCATTTTGAGGATCTATTCTACAGATAGAAAACAAGCAGTGTTTAGATGCAAAACAAACAATGATTTTAATGGCAAAAGGAGGTAAAATTGTCAAAGGGAAATTTTCCACTTACACTTGCCCCAGAAGATGACAACATAAAATTAGATATTTCATTCCAACTGATTGAGAAAGAACCATGAAATTGAGTGACCCTAAGAAGACAGACCTAACAGAACTACTGGAAGATCTTTGCTGACCAGTGAACAATGGAAGAGACACATGGACTCATTCAACCCTTAATTAGCATCCTAGCCTGAACTCTCCCTTTCCTAGCACTCAAACCCTCCTAACTTTTCCCCTCTGCAAAGTTCTCAGTGGATGTATTCACTGACGTGTACTCCTTGCCAGGCACTTTAATAAACGTTTTATTTTTTTCAATGCTCTTGTGGTTTTTGTCTTATTATTTGGCCAGAAAAATTAAACCACATGAGTTATGATTTGGACATGCTAAATTGTATTGCCCACAGGATGTGTCCTGGAATGAGGCCAGCAGGCAGTTTCAGGTCTGTACCCAAAGCTTGGCTTAGGTGTTTGGGAAGAAGTAGATCAAGAAGCCACCAGCAAAGAGGTGTTAGTTGAAGCCAAAGATAGGAATAGGATACCAACTAAGCGAAATGTGTTGCTGAGAAGATAAGAAGGCTTGGGTGAAAGCACTGGAAGATTTTCTAAAAGATGCCAAAGCATAAAGGATGAGTGAATATATGATCATTTAATTGAAGCGTTCTATGTTTATTCTTTACTTGCAGCCAACCTCCAATGCCCAGTACCTCCTGTTGCTTATAGTTTTAGACTGTTTTGTCTCTTTACACATAGTAATTTTTTTTCCAGACTTCATTCAGCAAACCAGGGAGCCATCTGGCCACCTCATGATGGAAAAAGCATAAATGTTCTGGGAGGTTCCCTATAAATTATCATTATTGTGCAGCACTGATAAGGAAACAAGATCTGTCTGTGTTTTAAGGAGGACTCTCAGTCCTCAGGTTTATGTAAAAGGAATATATCTTCATTTAGATTTAACTTAATTTCTATGTGGAGCCCCACTCTTGCCTCTTTTCCATGGGAAGAATCCCAATATCTTCAGGTTTACCCTGACCCCAGCCACACAGAGGTCACCTTAGTCCTTTCAAGTGAGGCAGCAGCTCTCTACTTCCTCTGTGCCTTTCTTGAGAATCAACTTTATCTTGCTGGGTGGCATGGCTCACGCCTGCAATTTCAGCACTTTGGGAAGTGGAGGTGGGCTGATCACTTCACCCCAGGAGTTCGAGACCAGCCTGGGTAACATGGTGAGACGCCCGTCTCTACACAAAATTAAAACATTAGCCAGGCGTGGTGGCGTGCATCTGTAGTCCCAGCTAAGATTGTGCCACTAGACTCCAGCCTGGGCAACCGAAAGAGACCCTATCTCAAAAAAAAAAAGAAACAAAAAACATCTATTTCCCCTTGCTGCCTGCTCACTGGCCTCAGGCCCCCTAAGACCCTCTGGAGTCCTATCATCCTTTGCTCTTCCCCACTCCCCCAAGAACTCTGCCTGGGTAGCACCATGCATGGCCTGTCTCCTCAGGACCTACCCACTGCTTTGCGCCTCTGGGGCTTGGAAATCACTAGGAGGCTATGGCCATTCCTTTCTGGGATCTTCCTAACCTTTCAGACTCCAACACCAGACTTCCTCCCAGCCCCATACCACTGAAGAGAACTCTGATTTTCGACTCAAACGCATTCCCTCTGCTATGATGTTCAGCCTCAGAGGCATCTGAGTGTGGGCTTTAGCCAGAGGTCAGCAGATTGTCTTTTGCTGTTGTGCTCCTCCCCTAAGGCAGTTGATTTAAACAGGTCTACCTTCTTGAATGGAGGTGGTAAGGGGGAAAGTTCAGAATTTTTTAAATGAAATATGCAAGGGAAGAAAACATCAATTAGTATCTCAAAATATTCTAATAGTTGTGTTTACTTATATCTCCAGATCACTCTGTTGTACCCCAAACAGACTCTTATATCAACTGCCAACTCACCATGTCCACTTGGATATCCAAGGGAACATGATAGGATGTGATTTTTGCCCTTTTGAGCATTAAAAATTTTCAGTGGCACAGAACTCCTGACACAAAGGAGAATTAGAAATAACTCAAATCTACACTTGAGCAAGACATATATGGTTTGTTTCTGTGGAGAAAACATCATCTTTCTAGTATCTCCTCACCACAGAGAAGAGCCCTACACCAACTGGGGACCTAGGTACTGTGTGCAGAGAGTAACGTCCTGAAAGCATTAAGGGAGTGCTGTCAGGTGGATAGTGATGGCTTCTGATTGTCAGTTGGAGGGTGCTATGCTAATTGGGAACTTTGTGACTTAAACTTAAAAAAATATTTTTTTAAATCAAAGAAACATTTGTAGAGGCAGGTTCTTGCTATGTTGCCCAGACTGGCCTCAAACACCTGGCCTCAAGAAATCCTCCCATCTCAGCCTCCCAAAGTGCTGGGATTGCAGGTGCGAGCCACCATGCCCAGCCAAGAAATGATACTGAAGAGCCCAAGGTATTTGTTAAATTTGTGGAATGGAATTTTTTATATATATATATATATATATATATATATATATATATATATATATATATAAATAAATAAAATATATGTACATACATGGATATAAAATATAAATTATATATACACATATAATTACATGCATATATACATATATAAAATATAATTAAATATATTACATATTATATACTATATATGTTAAATTTGTGGAATGTAATCATATATGTATATAACATATAATATAGATAATATATATAATATATACACATACACATATGTGTATATATGTATATATGTATATATGTATATAATATGTTACATAATTTATGTAATTATATATTATATATACATAATATATTTATTATATATGTAATTATGCATTTTAAAAATATATATATTGGTTGTAGGGATGGAGGTGGGAGAAATCTCTCAATCAACAAAATAGGAATAAAATTCCTAGTGCCAACTAAGGTAGAGGGCAGATCTTTATACTTTCAGGGATCAATTCTATAGTAGGTTACTAGAGAAATGTTTCTGAACAGAGTAGGGGGAGAAATCTCAATGAAAAGCTGCAGTAGCTCTCCTGAGCATGAAGCTGGCAGGTGGTGCCACCTGGTGGTAGCCACTGCTTGCTGTCGATGACCGTTCTTTGCTCCTTGGACAAGGATAAGAGAGAGAGAGAACACAAGCTGCGGGTTCCTTTCTGATGTGATTGCTTGTATTTTGTTCTTCACTCTCAGGGATTGTTCCTTTCACTTTTCCATAAAGGAAACGGGTAACATCTAGTATCTTCTTTATTTCAGTTTTCTTATGGCCATACTAAGGATGCATTTGACAACAAAACTCTCAAAAAGATAAATTGAAGGTGTATCTCTTTCTTGGCTTGCTCACCCTTTACCAAAAACTTCCTTTTTCAAGTAAAGCAGTTAGTTCTTTGCTTATTTTTATATAACAATATATGATACTGTTTTAATTTTAAACATGTCTTCTCACTAAACATCCACATCAGTACATATGTATCTAATTAGTTTTTATCTTCTGTATAGTATCTTAAGATATGAATAAATTATGGTATATTTATTTAGCCAGTGATGTGCCATAGTATATTTAACCATTGGCTTTCTCTCAGTGCTTTCAATTCTTTGCTAGAACAAGCAGTGCTTGCAATGAACATCGTTGTATGTTTTCTGCACATCCATGAGTTTTCCTTAATAGTAAATAAGATGTGGAATTGCTGGGTCAAAGAGTATCTATACTTTAAGTTCTAAGCTACTACCAAAATGTCTTTCAATTCAGCACTGAGATTTTATACCCCCCGTAAACAGTGTGTGGAGTACATATCTGGTCCCCACTTCCGTTCTTTCTCTCTGCCTCTTTCTCTTAATCTCACTCTTTCTCTCTTTCAACCTGGACAGAAGAAATAACACCTTATTACCACTCTAATTTAATTCCCCTTTTTACTAACTAGATTGAAATGATTATATTTCATGGTCATTCATATTTTTTCTTCTGCAAATGTCTATTAATATATGTATACAGCTCAATACTGAATTGTGCATGCTTTTCTTTTTTGCATGCACATCTTTGTATATTCTGAATATTAATTCTTGGTTGGACCAGTCTCGTCTTTAATTTTGTTTATGATATGATATTCAGAAGTTATCAATACTGATAGAATCAGGTTTATCAATCTCTTCTTTCATGTTTCTTTAAATTTGTGTTTTAAGAAGACTTTACGTACCTTTTATATTTTTTCTATGACTTTATGTTTATATTTATTTAACAATCAAGTATATGTTTCTATAAATGGTTCAAGGATCTATCTTAACCTTTTCCTGAGTGTATAAACAGTGTTTGTTGACTAGTTTACCTTTCTGAACTGATTTGAATAGGCAATTTTTTCACATTCTAAATTTTAATATACTCAAAGGTCTTGAGCTGAGAAGAAATATCTAATTTTTTATTTTTTTAATTTTTATTTTTATTAAAAATTTTTTTTTCGAGACAGAGTCTCACTCTGTCACCCAGGCTGGAGTGCAGTGGTGTGATCTTGGCTCACTGCAACCTCCGCCTCCCAGGTTCAAACGATTCTCATGTCTCAGTCTCCTGAGTAGCTGGGATTACAGGCATGTGCCACCACACCTGGCTAATTTTTGTATTTTTAGTAGAGATGGGGTTTCACCATGTTGGCCAGGCTGGTCTTGAACTCCTGACCTCAAGTGATCCACCCGCCTCAGCCTCCCAAAGTGCTGAGATTACAGGCATGAGCCACCATGCCCAACTTAAATTTTTATTTTTTTAGAGACATGTTCTCACTCTGTTACCCAGGCTGGAAGCAGTGGCGCGATCATAGCTCACTGCAGCCTCATACTCTTGGGTTCAAGTGATTCTCCCACCTCAAGCTCCTGATAAGTAAGGACTAAAGGCATGCACCACTACAATTGCCTATTTTTTTTCTTTTTTGTAGAGGCAGGGTCTCACTATATTTCCCAGGCTGGTCTCAAACTCCTGGCCTCAAGCGATCCTCCTGCCTTGGCCTTCCAAAGTGCTGGAATTACAGGCATGAGCCACTGTGCCTAGCCCTGAGAAGAGATACCTTGAAGTAGATATGCAAGTTTGGGAGAAATTGGCATTTACATGATATTTGGAGGATATAACAAGTGAAATCAGTCTCCTAGAGGTACTGTGTAGAATTAGAAGAAAATAAAGGTGATAGAAGACACAATTGAAGGAGGACAGGACATGGGGTAAAGATACAATGTGTGCTGCATCAAAGCTCCCTGTGGGAGCTGCATTCCTACCCTAGGAGGGTATAGAAGCCGCACCCAAAGCACAGGCTCCTGCCTTCAGATTTTGCTCAGATCACCCCAATGGCTCCGGTGGCTCTAATTTGTCCTTTCACATCCCTGAGTCCTTGAACAGAACTTAACTCCTTTCTAGCACCACTTGCGGAAGGAGAGGTTGGTTCTTACAATTGAAAGGCACTATCAACATTTACAGCATTCAGGCCACAGATGCAAAAAAATCATATGGGGCTGGGGCACGGTGGCTCATGCCTGTAACCCCAGCACTTTGGGAGGCCATGGTGGATGGATTGCTTGAGGTCAGGAGTTCAAAACCAGCCTGCCCAACGTGGTGAAACCCTGTCACTACTAAATATACAAAAATTGGTTGGGTGTGATGGCGCACGCCCGTAGTCCCAGCTACTTGGGAGGCTAGGGCACGAGAACTGCTTGAATCCGGGGGGCAGAGGTTGCAGTGAGCTGAGATGGTGCCACTGCAGTCCAGGCTGGGTAACAGATCGTGCTATTGCACACTGCACTCCAGCCTCCACAGAGGGAGACTCTGTCTGAAAAAAAAAAAAAATACAATGTCGGAAACATTTTGCACAAATGCATAATTGTCCTTCTGAAAATGCCAAAAACACGTTCTTTGAGAAACCCCAGAAGAGAGATTGGTAAGGAAGCAATTGCAAATCTACTGGGAAAATGAAGACTGAACCAGAGCAGTGGCAAAGCCTCCAGGGGAGAGAATGGGTTGAAGGATGATTTATGGGGTAGTCTCCACAGGACTTGGTCTCAGTTGGATGATCAGGGTAAGCAAGAGAGAGGAGTCAATGAAGATTCCCGAGGATGTGGTATGAGCAGCTGGGTGGCTGTTTCATCCAAGATAGAAATACAGAAGCAGGTCTACATAGGTAGGAAATGTTAATTTAGTTTAGAACATTGTGAATTTGAGGTCGCTGTGGGGAGATTGTATGGGGATGCCCAGCAAACCAAGAGTTTCTGCACATGTAAGAAACAGGTATGGAAAAAATTCACACATGAGAGACAGGGAACAGGCAGGCTTAGAAACCACTCATGGCCTACATGTTCAGATGGATTAGTAGCATCTGAGGGAAATGCTCCAGCAACACACACAGACCCCTGGTTCCTAAGCCAGCCATGGTTCCCCAAGGCAGCTTACCTGGGACCTTGAGAATCCAGCATGTGGAGAGTCTGGGCTGATCTTGACTCTCCATGTGGGCCCTCCCTGATATGGAGCTGAACCAAACCTTGGCAAGCCGAGTAAAAATTCAGTAACACTGGAGCCTTCACAACCCATGTCTCTCCTGGGGAAAACAGCAGAGATTAGGAAAGACAGTGAAACCAACTTATCATCAAGTTCTATCACATGTGCATGGGTGGCCACAACTATGGGATCTCACTTAATGTCATCAAGGACATGAACTTGATATGGATTATGATTTTTTCAGTGTTATACGAAATCCTCAGCAAATTCACCTTCATCTTCTCCCTACCTACAGACTACTGCATCTAGCTCCTTCAGCAACAAAAATCTGGGCTGCCACCAACCCCATCACTGATGCTTCCTGGAGCCCATATTCTTGTCCTGAAGCCTTGCCAGGGATGTGATGTTGAGTCCAAGCAGGAAGGGTTCTCAGAACATTCCTCTTGGCTGAAAGAGACTGGACTGTGACTGGCTGTCAGGCCATGATTTAGTGGGTAGCAATGTGCCCCCTGCCTCTGCCTTCCTAAGAAATTCTACTCAGTATCGTTCAGGAGGAAAATTGCTCTGTTCATTTCTTTTGTTTCTGCTCACATATTCTTCCGCTGGCTTTGGAGCACTCTTGAGCTTTTCCTTCTTTTCCCCTGTTCAGTAGTCTCCCTTACAGGCGAAGGATTGAGTCCTAAGACTCACTTTCTCCTTTCCGTGATGGTAACTACTCTCTCTCCAATGTCAAACCAGGGAAGAGACCCACGATTTAAGACAGGCCTTGCTGAGTCATTCACAGAGGGCTTTCCAAAGGGAGTAGCACTTATGCCAAATGGGTGAGATCAAACCACTTCTGGCGCTCTCGGCTTTCATTTTTCTTTCTTTTCAAAACATCTTTGTTCAGTTTTTCAAAATGCAGTTCTCTTACCACCTGTGTCCAATTGTCCTGGGACTCCTGTGAAAATTGCAAATTCCTGTGCTTCACCCCAGACCAGACCTATTCAATCCAATCTCTTGAGGGTGGAGCTTAAGACTCTCCAGGTTAAACAAGCACTCAAGCAGATTCCTAAGTACACAAGATTTGAGAACTGTTATAGGCTGAGAATTTTGATAATAAATTAACATCTGGTTTTATTTAATTCAGCCTCAAAATCTCTCAGACTAGTGCAAGGCTGGAATTTTTCTCTTCTTTTCTTTCCTTTTTTTTTTCTTATTTTCTTTCTTTTCTTTTCTTCTTAACAGCAAAAGGATTTCTTCAAATGTGATCTCAGCCAGAGCTGCTCTGGCTGGGGAGGGAAGAGGTAAGGATTGGTGCTCCACCCTCCGATTTCCACCTTAGCAAACTTTCTCTCTTCCTGGCCCTGAAAAGCACAGATTTAGGGATTTGATAGGCCTGGTTTGAATCAAACACTCATCACTCATTTAGCTGAGCAAAGTGACCTTGGACAAGTTATCAAACTAATGTTCTTCCTATAAATTTGGAACCATTAATAATAGCTAACACAGAGAGTTCTCTCCAGCATGCCCTTGACCTGAATGCATTCCCTTGGTTGGCTGGGTACCAAGGCCCATCAGACTGGAGCCCTCAGCTTTTGTCTCCTCAGTAGAGAAAAAGGTGGGGGCATAGCCTCAATCAAATACTGTTTAGTTAGATTTCTGCCACGTCAAAAGTTTATTCCCTATAAAATTCTGTCCCTACAATTGCCAGCATTTCACATCTTTTCTGATAAGTTGGCCTAAGGAATGTTGGTGCCATTGGCTAAAATCTAGTGGCTAGTAATTGGCTGTTTTTTTTCTTTTTTTTTTTGAGACAGGGTCTCTTTCTGTCACCCAGGCTTGAGTGCAGCGGCACAATCATGGCTCACTGCAGACTCAAACTCCCAGCCTCAGGCAATGCTCCTGCCTCAGCCTCCTGAGTAGTTGGGATCACAGGCACATGCCACCACACACAGCTAATTTTTTTAAAATGATTTGTAGAGATGGAGGTCTTTCTATGTTGCCCAGGCTGGTCTTGAACTCCTGGGTTCAAGCAATCGTCTTGCCTTGACCTCCCAAAGTGCTGGGATTACAGGCATGAGCCACCATGCCCATAAAACTTTCTTAAATAAATACTAATCAATAGTGTCCAAAACACTTTTCTCTAAAAATAAAAAAACTTGTTTCAAAGCATTTGCTAAGACAGTATGTTGCTGCAATTTTTCCAAAACGTCAATGAAGAAATCACTTTATCACTATCAAAAAGTGAGTGGTGTGTTTTACAACTAATACAAGTGACATGGCTACCCTGTGAGGGATTATTTCTAAAGTGTGTTACTGGAGAGTTATTTCTGGACCTGCAGCTCACTCATACCAACAGCGTTAATACTCATTCATACCTCAGCGTTAAAGCTGAGAGCATGCACATGGCAAGCCTGGGCTGACACCTAAGTACTGTTCTCTTTTTCCTTTGGGCAAGTGAAAGGCAGAAAATACAACCTAAGTCATTAATTTCTAAGATCTAAGTTTTAGTTAGTTGTTCAATCTTTTCATCCTTTTTAAAAAGACTATCAAGAGATCTGTTGATGATTTCTTGTATAATTTAATTCATTTTTTGTTACATTTTTAAAATCACAAGTGCATCTTTGCTAATAATTTCAAGGGATATAAACATGTTCAAGCACTTTATACAGATCAAGCGATTATTTTTCCTGCAAATTTAATTTTGAATGGTAATATAGGGTTTTATTTGGCTATTTTTTTAAAAACACACACACACACAAATTACATATCATAGTTGACTAACAGCATAGAAAACACTTGGTTTGTTTCCATACAACATTCCAGAGTTCATCCAAAAAAATGTTTGCATGAGATTTCCTCGGCTTTGGTGTCCCGAGGGCAGGAAGAATGTGCCCTCATTGCCTCGCAGAGCTCCCAGCCTAGTAGTAACTCAACATATATTTACTAAACAGGATGAAGGAAGGGTTAATAATGAATACATGATGAAGCAAAGTAAATAGGCCTCAAAGCTTGAGGAACAGGGAGTTTTCTGAGCTCAGAATTGAAGGTAGAGGCCAGGTGTGGTGGCTCATACCTGTAATCCCAGCACTTTGGGAGGCCGAGGCGGGTGGTTCACTTGAGGGCAGGAGTTTGAGACCAGCCTTGCCAACATGGCAAAATCCTGTCTCTATCAAAATACAAAAATTAGTCGGGCATGGTGGCAGGCGCCTATAGTCCCAGCTACCCGGCAGGCTGAGATGGGAGAACCCCTGGAGCCCGGGAGGCAGAGGTTGTAGTGAGCCGTGATTACTCCACTACACTCCAGCCTGGGAGACAGAACAAGACTCTGTCAAAAAAAAAAAGGTGGATAGCCTGCCTGCTGTGGTGATCAAGCCTTATTCTAACCTGTTTTGTTGTAACTAGCTCAGATTTCACTACATGCTTGGGAAGAGGCAAGGGCTTAGAAACAGAAAATCTTAGACCGACTATGCAAGGAAGCCCTCACTGTATTCACAGACAGTGCTATCTCTGAGACATCTGAAAGACAGTCCTTGAAATTTGAGGAAATGGACCATGGTTCCTTAGTGACTTCAGCCTGAAAGACTAATCCCAACCCCAAGTAGTGAGCGCAAAGGTATTTGATGAACTTCAGCTGTCCTAACAGGAATATTTGCTTCAGAAATATTATCACCTGGATCCTGTTATGATTCATAAGCATGATGACTGAGTTTTCACACTCCTGTGTGAGATGTGCCTCCCTCTAACCTTATTACAACATTGACATCTTACTCATTTGACATGAAAAAAATAATATTATCACCTGAACTTCAAGTGTGACTCCAGCAGCTGCCATAAACTTCTCTCAACTCTGGATCTAGCTTGTAGGACTAAATTAACCATTTGTAGTTTCTGGGCAATGTAAGTAGGAAGTGGGTTTTGTTATTGTTATTATTATTATGCACACTTCCTATAGTAAATATTTTTTGTTTTTGTTTTTTGAGCTCCTACACGTCTTGCTGGGTATACCAAGAATGCAAGGCCCTCAGCCCTCTTTACCCAGGACATTTCTCAGGTGTGGGTTTGCTGTGGCCAACCATAAGAGATGAGGTTGTGTCACTTGAAATAAAGAATAGGTGTGTTTATTGCTTCCCGTAAAAGCAGCATATTCCTTAAGCTCAGTGCTCCTTCACTGTGAAATGAACTTACTATGTGGGCACCATTCATCTGGGCCTGTGGTGTCACCCATCTGGGACTTGAGGACAAGGGGAACCTTTGCAAACATGCTGATGCTCACGCTATGTCATGAATAATAAAGTGCTTTGTCTCCAGCCCAAGAGTCTATGTCTTCTACCAGTGTTCATGAAACAAGATGCTAACTTATTTACTTTTAAAGTAGGGTAAAATCAAGTCCCAGCTCCTTCAATTTTGTGTTACTTTTATAATAGCAAATCAGTTGCTATGATTACAAAATTAGAAAATATTCTTTTCTAACAAATTGTTATTTCCTTCCAAGATTCTCTTGGTAGCCATGATTAAAAAGCACTGATACGTTTCTCTAAACAAAAGACAAAAAATGGGATTCTAAGTCATTATATTTAATACTTCATTTCAGATTTTAAAAAATACTGTATTTCTCAAGCTCGTATTCCTCAGCTCTCAGCAAAATTCAGTTTTCTAGTAAAAATAATTCTCCTGCTTAGACTGAGGGTGGGCCCTGCAGCCATCTCTTTCCAAGGTTGGCATCTGCAGTGAGCTCCCCATCTAGCCTCACATATGCCTGATAGTGGGCACAGGTCTCTGTTCACACACTGTGCATTCCTCATCCCCATCCCTCATTATTCAATGGCAGCTAAAGCTGCTAATTTTCCTAGGTCCAGGGGCTTCAACCTTGCCTTCTCTAAACATTGACCTCTATCGTTTCTTCTTAGGGAGAAGCATCATCTTCTCAGAGTCCTAAAACTCATAAGCTCTGGACTTGGGTTAGAAGGTGGGTAGGAAGGAGGAACCCACCAACTCATATTTTTAGAAACTTGAAGGAGACCTGCCTAGGGATCAGCTTGGGGAATGCTAAAACCAATGAACCTCTATCTCAGCAAATTACTCTGTAACATCCATACTCAATGTTTTATTCCTCAACTCCTGTGCCCTCCCTAAAAGGTAAAGGTAATAAATACATAAAAACTGGCAATAAATGGAAACTAAATAGTACCAACACTAAAAACTAAACAGTCCTCACACTAATGATATCATTCAAGTCTCTGGCACTACAGTTGATCTTGAACAATATGGGGATTGGGACACCGACCCCCTCCCACACAGTTGAAAGTCTGTGTATAGGACGGGTGCGGTGGCTCACACCTGTAATCCCAGCACTTTGAGAGGCTGAGGCAGGCAGATCACCTGAGGTCAGCAGTTTGAGACCAGCCTGACCAACATGGAGAAACCCCGTCTCTACAAAAAATACAAAATTAGCTGGGTGTGGTGACACATGCCTGTAATCCCAGCTACTCAGGAGGCTGAGGCAGAAGAATCGCTTGAACCCGGGAGGTGGAGGTTGCGGTGAGACGAGATTGTGTGCCATTGCACTCCAACCTGGGCAACAAAAGTGAAACTCCATCTCAAAAAAAAAAAAAAGAAAAAGAAAAAAAGAAAATCTGTGTATAACTTTTGACTCCCCAAAAACTTTACTAATAGCCTTACTGATAACATAAACAGTTAATTAACACATATTTCATGTTATAGGTATTATATATGGTATTCTTACAATAAAGTAAGCTAGGGAAAAGACAATGTGATTAAGAAAATCATAAGAGAAAACATATTTACAATTCATTAAGTGGAAATGGATCACTATAAAAGTCTTCATCTTCATCGTCTTCATGTGGAGTAGGCTGAGGAGATGGAGGAAGCGGAGGGGTTAGTATTGCTGTCACAGGGGTGGCAGAGGGAGAAGAAAATTTGCATATAAGTGGACCCATACAGTTCAAAGAGTGATGTGGAAGGGAACAATTATATATCCAAAGGCCAGTTTTCAGCTTCCTCTGCCTGGGCATCTCAGGACATCTTTGGCTGTCAGCCAGCCCTCTCCTACCACCTCACTCTCATCAGCTTACTGCCTTCCCGACTCCCTTTGACTCTCTTTCAGACAGCTCCTTCTCTGCATCCCTGCTGCTCATTTCAACCACATATCCCTTAGAAGTTGCTGTTCTCCAGGGCTCTGTCCTGACCCCTTCCTCTCTCACACACAGCCCCTCCTGTGTGGCCTCATCCAGATGGCTCCACTTGCTGTCCCTCTTGCCCAGGTCTGTCTCCTCAACTTCAGGCTCACTTCCAGCCCTCTAGTGGACTTCTTTCCTTGCATGTGACAGACATGCACCCTAAGCTCAATGTTTCCAGCACACATGCAGCCTGTTCCCACAAATCTGCTCCTTCTCCCATCCTCTATCTCACAGAAATGCCACCATCCACCAAATTCCCAGGAAGGAGTCCGGGGGCTTCCCCCATAACCTGTCAATCACCAGGGCTTGTTAATTCCCTGTCCTCAGCGCCCACTTCTACCACCACTTCTCATTCAGCCCCAGGCATCTGAGTCGAGAGCACTGTCACATCTTGCAGGGATCACTGCCTCTACCTCTTAAATTAGCTCCATAAGCTGCAGCTCCAGCCCATTCTCCACTCTGCAGTGACAGGAAACTTTCTGAGATGTAAGCCTGGCCTTGTCATTCTTTTTTAAAAAATTATCTGAACACTCCTCAGTGCCCTCCTGAAGAAGCTTACACTCATTATTATGACTTCCAAATTCCCTCATTCCCTAAACCCAGCCCACCTCCCACTCTCATTTTCTGCTCAGGTAATATGCAAACAAATAAAGCAAGCTGGATTCCTGATTTTTAAGACTTACAGTTGAGCAGGGGAGGAAAATGAAAAAGCAGCAAACAAACCACTGAAAATATATCTATCATGTATGCTAAGTACTATGAAAATAGAAAACAGGAATAACAGGAGACTCCATTTGGAAGGGTGGTCAGGGAGTTCGATTTGCTATTTCTTGAGATTGAGAACCAGGAGGAGGAACAATCTAGGGAAAATTATAAGGATCTGCTTTTGGTAATAAGGATATCTGTAATGCTTTTTTAAAGTATTTGCTGCTGGTTTAAAAATATATGTATATTGTTCAAAGCAGTAACCTTCAGCTTTCTACAAAACTTGTTGTCCAACATAATGAAGACTCCAGGATAACACAGTATTCTACTTCTGTCTTCTAACTGGAGTCTCATGCATGGGGTGAGAGGGGAGGAAAACATTCTCTAATTTATTCTGATTAGTCTTAACCTCTTCTGGCTTCCCTGGTTATATATATATAGTATTATATCCTCAAGACTCAGTTCAAGTCTCCTTTCTTCTGAGAAACTTTCCCAACTGACCTTGCCTGGGCAAAATGCATTCCCATGTGCTATGGCAGTCCACAGAACACACATCCTCCCAGCAATTATCATTTTGTATTATAATGTTGTCTTCAGAGAAAATTATTTCTCTTTGTCCACTTCTGTGACTAGCTTATAGTAGGTACACGTTATTTATCTGCTGACTATGTGGAACACCCAACACATGTACTGTGTGACCTTTGCCAAGTCATTGCTCTTCTGTAATCCTCAGTTTTCTCGTCATTCCAGAATAACACAGCCTACAACGTGGTGGTAAGGCTTAACTGAGTATTGATGTAGTCTTAGTAAGAATTGGGTTACTAAGCAAAATATGATGGCATAAAACTTTCTATTTATGCTCCAATATTTCTTCTCCAGCTTATCATCTTGGGTGGGCAGTGCCAGGCATTCAATTGTAGAAAGAAACACTCTAAAGGGACTCTGTAGAAAAGCTACAGTGGATCCCCATCTTTTACCATGTATAAAAATCAACTCAAAATGGATTGACAACTTATAGGTAAGATCTGAAACTATGAAACCACTAGAAGAAAGCATTTGGGGGAAACACTACTGGACATTGGTCTGGGCAAAGATCTTTTGGGTAAGACCTCAAAAGCACAGGCAATAAAAACAAATATAGGCAAATGGGATTACGTCAAACTAAAATGCTTCTGCATAGCAAAGGATACAATTAACAAAGTGAACAGACAACCTACAGAATTGGAGAAAATCGGAACTCAAGTCAATAGCAAAAAAAAAAAACATCCCACAAATAATCCAATTTTAAAATGGGCAAAAGACATGCATAGACATTTCTCAAAGAATATATACAAATGGCCAACAAATATATGAAAAAATGCTCAAAATCACTATTCATCAGAAAAATGTAAACCAAAACCACAATGAGATATCATCTCACCTCAGTTAGAATGCTTATTATCAAAAAGACAAAAAATAATGGATGCTGGTGAGGATGCAGAGAAAAAGGGAATCCCAGTGCTGTTGGTGGATGGTACAGCACTGTGGAGAAGAGTATGCAGGTTCCTCAACAAACTAAAAACAGAACTATCATAAAATCCCATAATCCTTCTGCTGGGTGTATAACCAAAAGAAAAAAGATTAATATATCAAAGAGATATCTGCACTCCCATGTTTATTGCATCACTATTCACAATAATCAAGATATAGAATAAGCTTAAGTGTCCATCAATGGATGTATGAATAAAGAAAATGTGATATACATACACAATGGAACTCTATTCAGTCATGAAAAAGAATAAAATTATCTCATTTGCAGCAACATGAATGGAACTGAAGGTTATTATATTAAGTAAAATAATCCAGGCAGAGAAGTACAAATATCGCATATTATCACCATATGTGGGAGCTAAAAAGGTGGGTCTCATCGAGGTAGTGCATAGACTGGTGGTTATCAGAAGCTGGGGGGGTGTATGTGTGTTGAGGGAGCAGGGAGACACAGATAAGTTGGTTGAGGGGTATAAAAATACATTTATATAGAAGGGATAAGTTCTAGTATTCAATAGCACAGTGGAGAAACTACAGTTAACAATAATTTACTGTATATTTCAAAATGGCTAGAAGAGAATTGTAATGTTCCCAACATAAAGGTAAATGTTTGAGTTGACGGACATCCCAACCACCCTGATATGATCATTACAGGTTGTATAAGTGTATCAAAATATCACATGTATCCCCAAAATATATACTATGATGTCCCAATTTTTAAAAGAAAGGAAAGAGAGAGACTTTTTAATAAGGGAAAAAAGAGAAAAGCTAGAGGGGACCTAGACCGTCCAGCGTTGCTGTGTGGTGCTGTGGCCACCAGAGGACAGCCTAACCACACATGCTGTGGAACTCTGCCTTCCAGAGCCCTGAGGGTGCAATGTTTTCCACACAGCTGAGAAACAATTTTTTTTCTTCCAGCCACGTGGAGGAAAATCATTGTCAAATATATTACATTATCTCCTACCCATTATAAGTTGATTGTTATAACTGTTTCCTGTGAGTTAGTCTCACCATTTTCTGTCATTGTAGGTATCTGCTTAATATGAAATCAATGCATCTTTTTAGTCATTTTGTAGAGAAAAATGCAAAGGAAGTTGGCCAGTGCCCAGCCAGAAAAGGAAAGAGCCTTAGCCAAGTAATTTGGGGAATTTCCAGGCCCACTGATGAGTCCATTCTGGTGCAGACATAAATGAAGGAAGTTGTAGACAACAGTTGTCAAGTTCTCTGATTCCATTGATGAAATCCTCCCTAATAGGAGACTTAGCTTGTTGCCAATAAACACTTGAAACCTATATTAAACTCCCTTTGTTCCATGTTCATCAAGCAACCCCTTCCATATGTGACATTAAATTTTGCCTTCCGAGAGAGAAAGTCGTGGTCACAAAGACATAAATGTTCTGGTATTCTGGTCAGCATATTATTTTTTGTTCACTTATAAGTTAATAAACTAGCATTTAGTTTTGTCATATCAATTTCAAAAATTTGGTTCATGTAAGTCTGCCCTAAATGATGTATCTATTTAATGCTGTGCTGAAAATCAGGTTCTGGGCTTCCAAAATCAAAAGTCAGACCCAAGGCCATGACAAATTCTCCAAAGTCAATATTATCTGTGAGGCCTTGAAGTATATATTTTGCCTGGATGAAGGAACTTCATGTTGCCACATAAGCTCACCCCCACCACACATACACTCCTTTATTCACTATCTATTACTATTTAATAAATTGCTCCTAAATTAAGCAGCTTAAAACAACAAACATTTATTATTGTACGGTTCTGTGGGTCAGAAATCCAGAAGTGGCTTAGCTGAGTGATTTTGACTCCAGGTCTTTCACAATGCTGCAATCAAGAGGTTGGCTGGGGCTATAGTCAACTCAAGGCTCAACTAAGGGAAGGTCTGCTTGCCAGCTCATTCCTGTGGCAAGAAGCAGCCTTGCTGGCTGTTGGCTGGGGACATTGGTTCCTTGCCATATGGACCTTTCCATAGGGCAGCTCATAACAGGTACCTGGCTTCCCTCAGAGTGAAGCAAAGGAAGTAAGAACTATCATAGTCAGTGCATTTGTGTTTTTATTTTATTTTTTTAAATTTATTTATTTTTTCGAGATGGAGTCTTGCTCTGTCGCCCAGGCTGGCATGCTAGTGGCGCGATCTCGGCTCACTGCCACCTCCGCCTCCTAGGTTCAAGTGATTCTCCTGCCTCAGCCTCCTAAGTAGCTGGGATTACAGGTACGCCACCATGCCCTGCTAATTTTTGTATTTTTAGTAGAGACGGGGTTTCACCATGTTGGTCAGGCTGGTCTCAAACTCCTGACCTTGTGATCTGCCTGCCTCGGCCTCCCAAAGTGCTGGGATTACAGGTGTGAGCCACCACGCTCAGCTGTGTTTTTAAAATAGTGTATTGATTTTCATTGTAAAACCAAAATGTACCTATTACAGAAAATGTAGCTAGAAAAATTGCAAAAGCAGGGAACACGCTTAATCTCACCACTCCATCTATGCTTTGTGATACTTAATCATAAATTCTATGTCTAGGTGAATGTCCAGAAGAGTATGCCCTAGGCTTTATTCTAGGATTTTTGTAGTTTGAGGTCGTACATGTAAGTCTTTAACTCATTTGGAGTTAATTTTTGTATGTGGTGAGAGGTAGTGGTCTAGTTTCATTCTTTGGCATATGGTCAGCCAGTTTTCCCAGCACCGTTTATCGAATAGGATGTCATCTCCCCACTGCTAATTTTTGTAGACTGTTGAAGATTAGTTGGTTGTAGGTATGCGGCTTTATTTGTAGGTTCTCTATTGTGTTCCATTGGTCTGTTTGTTTCTTTTTGTACCAGTACCATGCTGTTTTGGATACTGTAGCCTTGTAGTATAGTGTGAAGTCAGATCATGTCATTCCTCCTGCTTTACTCTTTTTGCTTAGGATTGCTTTGGCTATTTGGACTCTTTTTGGTTCCACATGAATTTTAGAATTGTTTTTTTTTCTAGTTCTGTGAAAAATGATAGTAATTTAATAGGAATGTCGTTGAATATGTAAATTGCTTTGAGCAATATGGACATTTTAGTGACATTGATTCTTCCAATCCATGAGCATGGGATGTTTTTCCATTTGTTTGTGTCATCTATAATTTATTTCAGCAGTGTTTTGTAGTTCTTGTTGTAGAGATTTCATCTCCTTGATTAGGTGTATTCCTAGGTATTTTATGTTTTTGGTGGCTATTGTAAATGGGACTGCATTCTTGATTTGGTTCTCAGCTTGAACACTGTTGGTGAATAGACATACTACTGATTTTTGCATATTAATTTTGTATCCTGAAACTTTACTGAAGTTGTTTATCAGGTCTAGGCGTCTTTTGGTAGCATCTTTACGGTTTTCTAGGAATAGGAGATTCTTTTTTTGGATGTGTTAATACATGAATCAGATTATAGTTTCCTCTTGCTGGCATCTTTAAAATAAGTTTTACAAAAAGCTTTTTTTTTTAATTAGGTGAAGGATATGTTAATTAGCTAAACTGTGATAATCATTTCACATTGCATACATATATCAAATCATCATGTTGTACACCTTAAATATATACAAATTTTTATCTTTCAATCATGTCTCAGTAAAGTTGGAAAAAAAGAATTTTATTATGATCTATACATTTATCTGCAAACTTTATGCATTATCACAATTTAATCCTTATACCAACCCAATGAGGTAGGCATACCTCTATCCTATTACCCATGAAGAAGAAAAGGCAGAGATGGGAACCTCTCTCAAAGACTCCAGTTAGTACATTTCAGAAATTTTTTTTACTGACTCTACCTCACAAATAGATGGAGAGACAGAAAAAAAAATACCACTTTCTATCTCTATTGCCTCTACCTCAATTGTTCCCAAATTGGAACAACTATCAGAATCACCGGAGGATTTGCTAAAGCACAGATCACTGGGTTCTGTGCCCAGAGTTTTAAATTCAGTAAGTCTGGGGGCGGGACCTGAGAATTTGTAATTTTAACACGTTCCCTGGTTGTGCTGATGTTGCTAGTCAAGGGCTCACACTTTAAGAACCATTTTTTTTTTTTCTGTTCCAGGTTAGCACCATCTCTCTTTTGGAATATTTCAATAATTTCCTGCTTCCCAGCCATTTTCTAAAGTACAATCAGAATGATCTATCTAATTTTACTTAGAAATATTTATTGGGTGCCAGATACTCTACTAAATATAGAGGATGTAATAACAAGCAAAACCGACAAGGATCCTGATGTCACAATAACCTGAAGCAGCCAGTTTGCCTGGAATACTTTCTTCCCTTGGCTGAACATTATGTAATGATGTTCATGATCTCCTTTCCAAGGGTGTAAAACACAGAAGTAAATAATTAAAGTTCTATTCCTGTGATCAGCTCATAAAATGGTTGAGCCAGCTCTGTGCTCTTTGATTTTGCTCTATGAAGTTGTTTAATAACAACTTAAGTTGGAATAATTTAAACTCCAGCTTGTTCTCCAAATTAAGATAAGGTCAAAACGGCCTGATATATGTTGGATGAGCAAGAATACGGGAGAAAATTAGATAAGATTCTTTAGGTTCATTCTTCCAATTTTGTAAAACTCTACACAACTATTCCTTCATCTGTGGAAGAGGAGAGGGCAGCAGGAGTGGCTTGGCAATGTCTAGTAAATCCTGCTGTCCTCCTGTGAAGGTCTGTCTTTTATTTCTCTGCCCCTACCTTTAGGACCAATCCCAGCAAGAGTGAAGGCCACGTGTTCTGGGCATGGTTAATACAGAAAAATCTTCACCACTGCCAGTCATGATTATCTTTGCCTCTCCTCCCTTTTACTCTTAAGGGCTTGAAGTCTACTTTTTCGGGTAGGTAGAAGAGCCAAAATATTGCTCATCTGAAATTTTGGTTGTGAGATTCCTTGTCATTTATAGAATAAATTCTTGTTCTAATCAAAGAAGCTAGAGTTAAAATAGAAGGCCCTGTCTTTCTTCACAGCATCTTGAATTCTGTGCTCAAAACATGGCCCTGTTCCTCAGGCTGATGTAACAGCTCATGTTCTTCAGGATGGCAAGTCAGAGTATAGAGGCCAAGCTGCAGAGGTTGGTTGCTTTTATGAGCATTTGACTTCTGTCAAAAGTAAACAGTAAGGCTTTAAACTGGGGAAAGGAAAGAACAGGGTATGCATTTCTGAGCCATCTTTTTTTGGTTGCTGCGTGAAGGACTGGAGGTAACCAGAGGCAAGAAGACTAATGAGAAGGCTGTTGCAGGGATCTCCAGGGATCCTGAAGAGAGAAAATATGTTGACCTAGATTGGAAATATGGATGGGAGGATGAGAAAGTATATGGATTCCTGAGATATTTGACGGTGTCAGGCATAGTTTTTGGAACTTCATCCAGGAGGAGACAGGGAGGAATCAAGAATGGCACTGAGATTTTTGGCTTAGGCAAGAGAGTGGATGCTGAAGCCATTCCTTGAGATAGCCAATACTGGGAAGGAAGTCTGGAGCTGAAAAAGATGAACTCAGTATGGATAGGCTGAATTTGAGGTAGCTTTGGGACATTAATGCAACTGGAATGACTATTATGTAGTTAAATTATCACATTACTCTAAGTGTTCAATCCTTATATAACCACTGCTGAAATAACAAATTCCAAATTTCTTTTTTTGTGTGTGTTTCTTTTTCTGTTTTTTTGAGACGGAGTTTCGCTCTTGTTGCAATGGCGCGATCTCGGCTCACTGCAACCTCTGTCTCCCAGGTTCAAGCGATTCTCCTGCCTTAGCCTCCCAAGTAGCTGGGATTACAGGAGCCTGCCACCACACCTGGATCATTTTTTTTATTTTTGGTAGAAACGGGGTTTCACTATGTTGGCCAGGCTAGTCTCAAACTCCTGACCTCAGGCGATCTGCCCGCCTCGGCCTCCCAAAATGCTGGGGTTAAAGGCGTGAGCCACTGCGCCCGGCTGTGTGTTTGTTTCTTAGAGATACGGTCTCACTATATTGCCCAGGCTGGTTTCCAACTCATGAGCTCAAGGGACCCTCCTGTCTCGGCCTCCCACAGTGCTGGGATTACAGGCATGCCTGGCCACGCCCAGTCATTTTCCAAATTTCTTAACAAGACTTACAATTTACCTTTTCCAGCTTTACTTCTCCCACCTATCCATACCCACAGTTGCCCAGCCCAAATTCATTTGGGTTCCTCAAAGGGTTAATGCTTTGTGTAGTCTCAAGGACTATGGGCCAGCAGTTCTGTCAGGAACTATTCTATTCTCTTTTCTGTGCATTCAGCAAAGAATTAGAAAAATTAGCTGGGCGTGATGGTGCGAGACTGTAGTCTTGGCTACTCGGGAGGCTGAGGTGAGAGGATCTCCTGACATCAGGAGTTGGAGGCTGCAGAGCCATGATCGCGCCACTGCACTCCAGCCTGGGTAACAGAGGAAGACCTTGTCTCAACAAAACAAAAGATGTTAGTGAGGGCCCAGGTAGGTGCTAGGTGCTGGGATAACATGGTGAGCAAAAAGAAGACTTTATCCCTTCCCTTGCCTCATTATAGTATAATGGCAGATTTAAATACTAATCTAATAATTACACAAGAAAGAATTGCAAATGAGATCAGAGCTGCCAATCGAAGGCACCCAGTGGGAAAGACGGCCTACAATGGGATTTTCGCATAGCGAAAGCTTGTCTGAGAAGATAGAGTGGATTCATAGGGGGAGGAAAAAGCTTTCTAGGCTGGGAGAACACCCCTGTGGAGGGGTGTAACTTGGCGCATTACGAGGAACTAGAGAAACGTGCACTTTTCCTAAGACATCAGGAAAGGAGCGAGGAGAGACTTATCCATTTTGTCCCATAGCAGCCGCCATATGGTGGCAGACAGCAACAACCTCGTCGCACTGATTACTGGGAGCTGTAGTCTTGACGTGAGCTAGCTGGCATGGCGGCCTGCATTGCAGCGGGGCACTGGGCTGCAATGGGCCTAGGCCGGAGTTTCCAAGCCGCCAGGACTCTGCTCCCCCCGCCGGCCTCTATCGCCTGCAGTAAGTGGAGCCGGACTTGCGAGCTGGGGCGCGTTAGGGGCCCAGGGTCAGGATGGGGGAGGCGAACCTGGAGATCAGAGGCAACCCCAGCGTTGGTCCCCCGTGGGACGCCGGGTTGGGGGAGATTGCGGGGCTCTGCGGGATCTCAGGGTTGGCACGAGAGTTCTGACCTCCGTCGTCCGCTCCCGCAGGGGTCCACGCGGGGCCTGTCCGGCAGCAGAGCACTGGGCCTTCCGAGCCCGGTGCGTTCCAACCGCCGCCGAAACCGGTCATCGTGGACAAGCACCGCCCCGTGGAACCGGAACGCAGGTGAGGCACTGCCCTGGCGCTAGGCCGGCAACTGGGGTCGGTGCGCGCGTGAGCGCGTTCGCGTTCGAGGTCCCGGCTCTAAGGTGGGGGCTGCACCTCCCCCTGCACGAGCAGGTGTGTAGGATTCAAGAGCCAGCGCACCACACTGTTCTTTCTTTCTCACTTCTCCCCAAGCCAGCATTGAACTTCTTTGCAGTTTTATTGAGTCAGAACTTCAAGTAGGGGTTCCCCATATTTTAAACTCTTTTCTCTGTGGTATTTGTCCTGTACCAGAGTTTTTCTCTGAGGTATATCCTGTTTATACCTGTTTACGTCCAAGAGCTCTTCTTTTCTCTCAAAAGACCCTTAACCCTGGATAGGAATCGATTGGCCAACTTAAAAAATTTGCTATGGTTTAGGTTGGAAGTTTTGGCAGACAAAGCACAGTAAAACTGGCCACTAAATTGTGTCTGAAACTTACTCATCAAAATAGTGTGAATAAAAACTTATATGAATGGTGGTAATCTTGGAGGTACATGTAAATTTAAAGGACTTAAGGTCTGAAAAGAGAGCTATGTAGCAACCTTTTTAAAAAGCCAGTTTTCAGAGGAAAAACCTGATATGATTATAGGCTTTTTGAAAGGGCTGTAGATTATTGATTGGATTACTTCTGGGATTTTTAATTTTTTTATTTTTTAAATTTTTTTTAGACAGAGTCTCTCTCAGTCTCCCAGGCTGGAGTGCAGTGGTGATTTTAGCTCACTGCAGCCTCAAATTTCTGGGCTCAAGTGATCCTCCCGCCTCAGGCTCCAGAGTAGCTGGAACTACTGGTACCACGCCTGGCTTTTTTTTTTCTTTTCTTTTTTTAACATTTAAAATATTCCACGGATTTAAATAGAAGTAAACTTGGAGTTAGAGAACTAAGAGATTCAGAAAATATTTCTTCATAAAACTTTGCTTTTGAGGGTAGAAATGGAATATCTCTTTTAAACAGTGGCATTTAATAGAATTCACTTAAATAGGAATGTAAATTATATGCTCTAGAGAACAATTTGACAGAATTTACTAAGTTTAAGTTGTGTATACCTTCTCACTCAGAAAGCACACAACTTAAACTCCTAACGTGTATGTACAAGGAGACAAGCACGAGAATGAATGTAACAGTATTTTTTGTAACAAAATTTAGAGGCAGCCTAGATATCCATCAGTAGGTGAACAGGCAAATACATTCATATGACAGAATATTGTATAGCAGTGAAAAATGAGTGAATTAGAGCTCACTTTTAAACATGGAAGATTTTCACAAATCTGTGTGTAAAAAAAACCTTTAGAATCATTAATGTAGTAGGATGCTATTTTTATGAAGTTTTAAAACTATAGGCCGGGTGCGGTGGCTCACGACTGTTATCCCAGCACTTTGGGAGGCCGAGGAGGGCAGATCACGAAGTCAGGAGTTCGAGACCAGCCTGGCCAACATGGCGAAACCCCCATTTCTACTAAAAGTACAAAAAAAAAAAAAAATTAGCCAGGTGTGGTGGCATGTGCCTATAATCCCAGTTACTCGAGAGGCTGAGGCAGAAGAATTGCTTGAACACAGGATGCCGAGGTTGCAGTGAGCCGAGATCGTGCCACTGCACTCCAGCCTGGGCGATAGAGCAAGACTCTGTCTCAGAAAAAAACAAAAACAAAATTATACGAAACAATATATGTTGCCCAGACATACATGCATATGAAAAGTAAAAAGAAATGTAAGGGGGGCCTTCTGAAACTTTGCCAAACAGTCAAACCTAACTTTACCAGTATTGGTACCAGTTGATATTATGTGTCTCCTGATGTGACAGAATAAGTTGTTCACATCATCTCCCTGTAATATTCTTACTAAAATTATTTAACCTTAGTCTAGGCATGTGGAAACAATCCAGAATCCAGAGATGAGATAGTAGGCCTTGACTGTTCAAAAAAGTTAATGTTATAAAAATACAAAGTTGGAAAAAAGTCCTAGTCTGAGAGACTAATGACCAAATATGTGTGAAGCTTGATTGTATTTTGAATTGGGCAACGAATAGATGTAAAATACCTTCCCAGGATAATGACATACATTTGAGTATGAACTCTGTATTAGACCAAGCTTGTCCAACCCACAGCCCAGGACAGCTTTAAATGTGGCCCAACACAAATCTGTAAACTTTCTTAAAACATATGAGATTTTTTTTGTGCCTTTTTTTTTTAAGCTTACCAGCTATTGTTGGTGTCTTTTATGTGTGGCTCAAGATAATTCCTCCAGTGTGTCCCAGGGAAGCCAGATGATTGGATACCTTTGTATTAGATTATGTTATCAAATTAATGCTGACTTTTATAGGTGTCAGAAGGGTATCGTGATAATATAGGAGCAAGTCCTTATTCTTAGCATAAGCCTTCTAAATTATTGAGGGATGAAATGCCTTGCTGTTCCATTTTTTTGAGACAGAGCCTTGCTTTGTCATCCAGGCTGGAGTGCAGTGGCATGATCTTGGCTCTGCAACTCCTACTCCTGGGCCCCTCCCTACTCAGTCTCCCAAGTGGCTGGGACTACAGGTGCCCGCCACCATGCCTGGCTATTTTAAAAATTTTTTTGTTGTAGAATGAGGTCTCACTATGTTGCCTAGGCTGGTCTGGAACTCCTGGGCTCAAACGATCTACCCTCCTCGGCCTCCCAAGTGTTGGGATAACAGACGTAAGCTACCACACCTGGCTGACATTTTCAAATGGTTCAGAAAAAAATGATATGTGTATATAAAGCAAATATAGCAAAATTTTAGCAGTTGGTAAAAGTGGATGAAAGATCTACAGGTGTTCATTGTATTACTATTTTTTGGTAGGCTTTAAAATTTTCAAAGTAGAAAATTGAGGAAGAGAAAGAAATTCATGGGAATAATCACCAAATTTAGGATAGTAATGAACTATCCTAAATACACAGGGGCTTCCACAATATTGATAATTTATTTCTTGAGGTGGGTGGTAAAGACATGAATATTCATTGTACTGTCATTTATACTTTTTATGTAGATTAAATATTTCATAATGAGCTTAAAATCAGTTAAAGAAGAAAAAAAGAAGATTATTATTTTTTAAGCAAAAGGATTTCACCTTTGTAAGACTTACACAATTTTCACATAGCTTCATTTCTACAATCACAACAATCCTGAGGTAAACAGGCAGGGTCTAATCATTCTCTTTTTACAGAGGGAGAACCAGCAACTTAGGGAAATCAAAACGGGGACACTAACAGGATTTCTGTGGAAATTTAAGTAAATGAGAATTTATGGTGAATTTTTTATTCTAAAACGAATACCTCACCTTGGCCAAAATGGGACATTACCCAAGGTCCCCTACTAGGCCAGAGGAGAAAAGGAAGGACTTACCTCCTACAGAGGCACAAACAAGGCAGACTAGGACCCAGCAGTTGCCTAAGGCCCAAGGGTCTCCAGTTAGGAGAATGTGAAATGCAGGGATGTGAGACTGGCCTAAGGTATAGGAAGAGCGGTAAACAGAAGAGAAGAGACGAGGAGGGGGAAAAGCAAGAATTATTAAACGTGGTCAAGGAGCGAAGAGCACTATGAAGCCTCAGGATTTCTTCAAGGGATACTGCTGTGCCAGGTCTAGAGGGCAGAAAGATACAACCACGAGACCCCAGGACTACCAAGCTGATGGGATTACCTAGCCTCTGGACAGCACCTTCTGATTGGAAGCAAGGAAGCACACTAGAAAGGCTGCAGTACAGAAGGCTCAGAGACAGTCAGTAGGGAGTAGAAGGGCCTCTGCTGTTCTGGGAAGATTCTTACAGCATAAACAAGCTCTTACTGTGCCTAAGAGAAAGGGAGAGGGAGGCAAGGAATGTATCATGGCCTTAAGAACTTTCTAGAGGTTCATATTTATTGGCATTTGACCTAGAGTCCTTGCCATGGGCAAGGTGCATCCCTGGGCCATGGATAGGAAAATCAGCATCCTACTTTCTCTTCAGTTCGATCTGTTAATCCACCAACCCAAATCCCTCCCACCCGCACCTGTCATCCAAGGAAGAGAAAATGGTTCAGGGACACGATGTGCTGCAGCTGTGTCTCTGGATTTGTAGGTCTCTCCTCGACTTTTCAGCTCCTACACGATTCCTTGGGGCAGGTGACCAGTGAATGACACCGCATATGTACCTGGCTTAAAGTTACTGACTCGCTGCCACTTGGAGACCTAGCTGTCCTCTGGACTCATCATTGCAATGATTCCATCAAAGGAAGAGCTAGTGCAGTCATATACCATCTCAGTTACTCTTCGTCTGTAGATAGGTGTTACAGTTGTCAGAACCTTCATATTCAAACTGGTCTATAGTCTTGACCAGCAAACACAGCCAACAAGCCTGCAGATGCCCCAGGTCCTTCAGCACCATCTCCAGGGCCATCTTCTCTGATCAGGAAGATCATTTTAAAAGTCAATTTATAATTAGTGATTTATATGTTGATGTCTTTTCTGACATAATTTATTATAGCATGTATAGCTCAGTGTGAGGCCTGTAGTAATGGTTATAGGCTTTGGAGACTGACCAACATACCTACATTTAAATCTTGATTTGACAGATTTATAGCTAATGTAGCAATGGGTTAGTTATTTACCTTTTTCAAGCTTCAGTTTCTTGCTCTGTAAAAAGGAGATGACACCAAACCCACATGGTTGCTAGAAGGATTAATTTATGCTATAGATGTTTCATAAAGCTTTTAACAAAATACCAGGTGAGTACTCAGGAATTGTTAGCTATTTTCATGAGCATTAACAATTTTAGAAATAAGATTGACTTTTATTTAGACAATGAAGAATAAAATACATCAATATCATATTTAATTTCTTTGAAAAGCAACAATTTTTCTTCTAGCAGCCTTTTGAGTTTACTTTTAATTATTTATTTGTATTTTTTACAGGTTCTTGAGTCCTGAATTCATTCCTCGAAGGGGAAGAACAGATCCTCTGAAATTTCAAATAGAAAGAAAAGATATGTTAGAAAGGAGAAAAGTACTCCACATTCCAGAGTTCTATGTTGGTCAGTAAGAGCTGTATGTTTTTATTATTAGTAATTAGGATGGCTAGTTTGTGATTGGATGGTTAGTTTTCTTAAAAAGCAAAAGAAGATTGTTTTTTACATATCTGGGTTATGCTCATATGAAGTATTTATTCCTACATTAAAACATTTAGGAAGTTAAGTTATCTAGAAATGCTATTTGTTTGTTTCTGCATCTTATATAAAGTTTACTTCTCAGCTGGGTGTGCTGAAAAAAAAGTTCACTTCTCTTTTGAATTTGTAGGAAGTATTCTTCGTGTTACTACAGCTGACCCATATGCCAGTGGAAAAATCAGCCAGTTTCTGGGGATTTGCATTCAGAGATCAGGAAGAGGACTTGGAGCTACTTTCATCCTTAGGAATGTTATCGAAGGACAAGGTAAGTTTTATTTCATCATTTTCATTGTCTAGAAAATGTTATCTCAGGATTCCTTTTTGTTTCTGCATCCTGGGATAAGAAATCTGAAATTTGAAAGTAAAAGGAGACTCTGAGGGAAGATGTGGAGCCTGTGGCTTTAGAATGGATTGAGATTTGAAGTTAATGATTAAATATGGTTGATGGACTTCTTTCTCTTGAAGGCTTCTTATGTTATTGGAACAACAGTCATTAGAAGTAGACTTTGCAAACCATGGCAACATCAAAGAGGGGAATAAATTACTATAAAGCAGTATGGGGATATTTGTTTTAGGAGCAAATAACCCATGAGTAAAACTTTAAGACAAACCTTTAATGTCTTCATGAATTACTTGCTCCTAAAATGAATACCCACATTTTACTTTATGTTATGACACAAAACAAAATTATCACTGTCTTATATGACTTGGGAGGAATTTTAAAAAGGCAAAATTGTGTTTATATACTATGCCTAATAGAGGAACAAGGAGTAAAACTCTAGCAAGATTATTAATTAAAATGGCAGGAACAATTACGTTTATCAAGTTGTGTGCTTCATGAAGTTCCAACAACAAAGTATTCTTATTTTCAAAGAAATTGAAAATGTGAAAGCAGTTGCTGTCTTGCTTATTCTGTAATGACAGTGGGCTGTGCGTGCAGGAATTCAGCAGGACTTAATTGATTTGTGCCTTCAATCTGGTCAAATACTTGGAGAGGCCTTGTAATAGAAGTAAATGAGCATAGGAGTGAGTCATTTGATTTTCTTTAAGCATTAAGATAGTAATAGTTTCTACTCTACATGGTTCTAGCCAATCAACTGTGAGATACTGTATTTGAAGTACTGGACACAGAATACTCAAAAAGGATTAGCTCCCTCTTGCCATTCTCTGTAGTATGTCTGACTGTTGTAACCTGCCTCAACCTTCCCCATCACTGCTTCCTGCATTAGTGTTTCCTTCTTGTTCGGTGGCTTTGTATACCATCTGTATAATGATAACTTCCAAATTTATAACTCCAGGACTGACCCTTTTTAAGTTCCAGATTTGCAACTATCTGCAACTATCTGATCAACACTCTATTTGGATGTCTTACCAGCATAAGTTGAAAGCAGAACTCTTTATTTCCCCTTGCAAGGTGTTCCATTCACAGTCTTTTCTATTTCCATAAATGGTACCACTCTGCCTACCCACTTACTTTCACACATGCAGTCAATCAAGTTTTCTTGGCACAGTCTCCAAAAAATATATCACAATTTTGCCTGTTCTTCCCTCTACATTGCTATCACCCTCATCCATGTCACCATCATCTGCTTGCATTTGTGCAGTCTCTCTGGTTTACATTTCTGGTGGCTTATTCTGTTCGTGCTGTTGTAACAAAATGCTACAGGCTGGGTAATTTAGAAAGAACAGAAATTTATTTCTCACAGTTCGGGAGGCTGGGAAATCTAAGTTCAAGGTGCTGGCAGGTTTTGTATTTGGTGAGGCCTCCTTCCCTGCATCCAAGATGGTGCCTTGTTGCTGTGTGCTCTGGAAGGGCCAAGCACTGTGCCCTCACATGGTGAAAGGTGGAAGGGCAAAAGGCAAAACTAGTTCTCTCCATCCCTTTAATCCACTAATCCTTAATCAAAGGAGCTTCTAACCAAAGTTGGAACTTAATATTTTACTTCTTTTGTACCATTAGTCTTATTACTCTTAACATGGAAGATTGATTTTTCTTCAAGTAATTGGGAGATAAAAAACGTGACATAGGGAAGAATTCAGACTTTCTCTGAAGTTACTACTATGAGAATTGAAGAGATATGTGACTCAACATATTTCTAGAAGCCATTTTTTTCTTTTTTAGACTATCATTCCAATTCAGACTTTCTAACTTTATATTTAAATGGATTTTAGCTTATTTCTATTTCTTTCAGTAATCTTTATCTTAAAAATTTCAAATTAACGGCACATTTTCTACATGCAAAACTTTGTGCTAATTCCTTTATGAAATGCTTTTACTGCAGTATGAAACATGTATAGGAACGTGGACTTAGATTGTAAGAATATGTTTTCTGTTCTATTTAGGTGTCGAGATTTGCTTTGAACTTTATAATCCTCGGGTCCAGGAGATTCAGGTGGTCAAATTAGAGAAACGGCTGGATGATAGCTTGCTATACTTACGAGATGCCCTTCCTGAATATAGCACTTTTGATGTGAATATGAAGCCAGTAGTACAAGAGCCTAACCAAAAAGTTCCTGTTAATGAGGTATGGGTTATACATTTGAAACTAGAAGTTCAAGTATAAAATAAGAAAGAAAGAATCATCTTAATGAAAACTTCAGAAGAATTTTTGCTCATGCCTATCAGCCTAATTATTGCTTTTTTTTTTTTTTTTTTTTTAATCTTCCTTAGCTGAAAGTAAAAATGAAGCCTAAGCCCTGGTCTAAACGCTGGGAACGTCCAAATTTTAATATTAAAGGAATCAGATTTGATCTTTGTTTAACTGAACAGCAAATGAAAGAAGCTCAGAAGTGGAATCAGCCATGGCTTGAATTTGATATGATGAGGGAATATGATACTTCAAAAATTGAAGCTGCAATATGGAAGGAAATTGAAGCGTCGAAAAGGTCTTGATTCTGAGAATGAATTTGGTTAGTTGCAGAAGATACATTGGCTCTAAGAGGATATATTTTGAGACCAATTTAATTTCATTTATAAGAACATAGTAATTAAGTGAACTAAGCATTCATTGTTTTATTAATACTTTTTTTCTAAAATAAAACTTGTACACCAGTTTATTACTCTAAAAAGAGAATTACACATGCCAAATGGACCAATGTCCATTTGCTTATTGGAGGCAAAGCTACAATAGAAGTCAGAGCATCACCAGAATGGTCTTTAATGAGCATGGAACCTGAGCAAAGGGAATAGGTGGGATGAATTTTTTTTTTAATTGTGAAACAATTCATAAGCACAATATGATTTACAGAATAATAAACATTCATGTACCCACTATCAGGTTAAGAAATAGAACATTTATTAATATGTAGGAATGTTAAGAAATAAAACATTTAATAAGATCTCAGAAGACTCCAGTAAATCTGCAATTGTATCTCTCTCCTTTTTAAATGTAAATATCATCTTGACTTGTTAATTATTCCCTTGCATTTCTTTTAGTTTACTGCCAACACATATATTCTTCAACAATATATTTAATTTTGAAAAACCTGAAAAAAAAAACCTGTTAGCAAGTATAAAGGGGCAGTATTACTATTATTGCATGAAGGCTTCAAGGGAAACGTTACAGTCTTTGGGTCATAGTCTGGCTTCAGCTTCCTCTGAGAGTTTACAGAGGCCAATTTTGAGCAAATTCATGGCTAAGGTTATGAGTGAGTTCTGCTAAACAGAAGGCTCACCACAAGGTATCTGGCAGGATTATACTGGGTAGCTGGATGTTGCAGAAATGTGGTTAGAGGAAGTAAACTGTTTTTTGATGCTCACAGCATGATGAATCAAACTCTGTATCTTAGGATTAGGTTAAAACAATACCTTTGGTATGATATGAGTGTTGTTGCTGATCCATGCAGCATGGATTGGAAAGCTGGGGTATAAGCACACATGCTAAAGAAAAACATGTAATTTGGTCCATACTCACCTGGATATACTGTTCCTCAGGTTAAAAAATACAGTACTATCCTAAATCTTGAAGGCAACTCTCAGCCTATCCATTGAGTTACCTTCAGATCTGCCCTCTGGTTCCTAGCTGTCTTGGGACTAACTTCTTTCCTGCGCTCAGCTGTTTTCTGGATTCCATGTTTTCCATTTTATTGAGTACTAACTTGTTTTGCTGCAGCACATCCTTTGGTAGCTTCTAGAGGAAGTTTGTGTGGAGGTAAAATTTTTGAGACCTTGCATGTCTCATGTTTGATTGATACTTTATACGTTTAGGTAGGAGGTAATTTTCCTTCAGGACTTTAAAAATATTGTTGCTCCATTTTCTTTGTTTCTATTGTTGTATTGAGAAATCCAATGCCATTTTGATTTCCCCATCATAAATTTCATGATGATGTGTCTTGGTGTGGGTCTATATTTATCCATTGTATTGGGTTTTAGGTGAACCCTTCCAGATAGTAACTCATTTCTGTCAGTTCTGGGAAACACTTAGCATTGGTTGATGATTTATTCTCTGCTGCTTTGTTCTCCCAACTATTATTTGGATGTTGGATATCCAGCACTGGGTATCTATTTTCTTACCTCCCTCCCTTGACCCCAGTCTCTGTTTTTTAGCTCTTTAGCTCAATCTTCCAACTCTTTGCTATTGTATTTTAAAATCTTAAGACCCCTTCTTGATTTGTAGAAGTTCCTTTTCTTACAACCAAAAAGCCTTTATCTATGGATTTGTTCACAGATAAGGGGTATTCAATATAGTGTATTTTTTTTTCATTTAAAATTGTTTGCGCATCTATTTCCTCCAAATTTCTTTCTGTATTTATTTTTTGTTGTCTATATTTCAGACTTTTCCAGGATATCTGATAATCTTTGGCTGTCTTCTTATGGTTGAAAGAGGGACTAAAAAGCTTGGAAAGCCTTTGGGTTGTGGGAAGGGGCTGTCTTTAGGATTATCTGAATGGGCTTTTTTGGGAGTCCCCTCCTCCACATGAATATTTTGGTTTTGTCAGATTCCCTAGAATAGAGGCTTCCAATCTCCTTCCTGGAGGGGTCTGTCCAGGAAGGAGATTGTCTAGGGGTCTGTCAGACAGCAGCTTTCAGCTACTTCCTTGATCTTTTTCACTAATGATTATATAGTCATCTAACTACTGTCAACAAGTAATAGATATCCTATCCTTCACTTGTTTAGATTATTTGCTGAGATAACCTCTCAAAAGAACCTCTCAAAATAAAAGGTTAACAAGAGCCTATATCTTATATTTTTCTTCTCTTTATCTTGTTAGAAGATAGCTATTAAAACCTGTTCTTTTTCTGTCTTGATAAACACACTTCAATCTTGGTAGAATGGTAGATGGGACAGTATATTTTAGGACCTAAAGCTCTGCAAATGTATGATCAGCTTGTAAGTACAGGTGCTCAAAAACATGTAAACAATCATGCTTTTTACTCTGTAGGAATATCTTTAAAATTCTTGTGAATTTTTCCCCAGAAGTAAAGCAAATCTTCCCCCAGAAATAAAATTAAATGTGCATAATCTAAAGCTTTTTTTTTTTATTGTGGTAGGATATATATATAAAACATAATTTGCCATTGTAAACATTTTAAATTTACAAGTCAGAGGCATTAATTACATCACAATGTTGTGAAATTATTACTACTATTTCCAAAATTTTCTCATCACCCCAAACTGAAACTCTGTAACTGTTGAGCAATAACCTCATTCCTGTATCTCTCCCAACCCCAGGTAACCTCAAATCTTTCTTTTTATCTTTGAGACAAGGTCTCATTCTATCACTCAGGTAGGAGTGCAGTGGTGTGATCATAGCTCATTGCAGCCTCAAAATCCTGGGCTCAAGCAATCCTCCTTGAGTAGCTAAGACTATAGGCACACATTAACTGCGCCTGGCTGATTTTGTTTTTTGTAGAGATGTGGTCTTGCTATGTTTCCCATGCTGGTCTTGAGTTCCTGGCCTCAAGCAGTCCTTAAGATTCATCCATGTTGTGGCATGTGTCAGAATTTCATTTGTTTTTATGACTAAATAATATTCCATTGTATGTATATACATTTTGTTCATCCATCTTCTGATGAACACTGGGATATGTCTACCTTTTGGCTATTGTGAATAATGCTGCAGTAAACATTGACATAACAAGTATGTATTTGATTGCCTGTTTCTAAGTTCTTTTGGGTATACATCTTGAGTAGAATTGCTAGATAATGTCATGTTTTATTTCTCTTGTGATTTCTTCTTCGATCCCCTGGTTGAGTGTGTTAATTTCTACATGTTTATGAATTTCCCACTGTTTTTTTGTTATTGATTTCCAAGTTCATTCCATTGTGATTAGAGAAGATACTTAGTATGATTTTAATGTTTTTGAGAATTGGTGTGTGGCCTGATAGATGGTCTGTCCTGGAGAATGTTCCTCATACACTTGAGCAAAATATTTATCATGCTATTGTTGACTGTAGTTTTCTATATGTCTCTTAGGTCAAGGTGGTTTACAATGTGTTAAGGTTCTCTTTTTTTAAAAAAATTTTTGCACAGAGTATCTTTTTCTATGTGTTCCATGTATTTGTGTCTTTGGAGCTATAGTCTCTTGTAGACAGCATATCACTATCTTGTTTTGTTTTGTTTTTTCTGTCCATTCTGCCAATTTCTGCCTTTTGATTGGAAAATTTAATCCATTTGCATTTAAAGTAATTAAGGAAGGACTTTCTTCTACCATTTAACACTTCTTCTATATGTCATATACTTTTTTGGCCCCTCATTTCCTCTTTATGGCCTTCTTTTCTGTTTTTTTGTAGTGAACTAGTCTGATTCTCTTTCCACTCCCCTTTGTGTATATTTGTTAGATGTTTTATTTGTGGTTGCTATGGGGATTATAGTTAACATCCTACACTTAAAACAATCTAATTTAAACTGATACCAATTTACCTTCAATAGCATACAAAATCTCTACTCCTGTAAAGCTCTGCCCCTGCCCCCCTTATGTTATTGATGGCACAAATTGCCTAATAAATAATTTATAGTTATTTGTATGAGTTTGTCTTTTAAATCATTTAGGAAATAAAAAGTGGAGTTAGAAAACAGTATGATAGTAATACTGACTTTTATATTTGTCAATATATTTATCTTATTTTGGATCCTTATTTCATTATATAGATTTGAGTTACTGTCTAGTGCCCTTCCATTTCGGCCCAAAGGATTCCCTTATGCATTTCTTGCAGGGCAAGTCTAATTGTAATAAACTCCCTCAGCTTTTGTTTTATCTGAGAATGTCTTGATTTCTCCCTTATTTTTGATGGATAATTTTGCCAGATACATGAATTTTTGGTAACAGTATTTTTCTTTCAGCACTTTAAATATGTCATCCCACTACCTTCTGACTTCATGGTTTCTCATGAGATATTAGATGTTATAAAATTTGAGGATTCCTCATTCTTGATGAGTCAGTTCTGTCTTATTGCTTTTCGGATTTGCTCAGCTTTTGTCTTTTGACAGTTTGATTATAACGCGGCTCAGTGTGGGTCTCTGAGTTTATCCCACTTAGAGTTTGTTGAGTTTCTTGGAGTCATAGATTTATGTCTTTTATCAAATTTTGGACATATTTGGCTATTATTTCTTCAATTTTTTTCACTGCTTCTTTCTTTTCCTTCTGAAATATTCTTAATGTATATGTTGGTCTGTTTGATGCTGTCTCACCAGTTTCTTAGGCTGTGTTCTCTTTTGTTCCTCAGACTTGATTATTGCAGTTGCCCTTCTTTTTATTTTTTTCAAGTTTGTTGATTCTTCTCCCTGTTCAGATCAACTGTTGAACTCCTCTAGTGAATTTATTTCAGTTACTGTACTTTTCAGCTCCAAGATTTATCTTTGGTTCCTTTTTATAACGTCTGTGTCTTTATTGATATTCTCATTTTGTTCATATGTCTCTTTCTTCCTTTAGTTCTTTGTCCATGTTTTCCTTTAGCTCTTTGGGCTTATTTAAGACAATTGTTTAAAGTCTTTGCATAGTAAGTCCAATGTCTGTGTTTCTTCAGGGATGGTTTTCATTATTTTGTTTTCAATGAGCCATACTTTCCTGTGTCTTTGTATGCTGTCTTTTTGTTGTTGAAAACTGTATGTTTGAACATCATAACGTGGTGGCCCTGAAAATCAGATATTCCCCCCTTCCTGAGAGTTAGTTTTATTTTTATTATTGAAGATTGTAGCAGTCTATTGCTACATGTGCAGTCATTTCCAAACTATTTTTGCAAAGACTGTATTCCTTCTGTGTGTCATCACTGAAGTCTCTGTTCCTTAGTTTGTGTTTAATAGTTTGACATAGATTTCCTTGAAAGGAGTTAAAACTAGCAGAAAAATCTCTCTCCCAGTCTTTCCAGTCTTTGTAGATTGGTTCTGTGCTGGGCTTTTCCATTAATACTTAGCCAGGCTTGTACTGAGCCTAACAATCAGGCCCAAAAGCGTAGGGTCTTTGCAGATCTTGTCTGAGCATGCTTCTTGCTGTGTATGCACGTAGTTTTCTAAATCTCCCTGTATGTGCTGTTGAATATTCTAATTTCCCAAAGAAACTCCTTTGCAGCTTTTTCTCACAGAACATAGATGGTTTTTTGGATATCTTGACCATAGTCTTTCGACCCAGGTGTTTGCGGTTGTTAGTTCACCTTACACTTTTTTCAAGCATTGCCTACTGCTTACGATGAGTGCTCTGTCAATCCTTTAAGTAGCCCCAGACAGGCTACCAGAGACTTAAACAAGAATTTGTAAGTTCTGCTCAGCTTCCTCTAGAAATGGGGATCAGGGTCCAAGACAGAATGCAGTTGCTGATTTCAAGACTGCTGCAACACCAGGGAGCTTGTGGGGGAAGGGCAAGCAGAAATGTCACAAAGCTTTCTTGCCATTTTAAAGTTGCCTGTTCTTGACTCAGCATTTGCTTCATTGCTATAAACTTTTTACTGTTTTTCAGAGTTCTGATAAAATTGGCTATGCCTGTTCCTGCTTTAAAAAATATATATATATTTTTTAGGGATTGGGGTCTCACTATACTGACCAGGCTGGTCTTGAACTTCTGGCCTCAAGCCATCCTCTCATTTCAGCTTCCCAAAGTGCTGCAATTACACGCGTGAACCACCACACCCAGCCCCTGCTTGTTTTTCAATGTGCCTACTCCACCATGTTGCTCAAGTATGTATATTTTCTAAACTACCTTGTAGTGTTGTGATGGGAAATAAATCCCTGAGCCTTTTGAATAACTCAGAGAGATCAAAAACTTAGTTTATCCTATTCGAAGGATTAGAAAAATGATATATCTTTCACTTTTTCAGGGATAGGCTCCTCATTAGAAGGCTCCTATGTGCCGATGCTGTACAAGACATTTCATTTCTCTTAATGTTTACAACAAGCTTGTTGCCAAGGCTGATCTTGAACTCCTGGCCTCAAACGATCCTCCCAGCTCAGTCTCACAAAGTGTTGGGATGTCTGGCCAACTAATGACTATCTTAACTCTTGTGTTTCAATGTTTATGCCTTCTTTTATCTTGACTGATTGTATGACTATGTCTTCTAGAACAATGTTGAACAGAAATGGTGAGAGCAGACATCCTTGCTTTAATATTTCACCATTATATATGATGTTAGGTATAGATTTTTCTCACAGATGCCTTTTATCAGATTGAGGAATTTATATTCCTACTTTGCCGAAAGGTTTTTGTAGTATGAGGGGGTGCTGAATTTTGTCAAACACTTTTTCGGTAATAATTGAGATGATTGGTTCTGCAGTCATCGAGATGTGGATTTTCTCCTTTATTCTGTTCGTGAGTGATTACACTGGTTGACTAATGTTAAAACAACCTTACTTTCCAGGAATAAACCCTATTATCTTTTTTATACATTGCTGGATTTGATTTGCTAATTATTTTAAGGACTTTTATTTCTACATTCATGATAGATACTGCTGGTATTTTCTCATGATGTCTTTTGCAGGATTTGTATCATATATGGCATTTCTGAGGTATACCTAAGTATCATTTATTCAAGGACCTAAGAAATGGAAAAATCAATTGAGGTGATTTTTCCATCATGAAAAAAATTTCTTTAAAGTCATCTGTCTGATTCTGTAAAAATTTCACATTCTTTATGTGAACAAAAAGCTGAAAGAAATTCAGGGAAAGAATTAAGATGTGATATCAATTGCCAACCCAATGTTTTGTTCTTGCTAGTTGTGTTCCCCCTCCTTATTCCATCCATTTCATAGTAATAAGAAAAAAAAGAATTTTACATTGAGATTTAGGTAAATTTTTGAATTACAGTATATGATAAAAACCTTAACGTTCAAACTCCAGGTATAATGAAATTTAATTGAAAATTACTATAGCAGTTTAAGTCAATTTGTAGTTTTGAAAGCAGTTTTAATATTTTATCTTCCACAAAAAGGTAGGAAAGTTTCTGTGCTGAACTTAAATATATAAAGGAACACGTCCAACATATTTAGTTAAAAATCCAAAAGTCAGAGGATAATTTCCAAATGTGTACTTAAATAGAAAAAAATTACAAATTTCATGTGCAATAAAGTGTCTGCCACTTACGTAAAAAAAAAAAAAAAACCCAAAACTATGTACACATAGAAACACGTAACATTTTTGTAAATAGAGAAAAGGTCTAAAAGGATAACATTAAAATGAAAACAGCAGTTATCTCTGGGGACAGCGGTTGTGTGGAAATGCTAACTGCTTTTCAACAATAGTTTGCATTTTCTAGATGAGATTCTATCCTTGTATAATTTTGTTACTAATATAAACATCAAAAAATTCTTCATACCAGTGAATCACAAGTCCTCACTGCAACAGACATAACAAATCCAACTCCTAAAATAAATTATATGTAGTTTTGAAGGTAGAGGTGACATAAAAGTAGGCTGTATATTCAAATCCTACAATATATTCAATTTTTTCCAATTATCTTTTGAACAACAATTTGCAAAATATATTTACAGTTTCCCTTAAGTTATTTAATAAGTAGACTTAGAAAAATTACTAGTAAACTAACATTTTTGGAAAATTTTCTTAATTTCTTTTGATTAAATTATCTTGCCTCTGTTTTATTAGACAAATATTTTATCAGAAAATGAATCACATGTTGTGAGTATTTAAAATATCTGTTTCCTTCTTAGTCCTACCACCAATGACAAAAAAACAAAATAGTAACTTGCTAATAAGTAATGACTTAATGCTTCAAAAAACATCAACAAATTTAAAAGAAAGGCCAAACATGGTTGCTCAAGCCTGTAATCCCAGCACTTTGGGAGGTCAAGGTGGGTAGACTGCTTGAGCTCAAGAGTTCGAGACCAGCCTGGGCAATGTCACGAAACCCCATCTCTACAAAAAATTACAAAAATCAGCTGGGCATGGTGGCGCATGCCTATAGTCCCAGCTACTTGGGAGGTTGAAGTGGGAGGATTGCTTGAGCCCAGAAGGCAGAGGTTGCAGTGAGCCGAGATTGTGCCACTACTCTCCAGCCTGGGTGACAGAGCCAGACCCTGTCTCAAAAAATACAATTAAAAAAAAAATAAAAGAAAAATGGCAAATAAGGAAAACTTCTGCCACAAGCATGGGCAAAAAATCAATATCTTTAAAAATATAAAGGTCTTAAAGTCCATAAGAAAAAGATGGATATTTCAGAAATAATTACAAATGGCCAAAACCAATATGTTTACTCTCTAATAGCCAACACAAAATACGCTATTAAAATAAGATTTTTACCTTTCAAATTTTCAATGCATTTTTAAAAAGGATAATAACTACTGCTGGTAGGGATTCATTGGCACTCACTTATGCTTATGTTGGTACATTAAATTGGTACAGATTTCTGAAGGATAATTTGACAATCGGCACATGCCTTAATCATTTAATACTTAGCAAATAATTCACTCCAACTGAGATTTTCATATTGACTTATTTTTAAATAAAGGTAGTTAAAGAGAACTAAAAGATATTATTGTGGTTCAGGACAGAAGACTTAGTAGCATGCTCACTTAAGCTAAAACCTTTAGCAAGGTTTCTCCAGTTCCCCTCTTAAGAAAATTGAAAGACCAGCCAAAAGAATCAAAGGGAAACACGTTGAGCTCTTAAAGCTCCAGTGCATTTAATTCCTTAGAACACCACAGAATCATGGCAGCTTTTCATGATGCCAGAAGGTAAAGCACGGGGGAATACAGAGGTGGAGTCCTGCTTTTTTTCAAATCCTACCTTCTATTACAGGGAATAAAGAAGAGAGAGGCACCAGCTTCTTCTCAAACAAAGGAACTGAGTGTAACTATATTAAAATTTTAGCATTTTCCAATAAAGTTTATTCAATCTTCTTTAATTAGTGATTTAAGATGGTCTAGGTGATGCTCTCCTATGAAGGATTCTGCTTGATTCAAAGCTTTTATTTTCACCAAAATAAGAATTATTTCTTCGACTTCATCCCTGAAAAACAAAACAAATTTCTCCCTTTAAAAATGCAATGTATGAGGGAACAGCGGTCAATTCAGAACCTGATCATCAGTTGTTAATCTAAAACAAAAGCTTTACCTTAAGCCAATATCTAAAGTAGCATAAAACACAGAGAGATGCTGCCATCTCCACTTAATTATAAAGTTCAAATACAGATCATTAGTGGATGTATTCTGGCAAATTTCAATGTGAATTACTGTAAAAGGTAGAAAAGCATATAGTAAGTCTATCAGAAATTTCAGTAGTGCTGCGTTGCTATTAGCTTGTATGAGACATTGTGGTGGAAGCAATGGTGGGAGTATATTCACACATCATGACATTAGCAAATAATACAAATCTGATTTTTTTTTTTTTTAAAGGGACTTGGTCTTGGCTCTGCTGGTCAGACTGGAGTACAGTGGCACAATCATAGCTCACTGCAGCCTCAACCTCTCAGGCTCAAGCAATCTTCCCACCTCTGCATCCTCAGTAGCTGGGACTCAGGCGCATGCCACCATGCCTAGCTAATTTTTAAATTTTTTGTTCTAGAGACAGGGTCTTGCTATGTTTCCCAGGCTGTTCTCAAACTCCTGGGCTCAAGTGATCCTCCTGCCTCAGCCTCCCAAAGTGCTAACATTACAGGCGTGAGCCACCATGCCCGGCCAAATCTGGGCTTAAAAATTTTTTTTGGAGAGGGAGTTAACAGGAATACCACTGTATTTAAGCCCCCAAACAGCTGGTGCTGTGAACGAAACATTCAGAACAGAGAGCTAGCTACTGCTGGATAAATACCAAGCTGGAGACCTGTACTTAACAACTGTTGAGTCTCTAAAAATGGACAGGAAAATTAAAAACACATTTAAAAAGTGCTTAATAAAATGTTTTTGATTTATAGTTTTAATTCTATATTCCCCTGTGCTATAGTTTTTTGAATTTGCTTAATTTGGGGGAGATTTACATTTTAAAATATGGATATGCATAAGCCATCCCAAAGGTAACCATAAAAATATCTACTAACTCTACAAAGTTTTAACAAATTTTTAAAAGTACAGTAAAAATACAAATCTTTCTAAAAGTTGTTGAGAGCATACAGAATCCATGAACTCTCTTTATAGAAGTGAAAATAAAATATGCATTACCTGAATTCACTTCTAGATAATTTATGTGCAGACTGCAATAAAAACTGAATGAAGTTTTCTAGCTGTGGAATAGATGTCCTCATGGCAGAATTTTCAAACCATTTTTCTGGTAGACATGCTGCTACCTGTTAATCAAAACACATGGCTGGTTTACAATGACAGTTATCTAAGAAATCTTGCTAATATAATCTCATAGTGATACTGTAAGCTGAGTATCATTCTCCCCATTTTATAGTTTATGGTTAAATAAAAATTTCTAAAGATTTCCCTTTGTGTCCAAGGCTACATATATTTTGGAATTCATTCTTTAATGCTAAGAACTTAAAATACACTACTCTCTATGAACACTCCCTGGTAGTACTAGTAATTCTTTCTATATTCTTGTATTTGTGAGTCATTAAATCTGTACAAAACATAATTTACAACTAAAAACCAAAAATGTCTAGACACAAAATATTTGGTCAATACAACTCTAAAATACATACATTCACTATTATTTTATAAAGAAATTGGATGGCCTAGCATATGATCTATATGGAGTTAAGGAACCAAATGGGTGATTCTAAGATACAAAGAATGAAAGATAAATTAATTATGTTTTTAATCTTCTATCAGTGTAATACATTGCCTTAATTGTAAAGCAGCAGAATGAATCAATGTAGGTGCATTCAATTTTTCTTTTGGAAATGGAAATTACATTTTATCATTGTCATCCTAAGAGTAATACAAGATTTTGAGAAAAGTTTTGGTAAAAACAGAAAAATGTTAGAAAAAATTTAAAAAGTAAAAAAAAAAAAAACTTCCTCATAGCAGAAACAAGGGTAAAGAAGGGAGGGAAAAGGGGAGAAAGGAAAAAAACTTGATATTGTTCCCGGAGAGAACAAAGTATGGCTGCCTGCTCTTGAGGTCCGAAAACGAGATGCAGACAATTGGGAAAGAAGGGAGGTCAGAGTAACTCACCAGACCAACTCAAAGTTCTAAGCTTTTTTCTAGTGCTTGTATATATTTAAAGCTCCGTGCTACGTGTGGGATTGTAACTGCAAGTGGGAGTGTTGCATTCAATCTCTATCTCATCTTTAGCTAGGGACTAGGGTCTGGAAAGCTTTCTCGAGAGTCTTGGAAAGTTTCTTAATCTTAAGACAGAATGAGGTGTATGTGTAAGAATGCTTTTATTATTCCATCAGATTTCAGGGGCTGAGAAAACCCAGGCAGGTTCTTAATGGGTTGGTTTTTGCATTCCAGTTTTGTACTCAGGCACCAGTTTCTCCAGTTTTTTAATGTTTAGCTTACACTTTCATTAACGTTATAGTAACGGGTTCTTGGAAACTGATCGTTCTGTTTGCTAATGGAAACCTGGCCTGTCACAATATCACACTATTCAAGGAAATTCCTAGATAATCATACAGATTATGCTACATTTGGTAACATCAAGATCAATATAGAAAGCAGAGAGTTGGGGAAAAAATTAAAATGCACCCTATATATTATACAGTATATTAAATAAACGTTCTGGAATGCGCTCTTTCTAAGATTGGTCAGCATTTAAAACATGGTTGAGGAAAAAGAATTCTACTCCTTAATCACCTGTTTCAACTATTCAGGAAAAATACTGACACACTGACTGCCTAAGGCAGAAGATCCTACAAGTTTTGTTATGTAAACTCTTTTTAAAAGTTTTAAAACCACCCTTTACTATTGAATGTCATTTGCACTTGTTTTCCCCTTGTTTTGTATTACAAGTCTCAGTAAAATTCTCATTTAACCATGTAGCTTTTGCGTTAATGATCCCAGCACTAAAAGTCGATTTTCTTGGCCTGGTTTTCTAACCATATGCTGTGGAAAGAATGCTGTGTAAATATATTTCCTCTTCTCCACTTCATAATAGACCCTATGGTCAAAGGGGACTAAACTAAACCTGAACAACATTACATGGATGATGATTTAAATTTTTAATATATAATGCTTAAAACTATGATATAAAAACTATAGCCAGAACAATCATGGTTGGCTACTAATTGATATATAGTTTTATGGCAGACTAGGTTTCCATTAGCAACCAGATGAATCAATTTCCACTAACCCTTTTCTATAATTTTGATGAATGTGTAAGTTAAACATTAAAGAGCTAGAGAAACTGGTGCCTGAGTACAAGAACTGGAATGCGAAAACAAACCCATTAAGACCCTGCCTGAGTTTTCCCAGATCCTAAAGTCTGATCAAATAATGAAAGCATTCTTACACATACTCTTTGTACCAGGGCCCACTTAAGATTAAAAAACTTTCCAAGACTTTAGAGAAAGCTTTACAGACCCCAGACGGTAGTTAGATTGTACAGACTGAATGAAACACTCTCACTTGTAGATGCACTCTCCCATGTAGCATGGAGCTTAGAATGCATATAAGTGCTAAAGAAAACAAAACAAAACAAAACAAAACAAAACAAAAAACCAAATTGTAACTTTCAGTTGGTCTGGTGAGTTGCTACAACCTTTTCCCTGTAACTGGTTGCAAAAATAAGCTCCTTTCTTTCCCAGTCTGTCTGCATCTTGTTATTGGGCTGCAAGAACAAGCAGATGGACCCTATTCTATCTGGGAACAGTTTAGTGTGTATGTGTTTTTAATTATAAAATAATTATTTTCCCATATTCTTAAAAATTCTTCAAAAACATAACTTTTGTGAACCCAAAAGTATCTGAGACAGGTTCTGAGATTTATTTTCCTTTCACATTTTTATCTTATGAGAAGACCATCATGTTTTTAGGGATATGTAGGTGTTTCCAACTATTTTCTATTATAAATAATGCTATAACAATATTCTTTGTACTTAAAATCTATATGTGCATCTCTAATTTTTGACTTAACTTACTTTGGCTAAGTCAAAGAATATAAGCTTTAAAAGTTTTGTATCCATCATGCCAAAATACTCTCCAAAAGAGCTGTATCCCTCCTTCCCCCAGTGCAGGAGACTGTTTTCCAGAACCACTGCACTGCATACAGTGAATGGTGCCCCTGCAATGATGGAACTGTTGTTTTCCTGTGTTTATAACACTGGAAATCGTAAGTAAAATAACAACGCCAAAAAATGTTTGCCAACACAACTGGTCAAGTAAATATCCTTCCTATAAATAATTTCCATTTCTCTGATTATTAGTACTATTAATTATTTTCACATATTTTAAGGTTAGTTTTACATATCCTTTTAGGTGACTTTACTGTTGCACGTGTTTTGGCCATTTTTAGTCAGAACATTTGAATTATTTACTAAATTGTAAAGAGCTTTTTTATTTAATGTGAATATTAACACTTGTTACATGTTAACAACTTTTTATTTCCTAGATTCTTAACTTTTCTAACTTTCTATTATACAAAATTTCAAACACAAACAGCAGTAGAAAGAATAGTATAATGAGCCCAATGAACACATTCCCCAGTTTTAATAATAATCAATTAATCCCAATACCTTTTTGATCCACTAAAGTTTTATATTTTTTCAAATTTATTACTTTTTCTCATAATTTCTTCTTTTGCCTTTAAGTTTAGAAGGAACTCCCTCACTCTCAAATATAGTCATTTACCATCTTAGTATATTTTATAGTTTCATTTTTACATTTTTTAAAATTTTACCTGAAATTTTTTTGGTGTATAGTGAGAGGTGAGGACTTAACATTCTTTTTGTAAACAGCCAGCCATCTAGCATCATTTATTAAGTAATTTTTCCTTTCCCTACTGGGGATATTTCAAACCAGTATACTCTTTCTTAAATACAGAAGAGCGGCTCTGCATTTTAGCTTTGTTAAATTCATTTGTCAATTTTTTTTTTTGAGATGGAGTTTTGCTCTTGTCACCCAGGCTGGAGTGCAATGGCGGCTCACTGCAACGTCTGCCTCCTGGGTTCAGGCGATTCTTCTGCCTCAGCCACCCAAGTAGCTGGGATTACAGGTGTTAGCCACCGCACCTGGCTAATTTTTGTATCTTTAGTAGAGACGGAGTTTCACCATGTTGGTGAGGCTGGTCTCAAACTCCTGACCTCACGCAATCCGCCTGCCTCAGCCTCCCAAAGTGCTGGGATTACAGGCATGAGCCACTGTGCCTGGCCCATTTGTCTATATATGAGTACCACACATTTAATTATTTTGCTAAATAATAGATTTTAATAGCTAAATTTTTTAGAAATGATAAAATTAGAATCAGTCTTCCTTCACAACTTACCTGGTTGCACTTTTTAACCACATCTGGCCCAGGTGTGGCATTGAGAAGTGCTATAATAAGGTAACGATTTAGCAGCTTCCCTAGTCCTAGTTCTTGCAAGGTGTCATCTGTAAGGAGTCCATTCCAAAGAAGAATATTGCGGAAGAGCTAAAATAAAATATCAAGTAAATATGTACCTTTTCTCCAAAGAGAAACTGTAATAGTCTCTAACAAACATGAAGAGTTGGTCAAACTAAAATTCTCACTACAATTAGCCCTGTTGGAACTGTCAATTTTAGAATACAATATCTCTGAATAAATACTTGATTCTTTCCAAACTCCATGTATTTGCTCATCTTATTTTCATTTTCTAGGATAACCATCCCCAAATCTATCTCAAATAACTTCACTAGAGCCTTTCCAGATCAATAATCTTCCTTCCCAATCCATTTTCTCTCAAAGCCGGGGGCCATCAAGTATAAGACCACAGGACCACGTGATTCATAAAGAACTACTGTCAAAACTAGGGCCGCCATTACCAACATGTGACCTTGAGAAGGCAATCAACGCTGAGAGCTTCATTCCTCTGATACATAAAGATTTATAATCACCTTTGAGTTTGAAGATAACTTGGATTAAGTAACCATAATAAATTCTAATAAAATATTGGTTGTCCTTTCCCTCTACTAAATTCAGATCTTTCTGTGAATTTTAAGGTGTTTCTTTTTTTGCAGTACTATATTCATTACTCTGAGTGCTGAACTACATGCTGTTTTACTAAAATGTAATGCTTTTTCACATTTTATCTCATTGTTGATGTTGTTCCCTCTTCCCAGAAAGCCTTTTCCCTGATTCAACCACATGACAAATATTAATTCACACTATTAAAACTACTCTTGGTGAGGTCACCTATATCCTTCTAATTGTCAAATCCAATAAACAGTGTTTCAGTCTTTCTCTTAATACTCTTTGGTGGCATTTAACACTCTTTTCTTCATTCTTGAAAATCTTTCATTTAGCTTCCTTGAGGCCATTCTCTTGTGATCATCCTAAGGCTCATAATTGATTCTACAGATTCCCTGAAGCCTCCATGTTCTCCTCTTCTGTTAGTATTTCCCGAGGTTCTGTCCTTGGCCTACTTCTCATGCTTCATCCAGTCTCCTTACGCAGCTTGCCATTCATGACCATGGCTCCAAATATTACCTACAGGTAGTGGACTCCCAAATCTCTAGCTCAGATCTGTCTCCTGAAATTCAGACTTATGTATCCAACCACCTCCTAGACCTCTGTATCTCTATTTGTCCCACATATATCTTCATTATGTACAAAATAGATCTTATCTTCCCTTGATCAGTTATCGACTCCTTTCAATGCTTCCTCCCAAACATTGTTTGAACCTTCTTCTCCTTCTCATCCCTACTGCCACTGACTTAGCAATAATTTTAAGGCCAGGGGTTAGCCAACTATATAGCTTGTGGGTTAAATCCATCCTGTTGCCTGTTTTTATAGGGTCCGTGAGCTAAGAATGGTTTTAACACTTTTCAAGGACGTTTTAAAACTGTCTTTAAACAAAATATTTTGTACCATGAGGAAATTATATGACATTCAAATTTCAGTGTTCATAAGTTTTATTCAAACAGCCATGTTCATTTGTTTATGTACTATGACTGTTTTTGTGCTACAGCGGCAGAGTTGAGTAATTCGACAGAGACCATGTGACCACAAAGCCTAAAATACTATCTAATTCTTATAGAAGAAGTTTGTTGTTCTTTGTTCTATAGTAAACAGGATTTTTACAAAAATTGCCTTTTCATTTTTGCAGTTTTTGCTCACCTTTAGGCCTGACCAGAACTGTCTTTCTTGGAACTTTGAATGAGGTGATGTTTTGTTTTCTACAGCACTAATTAGAAACAAACGAAAGAGAAGAGAAAATGCAAAGAACTATTAGTCTTTCAGAACCAGAGTTTAAGATCAGACTTTCTTTTAAACCAACCAAACTAAGCCTTAATGGAATATAAATAGAGATTGTTTATTTTATTTTATAAATAAAATATATATTTATTTATAAAATATATATTTATATATTTATAAATATGTTTATAAAATATATATTTATATATTTATAAATATGTTTATAAAATATATATTTATATATTTATAAATATGTTTATAAAATATATATTTATATATTTATAAATATGTTTATAAAATATATATTTATATATTTATAAATATGTTTATAAAATATATATTTATAAACAAATAACTAATATATCACATTCATACATCTGAACCATGTGAATGCATTATCTAAAACATTATAAACAAAGTTTACCAAGGCAGAATTTTTACATGTAGACATCTCATGATTCAAAATGAATCAGAAAGCTTTGAGGTTCCTTTCTTCCCCCTCCATAAAGCTCCTCCATCCTGTCACTACTCACTGGATTGCTACAGTTCATGCATCATTATAACTGATGGCTTCTTAGCAAAGTTATGATCATACATCAAATACTCGTTTTATAATTTAAAGTGACTGCAGAATTTACAGGTGCAGTTTCTCGTTCCTCAGCATTGTGCTTCCTCTGTGCTAGGCCCTGTTGTGTTCTGAGCATTCTCTTCATCTCCCTAATATCCTGTGAGGTAGGCACTAATTTTATCCTTATTTTATAGATGAGAAAACAAGTGCATAAAAATACCTACTAACAGTGGACGTGTGCTCTTTACCACTCTATATCACCTGCTATGTTCCTAGGATATATGTAAAACCAAAACCAAAACCAACCAAACAAAATTCATCTAAGCGCCAAGATAAAGCACGGCTTTATGTAAGTCACTGAGAAATATTTGTTGAAATCTCAATTTGCATCCTCATAGAGTATGTGTACACATGTTTTGAAAACACTATAGTTGGCCGGGCGCGGTGGCTCACGCCTGTAATCCCAGCACTTTGGGAGGCCAAGGCGGGCGGATCACAAGGTCAGGAGATCGAGACCATCCTGGCTAACATGGTGAAACCCCATCTCTACTAAATATACAAAAAATTAGCCGGGCGTGGTGGCGGGCGCCTGTAGTCCCAGCCATGGGAGGCTGAGGCAGGAGAATGGCGTGAACCTGGGAGGCGGAGCTTGCAGTGAGCCGAGATCGCGCCACTGCACTCCAGCCTGGGCGACAGAGTGAGACTCAGTCTCAAAAGAAAAAAAAAAAAGAAACACAAAAAACAAAACAAAAAATAAAACACTGTAGTTTCTTTTGCATTGCATTCTTAAACAAATCTGTATTCTATGATCAGCTATTTCCAACAATCTAGAAATTAACAGCGCTTACCTCTTTGGATACAGAGGAATAAAAACATCATCTTCTACTGCCTTTTTCATTCTTGAAACAATGGATTTAAGTAAATCCTATTATTACAAATTTGAAAAGCATCAGTGATAGAAGATAGAAATGTATTTACCAAAAAAAAAGTAATTTTAACTGCAGTACAAATTTATCCACACTCACATAACCAGCTGTTAAAATAACTATCAATTGGGTACAAAAAAAACCTTATTTATCCATGTTGCTACATATGGGTATAGTTGGATCAATTTCATTGCTATATAGTATTTTGTTGCATGAATACTATTGATGGAACACTTAGGTGATTTCTGGTTTGGTGGCTATTATAAATAATGCTGCCATAAAAATTCTTGTACATGTCATTTAGTATGCATGGTCATACATTTCTAATGGGTATATAAATAGAAATGGAATGGCTGGAGTACAGTTCATGTCCATACGTTCAACTACGTACAAAAAACCAAACGGTTTCTAGAATAGTGGCATCCCATTTACATCATTCCTGCAGTATAAAATAAATCCTGTTTCACTACATACTTACGATAATTGGCATTTTCTTGTTTTTTAATGTTTGCAATTATAGTGGGTATGCAGTCATATTTCATTTTGTTGTTTTAATTCTCATTTAATTATCATTGAGTAATGTGCTGTTGGGCATCTTTTCATATTCCTATTTGCCACTTGGCAAGCCGTTTTGCAAAGTACCTAATTAAGCTGCTTGCCAACATTGCTATTTTTTTGTATTAGGTTCTGTCTTTTTATTACTGATTTGTACAAGTCTTTTATATACTCCAGCTGTGGGTCCTTTGTTGGAAAATCCACTTAGGGAAATCCATTTTGTTTGTACATAAAAAAATTGGAAATGACCAAACTATTCAATCACAGGGAATTTTAAGGAGATGTTACATCGCTCCAGTGAATCTATCATAAACTTTAGCTGAAGATTATGATGACTACAGTAACAGACAACTATAAATACGCAATGAGATAACATTAAGCAGAAGTAGTATACTAACTTACATGCCTATTAGGATTATAACTTTGAAAAAAAAGCCAGGATGAAAATATCCTACGATGGTATTAATCCTTGTACTAGGATGAAAGACAATGAGTGTTTATTTTTTTCATATATTAGCAATATTTATATTATTTATATAATGATATTCTTATTCATATTTGAAAAATAAAAATGGCATACTACACATTAGAGTAAAAGTTAATTTTTAAGTCAATGACAATGTATACAGCACAAATTCAACTGTCACATACTATATACTAACTGAATTATCCATAAATGTAGAATTCAAATATATTTTTCTTAAAAAGCATGACCTGAAGTCGTTTCTCTTTCCACTTAATTATCTATAACATATTCCTCAAGTGGCCATATATCAACATTTATTTAATGTTAAAAATTAAAACTCAGTTGTATTTTACTCCATTCTTTAAACATTCTGAATTCTGTTCAAAGAAAAAAAAGCATTTTCTAGACAGTATCTCCAAAAAATAGCATCTGAGTTTATGTAACTTACTGAGTTAGGTGTTCATGATACAAAAAAAGCTGCTTTGATTTTTTTCATTTAATTTTAATGATTTTGGATGCTGGCCTTGACAAATGTTCCCATATTGTTTAAATTTTGTTTCTTAAAATAGTTCTATTGAAAATGTTATAAAGGACATTATTGAATCAACTGGCAAAAGTGGAATATGGATGGTAGATTAAGTGTTGATAAATTTACTGAAATTGCTAACTACTCTGGTTATATAACATAATATCCTTGTCTTAACAAATATGCACCCTGTTCTCAGTACTCAGGAGAAAACATATTGTATGTATATATTTAAAATGGAAGGGCTAATGATAAAGCCAATGGGGCAAAATATTAATGACAAGTAAATCTTGGTAAAGGGAATATGGAAATACTACTCTTATTCATGAAAGTTTTCTTTCAAAGTATTAATATTTCCAAATAAATTGTTTAAAACAAAACATAAATTCACTGGCCGGTTGCCGTGGCTCATGCCTGTAATCCTAGCACTTTGGGAGGCTGAGGTGGGTGGGTCACTTGAGGCCAGGAGTTTGAGACCAGCCTGGCCAACATGGTGAAACCCTGTCTCTACTAAAAATAGAAAAAATTAGCCACACATGGTGGCACATGCTTGTAATCCCAGCTGCTTGGCAGGCTGAGGCACAAGAATCGCTTGAACACAGGAGGTGGAGGTTGCAGTGAGCTGAGATTGCACCACTGCACTCCAGCCTGGGTGACAGAGTAAGGTTCTGTCAAAAAAAAAAAAAAAAACAAAAAAAAGAAAAGAAACCTCCCATAAATTCACATATTTTAAAACCGTGAGATATTAACTTTTCTAAGTATTAAATAACATCATTTGTTTGATGGAAAATAAGGTTCTCCAAACAGTTTTAACAAGCATTCTGAATCACACTTTCAGACTCACATACAACCCTTTGTGTATATATATATACTTTGAAACAGCTTTAAAGAGGCACTTGTGTGATGCCAATGGTTTTTATGCTGTTCTCTATATCCATGGAGGTAATCCCAGGATGGCCTGGACAAATGTTGGGGATGGTTGGGGAAGAATAAAGGCAGGTGCTCACAACAGTAGGAGCAGTTTTACTTCTGTATGTGTGTTTGCGTATCGGATTGCGTAAGATTTATTTGAAATAGATTCTGTTGATAAAAAAGAAAAAACAAAAAATGAGTCTGAAAATCTATCTGAACTCCCAAGTGATGTTTAGACTTATTTTCACATTTCTACTAAATGGTCCACCAGCCATGTCTAAAACCATTTGCTGATAGGGGATCATTATCTCCTGAGGCTGCCCATAACTTTGGACTATTAGATTTCAGTTAACAATGAGAGTTAACAAACTTTTCCCTCCCACAGCTTCCACTCCTTGGTCTTGGTTTACTTCTTGGGATCATATAGAATAGAACTAGCCCCACTTCCACATGACAATTTTCTAGATTTTAAGATGAATATCATACTTTTTTTTTTTTTACATCTTCTCTTTCCCATACTATCTTAAGACACTCTCCACTTAATATGCTTACACCGAAAATTAAATGCAATATTCCCAGGAAGGTCTAATCTGTGGGTATTATCACCAAATATGCCATTCTTACTCAAAATAGCACACACATACTAGGAGAAACTCCCATGTACCTGTTTTCTGTTACTCAAGTGACACTGCTGACTCACGCTGGGTTTATTGATTATAATCTGTCTTACTTATGCTGCTTCAAAACTGTGTCTCTCTCATCTTTTACTTATATAGTTGAATTTTTAAACGCATGGGTGGGACATGCATTTATTTTTTCACAATTTCTTGAATCAGTCAATTTTCTACAATCTTTTGAAATCTTCTTGGATTCTAATTCTACCATCCACAAGTCTTACAGAATTCCTAGCTTTTTGTCACTGACACATTTCATTAGTATGTATTTTAACTCCTTATCCAGTTCAATAAAAATATTGAACAGGGCAAAGCTGAGAAGATATCTAATACTAACAGACTCCCCATAGGTAGCCAATGCCCTACTGGCCATTATTTTTTAGGTTTACTTAAGCTTATATTTCCCCATTTAATCCCTAAGAACAATCATAATAACAATTTGCTTCAATAAACAATGTTAAGTATCATTTGTATTTGGGAATCCTATCAATGACAGATTATAGTAATTACTGCTTTTTAAATTTAAGTATTCATAATCTTCCTCTATAATAATTTACTTTAGATTTTTAGTCAGAATCAAAACTATTATTACCAGGCATTAGCTTACAGCATTTCCTTCTAACTTTGAAAACAGAAACTATGTTGTCTGACTCAATTTTCATTCTTGAACCTCATTCTCTTTCATCACTGAAGAAATGGAGTGATCCCACTGGTGAACTGTCTTAGCAACATGGGGCATTATATAGTGTAAGTGATTCTCTACCAAGTGCCATTTTGCCATCCCTAGGGAATACCTGACAATGTGTAGACATTTTTGGTTGTGAAGACCGGGGAGTGCTACTGCCACCTAGTGGGCACAAGCCAGGGATGCTGCTAAGCATACTATAGTGCACAGGACAAACCCTCACAACAAAAAATTATCTGTTCCAAATGCCAATGTAGTGCTGAGACTGAAAACCCTGATGTAATCTATTCTCCTGCTTATGAAAACAACCCATTTTCTACATTCACAGCAGAGCGGTTTCAGAATAAAAACATCCATTATAAAAACTGCTTGAGTTTGCCTGTAATCCCAGCACTTTGGGAGGCCGAGGTGGGCGGATCACAAGGTCAGGAGATCAATACCATCCTGGCTAATACAGTGAAACCCCGTCTCTACTAAAAGCACACAAAATTAGCCAGGCATGGTGGCAGGTGCCTGTAGTCCCAGCTACTCGGGAGGCTGAGGCAGGAGAATTGCTTGAACCTGGGAGGCGGAGGTTGCAGTGAGCCAAGATCACACCACTGCACTCCAGCCTGGGTGACAGAGCAAGACTCCGCCTCAAAAAAAAAAAAAAGACTTCATGAGTGAATCCATAATACTGCTGAAGGGCTTCAGTGATCACAAAGAGCCAGGTCTACCACTTAGTATTCAAGTATTTCAAAAATGACTTAACCCTTCTGGGCCCCAGCTTCATCTGTAAAAATGCAATTAAAATAAATACATTTCACAGGGTTATGAGGATCAAATGAGACAATGTGAAAGTATTTAACAAATGGTAAAGCATAATGATTTACATTTAGGTTATAACTAAACAATACTATATGGAAAGCAAATGCAGGATTATATATCTGCTTCTTTGTAGCTTTTAACTACTAATCTTGGTTCTATGCTGCATAACAGCACAGAATAAATCTATACCTTCTTTGAATACAAACAGCATCTCTCTGTACATCTTTCAAATTAAATATCTCTAATTCCTGCAACAGTTTCCATCTATTTTACTTGAGTTTTTATCCTATTGGAGGTAAGCAGAAAATGCCTCTCTCTCTGTTGCCACATGTTGAAATCCTATTCTTTCCCTCAAGCCACAGTTCAAATGCCACCCCTAAGATAAATTATTTCCTTATCCCCACTGCTGAAGGTAACCTCTCTCTCCTGTCTCTCTCCTGAAGACACAGTACTTTATCTATGCTGCTCAAGGGGAGGCAACATGGTCAGTGAGGCAAACTTGGGCTTTAGAGGCAGACTATCCAAGTTCAAATCCTAGTGCTCATTCATAGTAGCACTGTGACAACTAGTTTTAAAGATTCATTTTCTTCATCTATAAAATGAGGCTGTCATCCTTTTAAGAGACAGGGTTTTGCTGTTGCCCAGGCTGCAGTGTGGTGGCACAATCAAGGCTCAATGCAGCTTCAACTCCTGGGCTCAAGGGGGAGCCCAGCTAATTTTTATTTTTTTGGTAGAGATGGATCTTGCTATGATGCCCAGGCTGGTCTTGAACTCTTGGCCTGAAGAGATCCTCCTGCCTCAGCCTCCCAAAGCACTCAGATATACAGGCGTGATCTGCCATACCTGGCGATCACCCATTTTTTAAATAGGGCTGCTGGGATTAAGATGACAGGTACAAGACCTTACAGAGTGCCTAGTACACAATTGGAATTAAATAAGTGTTTGTTATCTTCCCTACTTCTCCTTTTCACTTCCAGTTTTAAGTTACAGTTTATGTGCATCTTATTTTCTCTGAGATTACATGCTTCTTGAAGGCAGAATTAGGCTGGTATCCCTTTTCTCCCTTTCATTTCTTACAGCTATCCTCCTTTGTAATCACAGTTCCAAGGGCTAAAACTTAATGGTGCTCATAATATGAATATGATATGCCTCCTTGCTTTTCAACCACCTCTGTCATTCTACTCCGGGCATTCTCCAGTCTGTCAATTTCTCCTTAATTTCCTAAAGCTCAACCTAAAATTGGTTTACTCATAAAACTGCATGAATCTACAATCTCATCAACAAACAATAAAAAAAAATGCTACAATGAAAGAGTGAGAAGATTCTCAGCAACATCACTCTAAAAAGTTCCCCAATATGTCTTATGTTCACTGAATTCAATTCTAGATCATTGTAAGATTAAGATCTGTTTTACTGAACTTTGAATCCTTAAAGAGACTACTATTATTTGGTAGACTACAAATAACTAGTTAATACAATAAGTGTCAGTCTAATTTTGAAACCATTGTTCAAGCAAAGCCACAATGCCACTGGATTTTTGCCAAAAGAACAAAGGTAATGAGTATTGTTGTCTTCCTTTAGAAGAAATGAATTTGCACTAATGAATTTATACCGGTTCATCTCTGCAGGGCCAGTGTATATTCATAATCCTGAAAGATGGCTGCCTGGGCCATGAGAACACAAATCAGATCACTGAACAGAGAAAAGTAAGCTAATAGGAATGAAAGTCATAATCTGGGTCCTTACATGTATGTCTATAATTTAAAATGATTACCACTCCTATCACAGTGTTGAGAAGTATCAAGGTATATTCTTTCATCTTATTATTATAAAGATAAAAAATAGCCAAGTCCAGTTTAAAAAATTTTTTTTTCATCTCAGTGCAGTCTGAGAAAAAGTCTAGTTTCTATAAATCAAAAGTAAATATGTTTTCCCCCAAACAGTTTTCTGATAATCACTTCTGCATCTTTTATAAACCAAGATCTGTAAGAAAATTATAATGATTTAGAGATAGATCATGGAGTTCGCAACTCTAGAAATTATTACCTGTCTGCTTTTACTAACTTCATTTTCACAAGTGGAATGTTCTTCAAGAATCACTCTGCAATGTGTTATTAAACTTGTTGTCTGTGAGGTTGACAAAGGATCCCAAAGGAATTCTACAAAGTCTGAAACAAATATTTCAGTGGTACACAATGTATTTACTAGATTGTTTTGCTTTTCATATACAAATAATCAAGACCTTTAACAAACACTACTTCCCTCCTTATTCAGTTTAAGTTCCATGGCCAATTATTACCATTACATATTTGCATACATCTTCAATTTCCTTGTTCTTCTTGGGCTTTGTTAAACTCCTCTGGCTAAACTACAGCTCTTTATAGTTAAGTTCACCTTGTCACTGAGTCTCTGCCTGCAACCATGCAGATAAAAAGTGGCTGGAAAAACAAACACATTAACTTGATCACTATACAACTTGAGTGAGCCTCTCTCTCTCTCTGTCTCTCAGGTCCATTCACTCTCCCTCTCACCTAGATGATTACTTCATACCTTCTCCCCTCTCCGTTATCTCTCTCTCAGTTGATGGACTTTTTCCTTCTAGATGATTATTTCCTACTTTATTTTTTCTACTCCCTTGCATTCTCTTTCAGCTAATTACTTCCTAATTTGCTAAGAAAATAGAAGCAATCAGAAAAGCAGCACTATGAAGCTCCTACCACAGCATCTACACACCTACCTACATCTGTGCCGATATGCTCTAACTTGTCTCCTATTCCTATGGATGAGGCACCCACACTCCCACCACTTCAGGCAAACTGTTTATTTTGTGGATGAGATCCCAAGCCTTTTGGCTTAGTCTAAGATCCTGTTCCCAGAACACTGTCCTTCCACTTTGGTATTGACATCACTTGTACTAGATTTTTTCCATCACCCTACAAACAACTATTTATCTTGTATTAAAAATAATCCCCCTCAGTGTAAGGAGGCTGCCAAGATGGCCGAATAGGAACAGCTCCAGTCTACAGCTCCCAGCGAGATGGACGTAGAAGGCCGGTGATTTCTGCATTTCCAACTGAGGTACCCAGTTCATCTCATTGGGCCTGGTTGGACAGTGGGTGCAGCCCACAGAGGGTGAGCTGAAGCAAGGTTGGGTGTTGCCTCACCTGGGAAGCACAAGGGGTTGGGGAATTCTCTCCCTTATCTAAGGGATGCCACGAGAAACCGTGCCAGGAGGAACAGTGCACTCCAGCCCAGATACTGTGTTTTTCCCACGGTCTTCGCAACCGGCAGACCAGGAGATTCCCTCCAGTGCCTACCCCACCAGGGCTGTGGGTTTCATGCACAAAACTGGGTGGCTGTTTGGGCAGACATCAAACTAGCTGCAGGCTTTTTTTTTAATTTTTATTTTTTCATACCCCAGTGGCACCTGGAACGCCAGAGAAACAGAACCATTCACCACCCTGGAAAAGGGGCTGAAGACAGGGAGCCAAGTAGTCTGGCTTGGTGGGTCCCACCCCCACGGAGCCCAGCAAGCTAAGATCCACTGACTTGAAATTCTCACTGCCAGCACAGCAGTCTGAGCCCAACCTGAGATGCTTCAGCTTGGTAGGCGGAGGGGTGTCCGCCACTGCTGAGGCTTCAGTAGCCGGTTTATGCCTCACAGTGTAAACAAAGCCACCGGGAAGTTCGACCTGGGCAGAGCCCACCGAAGCTCAGCAAGGCCACTGCGGCCAGACTGCCTCTCTAGACTCCTCTTCTCTGGGCAGAGCATCTCTGAAAAAAGCCAGCAGCCCCAGTCAGGGACTTAGAGATAAAACCCCCATCTTCCATGGACAGAGCACCTGGGGAAAGGGGTGGCTGTGGGCGCAGCTTCAGCAGACTTAAACGTCCTTGCCTGACAGTTCTGAAGACAGCAGTGGTTCTCTCAGCACAGTGTTCGAGCTCTGCTAAGGGACACACTGCCTCCTCAAGTGGGTCCCTGACCCCTGTGTATCCTGTCTGGGAGACACCTCCCAGTAGGGGCCGACAGACACCTCACAGAGGAGAGCTCTGCCTGGCATCTGGCGGATGACCCTCTGAGACGAAGCTTCCAGAGGAAGGAACAAGCAGCAATCTTTGCTGTTCTGCAGCCTCCGCTGGTGATACCCAGGCAAACAGGGTCTGGAGTGGACCTCCAGCAAACTCCAGCAGACCTACAGCTGAGGGGCCTGACTGTTAAAAGCAAAACTAACAAACAGAAAAGAATAGTATCAGCATCAACAAAAAGGATGTACCCTAAGAGACCCCATCTGAAGGTCACCAACATCAAAGACCAAAGGTAGATAAATCCACAAAGATGGGGAGAAACCAGTGCAAAAAGGCTGAAAATTCCAAAAACCAGAATGCCCGTTCTTCAAAGAATCACAACTCATCACCAGCAAGGGAACAAAACCGGATGGAGAATGAGTTTGACGAAGTGACAGAAGTAGGCTTCAGAAGGTGGGTAATAACAAACTCCTCTGAGCTAAAGGAGCATGTTCTAACCCAATGGAAGGAAGCTAAGAACCTTGAAAAAAGGTTAGAGGTATTGCTAACTAAAATAACCAGTTTAGAGAAGAATACAAATGACCTGATGAAGCTGAAAAACACTGCATGAGAATGTCGTGAAGCATACACAGGTATCAATAGCTGAATCGATCAAGTGGAAGAAAGGATATCAGAGACTGAAGATCACCTCAATGAAATAAAGCGAGAAGACAAGTTTAGAGAAAAAAGTGAAAAGAAACAAACAAAGCCTCCAAGAAATATGGGACTATGTGAAAAGACCAAATCTATGTTTGATTGGTGTACCTGAAAGTGATGGGGAGAATGGAACCAAGTTGGAAAACACTCTTCAGGACATTATCCGGAAGAACTTCCCCAACACAGCAAGGCAGGCCAACATTCAAATTCAGGAAATACAGAGAACACCACAAAGATACTCCTCGAGAAGAGCAACCCCAAGACACATAATTGTCAGATTCACCAAGGTTGAAATGAAGGAAAAAAAGTTAAGGGCAGCCAGAAAGAAAGGTTGGGTTACCCACAAATGGAAGCCCATCAGACTAACAGCGGATCTCTCTGCAGAAACCCTACAAGCTACAAGAGACTGGGGGCCAATATTCAACATTCTTAAAGAAATGAATTTTCAATCCAGAATTTCATATCCAGCCAAACTAAGCTTCATAAGCAAAGGAAAAATAAAATCCTTTACAGACAAGCAAATGCTGAGAGATTTTGTCACCACCAGGCCTGCCTTACAAGAGCTCCTGAAGGAAGCGCTAAACATGGAAAGGTACAACTGGTACCAGACGCTGCAAAAACATACCGAATTGTAAAGACCATCAACGCTATGAAGAAACTGCGTCAACTAATGAGCAAAATGACCAGCTAGCATCATAATGACAGGATCAAATTCACACATAACAATATTAACTTTAAAAGTAAATGGGCTAAAAGCCCCAATTAAAAGACACAGACTGGCAAATTGAATAAAGTGTCAAGACCCATCAATGTGCTGTATTCAGGAGACCCATCTCATGTAAAGAGACACACACTGGCTCAAAATAAAGGGATGGAGGAATATTTACCAAGTAAATGGAAAGCAAAAAAAAAAAAAAAAAAAAAGAAAAAAGAAAAAAAAGCATGAGTTGCAGTCCTAGTCTCTGATAAAACAGACTTTAAGCCAGCAAAGATCAAAAGAGACAAAGAAGGGTATTACATAATGGTGAAGGGATCAGTGCAACAGTAAGAGCTAACCATCCTAAATAAATACGCACCCAATACAGCAGCACTCAGATCAGATTCATAAAGCAAGTTCTTAGAGACCTACAAAGAGACTTAGACTCCCACACAATAATAGTGGGAGCCTTTAACATCCCACTGTCGATAACAGACAGATCAATGAAACAGAAAATTAACAAAGATATCCAGGAATTGAACTCAGCTCTGGACCAAGCAGACCTAATAGACATCTATAGAACTCTCCACCCCAAATCGACAGAATATACATTTTTCTTAGCACCACATCACACTTATTCTAAAACTGACCACATAATTGGAAGTAAAACACTCCTCAGCAAATGCAAAAGAATGGAAATCATAACAAACAGTCTCTCAGACCACAGTACAATCAAATTAGAACTCAAGATTAAGAAACTCACTCAAAACCGCACAACTATATGGAAACTTAACAGCCTGCTCCTGAATGACTACTGGGTAAATAAAGAAATGGAGGCAGAAGTAAAGATGTTCTTTGAAACCATGAGAACAAACACACAACGTACCAGAATCCCTGGGACACATTTAAAGCAGTGTGTAGAGGGAAATTTATAGCACTAAATGCCCACAACAGAAAGCAGGAAAGATCTAAAATCGACATCCTAACATCACAATTAAAAGAGAGGATGTGGAGAAATAGAACACTTTTACACTGTTGGTGGGACTGTAAACTAGTTCAACCATTGTGGAAGACAGTGTGGCGACTGCTCAAGGATCTAGAACTAGAAATACCATTTAACCCAGCCATGCTATTACTGAGTATATACCCAAAGGATTATAAATTCATGCTGCTATAAAGACACATGCACATGTATGTTTATTGTGGCACTATTCACAATAGCAAAGACTTGGAACCAACCCAAATGCCCATCAATGATAGACTGGATTAAGAAAATGTGGCACATGTACACCATGGAATACTATGCAGCCATAAAACAGGATGAGTTTATGTCCTTTGCAGGGACATGGACATGGATGAAGCTGGAAACCATCATTCTCAGCAAACTAACACCAGAACACAAAACCAAACACTGCACGTTCTCACTCATAAGTGGGAGCTGAACAATGAGAACACATGGACAGGGAGCGGAACATCACACACCGGGGCCTTTTGGGGGTCAGGGGACTGGGGTGGGATAGCATTAGGAGAAATACCTAATGTAGATGACAAGTTGATGAGTGCAGCAAACACTATGGCACGTGTACACCTATGTAACAAACCTGCACGTTCTGCACATGTACCCCAGAACTTAAAGTATAATAATAAACAAACAAAAAATCCCCCTTAGCCCTACTTCCTCCTCTAGTATTGTTCCATTTCCCTCCTATCTTTTACAACAAAATTCCTCAAAGTACTATCTAAACTTCTATCTCCAGTTTCTCTCTTCTCACTTGTTCTTGCTTTCCCTTTAATTAGGCCTTATCTCTTATCAGCCTACCTAATGCGCTCTTAGCAAATCACAGATGACATTCACATAGCAAACTCCAATGATTGATTCTAATCCTCATCTGACTTATCATCAACAATTCCAACAGTTGACCCTTCTTTCTTCCTAGAAACACTGTCTTTACTTGGCTTCCAAAATACCACACTCTTAGTTTCCTGCCCACCTCTCTGGTCTTTGCTGTCTGCTTGTCATCTCTTTGACTTCCCAGTGCTATAGTATCTCAGGATTCAGGTCACTTACCTTCTCTTTTCGGTTTATATTCACTCGCTTGGTATTCAAAGTCAATTTTATACATTAAATGCCATCAATAAATGTCATGTGGATAAATTCCAAACTTATACCTTCTGACTGGACCTCCCCCTTTAAGACTCATGTATTCAACAACTGACTTGACATGTCCACTTAGATTACAGGTACTTCAAAATCAACATGTCCCAAACTGAGCTGCTATGCTAATACAGCTCCCCACATTAAGCTTACTCCTGTCAGACTTTTTCATTTCAGGAAATGGCACCTCTGTCCTTCCAGTTGCTCAGGCCAATTCCTCAATGGACCCATTCTTGATTCCTCTCTTTCTCTCTTGCTGCACAACCAATCCATTAGCACATTCTGTTAGTGCTATCTTTGAAATATATGTAGAATTCAATCACTATTTGGACTCAGTCAGTGTTAATTTCTCACAAAGCTACTTATTTGTGGGACTGTTTCATCATTAGTATTTAGATTTTTTCAGCAGAGTGCTTAAACTAGGCACATGCATTCTATCATTAGTAGAGTTAGTTAAAAATAGTAACTTTCTAACACACCCCACAAATGCACCATAAGTTTCATTGAAATAAAATCTTGAAAGTTTTTATTTTTTATTTTTTTTAAATTTTAAATTTATAAATAGAGATGGGGTTTCACCTCGTTGCCAAGGCTGGTCTGGAACTCCTGTGCTCAAGCGATCCTTCTGCCTCGGCCTTGCAAAGTGCTGGGATTACAGGCATGAGCAACTCCACCCAGCCAAAATCTTATAATCAAGTTGCCTAAGAAGCAATTATAAGGCTAATTGCTTCCAACTTCTAGGCTGGGCATGGTGACTCATGCCTATAATCCCAGTGCTTTGGGAAGCTTAGGGGAAGGGTCTCTTGAGGCCAGGAGTTTGAGACTAGCCTGGGCAACAGAGCAAGACCCTGTCTCTAAAAAAATCTTTTAAAAATTAGCTGGGTATGGTGGCACGCGCCTGGAGTCCTAGCTAATTGGGAGGCTGAGGCAGTAGGATCACTTGACCCCAGGAATTCAAGACTGACTTGAGCAATGTTCACACCACTGTACTCCAGTCTGGGTGACAGAGGAAGACCCTGTCTCAAAAACAAACACACAAAAAATTAAATAAGAGTTTTGCAGTCTTTGCTGTCAAATTTCTTTCTCAGTGACATAGTGAAACGGATCCTTATCAAGTACACAGGTAAAACAAAAGACTTCATGCTAAGGTCTGAAGCACAAGCATTAATGTTAAGTGCTCATAGCTGCTAGTGGCAAATGTGAGTGAAATGAAGCAATTTTTTTTTTTTTTGAGACGGAGTTTCACTCTTGTCACCCAGGCTGGAGTGCAATGGCACGATCTCGGCTCACCGCAACCTTCGCCTCCCAGGTTTAAGCAATTCTCCTGCCTCAGCCTCCTGAGTAGCTGGGATTACAGGTGCCTGCTACCACACCCAGCTAGTTTTTTGTATTTTTAGTAGAGACGAGGTTTCGCCATGGTGGCCAGGCTGGTCTTGAACTCCTGACCTCAGGTGATCTACCTGCCTTGGCCTCCTAAAGTTCCAGGATTACAGGCATGAACCACCACTCCCAGATGAAGCAATGGTTTTAAAGAAAAGGATAAGAAACACAATTAGAGAAGTTAAGGGGAAAAAAGGACACATGTAGTATGGATGGAAGTGTGCTAAAAAATGACTGAAGTGCCATAAAAGCAGCGGGAATGCCACAAACACTAAACTGACTTTAAATACTAAGTGACTGAAGTAAATAGAACAGAGAAGGTAAGTGACCTGAATCCAGAGATACTGTAGCACTTGGAAGTCAAAGAGGTGACAAGCAGACAGCAAAGACCAGAGAGGTGGGCAGGAAACTAAGAGTGTGGTATTTTGGTAGCCAAGTAAAGACAGTGTTTCTAGGAAGAAAGAAGGGTCAACTGTTGGAACTGCTGATGATACGTCAGATGAGGATTAGTGATCAATCTGAGTATTAGCAGTTTGGTAGCCAACCACCTGTACAAACACAAATTTTTTAACCACCTTACATTTGACAGCTGTTGATTTTTACTACATATAACATTTCCTTGAGATTAAAAACTTATGAAAAAACTTTGTGAATATAACAGAAATTAACAACCTTATATACTCTGTCAGAAAATAATTTAATTTTACCAAGGTTACGAAGCAGTACCTGTAAGTCGGGGAATAATTGTTTTGTTGATGATTGCAGACAAGACTTTTTTATCTGAACTACTTTCCTTCTTTGAATCTTCCACACTGCTATCCATAAATTCTTCTACAGATTTGAACCATGGCATCTCTTTTAAACCTGTGGATTCCAACTTACAAAGAAAATTACAAAAGTTATAAAGAAATCTTTCAACATTAGTGTATTTTTAAATAGTTATTATTTTTTTCAATAATCACCAGAGCTTTTCTAAGGATCAGAAGAGATTAATTCCCTATTTTAACACTAGACCACCAAGGCTAGGCAGGATTGCAGGACAGCATGACTGAGACATGGTGTCTAAGTAACATAAGAAGAAGCTGCATTTCATGCATTCAATCACACAACAAACACTCAACAACTACCTAGTGTGTGCCGGAGCCTTTAGACCCTACCACATGGCAAGTACTCTGCTTGGAGCAAAATACAAATTTGTTAGGCACTTGAAACAGCCATGGAATTTGTTTATAAAAAAAATTCATCCACTTCAAGCAAAGTTTATTTCTGGCCCCTTCAATTCACTAAGCATAAATATGTAATTTGTATGTGATTTAGTTAAAGGTCCTATTACACAGTAGGCAGTTGCTGAGTTCATACTTCTTTTTTTTTCTTTTAGTCAGTCAAATTCAGTGAACAGAGTTTATATTCCTTAACTTAGGATCTAAATATCTGTGCAATTTCTAGCTCCTGAACTAATACTTCTCCCTTTACACCTTTATGAAACACCTTTCCCTTTCTGATTCATCCTGTTTACCCCATAAACTCTTCAAAGGCTTGCATTCCACCTTCTCAACACAACCCTAAGCAACTCTTCCCAGTATGTCATCTCCAACTTAAGAATTCTTGAAACAAGGCTTTTATATCTACTTTCTCCAAACCCAACAGTACCTTATACTTTCTGGGAGGATTTTAAATTTAATGTACAAGAAGCTAAAAAAAAATGTGTTTGCTTTACTGATGTTAATGATGCTTAGCCTAAAAATCAAGTGACAGCCAAGAAAAGAAGAATGTAGCCGAAAGCACACATTTTCTGACTATTGTTCCAAAGCTCTAAATTTCAGCTCCGACTCTAAGGGTAAGGTATTTAATGCCTAACACAATAGTAAGGGAATTTAAGCAACTAATATAATCAGGATAATTTTTCATATGTTAAGCATAAATACCTTAAGAGGATTCCAATCAATCAACTGAACTCGTATTAGGGGATTTAAAAGCTTTGGTATGCATAAACTAATGAAAGCTTCATAATAGGAGTCAGGAAACTTTTCTCGCCATTGCTGAAATTTCAACAAAATATTCTGGATGTTACAAAAATCATCTTGCACTTCTTCAAAAACTTTCTTCTGTTTCTGTAAAATGTCACCTGTAAACAAAATAAGTCTCTTTATGCATTTTAAGTTGTGAACTTTAAGTATGCTTCCTTAAAAACACGGTCATGATGGACTGTAATCAATTGAGCTAAAATTTGTCCTTTTATATTAATATAAATTTTTATTAAATCACTTTATCAACAAAGTAATAATATCAACACTAATAGAAGTTACCATATATACCCCTGCTATACGCAGAAATACATTAATCTCATTTTACCATCGTAGCTATCTTCCATACCATATAGGTATAGTCTACTTATTTACAGACAAAACAACATCAAATTTAGGGAGGTCAAAAAATTTGTCTAAGATTACACAGAAAAAAATCTCCCTTAGAACCCAAATTTATTTAAATCCAGAGCCTAGAATTTTTCAACTATATGCATCTTCTCATCATGCTAAAAAGTTTCACCAAATTCAAATGTTTTAAGTTAAAAATGACAATATAGAAAGTATGTGTGGTAAAGAAATGAAATGAAGATGTTCATTATTAATTGGAGAACGTCTAAGAGAAAAAACTATGAAGATGTAAGAATACTCACAATGTTCCTTCCTTCATTTTACTCCATTTTTTCAGAGAAAAGAGTCTTACAGAGGAAAAATGTGTTTCATTTTTCCTGAATTTACCCAACTGTTTTATATAGCTTATGTACTTATTAAGGGCAATCCCAGCAAAGTGTTTCTCACCATTTCAAAACTCAAACCATGATATATTAGAAACTTGGTAACTGACCTTGGCTTTTTTGGAAGTCAATCATCTCTGCTGAAGGCAGTTCATCATCACTAGATGTTCCTTCCTGATGGTTACAATTCCCAGAAAGCACCCTTGCTTGTCTTCTTTTTGTCCTATATTTTGCAACAAACCAAAAATAAACAAAAAGTAAGTAGTTCTTGCTGAAAATAAATGCCTAAATTTTTTTTAACCTCTTGCTGAAAATAAGTAATTTTATCATTTATTTTAAATGGCCAGAAATATACTATCATATCAGCGCACAATTTTATTAATATTTTTGACATTTTTAGTTTCATTAGTTTGAGTTGGTGGTTCTGCATTTTTTGTTTTGTTTTGTTTTCTCTTATAAGACATTCCCATTTAGGACATTCCCATGGGCTAACCAGATTCCGAAGAGGGGGTAATTATAATTAGGACCGGTTTCTAGTTACAAGGAATTCCCAGCCTGATAAATGTCATTTTACCCATTCCTTTTAACTGATCCAAATACACCAATGTGTCTTTAAAGCAGTCAAGGGTGGTTTTACTAAATTTTGCTTTTCTATTATTCTTACAAATTAATAATGTATATCAGGTATAGTTAATGACATCATGTGGTTAATTATATTTCAGTAGTGAAAAGTACTTGCTCAATGATGCTTTCTTTAAATCTTCACTTTATATAGGTACCTTCGAGATTCAATCTCTTCTAAAATCCACTGAGTTTTTTCATCTACTGAGAAGTTTCCACTTGTGGATGTCTCATCTTTGCCTGTTAATAAATAAAATTGACTTCATACTACAAATTCTCAAAAGAAAAAAGTAAAATGCTTTGAAAATAAAGGTAATATCATGGATGTATAAACATATGCATATGTAAATACATAAATATGCTTAAATTTTGCAATTAATTATGCAATGACATTTCAATGTTAACTCTTTATTGCAATATTAACAGGCATGAGGTTCATTAGCCTAAAAATGTACTTTGGCTGGTGTACTTTTGCTGTTGTTGAGAACAGCAACAAAGTTCTACCACAAAGTTTCGTTTTCTCATATTCTTTTCCAGTAGTTTCTACCAGTTTTTTTCCATAGCCAAATGCAAGAAATATTGGCTTTGCCAATACAGGAGTCCCCCCTAATCTGCAGGGGACACCTTCTAAGAACCCCAGTCGATGCCTGAAACTGCATATAGCACCAAACCCTATTTGTTTTTTCCTCTATATACACACCTATGATAAAGTTTAATTTATAAATTAGGCACTGTAAGAGACTAACAATAGCAATAAAGTAGAACAATGAAAATAATATATTGTAAGTTATACGAATGTTGGGTATCTCTCTCTCAAAATATCTTATTGTACTGTACTTATTCATTTTTGGACCATTGTTGACTGAAACTGTGGAAAGCAAAACTGCAGATTAGAGGGATTACTGTATTCTATTCATATTATTTCTTATTTTAATACGTAATACCATTATTTATGATCCACTAAGGGTTGTGTGTTTCACTGAAAGTCACTTTGCCTTTGCATTTACTAGCTACTTGGTTATGGTCTTTCACTATCTCCTGATAGCACCTTAATCAAAGGAAGATATCTCTGAAAGTACAAAATCAATGCGAAAAAAAAAAGAGGAGGCATCCGTATTTTATATAATGAGATCTTAAAATCTGTATTGAAACTCACCAGAACCAATCTGTAAAAGGGCTCTGAAACTATGAAGTTAGACTTCTGACAGAGCCTCCAGAATTATGTGAACTTGTCTCAAAACATTCTCTAAATGGCTATGTACATATTCTGTCTGAAATAGTAAATAACTGGAAGTCATGTTTATTTTTGAGTCTTGGACTTAATTTAAAACATTCTTAAGTCCTATTTCTAAATGTTTTGAGTTTTTGGAAGTTGGTGGGTAAAGGGTTTGTGGGAAAATACATGAAAAACATGTTTATAAAAATAAAAATATTTTTATTCTTCACATAATTTAGCTTAATGAATAATAAATTGTATGGAACACGAAAAACACTAACGTGATAACTGTTGTAAATACGTTGATTCATGTTTTAATTCATCTTGCCTGCGTTTCATAAAGGTCATAGCTTGTTTTAAAAGGAGTGCATGCATGGATGATTCTATTTCTTGGATGTTGATAATCTGAAATACACATATAAGTAACATTTTGCAGGTCATCGATAATGAAATATATATATATATATATATATATAAAAGTAATATTTAGAAGATACATAAGCATATTTATATGCTTAATTCTCAAAGAAACATTCCCAATACTATCACATCTGAAGTATAAAACATTGTGTGCAACAGACCTAGCTGCCAATACTTTTAATATTAAAAAATCAGAAAATTGACTTAGTCTACTGGAACTGTTACAATTATCAGAGATAGATAAACTAAATGGGGGCCAGGATGTGGTAGCTCATGCCTGTTATCCCAGCACTTTGGGAGGTGGGTAGATCACCTGAGGTCAGGAGTTCAAGGCCAGCCTGGCCAACATAGCGAAACCCCTTCTCTACTAACAGTACAAAAATTAGCCAGGCGCAGTGGCACCTGCCTTCAATCCCAGCTACTCAGGAGACTGAGGCAGGAGAATCGCTTGAACTCTGGAGGTGGAGGTTACAGTGAGCTGAGATCACACCACTGCACTCCAGCCTGGGCAACAGAGTGAGGCTCTGTCTCAAAAGAAAAAAAAAAAAAGAAACCAAATGGGATGGAGTCAGGAACATGCATTAAAGTTTGAGATAGAAGATTTTTTTTTGAGACAGAAGAATAGGAAAAAATGAAGGGTACAGATGTTTTCCAGGCTGAGGGTGTGGAAAGTAGGTGGGGGCACTCAAAGCTGGTGAAATTTGAAAAATCGGGGAATGGAGAAAAACTAACCAGAGTCAGGTAAGTAAGTTGTGATGTGATACAGAAATGAGACTTGTTGAAATTGAAACTCTCATATTTTGGGGAGCAACAATTCCTCCTACTCCATTGATACTCCACAGCTGCTGCTATGAGTACATTAATGCACAGGCTGACAAAATTTTAACAGTGTAATTTTTCAAGGGCAAATGAAAAAAGAAAATTACATTGTAATAAATACTTCAGAAAGTAACTACCAAGTGATAGTAGAAGATAGCCAACTTAAAACAACAATTGGGACAAAGCATCTCATTGTTTTAATTATAAACAAAAAATAATGTGGGCTGAGTGCAGTGGCTCAGGCCTATAACCCTAGCACTTTGGGAGGCTGAGACAGGTGGATTGCCTGAGCTCGGGAGTTCCAGACCAGCTTGGGCAACATGGCGAAACCCCGTCTCTACTAAAAATACAAAACATTAGCTGGGTGTGGTGGTGCACGCCTGTAGTCCCAGCTACTTGGGAGGCTGAGGCACGAGAATCGCTTGAACCTAGGAGGCAGAGGTTGCATTGAGCTGAGATCGTGCTACTACAGTCCAGCCTGGGTGACAGAGCGAGACTCTGTCCCCCTCACTAGAAAAATAAATAAAATAAAAATAACAAAAATGTGGAAAGTAGAGAATAATTTATTGAAATGGTTAATCTATTTTTAAAAACAGACAACTGAAGGCCTGCCCCAATGTAAAAACTTAGTATGCATAAAACAAAAACTAAAAACAAAAATTTCAAAACATCTGAATGTTGAAAGAAAAACCATTACAAACAAATTCAAAAGACAAAACTGGTAAGTTCACATTAAGTAGGATAAAACATTAAAAAATTTTAAGCTATAAAGAATTGTTCATACTCTAACAAAACCAGAAAAGAAAAAGAAAAAAATTTCCACTAAGAACCACAAAGATAAAAGGGCAAAGACAAGAAACAAATAATTCACAAGCAGAAAACCAAAGAGTTTGCTTGAGATCAAAATATGATATGTAAAAACAAAATCCATTTATTCCTAATCTAGTAAACTAATAAAACTGGCACAATCTTTCTGGAGGTCAATTTTGTAATGTTTCATAAGCCTTAAAAATATTTAGACTTAATAATTCATTTTATTTGACTTCATTTTCAAGGAATTTTCCTTAAACAGAAGAAATTATAACAAAAATTTATATACAAAATTTTATACAATGTTACTTACAATAATAAAATAGTTGCAAAAAACTTGAATATCCAACATTAAGAGAATGCTATCATCTTATTTTAAAAATGTGTAGGAAAAATACTAGAGAAAAGTATCTAATTGTGAGATTTAGACTTTTCTTAATTGCACAAGGGGTTTTCTCCAAAAAAGGAAATGATATAAATAAATATTGATATGTACCTTTTCATTAAGGCAGTCAATTAAATTTTCCACATAAATTTTCATGCTTTTATAGAATTTACAATTTAGAGCTTGATTTGATGAACTCTCTAGGTTCTGGATGGTACTCTTTGAGCTTTTGACATCTTGTACGTATTTTTCATACTCCCTCAGGTGTGAGCGGTGAGTTTCCTGTAGTAATGTTAATCTAAATAAATAAAATAAAAATTAGTTTATTTTTCATACTCTTTTAAAAGTAGCAATCTAATGTAAATATTTTCAAAGACCACCAAGGAAACTGACAATCATATAAATCTGGGTTTATAGACTAGATAAGCAAAGAACACCACAATAAAAGGAAACCCTTTAGCACTTGCTTAGGCCAAATATTCTCTCTTCAAGTTTTCTTGCATTTGTCTTTCAGAATCTTTCTTTGCTTTATATAAAGGAGAGTGAGAATTAAGAAATTAATCAAGATAATAATGTATAGTAGGCATTATTAATAAAATGTTTTAGTTAAGTAGAATATTTTTGACTATAGCAGTGAACTTGTAAGTAAATATCATGTGGAAAAAACTAGGTACAGAGCAGGGTATATAATGTCCTTTTTTGTATAAAAACGGGAATATATAAGTATACATGTGCTTATAAAGATATACATATAGACCACTTCTGGAACAAAACATAAGAAACTGGTAGCAATGGGTTCCTCTAGGGAGGGTGGTAATTTACTTCGTTCTGTATATCCTTTCCACTGGTTATTTTATTTTTTAACAATGAGAGTGTATGGTCTTTTTAAAATAAAAAACCTAGTTAATAAAAAATAAAATATAATAAAGTTATCCAGATAAAATAAAATGCTACGATAAATCAATGATCTGCTGCCTCTTTTTTATCCCTCATGCAAGGTTATCTTTGTATTCTAGGGGGCTGGCAAACTACCAGTCCATCCTTTGTTTTTATAAATAAAGTTATATTGGAACACATACATGCTTATATGTTTACATATTGTCTATGGCTGTTTTCATGCTGTAACATAGAGTTGAGCAGTTACAACAGCAATCATCTAGCCCTTAAAGCCTAAAATATTTACTATCCAGCCTTTTACACAAAAAGACGACTTGCTGACTCCTGTTCTAGATCAAAATGTCCAACAGAGAAGTATTTAATTATGATATAACAACTATATGGACAAACATGATAGTTTTTTTAAAAAAATTAAAGGCTTTTTGGTAATATAGAAAAATGCTTATAATCATATTAAATAGAAAAGTAGAATTTTGTATTTACTGATTTTAACCACGTAAAATATGTTATAAAGACTAAAAAGACATATCGTAGTCACCCCTTAATCATGGGGATAGGTTCCAAGACCCCCAGTGAATGCAAATAATACCAAAGCCTATATATGCTGTTTTTTCCCTATACATAGGTAACTATGATAAAGTTTAATTTATATATTACATACAGTACACCTGCACTGTGGGGCAATTATTAAGTAAAATAAGGGTTACCTGAACACAAGCACTGTGATACTGCAATAGTTGATCTGATAACTGAGATGGTTACTATGTGACTAACAGGCTGCTGGCTTACAGAGCAAAGAGATGCTGGACAAAAGGATGATTCTCATCCTGGGCAGGATGAAGCAGGGCAGCTCAAGATGTCATCACACTACTTAGAACAGCATGCAATTTAAAACATATGAATTGTTTATTTCTGGAATTTTCCATTCAATATTTTTGGACCATGGTTTCACTACCGATAACTGAAACCATAGAAGGCAAAAATGCAGATATGGGGGGGACTAGTGTATACAAAAATGAAATAAATTGTGTTAGTATGATAACACAGGAGATCCTTTTTCCCCCCCATAAGTCTGTTTAATATCAGTACTTAATAATCTAAAAGAATATAGTGTTATATCTTTAGTATTAAATATCTAGGACAAATGTAAATTTCAAAATGAGTATTGCTCACCTAGTATTTAATTGCTTCTTTATAATTTCTAAATTTACTGGCGGAAATGAAATGGAAGTATCAAATTTCTTCACTTTTGAAGATCCATTGCCACAGGAAAGATCTATGTCTCTTTCCTAAAAAAGTAAAAATAGATTTTTACAAAACCATTTATTTCATTTACCTTTGAAACATTAATAGCATGTAAAGGGACTGGATGATCCAAGGTCTCTTCAAGCTAAAAAATTCCATGTCTTTGTAATTTTTCATGGTCCCAATAAAATGTTTTTAAATTCAGTTTTAAAATTTAGAAGTTTAAATTCATATTTAAGAAGCAAATTCTAAAAATTACATTTTTAAAAAAGTTTAGTTTTGAAGCTAATTTTGGTTATGGTCTAATGTACTCTCAGAAAGTCACCCAGTTTTTTAAGAAACAACAATCCTTCATGAATATTAATTTGTGGAGTAGACAGACCTGTCTGGCTGACCTAACACCTATTTCCATGATAGAAGTACCTATTTAACTGCAACTCCATTCTAGTCAATGAAAAGTAAATGGAAGTGTGCTGGAGGGTTTGTAGGTAAAGTTTTTACTTTTCTTTAAGACATTCTTTCTTTTTTTTTTGAGATGGAGTCTCGTTCTGTTGCCCAGGCTAGAGTCCAGTGGCACAATCTCGGCTCACTGCAAGCTCCGCCTCCTGGGTTCACGCCATTCTCCTGCCTCAGCCTCCCGAGTAGCTGGGACTACAGGCGCCTGCCACCATGCCTGGTGAATTTTTTTGTATTTTTAGTAGACATGGGGTTTCACTGTGTTAGCCAGGATGGTCTCAATCTCCTGACCTCGTCATCTGCCTGCCGTGGCCTCCCAAAGTATTGGGATTACAGGCATGAGCCACCACGCCCAGCCAAGACATTCTTATTTGGGTTTTCTGGTCCTTGTAAAGAAATGCACTCCTAACATATATCTTATAACATGGTATGTTTCACATTAGTGTCCTCTGTCTAATCACAGCTCCTCCATGCTTGGAATGTTCAAAAGATCCTGAAGAACCTCTATTTTACACAAAGACACATGAAGAAAACTGACCAGATATTTAGCCAATTTCACTGGCTTAGCTATTCTTTTTATATTTTCCATGAAGCATCATCTTTTGTCATTTCAGTTCTCACCAAGCCTCCCATCCAGCTCTACGCATATCTACAAAATCTCCAAACACTCTTGATATTTTGCAGTCAATAACCCATTCAAATATCACCACTTCCATAAATGCTTTCTCAGACTTCCTCACTTACCTTCCCTCCTATAAAACTGATCACCCACTTGCTCCTTTGTGCCACCTCAGGACCCTGCACAGAGTTCTGTCACAGCACCTGTAGGATTTCACTATAATTGTTTTGTTTAGTTGTCTCCCTTCCTGCAGAGGTTGTACATCATTGTAACTGGCCGTAGCAGGCTAATGGTGACCCCATGAAAACATGTTCACATTCATGTTCATGTTCATTATATGGCAAAAGATGTAATTAAGACTTTGAGATGTGGTGTATATCCTGGATTATCCCGATGGGGTCTGAATACAATTACATGTACCATCCTAAGAGATAGGGAATTTTGGGACACAAGAGAAGAAGCAGATGTGAAGATGCAACAAAGAGAGATGTGGCCACAAGCCAAGGCATGCCAACAGCCACCAGAAACTAGAAGAGTCAAGGAATGGATTCTCCTACAGAGTTTCTGGAAAGGGGGGTTGCTCTACTGACATTATGATTTTGGACTTCTGGCCTCCAGACCTCAGAGCGAATAAACTTCTATTGTTTTAAGCCACCAAGTCTGCAGTAATTTGTTACAGGAGCCACAGGAAAGTAACACAGTGGCAAATGGTAGATTTTCAATAAAGGAATCAGTAAATGTACTCACATTAGCAATAAAAATGAAAATCAAATAAGTGTGAGATTCCATTTTCACCAACTATACTTGGACCTGAAGAGGGCAAGATTATGGTAAAATATTCCCATGATATTGGCGACATTACAGATTGAGCTAAGTTTTCTTTAAATGGCAATAGAGAAAAATATACTAAGTGCCATAAAAATGTTCATCTCGATTAGTAATACAACTCTTGGCAATTATTACAAAGGAATAGTTCAAAAACACACATCTGAACAAAAGAAAGGAGAGGAGGAAAATAATTAAATATTCACTGATTCTTATTTGTTAATTAAAAAAATCAGATTGCAAATAACCTAAAATGTCCAAAATGAAGAATGGTTAAGATTATGATTCAGTGACTCCAGTGAATATTATATAGCTATTAAAATCAGTTGTTATAACGATATAAAAACAAGAGAAGATAATTTATAATATGTCAAGCAAGGAAATCAGAATTCAAAATTGCATGCATATTGTGGTTCCTAAACTGTGTGCAAAGGCATCCTAGCAAATTTAAAGGGGTGTAGTGAGACATTTTAAATTTTTTAGGGAAAAACCGTAATACTCAACATCTGTTGGACTACTAGCTCTTAGTTCACAGTTACATTAGAATGTGTTCCATATGGCCAGACACAGTGGCTCATACCTGTAATCCTAGCACTTTGGGAGGTTGAGGTGGGCAGACTGCCTGAGCTCAGGAGTTTGAGACCAGCCTAGGCAACATGATGAAACCCCATCTCTACTAAAATACAAAAAATCAGTCAGGCATGGTGGTATGTACGTGTAGTCCCAGCTACTCAGGAAGCTGAGGCATGAGAATTGCTTGAACCTGGGAAGTGGAGGTTGCAGTGAGCCGAGATCATGCCACTGTACTCCAGCCTAGGCGACAAAGAGAAACTCTGTCTCAAAAAAAAAAAAAAAAAGAATGTGTTCCATTCCTTTTGATGAAGTCATATTTGTGGAGCTGGGTTTTGGGAGGATGCTATGATAAAAACAAGTATTGTGTGAACATCAGTATGGAAATGAGAGTGACAGTGTCCAATCTGACTCCAAGGTCTGAAAAGTCATGCAATGCCTAACAGGAACACACATCTCATTAGTAAGGAATTTTGGTTATTTAAAAAAAGATAAAAATGTTTTGCCTTCAATTTATCTGTATTATTTTTTCCAAATGGTTAGTTCTTAGGACATAAATTGTATAAAATTCTTTGGACTACTTAATAAATAGAACTGTTTGGTACTTCTTTTGGCTTACAAGTATCATGATAAAATTACCAAGACACTAACATCTCCATGAATGAGAAAGTTTGGGAATCTCTGATGTACACTATGATTGCAATTCTTGACCTCACAGAACTTATATTCTAGCAGCAGACCCACAGCCCAAATCTAGGACTTTTAACCCCAAGTACAGTACATTTGTTATGTTTCAAAGCTCACTACTTGTTTAAACTTTACATTCATTCATTCATTCATTTATTTATTTTTAGTGACAGGGTCTCACTCTGTTGCCCAGACTGGAGTGCAGTGGTGTGATCATAGCTCACTGCACCCAGAACTCCTGGGCTCAAGTGATCCTCCCAGCTCAGCCCCGCAAGTGGCTGGGACTATAGGCATGCGCCACCATGCCTGGCTAGTTTTATTTGTTTTTAGTAGAGTTCAGGTCTCACTGTGTTGTTCAGGCTGGTCTCAAACTACTGGGCTGAAGTGATCCTTCCACCTTGGCCTTCCGAAGTGCTGGAGTAACAGGTGTGAGCCACTATGCCTGGCCAAATCTGGGCTTTAACGTTGTTTTTTTTTTTTTTTCTTAAATGAGACAGGGTCTCACTCTGTCACCCACGCTGAAGCGCAGTGGCGTGATCTTGGCTCACTGCAGCCTTGACCTCCTGGGCTCAAGCAATCCTCCCACTTCAGCCCCCCAAGCAGCTAGGACTACAGGTGTGTGCCACCATGACTGGCTAATTTTTGTATTTTTTGTAGCGGCAGGGTTTGGCTATGTTGCCCAGGCTAGTCTTCTTTGTACTCAAGTGATCCACCTGACTCAGCCTCCCGAGCTTTGGTTTCTGATACCATTTTTAGCACTTCATCCCACCTTACTGTATTGTACCAAGACCCCTATTGTTGGATATTTACTTTGTTTACATCTTTTAAAAAATTAAATAAAACACAAAACTATTATTTGTGTATGCAGAAATGTAACAGTTACATATCATAATATAGGTATAACATATTTGTGTATAATATTTACCATAGGGTTCACTACAATAAAAAATTATATGAGAAATCACATAATGAGATTTAATATATAAATGATATATATTATCTATTCACTAGATTGCTATGAAATCATTAAGGTGTAGTCGAAGTAGATATACCATTGCGGTGAGATGTCTCTGTTGTATTGTGAAGTGAAAAAAACAGTCTCCAAAGAGAAAATTGGATATATTTGTATTATACAGAACAGGCGTTTAAAAGTAAAGCTTGAGGGCTAAACTTTACTTTTAAGCACCTGTACAATATAAACTGTCAATTACTATAAAATTAAAGATTAAAAAAATAGTACCCTCAAGTGGAAGGTATTTATAATCTAGTGGAAAATAAGATAATATGCACAGTGTAGTGGGTTGAATGGAGGCCTCCCAAAAGATACATCCATGACATAATCCCTGGAAAGTGCAAACATGACCTTATTTGGAAAAAGAGTCTTTGTGGTTGTAATTAAGTGAAGGATCTTGGATTATCTGAGTAGGCCCTAAACCCAATGACAAGTATCCTTACGAGAAAAACACACAGTAGAGACATGGAAAAAGCCACGTGAAGACAGAGGCAGAGAGAGGAGTTATGTAGTCACAAGCCAAGAAACACCTGGAATGACCAGAAGTTGCAAAAGGCAAGGAAGAATTACCGCTCCCCACAACCCCCCAGGGCCTTTGGAAGAAGCAAGGTGCTGCCAATACCTTGACTTCAGATTTTGGCCTCCACGCTGTGAGAGAATAAATGTGTGTTCTTTTGAGTCACCAAGTTTGTGGTAATTTGTTATAGCAGCCACAGGAATCTAATACACATGGGATAAAAAATGATTACCTCTATGATTTTAACTGCTTTCCTCATTTGCTGTTGTTCCCAAGTATCTTGCTTTTCATCTTCCTGACTTTCTTCACTTGTTTCTTCATTTCTGCTTACTAGCGGAAAAAAAGCTCACATGTAAACGTTTAGTATTTTTCCATTTTAATTGCAGCAAGCCAACATTTTTTGAGATTATACAAAGGCTTAGCACCACTTGACGTGTTATTTATTCTTCATAATAATTCTGGGAAGAAGGCACTATTACTGCCCTCATTTCACAAATGAGGAAATGCAAATATTGGGAGGTTAAGTAACTGTCTTAGGACTATGTTGAAGCTGGAAGCTGGATCCTGGGATCTGACTCCATAACCTGCACTCCTATCACTAAACTGTCCCACTCAAAACACTATAGCCCTATATTGTAAAAAACTGAGAAAGAATGAAATGTTTGGTTTTTCTTATCAAAGATCTCTCAATTACTACCTGAGAATCCAAACACTTAAAAATAAATTGTAAGGAACTAAGTCCTTTTCTGAAAAAAATATTATTTAAAGTTACCAAAACCTTGGTCAAATGCATATATCATAAATGAGAAATATGAAAACAGTCCTTTAAGGCTTAGTATTATTGGTAGAGGAAATTTTTTATTACAGCAGGGAAGATTTTAATACATGACATCTAAAATCTCTATAGATGCTTCCATGTTAAAAAAAATATATTTATACAGGTAAAAACGATCGTTTTCAATGCTTTGAAAGTAAGATACTGCACATTTTTTTTAACCTGTCCAAAAACATCAAGGTGGGAGGTCAGGCATTAATAAACATTATTACACATACTCCTTGATAATAACATTTTGATACAGATACATCTTTTAGAGGTCACAATATCATGGACCAAATCGATGTTAAAAACCATTATCAACACTATAAAATGTGAGCCAGCATATTACATTTTTTATGGAGATTCTCTCATATTATATTCTAATAAAAAATATCCTAATCTTCATATATTGGTAAATCCATACTTGATTCCTCAGCCATCCTTTGTCTAAGTGTTTGAGGTCTTAGAGTAAATGGTATTCTCTTTTCATGGTCATCAGGCTCACTCTCAGGGTCATCTTCGCTCTCTCTCTTCATACCAGAGATGGAGGAGGTATGTTGTACATCCAAAGAAATATAGTCATCTTGGGCCCTGGCCAATTCACGTTTTCTGCGGGCTGCCTGAATAAAAGCTGCATCTGGGATCTTAACTGAAGGAAACAAAGACGAGGACACTAAAAACCAAAGACCAATGTAAGTAAATATTCCTCACATTTAAGAAAAAGAAAAAAGCACCATTTTCCTAAATTATTTGCTATTTTGATATATGAATGTGACTTTAATAAATGGCTCAAAATCTGTATCAGCAAAGGAAGAAAACTTAATAGAGATTAAATACAACTTAGAAAAATCAAACAAATCTAGAAGTATCAGAAAATATACTGAAACTGCTTCATTTTATCTTTTAACTCTCTTACTCATCAGGTACTGCTCACTTTGTTGAGGGGTCGCTATTTCTCATTTCTGGAAGCTCTGAGATTGTCAGCGCAGGGATGTGGAGAGGGCTGAGTGTGGTGTTCCCCAATCAGTGAGAGCTACAGAAGTTAGAAGGATCAATGACAGACCAGCCTGACTTACCAAGTAAGAGAGATACTACACTATGATGTCCTCCTTCCTCCTTCCCTCCTACCCACACTTACAAGAAATCACAAACATACTACAAACAGTAACAGAGCAAAGCCAAATTAGCCTCTGCGGTTCTGTAGTGAGCCCCACGTGAATAAACATGAGACATTAAGAAGTGTAAAGAAAATAATCAGGCTCATTTACCAGGTGAAAAATTTTAAATGACAACAACTCTTAAGAGAGTCTTATTTTTTTTCTTTATTTTGTACAGCATAAATATCATTAGCATAAACTCTTCCAATTTAAAACGAGTTTCTTCATGCATGATCTAAGCTGAAATTTATCTTCATTCTGGAAAAAACGGTTTCTTAAGAAAAATACTACATTAAAGAAACAGCGAGAGAAATTTTCACCATTTTAAGCACTTCAAACTACTAAAAAGATGTCAAGCTACTGAGGCTGAAGTGAAATTTTCTAAACTTTCCCACAAGTTGACCCAAATTCTTTGAGAAATAAACAGAAAAATGCCATGTACTTGGAGATGCACAAAAGCTCCCATGTTTGAAACAAACAAAAAAAGAGAAAGATTTTAGAAATCACAGACCAATATGCTTGACATCAGCCCTAGGGAAAATTAAAAGTCCTTGAGTGAATCATGAAGCAATAAAGAAATCACTAGAAGTCAATAAATATTCATCAAGAACAAGTAATAGAAAATGAAGTGATTTGCTTTTTTATAGATTAGTAATTATTTATAGACTACTGTCAGGGACATGATGAAGGTCAGGTGTCTCTTCCTCCTCCCAAAGCATTTAAGATTCAAAACCATCACAGCAGGTTATAGTAGCAATTCTCGACCCTGGCTACACATCAGAGTCACCTGAGAAGCTTGACATACCCAGGCCTCTATACCAGTGATTCAGATGTTGATCTGAGGCAGAGCTGAGCAGAAGTATGTTTTTATAGCTCCCTAGAGGATTTTAATGTGCAGGCAGGATTAAGATAAGACATTTAGGTTCAAATACTCAAGTGTATGAATGTGGACACAGAAATACTTATTTTGGAAGTGATTTTCTTGCAGGTGACTCGGTAGGGTTTAATTAGTAAGTCACAAGCAATGGGACACACTAGTAAGATATTAGTGCTACATAAAGGTAACTGCTCAAGTAAAAATAAAGAAGTAAAAAACCAAGGAAGAGAAGAGTATTGCGTTTGTCCTGTTTCTGCATATTCAATACCTCGTTCAAGGGTTCTCACACAGCAGATGCTGGGCAGACATAGGAGGAATCAATAATGTCAGCATATTGTTCAATAATAAATACATCATGTTTTTACAAATTTATAACTTATGAATAATTCTTCACATATATCATCCTATCTGATATGCAATCATCTAGGGCTGAGAGGTAAATTATCATCTTCTATTAGTAACAAGTAATCTCTGCTAGAGGGACTATTTTGAGGCAGTTATTCATCGGAACACAAATAAATGCTCTTCTTCCACATGCCAGCCCTTAAAATTAACACATTCCTCCATCTTTTCTTCGCCAGCCAATAAGTCCTTCGAACTTTCAGGTGTTCCTCACAGGACAAGTTTTCAATTTTTAATCAGCGTTTCTCAATGTGCATAGGGGATGGGCAATTCACTGCGCTGAACTGTTCTGCACTCCTGTTAAGACATTTATCATCCCTTGCCTCTAGGGCACTATGTGCCAGCAACAACTCAACTACTATAATCATTTAAATAATCCCACACATTTTCAAACGCTGCCCTCTCTCCTAAGGTGGGGGCAGTGCTGCCAACACTTTACAACCACTGCCTTATCCTGTTTAATCCACCATCTTTTTTTGTTTGTTTGGTTTTGAGATGGAGTCTTGCTCTGTTGCCCAGGCTGGAGTGCACTGGCATGATCTCTGCTCACTGCAACCTCTGCCTCCCAGGTTCAAGCAATTCTTTTGCCTCAGTCCCCTGAATTACAGGTGCATGCCACCATGCCTGGCTAATTTTTACATTTTTAGTAAAGCCAGGGTTTCACCATTTTGGCCAGGTTGGTCTCAAACTCCTGACCTCAGGTGATCCATCCACCTCGGCCTCCCAAACTGCAGACATGAGCCATGGCACCTAGTCTAATCCGCCATCTTTTATAGTAGCATTGTTTGGTACAGTAGCCACTAGCCCTATGTGAGTATTCAAATATAACTAAAAATTCAATTTCTCAGTCTCGCTATAGCCACATTTCAAGAGCTCAACAGCCACTTGTGACTAGTGGCTACCATATGGACAGTGAAGATAGAAAATTTTTCCAAACCACAGAAAATTTTACTGAATAGCACTGTATCTAGAATCCAGACAAGGCTTCAACTGTTTACTAGATTTCAGTTCTTAATATTGGCTTAATCGCTTAGTATTTCTGTACCTTGTGGACATGGAGAAGAAACAAAATTACAAGGTTACAGAGCTACTGGTTGTTGTTATTTAATAGGCTAATAAAGAAGCACTTATGGCCGGGCGTGGTGGCTCACGTCTGTAATCCCAGCACTTTGAGAGTCCGAGGTGGGCAGATCAAGAGGTCAGGAGATCGAGACCATCTTGGCTAACACGGTGAAACCCCATCTCTACTAAAAATACAAAAAATTAGCCAGGCGTGGTGGCCTATAGTCCTAGCTACTCAAGAGGCTAAGGCAGGAGAATGACGTGAACCTGGGAGGCGGAGCTTGCAGTGAACCCAGATTGCGCCACTGCACTCCAGCCTGGGCGACAGAGTGAGACTCCATCTCAAAAAAAAAAAAAAAAAAAAAGAAGCACAGAAGCACTTATTACTATATTACAAGCGTCATAAAATATATTTTAATAATTTTATTTCAATATAATTTGTTTCCTCTACAAAGCTATGTATTTTACTTTATTTTCTCAGAAGGGATCTTAGGCTTCACTAGACTGAAAAAGGAGTCCACGGCACAAAACAAGTTATAAACCTCTGTAAGACGCCAGATAAATATTTTTCACTTTGCGGGCCATAGGGTCTTTGTGGCAACTTCTCAACTCTGCTGCTGCAGTGCAAAAGCACCCACAAATATTAAGTAACTGAAAGACTGTGATTGTGTTTTAATAAAACTTTGTTTACAAAAACAGGTGGTGGGCCAGATTTGCCAACCCCTGAACTAGACTGATCTTTCTAAGACACAAAAACATTCATGTCATCTGTATAAAATTTTCAGTGGTTCCCTAAGCCCTGTATAATCTGACTCCAACTTGTCCTTCCTGTTTTCTTTTCCTTAAACTCGCAACCAAATACTTTCAGCCAGAGCTATTTTTAGCTTCCTGCACATATTACATACCTTCCCTAGAGTTTCAGATATGCTACATCCTATACCTGAAACATCCTCCCTGACAAATTCTTACCATCCTTCAAGTATCAATGTCAATCACCCAGTATAGCACAGTGATTAAGAAGAATACAGGCTCCAGAACAAACTGGGTTTGAATCCTAGCCCTGCTACTTATAAGCTGTCTGACCTGTGCATGTTAAAATGTAATAAAAATGAGCAATTTTGGCACTCTGACAATCATCATTAATGACCTACTTGCCCCATGTCACTAGAGTTTGTTATGTCATTAATAACTATATCAAAAACACTATATTAAAAATAAAATTCTTAACCAAAATCATACAAATTACTAACCTGTTGATGAAAGTTCTTTTTCTCCAAGAGAGCTAGAACTGTCAGAAGACAAACCCTGATCATCCTTACTTTCTGAGGAGTGATGTATTTTATCCTCTTCATCTGTGGACACATCAAGGGTTCTGGATTCTAACAGGACATTTTAAAAATACAACAAAAAAGAGTCAAAATAATGGAATTATTAATTGAAATTCTGAACAACACATGGCATATGTATAATACGGTGTTTTAATCCTAGTCCATATATTAAAGTAGACATATTGATCTTCCTCCAACTTTCTTTCTTAAGCAACTGAATGATCTACTAAGTGTACAAAGACCCTATTTGTATTATCTAGGCATCTAATAATATATTTCCAAAAGTATGCAATGAGAAAAGGGAAGGAGGCATTAGAGAAAAAAAAAGCGACAAAAAATGAAGTAATATTTAGAATAGTAATGATTGTGAATAAGTAGAAAAGAAAAATATTTAATGTATACTATGTACTAGGCACACTGAAACCTGTTTTACATGACTTATTTAATACCTGTAATTCTATAAAGTAAATGCAATTTCTGATGAGTTCACTAAGGATTGAGAGGATAAAGAACACCAACTCGGGCAGTGGAGAAGCAGGGCTGTCAACCTAATCCCAGGCAACTTCAGAACTTAGGCTCTCTTTATAGTATGCCATATTTCAACGGCTGGTGGCGAGAAATATTGTAACGAGCACTTTGGTCAATATTAAACCATGGGTCCATCTTTTCAATGCATGATTTGGGAAGGTAAATAGTCTGTTAAATTCAATTAATCTGTTAAACAAAGATAACACCAAGATAAAACCCACAGGGGTGTTGTGAAAATTGAATGAACAAAATAAAGGAATTCTTGACATTATTGACAAGAAAGGATTTCTTAATCCACAATAAATTTGCAATCTTTATGAGTAACCTTAAAACATAAGATTACATACTACTCATTAATTTTAATTTTCTACCTTAGTTAGAAGACCTACATACAGTTCAAAAAAGGCTGGAGTAAAATCAAAATTTAAAACACTAAAAAAAATATAGCTGCAGCTCACATCTTTCTTAGATATTGTCATTTATGACAACCCATACCTGTTTCCAAAGTGGATTAACACCAAAGCAGTGGGTCTTAAAGCATGGTTTATCAATCCCTGGAGGTCCTTGAGACTCTTTCAGAGAGTCTGTGAAATTAAAACTACTTTCATCACAATAATAACATGTTATTTGTTCTTTTTACCATGTTGATATTTATATAATGAAGTAAAGGCAGTGATGGGTAAAACTGCTAGGCTCTTGGCATGAATGAATCAATTTGTAGTAGCAGTTATGGTATTTTTCCTTACCTCACATGGCAGAAAAAAGCCAGTTGCTCTTCATGAACTAATTAAAAAATTGTTATTTTATTAAATTTTGACCCTTGAGTACACATGTTTAATATTCTTTGTGACAAAATCAAAGTATTCATAAGGCACTTTTGCTGCATCTTGAAATGCAATGGCTGCCTTAAGGAAAAGCATTTGTGTGACTGAGTTGCAAGCTGAACTAGACGTTGTTTTTAAGAAGCATCACCATTTTACTTGAAAGAATGACTAACAAACCGATTATTCAGACATGGCTATCTGACAAACATTTTCTCAAAACATGAGCCCGGTTGTGCCTATCAATAAAATGAGAGATTTCAAGTGAAAATTGAGATTTTGGAAAACTTATATTCTCTACTGTGAACCTAACAGCTTTCCAGTACTTACAGACTGATTAATCAGTGGTAATACTATGATTTTTTTGGTATTGTACAATAAAATGCTCCAACATTTGCAAGATCTGCAAACTCAGCTAATGAATACCTTCCAAATAATGCAAGATGTTACCAATCGTTCATGAGTAAAAGATCCAAAGTACAAAACAGAACAGAGTTTTAAGGTAAGAGCACCCCAAATTTAATCATATGGTTTAAGAATCCATTTGGCAACTTTTTTTTTTTTTTTTTTTTTTTTTTTTGAGATAAAGTCTCACTCTGTCACCCAGGCTAGAGTGTAGTGGCACAATCTCAGCTCACTGCAACCTCTGCCTCCCGGGTTCAAGTGATTCTCTGCCTCAGCCTCCTGAGTAGCTGGGATTACAGGCACCCACCACCATGCCTGGCTAATTTTTGTATTTTTAGTAGAGATGGGGTTTCACCATGTTGGCCAGGCTGGGCTCGAACTCCTGATCTCTTGATACACCTGCCTCGGCCTCCTAAAGTGCTGGGATTACAGGTGTGAGCCACTGTGCCCGGCCCGCAACTAACTTTTAAGAAGGGTTAGTTTATTACTTGTTGAGCTGTGTTATATTAAAGCACAACACCCTCAATGATCTAAAAATGCTATTAAGTACTCGTCTTAATCATGTATCTGTCAGAGGCTGTATTTTCTTCAAATACTTCAACCAAAACAAAATAGCACAAGAGATTAAAAGCAGAAACACCTATGACAATTCATCTGTCTTCTATTAATATTTTGCCAGACATTAAAGAGATCTGTAAATTGAAAACAATGCTACTCTTCCTTTTTTGGGGTAATACTTTTCACAAAAATCTTACTTATCCTTACATGTAATAGATTTTTTGTAAGTGAATTAATAAATTTTATTTTTAGTGTGATAAATATTGATAGGTATAACCTACTGAAACAAAAGCTCTTTGGAATCCTTAATCATTTCTAAGAGTCTAAAAGAGGTCCAATTCCCAAAGAGTTTGAGAACCACTATTCTAGAAGGCAAGAGAAAAGGAACTCCTGACTTCAACTTTCATCTACAAAGTTTAACCAGAAAACAAATATAAAAGGTCATGAAAACTTTAGACAAATAGAAGGTCACAAGAAAGACCAAGAAATCACGAAGATCATAAACCTGGAGGACATTATGTTACATGAAATAAGACAGGCACAGAGAGACAAACACCACATGATCTCACATATGTAATCTAAAAAAGTGGAAATCAGAAATCACAGAAGCAGAGAGTCGAGTAGTGGTTAGAAGGGACTGAGTGAGGTTGAGGGTAGTTGGGAAGATACTGGTCAAAGGGCACACATTTTAATTAGACAAGAGGAATTCTATTCTACAACACGGTGACTAAAATTAATAACAATGCATTGCATACTTGAAAATTAGTAAGAGTAGATAGTAAGTGTTCTCACCACAAAAAAAAGTAAGTACCTAAGGTAAAGCAAATGTTAATTAGCTCCATTTAGTCACTGTAGACACATTTCAAACATCATGTTGTACACTATAAGTATATACATTTTTTACTTCTCAATAAATTAATAAAAATCACTTTAATGACAATAAAAAATAATAGGAAGATTTTAGCTCTCAAGACTAACCAAAAACCGTATTCCTCATTAAGCTACAATTCCAACTCAGAGCAGCACATTTTATTTAAACAACTTTATGCTGCCTTACACCTGTATTTAAGAACTCAAAGGTACTTCAAAATGACGACACTATATCTAACACCATTACTGGTACCATCTACAGTGTCATGAATCTCTATCATGCTTCTTTGTGTTGTATATATTACTATTAGTTTTTGCAAATAACTGGTGAAAAAAGAAAATAAACAAAGGGGAATGTCCCAAAACCTAGATTCCTGTACTACTCTGGCTAAATGTTTTCAAGAAAGATAAGTTGGTCAAGTGTCTAAAAGGTACATATAACTTCTGCCCACTTAATAGTATTATAAATTATTGAACTTTGTTGTGACAGTTTAGGTTCTTCATAAACTTTGATAACTGTGTTAGTTATAACTGATGGAGTCAACTGATGGTGAAAACGAAGAGCCTCCCAACTGTACACGATTGTTTTATTTCCCCCAAGGAGTCCAAAAGGCAGATGCAGATAGCGGGCAAGTGCTCGAGCTATTTTCTCGCTCACTACCTTCTGGATAAGTCTTTCTGGATAAGACTCAGCATGGCTTGTGGTCGGCAGCAAGTTATAGAACCCCCAGAGAAGGATCCAGAGACCCCGCGGCCCCTTCCCGCCCTGTGCCGTCACCTCCCCGCTTCCCCGCGTCTCCCTGGACACCTGAGCCTTCGTCCGCGCGGGGAGCCGCTTTGGTGGCACGCCGGGAGCTCGCCCAGACCCGGCCCCGGCCACGAGGGCCCCGAACCCGGTGGGGCAGTCCCGCCACCTGCGCGCGGCCTCCTCCAGAGGGCGGCTCTTCCTCCGCAGAACCCGGGACCGGAAGTTCCCTCGGCGCCCCAGGCTCAGCAGGCGACTCCTCGGCGCCATCGCTGTCGCTGGAATCAGCCGCGCGCTGCCGAAAAGTCCTTTTCGGCCTGTGAGCCATGGCCGAGGCCCGAGCGCCCGGCGCCCTAGAACCCGCTGAACCGCAAGCCGCAGCTTCAGTGCCCGCCCCCTAGGGCGCGCTCCCGCCGCGCCTGGCCGCCGAGTGCGCGCGCCCGTCCCGCCTGCCTTCTGCTCACCGCTACTCTGTCTGCGCCTGCGTGCTTTGGCTCCCTGGATCTGGTAGGCCGAGTTCTGTTCTGGGGCCTGAGTTTGCAAAGCATTCCCTTTGCCAGGTTAGGTTGCGTGGACTGACACCTTAGAGATTTTCACGGCCTATCCGGTCTGAGTCCCACGGAGAGCAGAACTCACGTGCTGTCCTTGTGCAAACCCCATCCAGAAATCAAGCGTTATGCTTTCCGTCCTGGACTGGAGCCAGATCCGTTGTCTTTTACTTTCTGGAGAGAGTGCCCCCTCCAACCAAGATTTAAAACAAACGAAACCCCAGCAGTGTGAGGCTCGGGGTAGGAGGAGATGCCTTTGAGAACAAAACCATAAAGTCTGTACATAAACAATGCATACAGACTAGCAAAAATCAAATGACTTCCCCCAGGCAGCAGGGCTTCAAGAGAGCCTGGTTAAATGTTTTCACCCTTAAAGAAACTATCTAAAAACAAAAAGCTATTGTCTGACGCAAATTTGTTCTATATTCATCAAGCTCTGTCTACTACTGTATCTGTATGGTAGAAATACTATATAATGTTGAGCTACTGCACACCTGTTATCAACTCCATGTTTAGTGGCGTCATATTGAGAGGTGACAGCGGGCCAGCTGGAGTTCCGGGTGGGCATGGGCTTGGCGGGCCTGCACTCGGAGCAGCCGGCCGGCCCTGCCAGCCCCGGGCAGTGAGGGACTTGGCACCCGGGCCAGCGGCTACAGAGGGTGTACTGGGTCCCCTAGCAGTGCCGGCCCACCGGCGCTGTGCTCGATTTCTCGCCGGGCCTTAGCTGCCTTCCCGCGGTGCAGGGCTCGGGACCTGCAGCCCGCCATGCCTGAGCCTCCCATCCACTCCATGGGCTCCTGTGCTGCCCGAGCATCCCCGACGAGCACCACCCCCTGCTCCACGGCGCCCAGTCCCATCGACCACCCAAGGGCTGAGGAGTACGAGCGCACGGCGCCGGACTGGCAGGCAGCTCCACCTGCAGCCCCGGTGCGGGATCCACTAGGTGAAGCCAGTTGGGCTCCTGAGTCTGGTGGGGACATAGAGAGTCTTTATGTCTAGCTCAGGGATTGTAAATACACCAATCAGCACTCTGTATCTGGCTCAAGGTTTGTAAACACACCAATCAGCACCCTGTGTTTAGCTCAAGGTTTATGAGTGCACCAATCGACACTCTGTATCTAGCTGCTCTGGTGGGGCCTTGGAGAACCTTTATGTCTAGCTCAGGGATTGTAAAAACACCAATCGGCACTCTGTATCTAGCTCAAGGTTTGTAAACCCACCAATCAGCACCCTGTGTTTAGCTCAAGGTTTGTGAGTGCACCAATAGACATTCTATCTAGCTGCTCTGGTGAGGCCTTGGAGAACCTGTGTGTGGAAACTCTGTATCTAACTAATCTGATGGGGATGTGGAGAACTTTTGTATCTAGCTCAGGGATTGTAAACGCACCAATCACGGCCCTGTCAAAACAGGCCGCTGGGCTCTACCAATCAGCAGGATGTGGGTGGGGCCAGATAAGAGAATAAAAGCAGGCTGCCCCAGCCAGCAGTGGCAACCCGCTCCGGTCCCCTTCCACAGTGTGGAAGCTTTGTTCTTTCGCTCTTTGCAATAAATCTTGCTACTGCTGACTCTTTGGGTCCACGTGGCTTTTATGAGCTGTAACACTCACCGTGAAGATCTGCAGCTTCATTCCTGAGCCCAGCGAGACCACAAACCCACCAGAAGGAAGAAACTCCAAACACATCTGAACATCAGAAGGGGCAGACCCCAGACGCGCCACCTTAAGAGCTGTAACGCTCACCGCGAGGGTCCGCAGCTTCATTCTTGAAATCAGTGAGACCAAGAACCCACCAATTCCGGACACAATATTGGCACCTTGAAATCAGCCATAAAGGGACTACTTATACCATATAAATTGGAAGACCTTAGAAGTCCAGGTGTTTCTCCCAGATATCCAGTCATTAAACATTTACCATTGTATCACTGACTATATGTCACCAAAGGAATCGAGAAGAGGCAAAGTTTCTCTGATTGACCTAGCCCCGGAATTTTTTTTTCTTGGCTTTGTCTTTTTTTCTTGGCTTTTCTCAATAAACTGAAACTCCTTGATGTAAATTTGGGAAATTATATGATACAGTATTATCAGTTATTCACAAGTTATTAATGTCTTATTATAAAGAGAGGCTTCTCTTTTTAAATCCAGGTAAAATTAGAGAACTACTTGTTTTTTTGTGTGTTTCTTTTGGAAAATTGGCAAATGGTGTGAAAAAGATATTTCTGGAGAATAGAGATACTTGTGGCATCTGAAAGAACAGCTTCCTATCATGGACCAAGTGCTCCTTGTAGTTAGAATAAACTTTAAAGATTGGAGATGGAGAAGTGGGTTCCGTTCGGTCCAGTGCTTTTCAGATGCCATCTTTCCATGCAGAATTCCCAAGTTCTGCCATGGATACTGCTCTGTACTCCCTTAGCAGAGGAGGACATCTTTCCAAATTACACTATAAAGTAGTTAATGCTAAACCAAACAGGAGACTATAATTTTTAGTTTAGTTAATTTTATGGACAGAGTCTCGCTCTGCCACCCAGTGCGATGGTGCAAATACAGCTCACTTCAGCCTTGACCTACTGGGCTTAGTGATCCTCCCACCTTAGCCTCCTGAGGATCTGGGACTACACGCGCATACCCCAATGCCCAGCTAAGACTAGCATTTTGAAACAGTGAGGAGAATGAGGAAGATGATCGTGATTGTAATTGGAGAGAAATTCAGTGTTCTGTTATGCACTCTTAAGGAAACATATTAATATATCGTACAATTCAATCAGTGTTTATTATACACCTACTAGCACAGGCACCATGCTAAGCCCTAGACTAATGCTTATCAAATCTAATGTTCTTCAAAGCACATGGAAATAGTGTGGACATATAGATACTGATTGAGCTGCTATGTGTAGGAACCAAGAGTCTTCATTTCTAGCAAGCTCCCAGGTGAAGGCGAGGATACTTGTCTGAGGATCACTCTAAATAGCAAGGTCCTAGAGCAGATACTAAGTATTAATCACCCTTAAGAAGGCTGGGCGCAGTGGCTCACGCCAGTAATCCCAGCACTTTGGGAGGCCGAGGTGGGCAGATCACGAGGTCAGGAGTTCAAGACCAGCATGACCAACATGGTGAAACCCCATCTCTACTAAAAATACAAAAATTAGCCGGGCGTGGTGGTGCATGCCTGTAATCCCAGCTACTTGGGAGGCTGAAGCAGAAGAATCACTTGAACCCAGGAGGCGGAGGTTGCAGTGAGCCGAGACCGCACCACTGTACTCCAGCCTGGTGACAGAGTGAGACTCCATCTCCAAAAAAAAAAAAGAAGTCTTAAAAAATAGTCTAAATAACTTAATCATTGATGAACTTCATATCAGATTGTAACAGCATGTAAATGTTAGGTACCTCAAAATTTAGAAACCTAAATAGCCCCCCAAAAGGAAAACTAATAAGAATCTATTCAAAGTGAGTAAGGTTATTTAAGTGTAGAAGTTGTTCACCATAAGGGGATATCTGTCTGCACCTCCTCAAAAAGGGTTCTCTGCCAGCTTCCAAAGTCATTTTAGGTGTTTGTTGCAATTGGAAAGGGGGTCAGCAGGACAGAATTCACTCCCAGTGTTGCTTAAAAGGCAGCAGTTTATTTAAGGACAATCTAAGTGTGATGTTGGTGTTCTAGAAGGCTGTTCTTTCCCTTCAAAAGTCACTAACTCACAAACGATGTTAAACCAAAATGTGAAAACGCTAGGCAGAGTTTACTGTTCTCGGCTGAGTTCAGAGCCATCTGCTAATGTGGACTCATTGTTTACTTTCCCATTTTAAAAGACACTGCCTCCCCAGACAGAGCCCTTCTTTTACTCATTTTGATATCCTATACCTAGTTTAGTGTTTAGTGCACAACTGACATGAACACAATGAACTAAATGGTTGGATGAGGCAATTCTGAAACATCTGTGTTCACTCACGAAAATAAAACTGGAAAACAAGTCACTCTAACTTGTTAAATGCAAACATGTTAAGAGATAGGTGATATATGATGGAGATAGAAAAAACTCTGCTATTTAAAACAGAAATCAAACATTTGTTCTAAGGGAAAGAAGTGAGAAAAATTATTTTCTCTGGGTGTTGCCTTGGTGGGAGAGGATGAAATAAAGATAACTTATTTAATAAAGGGGGAGGAATCCTGAGTTTTCTCCTCTGTCCCCAGGGAAAGCAGAGCGATGACTCTGAGGGATAGTTGCCAGATTTAGAAAAAATATAGAATACCTGGTAAAACTTGAAATTCAGATAAAACAGGAGTAGCTTTTTAGTATAAATAGGTCCTATATAATATTTGGGACATACATGCATGGTAGATTTTGGAACTCTAGGGTAAAGAGAAGTGTGAAGAATTTCAAAGGGTAGAGAAAAACTTCAGAATCTGAGGTGGAGGGTGGGGGATGGTTGTAGTCTGGAATCTGAGAGAAATGAGGGTCAGTGAGAAGTTCCCAGTTACATGGGAGAATCGGATGAAGTGCTTTTTAGATACAGTGCAGTTTTCTTCCAAGGATTTAGTAAAACTTTGCTCCAAATACAATCTTTTTTTTTTTTTTTTTTTTTTTTTTCAGACGGAGTCTCGCTTTGTTGCCCAGGCTGGAGTGCAGTAGCGCGATCTCAGCTCACTGCTACCTCCGCCTCCTGTGTTCAAGCGATTCTCCTGCTTCAGCCTCCTGAGTAGCTGGGATTACAGATGTCCGCCATCACGCCCTGCTAATTTTTGTATTTTAAGTAGAGACAGGGTTTTGCCATGTTGGCCAGGATGGTCTCAAACTGCTGACCTCAGGTGATCCGCCTGCCTCAGCCTCCAAAAGTGCTGGGGTTACAGGCATGAGCCACCGTGCCCAGCCTCCAAATCCAATCTTAACATTGCTGTTGAGATTGAAAGAGTTGGCAGCTGAGGTCAGGTGGTGGATGAGGAAAAGCTGGTGGCTCCACGATTCTGAGCTGAGGGTGTCAAAGGAGATGGAGTGGATGATAGGAGAGAAGCAGGCTACTGAACACGCTGGCTTAGGAGTGGCTGTGAGATAGCCCCTTTCCCCAAATGTACCCAAATGTACCCAAGAAGGTGCAACTTTAAAGTAGAAGATGCTCCACGGAGTTACCTATGGGCACAGGAAAAGGGCAAAGAGCAAAACTATATTTCTCCAAACAGCTTTTCCCGATACTCATATTTACCACTGCCTTATGTAATTTCTCATTTTCATGAATACTAGGATTTTTACCACCATCCTTCATCAAGCAGGTAGAGATAATGCCATATCTTTTTATTTGCCCTACTGTGTTTATTTACAATATTAGCTTATTAAGTAATTGGCTGATCATTATGAGAGTTTGTATTATTTCCCTTTTATGTCATTTAGAATTGCAGAGGTTAACAATGGGAAAAATTGGCATATTAAAAATTCCCAACTTCTGGAAATCAATGTCATATTTACCCAAACAGACTTTTCTCCCTAAAGTGAAGTGACATTTTATCCAGCGTGTCTTGCCATTTAATGGTGGATTCTGAGCTCCCTCTAGTGAGAAATGCGCTTCTTATAAACGGATTGTATCAAATAATCTCATGGAAATTGCCTCCTATAGAGCTGAGTAATGAATATATTTTCCTTTTAAGCCAGGCTCTTTAAAACTTTCTAAGAGGACAAAATTTTATGAAGTCATGTTTATAAGTCATTTTTTTAATTAAAAAATTACTATGGAAACACATTCATACAAATATGAAACTAACTGTGCTTTCATTTTTTCAGCATCTATTTTTTTAAGCACTTACTATGATAGGGGCCCTGCGCTGGGACCAGAAGGTCATGAAACACATGGGGTCCTGTTCCAAAGGTCAGGTGTGAGGAACCCACATTAGCCCTAGGATCTGGTTTATTGGAAATACTTTATGATATCCTGTAATCCCAAGTATTGAGAATTTTCTCAATTTTAGGTCCTAATTTTCATAATGAATAGAGGTCTTTGAGCTGTCACTCTTATGTGCCTGAACTAATCTATTGATTAACTGTCAGATACCCCAAGGACCATCAGAAAAACCTATTGATCAACCAAAGTCAAGTTTATAAGATTAACTACAGTAAGAGAGAACACCACCTTGACAGAATCTTATAAGTATCTGAAAATGAAAGAATAAGGCAGGGTATTTACAGAGTTTTAGGACCTAGGCTGGGCGATTTTGTTTTTGTTTTTGTTTTGAGACGGAGTCTCGCTCTGTTGCCCAGGCCGGACTGCACTGGCGCAATCTCGGCTCACTGCAAGCTCCGCCTCCCAGGTTCACGCCATTCTCCTGCCTCAGCCTCCCGAGTAGCTGGGACCACAGGCGCCCGCCACTGCGCCCGGCTAATTTTTTGTATTTTTAGTAGAGACGGGGTTTCACCTTGTTAGCCAGGATGATCTCGATCTCCTGACCTTGTGATCCACCCGCCTCAGCCTCCCAAAGTGCTGGGATTACAGGCGTGAGCCACCGCGCCCGGCCAGCTGGGCGATTTTTGAAAAAAATGTGTTTTACTGTGGTAAGAACACTTAATGTGAGGTCTATCCTCTTAACACATTTTCAAGTGTAAGATACAACATTGCCAACTATAAGGACAATGTTGTACAGTAGGTCTCCAGAACTTACTTATCTTGTACAATTGATACTTTATACCAGTTGATTAGTGATTTGTCGTTTTCCTCTTTCCCCAGCCCACAGAAACCACAATTCTACTCTCTGATTTTATGAGTCTGAATATTTTAGATACCCCATGTAAGTGGAAACACACAGTGTTTTTCCTTCTTGGTGGCTTATTTCACTTAGCATAATGTCCTCAAGGTTAATTCATGTTGTTGCATATTGCAGGATTTCTTTATTTTTTAAGGATGAATAATATTCCCTTCTCTCTATACAACACATTTCCTTCATCTGTTCATCCTTCACTTGACAAAACAGTACTGCTACTATGGAAAACAATATGAAGATTCCTCAAAAAATTAAAAGTAGAACTACCATGTGATCCAGCAGTCTCATTTCTGGGCATTTAGTCAACAGAATTGAAATCAGGACCTCTAAAAGATAATTGCACTCCAGTGTTCACTGCAGCACTACTCACAATAACTAAGATGGCATGGGTGATTTTCAGTTAGGTCTTGTAAGGAGGTCAAGGTGAAAGGAGTCATGTGAAATAAATCATGCTGTGCTAACCAACCACAAGCTATTCATGCAATGGAGATCAAGTTAAGGTCAAAATACATGGCAATTTATAGGCATTAAGAGGAACAATGTCAAAAAAGGTCAGTTTAGAGGGTGGTTATGAGTGCCTTTCTTCATTTTAAATCCCTTGCCTTTGAGATCTAGGAAAAATTCTAGAGTTTTCCTTCTATTCCAACCAATCAGCTTTCTAACAAATCCAGGCTTCTTTTCAGTGCCTCCACTAGGGTTTCTCATTTGAGGTACTGAATGAAAAACCTTTCACTCAATATGAAATGTAACACACATCCAGAAAAATGCACAAAACAAACATGTACAGTTCAAGAACTTATCATAAAGCAAATCCCTCCACAGCCACCAACAAAGTCGAGAAATAGAAGATTGCTAGCATCCCAGCACTCTCTTTTGTTCCCCTTTTCAATCATTTCACCCTCCCTGTCCCCAGAAGTAATCATTGTTCTGACTTTTACAGTAATCACTTCCTTGCTTTTTTAAAAATACAGTTTTACTGCAAGCACACATACTCAAACACTATGATGTAGCTTTGTCTGTTTTTGAACTTTTGAGATCATACCATCTGTATTGTTTTGTGCTTGGCTTTTTTTGGCTTAATATGTGTTTGTATTATAATTCCACATTGTTCTTCTGTGTAACTGTAGTCTACTATTATTGCTGCGTAACAGTCCACTGTATAGATATGCCACAGCTTATCTATCCTAATATCGTTGACATTTGGTTGTTTTTTTTTTTTTTCAGATGGAGTCTTGCTCTGTTGCCCAGGCTGGAGTGCAGTGGCATGATCTCAGCTCACTGCAACCTCTGCCTCCCAGGGTTCAAGCGATTCTCCTGTCTCAGCCTCCTGAGTAGCTGGGATTAGGTGTGCACCACCATGCCTGGCTAAGTTTTGTATTTTTAGTAGAGATGGGGTTTCACCATATTGGTTAGGCTGGTCTCAAACTCCTGACCTCAGGAGATCCACCTGCCTCAGCCTTCCAAAGTGCTGGGATTACAGGTGTGAGCCACCACGCTCAGCTGACATTTGGTTATTTTGATTTTTTTGTTATATTACAAATAATGTTATTAAAGCACTTGTGATACAAGTGTCTCTTTGGGTCATGGGCACACAATTCAGTTGGGTATAAACCTAAGAATGGAATCATTAGGTCATAGGGTAAGCATATCTTCAACTTCACTGGAAAATATCAGTTCCCAAAGTAGTAATTGCCTAAATTTACATTCTCATCAGCAGTGTATTAAAGTTTCCATGGCTCCTCATACTTGCTAACACTTGGTATTGTCAGCTGTCTTTGTTTTAGCCATCTGGGTGTATGTCCTTATTCTTTGAATACGAATTTCCTTGATTACTAATGAGGATAAACCCTTTTTCATTACATATATGTGAATACACATATACATAAATATATACAGTATACATACTGTATATGTGTATATGAAAACATATATATACATAAATATATATGTATATATACTGTACATATTAGGCTATCTGGAGTTCTTCTTTTCTGAATTGCCTGTTCAAGTCTCTTGCTCATTTTTCTATTGAGTTGTCTGTTTTTTCTTAATGGTGCATAGCTCTCCTGTATGTATTTTGTATTTAACTGATAGCTGTTTTGCAAATATATTCTCCCAGTTGTGGTTTGCTTTTTCACTCTATTAATGATTGTTTTTGGTAAAGAGAAATTCTTAAATGTTTAATGCTAATATAATAAAATCTATTTAACCTTTCTTTACCATTTGTGCTTTATGTGTCCCATTTGAGTAATTTTTCTCTACCCCAGGATAAGAAGATAATCTCTGTTATAAATATATAATATACTTACAATTTTTTTTGGTAAGAAGTGAGATGTCAGTCAAATTTTACTTTTTTAATATAGATATCCAAATGATCTGGTTTAGTTAAAATTATATTATGGAAATCTTCAAAACATATATACTAAGTAAAAAAAGAACAGTTTAATGAGCTTTCATCATTCAGCTTTGACAATTTTCATCTATGAACAATTTGTTTTATCTGTACTCCCATCCACTTCTCTCCTCACACATTATTTTGAAATAAATGACAGACATAATGTTTCATCCATGAATATTTCAGGCATCTTTTAAACATAAGAATATTTTAAAAAATGTAATCACAATACAATTATCACACTTAAAAAACAACTAGCAATAACCTTTAATATCATAAAATACTTAGTGTTCAAATTTCTGATTATCTTATAATCATATAATTTTTTACCTTTTGCTTGAATCAGGATCTAAACAAGGCCCCCAAATTGGGATTAGTTGGTATATCTTTCAAGCTTTTTTTATCCATAATAATCTTTTCACTCTTGCTCTTGCTTTCCCCACTTGCATTCTTGCAATACATCTGTTAAAAAAAAAAAAAGAAAAAAGCTAAAGACTTATTCCAGTCTTATTTTGGCTGATGTAATTCGTATGATGTCATTTCTAACATGCTTCTCTGTCTCCTATATTTTCTTTAAGCAGAGGCTTGCACAGATTCAGGTTCAACTTTTATGGCAAGAATACCTCATAGGAAGGGTTATTTTCTTCCATCTAGATGCACATAATATCTAGTTGTCTCTTTATGTGTGCATCTATATATGATGTTAGCTGCCACTAACACTTAATATCGAGATCTAATAATTCATTAGGGCTTGAAAAATGGTGATATTCTCATTCTATCATTCCTTTTTTATTTTTATTTTTTTAGAGACAGAGTCTCACTTTGTCACCCAGATGGAGTGCAGTAGTGTTACCATAGCTCACTGCAGCCTTGAGCTCCTGGGCTCAAGCAATTCTTCTTCTACCTGAACCTCCCAAGTAGCTGGGGCTTCAGGTGCATGCCACCATGACTCGCTAAATTTCTTTTTTTTTCTTTATGTAGAAATTGAGTCTTGTTTTGTAGCAATCCTCCCACCTCAGGCTCCCAAAACACTAGGATTACAGATGGGAGCCACAGCGCTGGCCCCTGGAAACTTTTTAAAAGAGAATTATCTCATCTAATATTGAGTCACTCAGTGGTATCATTTATGTAGGAAAGAGAGGATAAATGTTTATTCCTTTCCTTTTATCTAACAATTTTCAAAATAATAAAGTGCTTCATAGCATCCTGTAATAATGGCCAGTTAGTATTTCTCAAAAGTTTTATATGCACTTGTGCTTTAAAAATATTAGATGCATTTTGGATCACGGCAGTTAGTATTCTATTTGATAATCATGCTATCCCAACTTTGATCAATGTGAGCAAATAACATAAATCAATGCAAACTACTTAAACATAACAATACTTTTTTAAAAGGATGAATTATTGTAAGAATACAGAGTGTCTTCTGACTAAGAATGCAGATCTTGGGTAGGACTGAAACTGGAAATTGGACTTTTTCCATTTCTTGTCCTTGCATCTCTGCTTCATTCATCTCTCTGCCAACTGACTCTCTCAACTTCTTAGTTTTCATAGTGGGCAGAAGTGCTGCTGAATCTCACTCTATTCCATTCTAGCTTTACATTTTACTCAGAATCTCTATTACCTTATGATCTACAAGCTTCAGGAAAAATGAAAAGAATGCAGGGAATGCAGTTCTAAACTATAACTATCAAAGCTTGAAGGAACATCAAATACCCAGGTCCCAAATCATTACAATTAGCTTATATGAAAATAAGATCAGTTCTCTCTAGGAACCACAGGTTTTCTCCCTCTGAGTTAAAAACAGATTTGCCTTATGCATTGGGGCATTATTTCCAAGCCTAGATTCTAAGCTATTACAAGCAGGTGTGACTGACCATTACCAGGGATTCAGATGATGCCTACAGCTTTATCACTAACAAGCTGTATTTCTAAAACATCCTCCTAAGTGGACTCTCCATGATCAGAAACCCGGATATTTAGTCTTCTAAAGAAGGAATTAGGGAAAAATTGACTTTGAACTTTGATAGACTAGGTCTTACCTGGTAATGTTAACAACTGATATACCAGTAAAACTCCAAGGTGTTGATCCCAACGTAAAAAACAACCAACACATTTTTTTTTAGTGATTATTGTATGGCCACTCCATTCAGAGACCCTAAATTTAGGATTGTTATGTACAGAAGCCTCTGACTAGAGAAATAAATGGTTTACACACAAGGAGACAGAACATGTTGATGACTACAGAAAAAGCAGCTTCTACCCAAGTCAACAGACAAGATTAATTTCTGATTCTTCATCACCCATTTGCTTTTCCCTTACTATTAATATAAACCATTATTATATTTTTGTACCTTTTATGAACTAATTAAAAGAATTTTCAATATGATCTTCCTTATCATAATTCTATTACTTTTGACTCTACATAATCTTTGGCTATTTAAGAAAAAACAAAACTTCCTGATGTGTTTTTCTCACATTATAGCTATGGCTAGGAATTTAACTGTTTGCTGACAAAATTTAATAACTATTCCTTCCAACACTTCAAAAAGTAGATTATTTATAGGACCTTCCATAGCTTAAATTTCCCTCCCATCATTAATGACAACCTTTACTGAGTCCTATACAAATTAAACTTTGGCCTCCCATTAGCAAAATATTTTTGCTAAAGTTGTTACAGCTGTATCAGCAAAACAGCCTTTTAGAAAAGAGAACTAATACCATTCTTCTCACAATAGTCAGTTTGTTCTCTTCACAGACACACCAATCAGCTTTGCAGGAAATATTTAACTTCTTCTAAGGAATCTGCCCAATTTGAGGGACAAAACATCAGCCTTCTTCTATTGTTCTAAATTGTACTTACACTCTCAATAGAATCTGTACTTTCTAGAGTACTACCTATGTGAACACAAGGCTTATACTTGCCTGCCACACACTAACTTAACCTGTATATGCAGTATAATTGTTAGAGATTTTTTGATATTTTAAAAGTACCAGCAGATCATGTTTCCTTGAAAAGAATGCCCAGGAACCTCCAAAAAGAGGCAAGGATCCGTGGGGAAAGCCTGGTTTTCAGGGAGGGGAAGCACAGTCCCTCACCATCTCCCTTGGCAGGGGGAAGGAGCTCCCTTGGCTGCCTGCAGCTGCCAGGTGGGGTCTTGTTCCACCCTGTTTTTGCTTGCTCTCCGTGGGTCACGCCCGCCACCTAGTCAGTCCCAGTGAGAGAGCTTTGGTGCCTCAATTGAAGATGCAGAGTTCACTGGCAGTTTCCGTCCTTCTCGGTGGGAGCTGCAGAGCAGAGATGCCTCTATTCGGCTATCTTGGCTCCACCCGCTTTGGCTCCACGCCCCCGCCCTCATATCGGAATATACCCAAAGGAATATAAATCATTCTTTTTCTTTTTTTTGACACATTCCCTGTCACTCAGGTGGGAGTGCAGTGGCACGATCTCGGCTCACTGCAACCTCCATCTCCCAGGTTCAAGTGATTCTCCTGCCTCAGCCTCCTGAGTAACTGGGATTACAGGCATGTGCCACCACTTGCAGCTAATTTTTGTATTTTTAGTAGAGACGGAGTTTCACCATGTTGGCCAGCTGGTCTCAAACTCTTGACCTCGTGATCTGCCCGCCTCAATTGCAGACGTGAGCCACAGCACCCGGTGCCAATGGAATATAAATCATTTTATTACAAAGATACATGTATGTCAGTGTTCATTACAACACTATTCACAATAGCAAGGACGTGGAATCAACATAAATGCCCATCAATGATAAACTGGATAAATAAAATGTGGTACATATACACCATGGAATACTAGGCAGCCATAAAAGGAATGAGATCATGTCATTTGCAGGGACGTGGATGAAGCTGGAAGCCACTACCTTTAGTAAACTAAGGCAAGAACAGAAAACCAAACACCACATGTTCTCACTCATAAGTGGGAGCAGAAAAATGAGATCACATGGAGACAGGGAGGGGAACCACACACACTGGGGCCTGTCCAGGGGTGGGGTGGGGGAAGGAAGAGTATTAGGAAAAATAGCTAACACATGCTGGGCTTAATACCTAGGTGATGAGTTGATAGGGGCAGCAAACCACTGTGACACACATCTACCTATGTTACAAACCTCCACATCCTGCTCATGCACCCCAGAATTAAAAAAAAAAATTTAAAAAAGCAGCAAATACAGGCTATTTGGAAAAATTCCATGTAGGAAAAATTAACTCCCTCTTTATGTATACTACATGAGCTATAACTCCCACAGTAAAAAAACAAACAAAAACACTTTTGGAGAAGGATGCCAAAAACTTGTCTTTGAATCAAGAAAAACTTAAAAATTACACAACTTTCTCAATCTCCCTCTCCCTCTCCCTCTCCCTCTCCCTCTCCCTCTCCCCACGGTCTCCCTCTCCCTCTCTTTCCACGGTCTCCCTCTGATGCAGAGCCGAAGCTGGACTGTACTGCTGCCATCTCGGCTGACTGCAACCTCCCTGCCTGATTCTCCTGCCTCAGCCTGCCGAGTGCCTGCGATTGCAGGTGCGCGCCGCCACACCAGACTGGTTTTCGTATTTTTTTGGTGGAGACGGGGTTTCGCTGTGTTGGCCGGGCTGGTCTCCAGCTCCTAACCGCGGGTGATCCGCCAGCCTCAGCCTCCCGAGGTGCCGGGATTGCAGACGGAGTCTCGTTCACTCAGTGCTCAATGGTGCCCAGGCTGGAGTGCAGTGGCGTGAACCTCCACCTCCCAGCCACCTGCCTTGGCCTCCCAAAGTGCCGAGATTGCAGCCTCTGCCCGGCCGCCACGCCGTCTGGGAAGTGAGGAGTGTCTCTGCCTGGCCGCCCATCGTCTGGGATGTGAGGAGCCCCTCTGCCTGGCTGCCCAGTCTGGAAAGTGAGGAGCGTCTCTGCCCGGCCGCCATCCCATCTAGGAAGTGAGGAGTGCCTCTTCCCTGCCGCCATCCCATCTAGGAAGTGAGGAGCGTCTCTGCCCGGCCGCCCATCGTCTGAGATGTGGGGAGCGCCTCTGTCCCACCGCCCCGTCTGGGGTGTGAGGAGCGCCTCTGCCCGGCCACCACCCCATCTGGGAGGGGTACCCAGCAGCTCACTGAGAACGGGCCATGATGACAATGGCGGTTTTGTGGAATGGAAAGGGGGGAAAGGTGGGGAAAAGATTGAGAAATCGGATGGTTGCGGTGTCTGTGTAGAAAGAAGTAGACATGGGAGACTTTTCATTTTGTTCTGTACTAAGAAAAATTCTTCTGCCTTGGGATCCTGGTGATCGGTGACCTTACCCCCAACCCTGTGCTCTCTAAAACATGTGCTGTGTCCACTCAGGGTTAAATGGATTAAGGGCGGTGCAAGATATGCTTTGTTCAACAGATGCTTGAAGGCAGCATGCTCGTTAAGAGTCATCACCACTCCCTAATCTCAAGTACCCAGGGACACAAACACGGCGGAGGGCCGCAGGGTCCTCTGCCTAGGAAAACCAGAGACCTTTGTTCACTTGTTTATCTGCTGACCTTCCCTCCACTATTGTCCTATGACCCTGCCAAATCCCCCTCTGCGAGAAACACCCAAGAATGATCAATAAAAAATTAAAAAAAAAAAATTACACAACTTCTTCTTTAGAAGCCTGATAAAGCCATTTAAATTTAAATTTATTCACTGAAGTTATCATGAATAGTTACATAGCCTTTGAATTATTCTTAACAATCCAAGGAAAAATTTACTATAATAGATCACTTCTTGATGTGGTTATATATGTTAGAGGACAAGTAGAATAGTCCATGTCTAAGCTAAAATAAACATCTACCTCTCTAAAACAGATCCAGGTGAATTCTGGGATATATTTTCATCACCCTTATTTTATATTCTAGGCTTCTGTCTTTGAGACTTATTGTGAAGGTGAATAAGTAATCATATTTTTTAGGTTATTACTTTTTTGCAGTTGGCCAATATATCCTATTCAGACATCTAAATATGACTGCATAGCCATTGTCATGTAAGATGATTCAATTCATCCTATGACAGAAGGAGGAGTTAACCCTAATCCAATATGGACTCTGTTCTCTGAACGACTGTACTAGTCCATTCCAGCACTGTTTAAAGACATACCTGAGATTGGGTAATTTAAAAAGAGGTTTAATTAGCTCATGGTTCAGCAGGCTGTATAGGAAGCATGATGGTGGCATCTGGGTGGCTTCTGGGGAGGCCTCAGGAAACTTGAAACCCCTCAGGTGAAGGGGAAGCACACAGATCAGCTCACATGGCCATAGTAGGAGCAAGAGAGAGATGGGGGAGATGCCACACACTTTTAAATGACCAGATCTCACGAGAACTCAATCATTATTGTCATGACAGTACTAAGGTGGAAATCCACTCCCGTGATCCAATCACCTCCCATCAGGCCCCACCTCCAACACTGGGGATTACAATTCAACATGAGATCTGGGTGGAGACAGAGATCCAAACCATATCAACAACTTTCTGATCTTGATTAGCAAAATCTCAGCAATGGTAAAAATCTGAATATCAACAATATCATCTTCCTTTGGCAGGGGATTGAGAAAAATAATTGCTTCTGTTTTCTGATAGCATCCAATTTGGAGCAAATTCCTACATCCTTAACACCCACCGTCAATCATCTAAGACAAACTCAAATCCTAAAACCTTCCTACTGAGAGAGCCCAGGAGTAGTAAACCCAAGTTCCACAACTGCAGGTGCATTTGTAGTAGTCTTTGACTGGAGGGAATTGACAGATTGAGTGATGTAAAATTGCCATTGTTGTAAGCAAAAAATCGTTGCATATTGGCCATTTTATATGGTTCAACTTAATGCAACAAACATGGCCATTTTGAGGGTCTATCTCTGAGAGTCAGTGGTAATTCTAAGAGAAAAAGCCCTACTACTACATGTTGAGCATCCCTAGTCCAAATACCTGAAATCCAAAATGATCCAAAATCTAAAACCTTTAAAGTGGCAACATGATTCAACAAAAGGGAAATTCCACATGTGACTTCATGTGATGGAGCACAGTAAAAATGTAGACAAAACTTTGTTTCATGCACAAAATTATTTAAAATATTGTGTAAAGTTACCATCAGCCTATGTGTATACTGTGTGTATAAAACATAAATAAATTTCATGTTTAGACTTGGATCCTATCCCCAAAATATTTCATTATGTATGTGCAAGTATTCCAAAATCTGAAAAAAATCTAAATTTGAAAATCTTCTGGTCCCATGCATTTTGGATAAGGAACATTCAACTTATATTTCTACTACTAGATGATAGATAAGTTATCAAGAGTTAATAGGAAAATGTGGTAGAAACAGTAGATAGCTTTTAAATTAATGTTGTCTGGAGAGAAAGATAGGAAAGAATTAGATATTGGAGAGGCTTCAGAGGGTTTATATGCAAAGACAGAGATGAAAGTAAAAAAAAAAGGAGTTAAAAATACTGCAGAGAGTAAATACTGGAACCCCAGAAGCATGGAAAAGGTTGGAATTTAGTCCTCAAGGAAGAATAGCCCAGGAAATAATAACTGCAAACTCAAAGTAGACCTCCGATGTGCGAAGACTGTTCTAAAATCCTTGCAAGTTGAATCTTGAAAACATCATGTTAAGGGAAGGAAGCCAGTGACAAAAGAACAGAGAGTGCATGATTTCATTTATATGAAATATTCAGAATAGGTAAGTCTACAGAGGCAGAAAGTTGATTTGTGGTTGCCAGGAGCTTTGGGGAGGGAAGAATGGGGAGTGGCTGCTAATGGGTACAGGGTTTCTTTTTGGGGTGATAAAAATGTTCTAAATTTAGATTGTGATGATGGTTGTACAACTCTGTGAATATACTAAAAATCATTTAACTATATACATTAATTATGCAAATTGTATGTGAATTATGTATCAATAAAGATATTTTTAAAAAGCATTACAAATATGTGTTCAATTTATTAAATAATAACTCATTTAGTATTCACAAACACCCCATGAGGTCAGTGTTGTTATTCATATTTTATAGATTAAGAAATTGAAGGACTCTGAAGAAAGAAGGAAAGAAGCAAGAATAATACTGTAATTGAAATAAGAGAAAGTTAAGTACTATGATGTGGATAAAAATACTTTTTTTGGCTGGCCACTAATATATTGAGAGCTATTACTTCCATTTTAATGTTTTCTCTTAAAGTAGGTGAGGCTACATGTAGAGAATATGTGTGGGAAAGGGTGGTAGAAAATAACTAACTTTGGGAAAGTGGATAAGTTTCAAAAGAGCTAAGCTGGCCATGCACAATAAATAGATTTCTAAGAAGCACTGAAAAAACTATGAGGCTGCATACTACACATTTAAATGGCCCCAACACTCAGGGCTATGAGATATTCTTCAGTAATGCTTCGATGCCATGAGGTAGGAGAAAATGGCATAGATTTGATGGATTCATAGTTAGGGAATTTTTAAATAGGGACACTAGTTTGTTAAGAGTGCAATTAACAGAGCAGCGTGACGGAACAGGGAATCTAGACTTGATATGAAAGGAAGTGAGGCCCAGAGAGGGCTCCCAGACAGGGCAGTTAGGACAGGTGCAAGGAATGAAAGTGTGGCTGGTGAAGAGTGCAAGTAGCAGGAACAGGAGAGTGAGAGTGCTTAAAAGGGGGAAAGTCAATCACAGAAGCAGTAGTGTGCTGGTAAGCATTTAACAGCTGGCTCTCCGGGAGAAAAGCCCTGATTTGTAGGGCTTGCTACTTTCCATGGTAGTGGTACAGATACTATCACTCTAACCTAACCAGCAGGACCCTGCCACATGTCCTGGGCTGCACAGCTGCTAGAGGCCAGAGCAAGACTCCAGCTCTATGAAAGTTCAGATCCTCCTCTCTCTTCCTCCCAGCTTTGCCTCCCTTTTCAGAAATGCTCTCTCATCCCGTTTGCAGGTGCTTTGTGTTCAGGGGACTGAGCAAAGATCTGACTCAGGGCCCAGTGCACTCAAATACCATTGGTGTTACCACTTCTCCCAGAAAAAAAAAAAAAAAATCACTAGCGAGCCTGTGAAACCATGTTGCTGTCCCCTGGGGAATGGTTATGACTTACCGCCCAGTGGACATAAGTGGGTACTCAGGGGAAGATTATTAATTAGCTACTCCTTCAAACAACCTTAAAAAAAAATCTTTATTTCATGGGTGGTTGGGAGTGGGGGCAGATAGACAAAACACATTTCCTATTAACTAGATGTTATATTTACTTCCTGACACGGTTTGGATGTTTGCTCCCTCCAAATCTCATGTTGAAATGTGATTCCCCATGTTGCGGGCAGGGCCTAGTGGAAGGCGATTGTGTCATGGTTTGGTGGGGCAGGCAGGGGGGATCCCCTCATGAATGGCTTAGCATCATCCCCATGATGATAAGTGAGTTCTTGCTCAGTTATTTCTTACGAGATCTGGGACCTCTGCCTTTTCTTTTTCGCTCCTGTTCTCTCGCCATGTGACACTCCTGCTCCCCTTCACCTTCCACTATGGTTGTAAGTTCTCTGAGGCCCATACCAGAAGCAAAGCAGAAGCTGGAGCCATGCTTGTATAGCCTGCAGAACCATGAGCCGGTTAAACCTCTTTTCTTTATAAATTTCCTAATAGCAATGCAAAAAAATGGGCTAATACACTTCTTTGTATTAAAAATAAGTTGTCTAGTTTTGCTGAACCCCAGACAGTTTCTTGAGTTTAAATTTCATATGATAAAGTTAATCATTTGTTACCTGTCAGCTAGCTCTTATTGGTAGAATGTTAACTTACCTCTTGCGTATTTCTAAAGAATACTCAGCTACAGTCACTCAGAAAACAGTGGAAATTTGTTTTCGCAAAAAAATTTTTTCTTCCACATGAGGGCACTGTCTACTTTGGATTTGGCTTTGCCAGTTTTGTAAGAACATATTTCCCATTTTGCCCATTGATGTTGTGGCTCCATTTCTAAATCCGTTTAACCCCACTGCACCTATAAATGTCAGGATACAATTTTACACGGGAGCTGAGCATAGTGCAGTTCCTTGTTTGGTAGAGAAGGCGAAGTCAGTAGTACCTCTCTTCCAGCTTTTTTCTGCTGCTTAAAAGCAACCTGAACCTCCATTCTTAGCCAAGCAATGTTTGGTGGCCTGGCTTGGCATGGATGGTCAAAGTGCCATCCACAGACCCTGGCAGGGCTGGGGTGACTGGCAGTCTCTATGGGCAGCTTCAAGGCTCACCAGGTGAAGTGATAGCCAGAGTTTCTGGGGCCTTGCAGATTCCTGAATAGAGATATTCACTGCAAATAATGAGGCATATCTGATACCATGTTCACAACTTCCTGTGGCTACTGTTCTGGGCCACTTGATCCATCCATTCACCTAATTGCTGCAAAACCAGATGGCAGAGCATATACTCTAGTGGGTAGACCATTTCCTCCTAGGTCTACCTATGGATCTATGGATAGACATTTATCCTGCTGCAAGACTCAACACTCCCAAATGTTGTACTTCATCCTGGGTCCTGGTCACAGGAAGGGATGCTTCATGGAATTCTGGGTGGAAGATTCTTGCCTTCACGTTTAAGTGATGATGGATCCAGGCACCATATAGCTTTTTGACTCAAGATACATGTGCCAAGTCTCCAAGAAACTGGCTGCATTTGAGATCAGTTATCTCAGGAGGAGTCAGCTGCTATTGACACCTAGGCTGGCTGAAGCATGCCTTGAGAGGACCTGGCATGCCACAACAAAACATGCAGGCTATCTAACCCTGGAGCAGCCAGCTGGTGAGACGGGACCCTCACAGTGCTTTAGAAATATATTATTTGAATGTCTTATTCTCCTTTACCTGTCCACCTAAACTGCTGGCCAGGCATGTTCTATCCTGCAATCTAAAGTACTACAGGGCCAAGTAGAGAGTGAAACCCTGAAAAACCCTCCAGTCTGAGAATTTTGAAGCTTGGAGACACATACAACAGTGCTGTTCTGAGAACCAGAGCCCAAGGGCTGCCAGACTGGTCAGGGCCAAATGCTTAGGTGGGCTAGTCTCAGAGGTGGCAGACAATCTGTCCCTTATAAGTTCCCTTGCTCAGGCACTTTGACTGCACCGTGACATCACCTGAACAGCTATATCACACACACACACAAATGATCCAAAGGGGTTCTCTTGGCTTTATGCTCTATAGATCAAGTTTGAAAAACACCATTTCTGATATTTGCAGCAGAAAAAAGAAAAGACCCCTAAACCAAAAGAACTGCTGTGTCCTTTGACAAAATCCTTGAGATGGTTTTTGCCTTACAGAACATCCCTTTTCACATTCCTACTCGTGTCATGCTTTGGGAGTGATGAATATTTTCCTCAAAGGTGCCACACTTTATTGATTCTGCACCCATTCCCATTGGCATCCTGATAACACCCTATCTGTCCTCCCACATTGCCAATCCCCTTGGAATTGAATGCAGCTTCTCATCTGTGGCCTGATTTTGAAGGACATTGTACCGGACTCAACTCCTAAAGACAAACAGCAAATAAGACAAATCATTTGCGTATTTAGCCAGTCTACGTCAGGCAAAACATATTCATCAAATATTTATTATTTGTCAAAAAATGCTACCTGCAAATAGATCATGAATTAGCAAGACAAAGAGGTAGAGAAGACAGCTTTCAGGCAGAGGTAACAGCAAGAGCCCTTTGGTGGGAGAGGCATGGTGTGTTCAAGAAGTTAGGTGATACTCATTGTGGCTGGACTGAAGAGAGCTGGGGGAGAGTGAAATGATGTGATGCTGGAGAGGCAGGCCAGGGAGAATATCAGTGATCTTACAGGTCCTGTTAAGGGTTTTGGATTTTATTCTAAATATAGTAGGACTCAAAGGTAATATCCATTTTTATCATTTCTATTCACAATACTTTCTTACTACAATGGAATTTGTATCTGTGCTGGAAATGAAGAATGCTATTTTAAACACAATGAACTTCAACAACTACTGTTGGGCAATAGTATAATCTTGGGTAAGCTGTTTTTATAGTTGGTATAAGAAAACCACGATGATATACCGTGATGTGTTTTGGAGTTCAGGAATTGAAGCCTCCTCTGGACCTATTCTAGAAGGGTAAAGATAGGACAAAATGAGAGAATGAAATTGGTCTGCATAATAAACCAGAAGAGTTTATTAAGATGAATTATCTAGAAATGTAATTGATGCCTGAGGGGGCTTGCACATTTTTCAACTTTATAGATACCAATAAATTGCCTTTCAAAGTAGTTGTTCAAATTCACATGCCCATCTGCAGCATTTGAGAGTTCCTGTTGCTCCATGTTCTCACTGATCCCTGGAATCATCAAACTTTAAAATGTTACCAATCTTATGTTGTTATTGTTTTCATTTGTATTTGTCTGATCATTGGTAAAGCTGCACATTTACTCATATGTTTAGTAGTATTTACATTTCTTTTTTTGGTGTGTAATACTTTACTCTCATATTCTTTGTCCATTTTTCTGTTGGATGTTCCTATCTTTTTAAAAATTGATTTTTGGGTATTCCTATGTATTCAGACCTATTCATTTGTTAGCTTTATTATGACAAATAGCTTTTCTCAAGCCTGTGAATTATATTTTATTTGCTGTTTTCTGTTTTATGGAAGTCGTATTAGTCCGTTTTCATGCTGCTGATAAAAACATATCCGAGACTGGGAAGAAAAAGAGGTTGAAGTGGACTTATAGTTCCACATGGCTGGGGAGGCCTTAGAATCATGGAGAGAGGCGAAAGGCAGTTCCTACATGGCGGTGGCAAGAGAAAAATGAAGAGGAAGCAAAAGTGGAAACCCCTGATAAACCCATCAGATCTCATGAGACTTATTCACTATCACGAGAATAGAACAGGAAAGACTGGCCCCCATGATTCCATTACCTCCCCTGGGTCCCTCCCACAACACATGGGAATTCTGAGACACATTATGCAAGTTGAGATTTGAGTGGGGGCACAGCCAAACCATATAATTCCAACATTGGCCCCTCCAAATCTCATGTCCTCACGTTTCAAAACCAATCATGCCTTTCCAACTGTCCCCCAAAGTCTTAACTCATTTCAGCATTAACCCAAACGTCCGCAGTCCAAAGTTTCGTCTGAGACAAGGCAAGTCCCTTCCACCTATGAGCCTATAAAATCAAAAGCAAGTTGGTTGCTTCCTAGATACAATGGGGGTACAGGTATTGGGTAAAATAGCCATTCCAAATGGGAGAAATTGGCCAAAACAAAGAGGTTACAAGGCTCATGCAAGTTCAAAATCCAGCAGGGCAATCAAATTTTAAAGCTCTGAAATTATCTCCTTTGACTCCCTGTCTCACATCCAGGTGATGCTGTTGTAAGAGGTGGGTTCCCATGGTCTTGGGCAGCCCCGCCCCTGTGGCTTTGCAGGGTACAGCCTCCCTCCCGGCTGCTTTCATAGGCTGGCATTGAGTGTCTGTGGCTTTCCCAGGCACACAGTGCAAGCTGTTGGTGGAGTTACCATTCTGGGGTCTGGGGTCGGTGGCCTTCTTCTCACAGCTCCACTAGGCAGTGCCCCAGTAGGGACTCTGTGTGGGGGCTCCCACCCCACATTTCCCTTCTGCATTGCCGTAGCAGAGGTTCTCCATGAGGCCCTGCCCCTGCAGCAAACTTTTGCCTGGGCATCCAGGCATGTGGAAGATGCCAAGGCTTGGGGCTTCCACCCTCTGGAGCCATGGCCCAAGCTGTACATTGGACCCTTTCAGACACAGCTGGAGTGGCTAGGACACAGGGCATCAAGATCCTAGGCTGCACACGGCACAGGGACTCCTGGGCTTCTGTGCCTGTGATGGGAGGGGCTGCCGTGAAAGTCTCTGACATGGCCTGGAGATATTTTCTTCATGGTCTTGGGGATTAACATTAGGCTCCTCATTACTTATGCAAATTTCTGCAGCTGGCTTGAATTTCTCCTCAGAAAATGGGTTTTTCTTTTCTGTCCCATAGTCAGGCTACAAATTTTCCAAACTTTTATGCTCTGCTTCCCTTGTAAAACTGAATGCTGTTAACAGCACCCAAGTCACTTCTCGAATGCTTTGCTGCTTAGAAATTTCTTCTGCCAGATACTCTAAATCATCTTTCTCAAGTTTGAAGTTCCACAAATCTCTAGGGCAAGGGCAAAATGCTGCCAGTCTCTTTGCTAAAACATAACAAGAGTCACCTTTGCTCCAATTCCCAACAAGCTCCTTATCTCCATCTGAGACCACCTCAGCCTGGACCTTATTGTCCATATCACTACGAGCATTTTGGGCAAAGCTATTCAACAAGTATTTAGGGAGTTCCAAACTTTCCCAGATTTTTCTATCTTCTTCTGAGCGCCCCAAACTGTTCCAACCTCTGCTTGTTACACAGTTCCAAAGTTGCTTTCACATTTTTGGGTATCTTTTCAGCAATGCCCCACTCTACTGGTACCAATTTACAGTATTATTCAGTTTTCATGCTGCTGATAAATACATACCTGAGACTGGGAAGAAAAAGAGGTTTAATTGGACTTCCAGTTCCACACGGCTGGGGAGGCCTCAGCATCATGGTGGGAGGTAAAAGGCACTTCCTACATGACGGTAGCAAGGGTCCCTCCCACAATGCATGGGAATCCTAGGAGATACAATTCAAGTTGAGATTTGAATGGGGACACAGCCAAACCATATCAGAAGTTTTATATTTTAATTGGTAAAATGTATCAATGTTTACCTGACGTGAACAGCTTTGTGCTTTTTGGAATCTTATTTAAAATTTTTGCTTAAGAAACCCTACCAAAAAGTCATATTTTCTTTTTAAAGTTTTATTTCTCATATTTAGTTCTTTAAACCATTTGAAGTATATTTTGTGTAGGGTTTAAAGGCAGAGTCTAATTCAGCTATTTTTAATTATGGACATCCAGTTGTCCTAGCACCATAGATTGAATGGGGCATTCTTTATTTTTTTAATTTTGTTTGTTTATTTATAACATGATGAATATTACCCAACCCAAGAACTAGATCACTAACAATAATTTAATCTACCTGTGTATTATTCCTTGAACAGGACACTCTTGCTTTCTGCTTTGCAATACTATGTCTGTCATGTTCTCCATATTGTTTCTCTGGCCTATTTGTCTATCTTTGGACCAATGTCACACAGTCTCATTACTAGATCTTTAAAATAAATCTTAATATCTGGTGGAGCAAGTTCTTATCTTGTTTTCAAATTGTCTTGGATATTCTTAACCTTTAGCTTTTTCATATGAATTTCATGTAGTATTTTGTTTAGAATGTTTCCATTTTTGTTTTGAGTGAAATTGGTCTACACATTGTTTTTTTTCCTGCACTATTCTTGTCTGGTTTGGTATCAGGGATTTTAAAGCCTCATTCAATAATGTGAACAGCGTTTCCTCTTCTTCTATTATATGAAATATTTTGTCTAAAATAGGAATTAGTTCTGCATTGTACAATATGGTAGGCACAAATAGATCTCCATTTGGCTGTTCCTCAGTTGTAGTCTTTATAATAAACCAGTAATAGTAAGTAAAGTGCTTTCTTGAATTCTGTGAGCTATTATAGCAAATTTTCAAACCTGAGGAGGGAGTCGTGGGAACTGGTTGGTCAGAAGTATGGGTGACAGACTTGTGATGGACATCTGAAATTCGGGCGGTATTGTGAGACTGAGCCCTTAACCTGAGATGTCTGCACTGACTCTGGGTAGTTAGAATCAGAATTACATTGAATTGTGGGACATGAAGTTGGTGTCTGGAGAGCTGTAGAAGTGGTTGGTTGGTGTGAAAAGAAAAAAAAACTGACACATTTGGTGTTAGAAATGTTGTGAGTCAAAACAGCACAGAATTGCTATACTAGCCTTCTTCTGGTTAGTATTAGCTACTATGCCTACCAGCTTCCCTGCCTTTTATTCCCTATTTCCTTTTAAGTTTTAATTTTTTATCATGGTAATAGTCAAGTACTTGCTATTACTTTATGAGGCTTGTTATAAAAAACTAGTAACCCCTGTTCCTCTCCCCCAGATGAAACAACTTTAACTTCTTTTAGACAATTCTTTTATTATTAACCTCCATCTCTATAGTATGCTTCTATTGCTGCCTTTCCATCTTTTAATAGAATTATCTATTAACTTCCCACTATGGAGTAATAATAGCAAACACATGTAGAACACTTACTTCGTGCCAGGCACTTCTCTGTGTGCTTTACATATATTACTCATAAAATCCTCAAAGCAACCCTATGAGGGGATCTGGGGAACTGCTTCTTAAACACTTTCAGACAATCTGTCTATTTGCAGTATAATTTTTATTATTTTACCCCATTCCAGAGATCCCTGGTGCCACCGAATCCTAAGCCTTTTGAGTCTGCAATGTAAATCATAGTTCTTTCTTGCTTTCCTCACTACCTGCTAAGTCAATTACCAAGAATCCACTTGCTTTACAGCTTTCGATGTTTTATAGCTAACGTTTCTTTTACCATTGTCTTTTTTTAAAAAATAGATTTAGGCCTTAAAAACATTAGCTGCCATTTTAATGAGATTTCAAAATGAATCATAAGTAAATTTATGTGTTCTGTTTGTCATTCTTAACCTGCAAGTCTGGTATAGCTTTCCATTCATTTATTTTCAACCTCTATGTGTTGTCTTTATTTAGGTATATGTCTTGGATTTAAAGTTGAATTAAAAATTAATATACTTCGGCCAATTAAAATGAGCATTTAATCCGTTTATATGTATTGTGAATTATTTCTACCATTTTATTTTATGTTTTCTTTTTATCATCCTTTTTCATTGCTCTGTTTCCCCTCGTATATTGGGATGTGAAGATTTCCATATTCACTCCCTGGTTTTTCACTCTGGAAATTTGGAAGCTACAGATTGTATTTTTTAGGCTATTAGTGGTATTCTTAAACATCTGACATACAGTTATTCAATATCTCTATCCAACTCCTAAGCAAGACAATGGCTCTATCAGTAGTCTCTTTATCATTGAACCCCTTCTTTTTGTTGTCTAGAGTTTGTGTCACATTTTTAAACATAAAAATTATATTTTTAGACATTTATATATTTGATAATTACATTTATCATCAAATTTATTTATAAATTTATAATTTTATTATAAATTTATTTATTTATAATAAATTTATAAATTGATAATAAATTACATTTATTATCAAAAATTTATATATTTGATAATTACATTTATTAATACATTTTATAATTTCAGCACCACCATTGTTTTTGTATTCTATGCAATCTCTGTAGTTATACTCTTCTTTTTACTAAAGCATTCTTAATTGGTTCCTTCAATGACAGTTTGTGGATTGTGAACTCCTAAAATCTTTGTTTAGAGAAAGTCTTTATTTTCCTTCATTTTGAATTCAGTATAGATGTATTTTCCTTCCTTCCTTTTTTTTCATTTTTTTAAACAAGTATTACAGCTGTAGCTGACTTGGAATGGGTCATGAGAGCCAATTATGCTTATCGCTTACCAATTCCATGTTCAGTGACCTATCAGTTGAAATTGGTTGCGATAGGACTACATATACCATGAGATCAGCAAATTCTATAAATCATGGTTTTGTTTTGCTTTTGTTTATGGGAGCTCGTCATTAAACATTTATCGGCACACCATTGCTTATTAGGTACCTATAATATGCCAGGCACTGTTTTAGGTGTGACAATACATCAGGGAAGAAAATGGATAAAAATCCTTGCCTGAGAGTGATGTCAGCAACGTGGCTGACCAGAGATGCCTGGTGTTTGTCCTGCTCACAAGACAGGACCAAGGCAGTAAATAAACAGCCAAGATTTGATTGGAGTGTTGAAGGGAGAGCTCTGGAGTGCAGTGGGAGAGTGGAGATGTGCCTGCAGTAATTGGAAATCCAGAAGGACAGTGTGGAGGCACCCAGTTTCTGCAGCCTCATCTCCCCTGCCCAAATCAGATCTGCTTTGAGTCAGAAGGGACTTTTCATTGCAGGGGGAAGGTAAGCAGAAGATACACACCATTTCCCATTGCCACCACAAAGACCTACAGTTCTTGTTACAGAAGAATCCCAGAGTCCTTATAAGCCTTGAGCCCAGTTTGCAGAGCTGATGGGCATTGCCCTACACTAGGAGCACAAAGTCTATACTTCCCACCTCCCACCCGCCCACTGCAAACCAAGCTGCTGTAGCATGGTTCCATCTTGAGGACAAAGCCACCTCTGGAGTGTACCCTACTGTGAGGCGTGAGGACCAATAGCCACTGCACCTCTCCAGCATTAGGGCTTTATCATCATTATGCCAAACCCACACAGGTGGCTGAATGCCACAACCCCAGCTGTGTGAAGCCTGGTCTCAGAATCAGCTGTGACCCCGGTCCTGCAAAGTAGGGAAACCAACTCCCACTACTGCAGCTCCAGCCTGAGGAACAGCCTGGCAATCCTACCCAGAGCAAACCTGAATTTGAGCTGACCAAACCACTGTGTGTTCTCCCACTCAAGCAGGAGATGTCCCAAGCCTCTGAGGAGCTGGCAAGGCCCCGGGCCAGAGAAGTGGCTATGCATCCATGCTCAGGATCTGAGAAGCAGCCCTGCAGTGCCCTTACTTCCCTGCGGACATGCTCCTGGCTTGTTCAATAGCTTGTTTCAATAAAGGCCTGAGAAATAGTCCCATAGGCTGCCCTTGGCAGGCATGCACCAAGATAGGCAAAGCAGCCAGGAGCCCACGTCTAAAACCTGACAAATAGCCCTGTGGGCCAACCCTGGTGGACATGCCCCAGGCCAGGTAAGCAGCCATCCACCTGTATAAGGGACCTGATAAAAAGCCCTATACGTCACCTTCAGTGAGCATGCTCCTGAGCCAGCCTAGCAGGCTTGTACCTGCATCTGACCTGTAAAACAGCCACCTCCAGCAGACATGCTCCCGGGTTGGTGGAACAGCCAGAGCCTGCATCCTGGTCCTGAGAAATATCCTAGGGGCCCACCCCTAGAAGACACACCCCCAGGCCAGCTAAGCAGCTGTGTGATTGACAAATAGCTCCATGGGCCCACTGTGATGGTTAATATTGAGTGTCAGCTTGATTGGATTGAAAGATGCAAAGTATTGTTCCTGGGTGTGTCTGTGAGGGTGTTGCCAAAGGAGATTAACATTTGAGTCAGTGGACTGGGAGAGGCAGACCGACCCTCTGATCTGATTTGGCCAGATCTGATTTGGGCAGGGGAGATGAGGCTTCAGACCCAACCCTCAATCTGGGCACCATCTAATCAGCTGCCAGTGTGGCTAGAATAAAGCAGGAAGAAGTTGGAAAGAGGAGATTTGCAGAGTCTTCCGGCTTTCATCTTTCTCCCATGCTGGATGCTTCCTGCCCTCGAACATCAGACTCCAAGTTCTTCAGCTTTTGGACTCTTGAACTTATACCAGTGGTTTGCCAGGGGCTCTTGGGTCTTTGGCCACAGACTGAAGGCTGCACTGTTGGCTTCCCAAGTTTTGAGATTTTAGGACTTGGACTGAACCACCACTGGCTTCTTTGCTCCTCAACTTGCAGATGGCCTATTGTGTGACTTTACCTTGTGATCGTGTGAGTCAATTCTTGATAAACTCCCTTTCATATATACATATATTCTATTAGTTCTGTCCCTCTAGAGAACACTGACTAATACATTGACCCCTGGCAAAGTGACATCAACATCACCAAAAACTCTCTCATTCTAGCCCACTGAGAAACTCTCACATTACCAGTGTGAATTACAGCTGAAGAAACTTCATGGAGACTACACTACATCCACCTAGAACTAAGGCCAACACACCCCACTGAACCGACACCCCAAGACCCATTTATACAAATTATTTATACTAATTTATTATACTAATAAATTGGTCTTGGGGTGTCAGTTCAGTGGAGTATGTTGAAACCTACACCATTAAATTGGAAGAGGTGACTGCATTAGCCTGTTTTCACATTGCAAATAAAGACATACCTGAGACTTGGCAATTTACAAAAGAAAGAGGTTTAACAGACTTGCAGTTCCATGTGGCTGGGGAGGCCTCACAATCATGGCAGAAGGTGAAAGTCATGTCTCAACATGGTGGCAGATAAGAGAAGAGAGCTTGTACAGGGAAACTTCTTTTTATAAAACCATCAGCTCTTGTGAGACTTATTCACTATCAAGAGAACAGCATGGGAAAGACCTCACCCCATGATTCAATGACCTCTCACCGGGTCCCTCCCACAACCGTGGGAATTAAAGATGATATTTGGGTGGGGACACAGCTAAACCATATCATTCCACCCCTGACCCCTCCTAAATCTCATGTCCTCACATTTCAAAACCAGTCATGCCTTCCCATCAGTCCCCCAAAGTCTTAAGTAATTTTCGAATTAACTCAAAAGTCCATAGTCCAAAGTCTCATCTGAGACAAGGCAAGTCCCTTCTGCCTATGAGCCTGTAAAATCAAAAACAAGTTAGTTACTTCCTAGATACAATAGGAGTACAGGCATTGGGTAAATAAAACCATTGCAAATGGAAAAAATTGGCCAAAATAAAGGTATTACAGGTCACATGCAAGTCTGAAATCCAGCGGGGCAGTCAAATCTCACAATCATGGCAGAAGGTGAAAGGCATGTCTCAACATGGTGGCAGATAAGAGAAGAGAGCTTGTGCAGGGAAACTTCTTTTTATAAAACCATCAGCTCTGGTGAGACTTATTCACTAGCAAGCTCCAAAATGATCTCCTTTGACTCCATAACTCACACCCAGGTCACACTGATGCAAGAGGTGGGTTCATGGTCTTGGGCAGGAGTAGCTATATGTATATCAGACAAAGTAAACTTCAGGTTAAAAGCTGTAAAAAGAGGCAAAAAGGACACTATATAATAATAAAGGGGGTCGGGCACAGTGGCTCATGCCTGTAGTCCCAGCACTTTGGGAGGCCGAGGTGGGTGGACCATGAGATCAAGAGATCGAGACCATTCTGACCAGCATGGTGAAACCCCGTCTCTACTAAAAATACAAGAATTAGCTGGGTGTGGTGGCGTGTGCCTGTGGTCCCAGCTGCTCAGGAGGCTGAGGCGGGAGAATCGCTTGAACCTGACAGGTTGCAGTTGCAGTGAGCTGAGATCACGCCACTGTACTCAAGCCTGGAGAGAGTGAGACTCTGTCTCAATAAATAAATAAATAAATAAATAAATAAATAAATAAATGGATACATTCAGCATGAGACTATAACAATTATGTACATATGTGTTTGTGTGTCTCTATATATATATATAGACACACACACATGCACACACACACCCGACACCATAGCATCTAGATATATACAGCAGATATTATTAGATCTAAAGGGAAAGATGGACCCCAATATGATAATAGTTGGGAATATCAACATCCTACTCTCAGCATTGGACAGATCAGCAAAGAAATATCAAATTTAAACTATGCCATAGATGAAATGGACCTAACAAAAATTTACAGAACATTTCACCCAACAACTGCAAAACACACAGTTTTTTTTTTCCTCAGCACATGGAACATTTTCCAGGATGATCATATGTTATGACACAAAACAAGTTTCAACAAATTTTTAAAAATCAAATTATATAAAGTGTTTTACCTTATCAAAATGGAATAAAACTAGAAAGCGATAACAAGAGGAACATTTGAAACTGTACACATACATGAAAATTAAACAGCATGCTTCTGACTGACTAATGGGTGAAGACAAAAATTAAGAATAAAATGTAAAATGTCTTGAAATGAATGAAAATAGAAACACAACGTTTCAAAGCCTATGAGACACAGCAAAAATAGTATTGAGGTAAGTTTATAACAATAAATGCTTATATCAAAAAACAGGGAAGATTTCAAATAAGCAACTTAATCATGCACCCCAAAAATGAGGAAAGTAAGAACAAACCAAACCCCAAATTAGTAAAAAGAAATAAATAATAAAGATGGGAGCAGAAATAAATGAAATTGACCCTAAAAAATACAAAAGGTGAATAAGACAAAAAGTTGGTTTTTTGAAAACATAAACAAAATTGACAAACCTTCAGGTAGACTAAGAAAAAAAGAGAGGGGACCAAAATAAATAAAATCAGAAATGAAAAAGTAGACATCACAATGGATACCACAGATATACAAAGGATCATTAGAGACTGCTATGAATAACCATAAGCCAATAAATTTGAAAACCTAGAGGAAATAAATAAATTACTGAATACATACAACCTACTAAGATTGAACCAAGGAGAAATAGAAAGCCTGAACAGATCAATAATAAGTAATGAGATTGAATCAGTAATAAAAATGTCTCCCAAAACAGAAAAGTCCAGGACTGGATGGCTTCACAGCTGAGTTCTACCAAACCTTTAAAGAAGAATTAATGTCAATTCTTCTCAAACTGTTCCAAAAAGTTAAAGCAGAGAAAATTCTTTCTAACTAATTCCATAAGGCCAACATAACTCTCACATCAAAACCAGACAAGGAGACAACAAAAAAGAAAACTACAGGCCAATATCCGTCATGAACATAGACGTAAGAATTCTCAACAAAATGCTAGCAAACTGAATCCAATAAAACATCAAACAGATAATACACCATGATGAAGTAGGATTTATCTCAGGAATGCAAGAACGTTTCAACATACACAAATCCATAAATGTCATATATCACATCAATAGAATAAAGAGCAAATATATGTGATCATCTCAATAGATGCAGACAAAGCATTAGATAAAATTTAACATTGTGCCATGACAAAAACCCTCAATAAATTAGGTACAGAAGAGAAGTATCTCAATATGATAAATGTCATGTATGACAAACCCACAGCTAACATGTTGCTAAATGGGGAAAAGCTGAATGCCTTTTCTCTATGAACAAGAACAAAACTATTCTCACCACTCTTTTCAACATAGTACCAGAAGTCATAGCTAGAGCAATGAGGCAAAAGAAAGAAATAAAGGACATCCAGAATGGAAAGGAGGAAGTCAAATTGCTCCTGTTTGTAAATGACATGACATTATATAGAGAAAAACGTAAGGATTCTACCAAAAACTCTTAGAACTGTAAAACTAATTGAGTCAAGTTGCAGGATACAAAGGTAATAAACAAAAATCAGTAGTATTTCTATACACCAAAAACAAGCTAGCCGAAAAAGAAATCAAGAAGGCAATCCCATTTATAATAGCAACAAAAAATACCTAGTAATAAACTTAACCATGTGAAAGATCTCTACAAACACTGATGAAAGAAAATGAAGACAATACAAACAAATGAAAAGACATCCCATGTTCATGGATCAGAAAAGTAAATATTGCTAAATTTACAATACTACTCAAAGCAATCTACAGATCCAATGCAATTCCTATGAAATCATCAATTGCATTCTTCATAGAAATGGAAAAAATCCTGAAATTTCTATGGAACCCCAAAAGACCCCAAATAGCCAAAGCAATTCTGAGCAAAAATAGCTGGAAGCATCACACTACCAGATCTCAAAATATACTACAAAGCTATAGTAATCAAAACAATATGGTACTGTCACAAAAAGAGACACATGGATCAATGGAACAGAATAGCAAACCCAGAAACTAATCCACATATCTACAACCACCTGATTTTTGACAAAGGTGCGAAGGACACTAATTGGGGAAAAAACAATCTCTTCAATAGTTGGTGCTGGGAAAAGTGGATATCCATATGCAGAAGAATGAAAGTAGACCCCCACATCACACCCTATACAAAGATCAATTCAGAATGGATCAAAACTCTAAATAGAAGACATGAAACTATAAAACTGTTAGAAGCAAATATAGTGAAAATGGTTCAGGATATGGGTCTGAGAGAAGATTTTATGAATAACACCTCAAAAGCACAGGCAATAAAGCAAAAATAAACAAATGAGATTATATCAAACTATAAGCTTCTGCACAACAAAGGAAACAATCAACAGAGTGAAAAGACAACCTACAGAATGAAAGAAACTATTTTCAAACTACTCATACTGCAGGGGACTAATATACAGCATATATAAGGAACTCAAACATCTTGACAGCAAAAAAAAAAATCTGATTGGAAAATGGGCAAGTCTGAACAAACATACAAACATTTGTGAAAAGAAGTCACAAAAATGGAAAACAAACATGAAAAAATGCTCAACAACGCTCATTACTGGGAAAATGCAACTCAGATGCACCATGAGGTATCATCTCACCTCAGTTAGAAAGGCTACTACCAAAAAGACAAAAAAATAGTAAATGCTAGTGAAAATGTGAAGAAAAGGGAACTCTTACTGTTGGTGGGAATGTAAACCCATACAGTCACTATGAATAACAGTATGGAGGTTCCTAAAAAAACTGCAACTAAAATTATCACATGACCCAGCAATCCCACAACTGAGCATTTATCCAAAGGAAAGGAAATAAGTATATCAAAGATACATCTGCACCCCCATGTTTATTGCAACACTGTTCACAATAGCCAAGATATGGAATCAACCTAGGTGTCCAACAACAGATGACTGAGTAAAGAAAATGCAATATATACATAATGGAATACCATTTAGCCACAAAAAGATAAAATCTTGTCATTTGTAGTAACATGGATGGAAGTGGAGGACATTATGTTAAGTGAAATAAGTCAGGAACAAAAAGTTAAACACCACATATTCTCACTCATATGTGGAAGCTGAGAAAAGTTTATTCATATGAGTAAAAAGTAAAACAGAGGATACTAGAGGCTGGCAAGGGTAGAGAGAAGGGAGGGATAAGTAGAGATTTGTTAAAGGACACAAAATTATAGCTACGTAGGATAAATAAGTTCTAGTGTTCTCTACCACTGTAGGATGAGTAGAATTAACAACAATATATTATATAGCTTCAGATAGCTAGAAGGAGAATATTGAATGTTCCCCACACAAAGAAATGATAAATGTTTGAGAAGATGTATATACTAATTACCCTGATCTGATCACTATGTATTATACATATGTAAACATCACTATGTAACCCATGAATCTGTACAATTATTATTTATCAATTAAAAAGATCAAAATTAAAAAAATCCTTGTCTGTGGAACTTACAGTCTAATTGACAGAGACAGTCAATAAATGAGTAAATGAATGATTGGATAAATAAATAAATAAAATCCATAGTATTTCTGACAGTCATAACGTTTATGGCAAGAATATAAAGTGGAGGACGGGATAACAAAATATGGAGTGTTGAGCAGATTTGCAAATAAAGATTCACTGTGGGGATGATGTTTGAGCAAAGCTCTGAGGGATCAAGCTCTACAAATACTTGGTAGAAAAGTTGTCTGAGTAGAAGATACAAGTACAAAGCCTTGAGGTGAGAGAGCATCGGATATCTGATATTTTCAAGGAATATCAAGGAGGGTATTGTGCCATGAATGAGATGAAGGTTGGAAAGGGGGATGGGGAAGAATTGTTTGAGATGAAGTTACAGAAGAACAAAAGTCAGTTTATGTAAGCTCATGTCATTCAGTGTTAAGAACTTTGGTTTTTGTTCTGAATGAGAAGGAAGCCCACTGGAGAGTTTTGAGTAACGAAGTAACATGATTCAATATAGTTTTTAAAATAATCACTCTAGCAACTGTGTTGAAAATAGATTCTAGGTGGGCGCGGTGGCTCACGCCTGTAATCCCAGTATTTTGGGAGGCTGAGGTGGGCGGATCACCAGAGGTCAGGGGTTTAAGAACAGCTTGGCCATCATGGTGAAACCCTGTCTCTACTAAAAATACAAAAAAATTGTCAGGCATAGTGGCGGGTGCCTGTAATCCCAGTGACTTGGGAGGCTGAGGCAGGAGAATTACTTGGACCCAGGAGGCAGAGGTTGCAGTGAGCCGAGATCGCGCCATTGCACTCCAGCCTGGGTGATGGAGCCAGACTCCATCTCAAAAAAAAGAAAAAAAAGAAAAGGAAAGAAAATAGATTCTAAGCTTTAACAACTTGCTTAACCTATAGAATGTGGCAAAAGTATGTTCTAAGACTTTCAACATTAGGTGATAAGAACCTTGCAACTTTTGCCTGGCGCTCTTGAATATTTACTCTGGGAATCAGCCACCATGAAAGAATATCTCCTTTTCTGAGACTATCATGCTATGATGGAGTGAAAGTCTCCATGGAGGTAGAGATGCCTAACTGGCCTCTAACTATACTAGTCATCCAAACCCAGGCACCAAACTTGTAAATGAATAAGCCTCCCTATGCCTACAGCCTCAGCTACTGCTGACTGTAACCATATGAGGGGCCGCAAACCACATCTGCCCAGCTGAGCCTGTCAACCCTCAGAGCAGTGAGAGGTAACAATAAATAGTTGTTTTAAGTTACCATATTTTAGGGAGGTTTGTTGTGTAGCAAAGGGTAACAAATAGAATTCATCAACATATAGATGTCATGTAAAACTATGAGACGGGATGAGCCCATGAGGGAGTGAGAAGAGAAAAAGAAAAGACATTTAAGGATTAAAATCTAGGATGTTCCAAAATTTTGATGTTGGAGAGACTGTGAAGAACAAAACAAGACAAACAATAATAACAAAAGGCAAAACAAAGTTATTACCCCTCAGTGCTTTCAAGATTTTACACCATTATCTTCTGAAATTTCTTATATAAGAAAGAAATCTGCTGTCTGTTAATCTCAATTTTTTTTTTCTTTCGTTTTTTGAGATGGAGTCTTGCTCTGTCACCCAGGCTTGAGTGGGGTGGCACGATCTTGGCTCACTGCAACCTCTATCTCCCGGGTTCAGGTGATTCTAGTGCCTCGGCCACCTGAGTAGCTAGGACTACAGGCGCCAGCCACCATGGCTGGCTGTATTTTTTTTTTTTTTTTTTTTTGTAGAGACAGGGTTTCACCATGTTGTCTAGGCTGGTCTCGCACTCCTGACCTCAAGTGATCCACCCACCTTGGTCTTCCAAAGTGCTAGGATTACAGGTGTGAGCCACTGCATCTGACCTCAATGGTTCTTCTAAATAATGTTTTTTTTTTCCCTCTCTGATAGCTTTTAAGATTTTCTCTTCTTTCCCTGACACTGTATAATTTCACTCTGATATAGCTTAGTATGTACTTATTTTTATTATCCTGCTCAGTAGTTGGAGTTCAAGTGTATTCTAAGGACATATGCTTCCTTCAATTCTAAAAAAATTTCAGCCACTAACTTGTGGCTCTATTCTTCCTTGTAGTCAGGGAGAGTCCTATTATACATATGCTGTCATTTATTAATTTTTATCCTTGTCTCTTATTGCTCTGTCATATGCATTTGTGTACATGTATATATGTGCTTGTGTGTACATATATTACACTTAAGTATAATTCATTTTTCTGTTTTTGCTACTGTGCTTTGACAAATCCTAACTACCTTCTGATTCATGAATTCTCTCTTCTACTATGTCCTATCTAGGGTTTTTCTTATTCATTGACTTGTTTTGAATTTTGATTATCATATTTTCATTTTTCAAGACCTCTTTATTTTCATTTTCATCTGTCCTTTACAAATTTTCCACTTTTATTTTATAATTGTCCTTTCTAAGGCTATATTTCCTTCATTTTTGTCATTTCAGGGCCTACTAACATGTTTATTTTAAAGCCTTTGTCTGATTATGCTATACAGTAAAATTCAATTGAAGTGAATTCAAGCTCATATTGTTGTTTGTTGAACATCTTTCTTAGCATTATATAATTTTCATGTCATTTGAAATATCCTATTATCTCTGTGTTTTGGCCTTTCATGGCTCCTATAATCTGCAGTCTTAAGTAGAGTCAGTAGTCATTTTCTTAACCCTGTTTTCATGAATTGAACATCTTTACCAAACCCTGACTTAGTCAGTAGGTCTTTCTCTGATTTCGTTTTCAGCCTAGTGGATCATTATTATTCTCCATAATTCCACAGGAACCAGACTCCGAATTACTCCTCTTTGCCCTTGACCCAGAGCGCAGCTCCCATTTTTCATTTCTTTTCCATATCAGGTTTATGAAACTGTTTATTTCTTTTTTAGCACAGTTTAAAAAATTTTGTTATTGTTTGTTTTTTTCCACATTTTTTACTGTTACTGCTATGTATTTGCAGTAGAAGGAGTATTTCAAAGTGTGAATTTACTGTTCTATCTCTTCTGAGCTCTTGTATTATATCATTTGTTGGAGATTAAGTGAAAAGTTTGCTACCTGAATCCTACTCATTGCAATTATTTCCTACCTGGCTCCTTGCAGATGAAGCAGAGCCCAAACTAAGTGAAGGAGTGCAAAGTGTTCTAAAGTACATGATTATCAAATAAAGCTGCTTGGAGAACTTGATGGGGCCTTTCCCCCTTCTCCCATTGTTGGATATTGGGGCCTGATAATTCTGACCTCCTAATACCCATCCCCACCTCAACCCACTTACAGGTTGAGAAACTTTAAAGAGCAGTCACTCCTCACTGGGGTGTTGCTATTAGTGGGTACCACCTTGCCCCAGTGGTCTTACATCAAAAGCTAAGTAAGCCAAGAGGTCAAAGCATGGGATGTTCTTCACAGAAATCACAGGAGACCAGAGGTATCAACTCTCTCCAATTCTCTAACCATATTAATCACCCTGGCTTCTTATGGGAGGATCAGTTTCAGGGGTTGTACAGGGCCTAGAAGTGTTAGCACCAGGCTGCTCTCTACCCTGTAAAAACATGAGAAGCTGAGAATACAAGTATTCCCTTAATTCTTCTAATCCAGTAATTCTATTTTCAGGAATCAGTCCTGACCAGAGGTATGGCCAAGACTTATGAATAAATATATTTTCCTTACTTTTACCTATAATAGTGAAAAATTGGGAAAAACAAACCCTGATGTCTAAAAATTATAATCAGTTTATATAATGAAATATCACATAGCTTTTCAGATTTTTAAATTTTAAAAAAGTGACATGATACGTGATCACAATACAATCTTAAACAAGCCAGATTACATATTATAATATATGCTATAATTTTAGTTTTTAAAAACAGAACAGGAACAAAATACATCAATGTATTAATAGGTTACCTTTCTATAATTTAAAAGGCTTCTTATATAACTATATATTACTTTTATAACCAGACAAAATATGTTGTTAAATAAAATGCTATCTGTGTTCTAATATATATATGATCACTATAAACAACAAATTTTTATACATAAAATGACATATAAAACTGAGTGTTAAGTTAATATCCAAACACCTGCTATTACAAAGAAGTTTCATTGTACTTAACTGTACGTAACTTTCTGTTCTAAATAGTTAATGTAGAGATAAGAAATAGAATATGAGTTGCCACATATAATTTAAAAACTTTTCTTGCACGCATTAAAAAAATCTCTAAAAGAAAATAAGATCACACACAATCTTTTTATAGCAGGGTGAAAAATGTCTCATTAGGTAATGTGCATGTTGGCATAAAAATGAACGTAATTTATATTTGAATTTTTGGCTAATCAAATGACATATGTTTTATTGTCTTGCAGTTATATTAATGAGCAATATTTAATTAAAAGCTAATTGAATATTCCAAGCAGCAATTATCTTGCAATAGAGATGCCAAATCTGACATGAGGAGGCAGGTGAGCAGAAAGCAGAACTTGTGTAATTATTCCTCTGGGAGATGGAGAAGAAGAGACCACACCAAGCATTGCCACAGTAAGAGATTAGTGAAGATTCTGCCCTAAACAAAACCATTTCCTTTGTTGAACTTATATTGTACTTTCTTCATCAGGTAAGTTGCGTTTAACTAAAGCAACGTAGCATTCTTTAGTTCACAAATGCAATTCTTTAGACATCCTTTGAACCCCACCCAGGAAGAGGAGAGTGAGCCACACTTATTTCATTGATTGAGGTACTGATTGTGTGTGATGTAGCCTGTAACCTGGGCCGGCACACTTTAGACATGAGATGAAAGATAAAATACAAAACAAAACAAGAAAATTCCTTTAAAATCAGAAGATAATCTATCAGTTTATTTATTTATTTTTCCACAGAGAATTTTGGTTGTCACATCAGCTTAATTTAAATGAAATCTTTTTTGTTTTTGGAGACATTTCAACATTTTATATATATAAAGTAATATATATTAATATATAATATACATATAAAGTATGTATATGTTTCCCTTATTTACTGAGGCATAATTTACATATGATAAAATTCACTCATTTTAAGTATACAATTTAATGTATTTTGGCAATTGCATATATCTAGGTGACCACCAGCAAAACCAAGTCTTAGAATATTTCTATCATTCTAAAAAGTTTCCTTGCACCCCTTTGTAGTCAATTTTCTCCTTAGGCCACCAGTGTCAGGCAACCATTAAGTCTGTTTTCTGGCACTATATTTTTGTTATTTCTAGCACTTCATGTAAATGGAATCATATAATATATAATCTTTTGTGTTTGACTTTCCTCTTTTTTATTTTGGAGATTCACCCATGGTGTTGTATATTTTATATAAGTTAAAGTGCAATCATTATTAACAAGACTAAGGAATTTTCACCTTATTTATCTGCCCGTGAAGAGGAATTCAGTCTTTGCCATCTCAGGAGAGTTAATTATTCATATGGACAGAACACTCCTGCTCCCACAAATGAATTTGTTGAGGCTCTAGCCCTCAATATGATGGTATTTGGAGATGGAGTCTTTGGAAGATAATTAGGATTAGATGAGGTTATAAGGGTAGGACCCTGATGATGGGATCAGTGCTCTTGTAAGAAGAGAAAGAGAGGCCCAAACTCTTTCTGTCTCTCTTCCATGTGAGGACACAGTGAGAAGGTGGCCATCTTCAAGCCTAGAAGAAAGCCCTCACTGGGGAACTGATTAGGCTGGCACCTTGATTTTGGGCTTCCCAGCCTCCAGATCTGTGAGAAGTAAATTTCTGGGGTTTAAGCTCTGCAGTTTATGGTATTTTGTTATGGCAGCCCAAGTTGACAAATATCTTTAAGATTTGTATTTTTGGTATTTTTCTGGCAGAGAGTTGGGAGAATGGAAAGTGGAAGATAGAATTATAGATACAGGAGGGAAAAAGGAACTCAACCAGAGAGACTAAGATGACCTACATCAGTGGTACTCAAAGAGTGATCCCTGAACCATCAGTATCACCTGAGCACATGCTAGAAATGAAAATTTTTGTGTGCCATCAGAGACCTCCAGAATCAGAAACTCTGGCATGAAGCCACCAATCTGTGTTTTAACAGGCTCGCCAGGTGATGCTGATGCACATTAAACACTTAACATAAAAAAGGACTGTATTGAGAGAAGAGAAGAGGAAGAAGGCTGATACATCAGATGGGCTAAAGGTAGAAGAAGCTTCAGACAGAGCCCCAGTAGCAGCTGTGACTTATGAAGGAAGTAAAGATTTAAGTTAGCATTTCTGTAGATTAGGTATCGAGATCTCTTTCTGGTTTTCAAGACACAAGGCTCTGAGTCATTTTGAAATTGTCCTTGTGTTTTTGCGTGTGTTTGGTAGTACTTTTTTGAGCCTGTGCACATGTGACCTGGATTCATAAGATATATATATATATATACACACACAAACACACATCGGTTTATTCTCCACTCCACAAGTATAATTGTCCAAATGGGGGTATTGATAAATGAAGTCTGCATTAAACTAGAACTTGTCTTATACTTTTTCACAGTATTTATACAATTTTTTTTTTAATTTTTAGCATGACGGGACACTATGAGTGAAAGAAGAAAAACTTTGCAAGGCTCTGACATTAAGAAGGAGGGTGATGAAAATTTTGAGTGGCTTGCACATGTTGTATAGGAACCATGGCTTCACAGCCCTGGGCAGATGCTTGAAGCAAAGGCGCAGAACAAAGGATGAACAAGACACATAGGGTGAACATTCAGCTGCTCGCTAGGACTGTAGCTGGAGTGTTTAGTAGATGAGGGGAATAGTTTGTGCAACGGTAAGCTGATGTTGTATTGATTTTATTTTAATCCTCAATGAAAGACACTCAACAAGAATACAAAAAAAGAAAAATAAAACAAAAAGAACGAAAGCTGATTAAGTGCTGTTAGACTGCTTAAAGAGCACTAAGAAAGCCTGTCTCAAACAACCTGGTTCATGTTATTGCTCAACAAGGGAGAGAGCTGCTAAGAGTAAAGCCTTAATGGTATCTTGAAAAAAACTTTGGGTTTTTATGAGCCTAGGATTGTAATTAGGTTTAGAGCTTGAGTGGTTTGGGGATGGGACTTAACAATTTGGGATTAGGTAAAGCAGGCCAGTTGAAGTCACTTTAATTGACATGGGAGCATAGAGCAGGGTTTTTAGCAATTGTTACACTTAGTGTCTTAGGGTGTTTGCTTTTATCTTTCAAAGCAGTCTGTGGCAAAGCGAGCTGGGTCTTGCTTATCCACACTCTTGGTAAACATCCAACTTTAGTTTTCTAAGTTCAGTTCTAATTTCTCAGTCTTTATTTCTCATAAGAAACCATAACAAGAGACTATTTTAAACTTTTGGTAGCTTCCACTTTTTACACATTTACATATCATCTAAAAATGCTAAGTCAATATTAAGTCCATTTTGTACTGTGCTTTGACAAGTATTAATCTGATATTATCAATTACCCCCATTCTTCTTCAGTTATCTCAGATCAGAATATGATGATATTCTAAAATTTCTTGTACAACTCTTGGCCACTTATTTGCAGAGTTTCTGATTTTAGCTGTTTTAATTATATTATCTTGTCTACCTCTGCATTTTTAAATTACAAACAAATATAAAAGTATTCCCAATCTTTTTTAGTCTCTTCTTATAAGCAGCTGTCAATCCCTTTATTATTTATTCACTTTACTCATCCCTGAACCCTTAAAAGATATACAAACAGCAGGAGATTAATTGATGTATTTTCCTAGCGGATTTAGTGCAAACTATATCAGTTATTTCTGTAACTTGAGAAGTGACTGCTAAGAAAAAAAAAATGTTGCCTCTATTTTGCAGTACTCATGGCCTGTCCAAAGAAGTTAGCAGCTAAAACAGCATTCAGTATTTAATCTGGGGATAAAGCCAAGAATTAGGTAGAAAATCTTGCAAAGCAGATTAGATTTGCAATCTGAAAGCCCACACAGCCAGCTGGGCAAAGAAATATTAATTGTGTACTGAAATGCGATTTCTGACATTTCTTTTAGTCTCAGGGATGAGCAATGAAAACATGATCCTCTTTGAGCTTCAGAGGAGCTTACAGTAAATTCCAAAATATGAAAAGAGATGTGGTATTTTTATTACCACTATATCATTATCTTTCATTAACAGCTGTAATTAGTCTGAGCCAGACTGTCATCTGCTATTGAAATATCTGAAACAAATTAGACATAAGATATGTTACGGGAACAAGATTGGGAGACTGAAAATTTACACAAATGAGGCCTTCTGAAATGATGAACACAAGTCATAATAATGTTTCTGAAATAAATCAAAAACAAGACAAAAGAGAGAATGAAATCAATCAGGAGGATAGAAACCAGAATACCAGCACCTCAAAAAGTTTAATCACCATACTATAAAATCCAACTGTGGAAGGGCACTACAATTTTTATTACAATGACCAGGAGCTCTTGTAATAGCACTACTTAAGATTTAGTCTAAACAATAGAGAAAGGATCAGTTGAAGATAAGCTGTAACAGCTCACATTTGACTTTCAATGTTCTCACAACAGTTACCAGGAAAGTTTGTAGAAATTCTCCTGAAGATACTATGTTGCATTTGGTCCATAAAATATAGTATAGAAAACACTTAAGAAATGCTTAAATTTGTTGTGCTGTTTTAGCTTTCAAATGTAGTCCTCTGTCCCATAATCCCCTCCTTCTTTATGCTCCTCCTCCTCAATGACCCTCAACTCTTGGATCACAACTACCTTTCCTTCCATTCTTCCATCTCTCACTTCCTCCTCCTCCCCTCACCCTCTTCTTCTTCCTTTAAACAAGCTAATGGCTAAACAAAGTAAGAAACCCACAAACAAAATCAGATGCTCATTCAAGTAAGAACATTTCTAATTTATAAATAAACATATAATTTAGTAATTATAAATAAATACTGTTAAGTACTCAAACATTTTAGTAATAGAAGTAACTTCCTAACAAAGCTTAGAGTATACTGCTTGTAAGTTTACTGCTTTTTTAAAAAAATTATTTAAGCAATTATTAGAAAAGTACTAGAAATGGGTGGTCCAGTTCTTGGTCCAGTTGGTCAATTCTGCTGTCTTCTAGCTTTATACTTTGGCCAAATTGCATTAACTTATCTGAGCCCTATTTTCCTCCAATATGCTAGTTGATTAGATATTAAATACAATAGTGTATGTAGAGCCCTTAGCATTATACCTGCAGCAAAATAAGACTTCATTGCTATTTCCATCTCCCCACTTTTCTTTGTCTTAATAATACAAAGTAGTACTGTAGTGGTATTAATTTTCTATTGCTGCATAACAAATTACTACACCTTAGTTGCTAAAAACAATACCCATTTATTACCTCACAGTTTCCATGGGTCAGAAGTCTGAGCATGGTTTAGCTAGTTTCTCTGTTTAGGGTCTCACAAGGCTTCAAGTCAATGTGTCAGTTGGGCTCCGTTCCTTTATGGAGCTTGAGGTTCTTTTCCAAACTCTTATGGCTGTTGACAGAATTCAGTGCTTGCAGTTGTAGGATTACAGTTCTCCTTCTTGCTAGCTCTCAATGGTGGGACTACTCTCAGATACTAGAGGTCACTCCCAGTTCCTTGCCACACAGCCCTCTCACAACGTGACACCTCATTTCTTCAAGACACCAGGATCATCTCTCTCTCTCTTCTGCTAAGATAAAGTTTTATATAATACAACAATCATGAAGGTGATTATCATATTAATAGGTCCCTCTCATTCCCTGTAGAGATAATTCTACAGAGCAGGTACAACAAGGGGCAGGGATATTGGGGACCATTTTAGAATTCTTCTACCACAGCAGTAAGAGAAACAGTGAGTACTATACAGTTTATAGAGCCCAGGTAGGCTCATTTAATTAGGGAAGGTGCCATGGAGAGAGTGACATATACTCTGGTGCTTGAAGTTTAGGTAGGCCATGCCCAAAAAGTTTGCAGTAATAATCAAGGAGGTCAAACAAATCTAGTTCTTAGGAGATTAGAGCGTTTGCCTGCCACCACACCTTGGATAGGTAACTTAACTTTTATAATTCCACATTCTCAGTTATAAAGGTATTTTAGCATGGCAAAGACTGGTAGTTTTTCCCTTATATCCATTTCCTCCATTTTCCATAGAAGGAGAACCTCAGTTTTCAGCTGGACACGTGACCTGTTGGAATAAAGATTCTACTTCTAAACTTCCTTTGCAGCTAGATTGGCCACTTGTCTAAGTAGCTAAGTTCTGCCCAATGGGATGTAAACTGATGTAAGTGGTATGCTCGACTTCTTGGAAATGTCCTTAGAGAGATAGAATATGCCTCTCTTTTTTCTTTTCTTCTTATGGCTGAATAAAATGTGAACACAATGTTTGTAGATTTAGCAGCTACATTAAGCCATCAAAGTATCTTGGAAATGGAAGTTATACATAGCAGAGCAACAAGAATGAAGGAGTATGGGTCTCTGTCATCATGAAATGTCATTCCTGTCTTGGACTATGTTTGTACTTCTTAAACTTGAAAAAAAAAGCCGTTAAACCACAGTTATTTTTGGTTTCTCTGTTACTTGCAGCTTAATCTAATTGTAATGAATACCTCCACTTTATAAAAAATCTATGAAAGCAGCAAGCAATTGAATTCAAAATATATAAATCATTGAGATAAAAAGACATATATATATGGTTTTAAATGATTGAGTCAGAATAGTATTTTAAAATATTAATTCAGAAGGCATTTGTCATTATGTTTTTGTGACTCATGTCCAGACTTGTTCCTATATTGGGGAATTCTCCACCTTGTGAATCTCAGTGGTAGGTAGAGTCAACCCGCTGAAAAGCATGGCTTCTAGCTTTCCCAGAAACCCTTGCACCCACGGTAGGGACATACGACCTTAGCTTCATTAAAAAGATACTTATCTCCCAGACTCTGAACTGGGGTCTCATGATGCAAAAGAAGACCGGAAGGCACATTCTCTTATGGTGGTGGCACTTGTAGGAAAGTCTGGTTTTCATGATAGCTGTGGCTGTGTTGTGGAAGGCAGTGTCCAGGGCCCAGAGCTGGTGATGTTGATTTGTCACAGTGTCTGGAGCTTGGCAGTAATAACAATGATGTCTGCAAAGGACCATTTTTGTCACATAATTTTGTATAAACATACAAAAGCTGGTAGAGTTTCTTAAACCTAGTTTTTCTGGGCCTCCTGATAATTCTATAAGCTATCTCATATCTTTTTTTATAAAAAAATTTAAAAAATGTATTTTTATTATAAATTGACAAATTAGAGTTATATATATATTTATGCGGTACAAAGTGATGTTATAATCCAAGAATACAACGAAGAATAATTAAATCAAGAGAATGAACATGCTCTATCCTTTTAATCAATTAATTTTCTACTTAAATTAGCCAGTTGTTTTTTGTGTTTTGAAATGAAGAACTCTGACTGATATTTCATGATTGGCTTTTATTCCCTTTGTGGCCATTGCATTCTTCAACTGCACTTTTGAAGGCATCCCTTCTATTCCTTTCAATCCAGACAGTGAGCTATGGGTCATTTACTTCAGATTAAAAAGTATTTAACTCTCTACTTTTTCTACATGCGGTGTAGGCAAAAGATGCCTCAGGTAGGTAAAGGGAAGATGAGTAGGAATACAAAGACAGAAGATTATAAGATCTGGAGACTTTGATGAGCCTTCAAAGGAACAATAAACCATTGATGGCCAATACCAGGATTCAGTTGTGTTCTTGTTGCTATCTAGTGAGGACCGTTAATCAACCACAACCAGGGCATCAGTTGATCTGCTGATCATTTGATAGGATTGATGCTAATCTGTGGTCCAATACTTGCTTAGCACCCCATCCAACCTACCCTGTATTGAACCTGTTTAATAGCCTAAGGCATTTATAAACCTCCCTAGAAATTTATGGTAGGACCCTGAACACCAAAATCCTCAGGATAGCACAAAAGGTAAATCCCCTATATCTTCCTGATGTAGGATTAGACAAAGTTAGCTTCATATTTTTCAGTGAACCAAAAGAATGGTGGATCTTCTCCACTCCAACCGTGATTCTAAATTTTATAATTATAACATGAGTTGCCTACTTAGATACTTTATTTTAGTTTTGGTTCCTTTATGGCACAGAAACATCATTGTTTATTATTAGGGGTAGGGGTCCTAGAAAGAGGAGGGTAAGACTAATGTATAAGATGCTTTTCAGACATTAGGAGAGGCTAGAGGAAACTGAAATTGTTTGTCATGATGCTTTTCTTCTCCCTTAGGCAAGGGGAGAAATCAGAAGAGCTCAGGTATGATAGTTATTTATGTAATGTTGGAAAGAAAATCTTTCTGGGAATAGAACAAAATAAATGAACCATAAAAGGAGGGATGAATTAGACTATATAAATATTTCTGCATGGTAAAAGTGTAAGTAAAACAAAAAGGAGAAGGATAAAATGAGAAAGCTACCTGCAACATATATGATAGACAAAGAGTTGATATACTTAAAAAAGGTCTAATGCATTCATAAAGAAAGAAGAACCATTCTGATTTGAAGTTGTTGGTAGGCATTGAAGAAACATACCTTTAAGTAATAAAAGCCATCTATGACAAATTCATAGCTAACATCATGCTGAATGAGCAAAAACTAGAAGGATTATCTTTGAGAAATGGAATAAGACTAGCATGCCCACTCACACCACTCCTATTCAACATAGTGCTAGAAGTCCCAGCCACAGCAATCAGGCAAGAGAAAGAAATAAAAGGCATTCAACAGGAAAAGAAGAAATTAAACTATCTCTCTTCGTTAATGATATGATTCTATACCCAGAATACCTTAAATATTCCACCAAATGCCTCCTGGAACTCATAAATGACTTCAGTAAAGCTTCAGGATACAAAATCAATGTACAAAAATCAGTAGCATTTCTATACACCAATAACATTCCAGCTCAGAGTCAAATCAATAATGCAATTCCATTTACAATAGTCACACCCACAAAAAAACCCTAGGAATCCACCTAACCAGGAGGTGAAATATCTCTACGACAAGAACTACAAAACACCACTGAAAGAAATAATATATAACACAAACAAATGGAAAAATATTTAACGCTCATGGATTGGAAGAATCAATATCATTAAGATGTCCATACTGGCTAAAGCAATTTACAGATTCAGTGTTATTCCTATTAAGCTACCAATGTAATTTTTCACAAAATTAGAAAAAATGATTCTAAAATTCATATGGAACCAAAAAAGAGCTTGAATATACACAGCAATTCTAAGCAAAAAGAACAAAGCCAGAGGCATCACATTACCTGACTTTAAACTATACTATAAGGCTACAGTAACCAAAACAGCATGGTATTGGAATAAAAACAGATACACAGACCAACGGAACAGAATAAAGAACCCAGAAATGAATCATTTGATTGTTGACAAAGTCAACAAAAATAAGTAATGGGGAGAGGACTCCCTATTCAAAAAAACCATGCTGGAATAACTGGCTAGTGATATGAGGGAGAATGAAACTGGATCCCTATTTTTCACCATATACAAAAATTAACTCAAGATGGAGTAAAGATTTAAGTGTAAGACCTCAAACTACAAGAATCTTAGAAGAAAACCTAGGAAACATCACCCTGGACGTCAGACTTGGAAAAGAATTTTTGACTAAGCCCTTAAAAGTAATTGCATCGAGACTATCCTGGCTAACATGGTGAAATCCCATCTCTACTAAAAATACAAAAAAATTTGCTGGGCGTGGTGGCAGGTACCTGTAGTCCCAGCTACTTGGGAGGCTGAGGCAGGAAAATGGCGTGAACCCGGGAGGCGGAGCTTTCAGTGAGCCGAGATCGTGCCACTGCACTCCAGCCTGGGCAACAGAGCGAGACTCCATCTCAAAAAAAAAAAAAAAAAAAAAATGTAATTGCAACAGAAACAGAAATTGACAAGTGGAACCTAATTAAACTACAGCGCTTCTGCACTCAAAAGGATCTATCAACAGAATAAACAGACAACCTACAGAATGAGAGAAAATATTTTCCAAGTATGCATCCAGCAAGGGACTACAGCAAAGGACTAATATCCAAGATCTATTAGGAACTTAAACAATTGAACAAGGCAAAAAACAACTCTACTGAAAATGGGCAAAAGACATGAACAGAGAGTTCTCAAAAGGAGACATAAAAGTTGCCACAAAACATATGAAAAAAATGTTCCACATCACTAGTCAACAGAGAATTGCAAATCAAAAGCACAGTGAGATATCATCTCATACCAGTCATAATGGCTGTTATCAAAAAGTTAAACAAACAGATACTGGCAAGGCTGCAGAGAAAAGGGAATGTTTATACACTGTTGATGGGAATGGATATTATTTCAGCCACTGTAGAAAGCAGTTCGGAGATTTCTCAAAGAACTTAAAAGAGAACTATCATTCAACCCACTAATCCCATTACTAGGTGTATATCCAAAAGAAAATAAATTATTCTACTATTTTTATTTATTTTATAAAATATAATGTTTTATGTAACTGAAAAATGAGTTTCAAAATATTACATAAAGCATCATCCCATTTATTCACTTAAATGTATGTCTCTGTATAGGAAAATAATTTACGGACAATACATATAAACAAATGTTTAGGACTGGTTATCTTTGGGTGATGGCATAATAAAAGATTTTGTCTCTATATCATTTGTTTATTATTATATTTTTCAAGTTTTTTTTGCTTTGAATATGGAAAATGGTAGTACCATGATTAGAAAACATATATTTTCTAAATGCTGTTTAGAAAATAATTAAATGCAAAAACCAAAACCATAAAAGAACCAGAAGGAAACATAGGAGAATTATCTTATCTCTCTGCAGTAAAAAACTTTCAGTGCATAAAAGCAAAGAAGGAATTGACAATTTTCAAAACTTGAGATATTTGCCATTATAAAAATTACATGCAGCAATAAAACATATTAGCTATATTTAAATTAAAGAAGAAAACCTGGAAAAATATTTGCAAATGTATCTATCAATCAGTAGGGATAGACTAACTTTTGTTAAAGTAACAACCACAAAATAGCAAGAGCTTAACACAAGAGTTTACTTCTTATTCATGTAATACAGCCAATGTGGAGCAATGAGAGAGCTCTACTAATTGCAGCCACTCAAAGATCCAGGTTGGCATATGTTCCTATCTGATTAATAAAATGAAAACAAACGCTTTAAAATCTAGCATTAAGATGTGTAGAGAAAAAGCTTAATTCTGCTATTTGAATTGCTCATTGGGAGTGTAGCATAGGTTGCAAATTTTCTGGGGGGAAAAAGCCACCAGCATATGATTCTCAGTAACTAATTTCATAGACATAATCTGCATAGAAAAATGATTAGAGTAAAACACAAAGTATTTTTACTTATTTTTGGTTAAAAAACTTTAATTATTATTATCATTTTTTTTCTACAGGTGAGCAAGAGAAAAGCATTAACAAATTTACTTAATTATTTGAGGCAAGATCTCACTCTGTCCCCCAGACTGGAGCATTTTTAAATAGAGATAGAGTCTTACTGTGTTGCCCAGACTAGTCTTGAACTCCAGGGTTCAAGGGATCCTCCCACCTCAGCCTCCCAAAACGTGGGGAATTATAGGCATGGGCCACCGTGCCTGGCCACAAAGTATTTTTAATAGTAAATATTTCTAGATTGGCGATGCTTAGTAATTACAGGTGATTTCTATTTTCATCTTGCATTTTTAAAAAATTTTTTGTTTTACTTTAAGTTCGGGATACATGTGCAGAATGTGCAGGTTTATTGTATAGATATACATGTGCCATGGTGGTTTGCTGTGCCTATCAACCCATCATGTAGGTTTTAAGCCCCACATGCATCAGATATTTGTCCTAATTCTCTCCATCCCCCTGCCCCAGATCCCCCAACAGACCCTGGTGTGTGATGTTTCCCTCCCTGTGTCCATGTGTTCTCATTGTTCAACTCTCACTTATGAGTGAGAACATGCGGTCTTTGGTTTTCTGTTCCAGTGTTAGTTTGCTGAGAATGATGGCTTCCAGCTTCATCCATGTCCCTCCAAAGGACACAATCTCATTCTTTTTTATGGCTGCATAGTATTCCATGGTGTATATGTGCCACATTTTCTTTATCCAGTCTATCATTGATGGGCATTTGGGTTGGTTCCAAGTTTTTGCTATTGTAAATAGTGCTGCAATAAACATACGTGTGCATGTGTTTTTATAGTAGAATGATTTATAATCCTTTGGGTATATACCTAGTGATGGGACTGCTGGGTCAAATGGTATTTCTAGTTCTAGATCCTTGAGGAACTGCCATACTGTTTTCTACAATGGTTGGACTAATTTACACTCCCACCAAGTGTAAAAGCGTTCCTATTTCTCCACAGCCTTGCCAGCATCTATTTGTTCCTGATGTTTTAATAATCACCATTCTGACTGGTTTGAGATGGTATCTCATTGTGGTTTTGATTTGCATTTCTCTAATGACCAGTGATGATCAGCTTTTTTTCATGTTTGTTGGCCGCATAAATGTCTTCTTTTGAGAAGTGTCTTTCGTATCCTTCGCCCACTTTTTTCTATACTTTCAAACATGTCCCTAATGAGTATGCTATTTGGAAAGGAAAGGGTCAGCAGCAACTGTGCATTTTTTCTTTTACTTTTTGGAGGAAAGCCTGGGGAAAGAAAGAGGGATGACTTGGTCAAGTACCTTTGTAAATATGCTAATGATAGACTGTCTGGCATACAGATCAGTGGTATTTAATAGTGATAGATTATTTATCTACTACATACTTTTTAGCAAGAGGTACCTGGTGTGTCTAGACTTGCTTATATGTAGTAAGTAAACCTGGAATTTATGGGTTTCCGGGGCATGGCTCACTAGAAAGTGTCAGATAAACTGTGTAGTTTAAAAGTATAAAATAGGGATATTTCCTGACTAAATTAGCTCCCTTTTGTATAATTGCTACCTGCATCCCCCACATAAAGACCTTGTATATTTAATCTCAACCAGAGCATGTCTTAATGTGGCAAGAAATACCTGGGGTGCAGTGTGGGCAACTTTTCCATGCTGTCTGTGCCTTGTGGTTCCCTGAATTCTTGAAGTTATTGGTAAGACTTGAAACTGGTTAAGATCTCTGATTCCTTGTGTGTCTGATTTGACAATCTGATACTTTGTATTAGCTTATATTGCTTTTGTTACCAGAAAAAAATGTTTAAGAAATACAAAACAGGCAATAAACTCATAAGAACATAAAGTGCATGCTAGATTCGAGAAAATATAATCTACTCGTTTGGCTTCCAAATTTATACATGGTTTCTGGGGGGAAGATTGAATGCAATACTCACAAAAAGGCTCTGAAAATTCTATGACTGAATCAATTTAATGATCATCAGTGATGCCACTGTAATCTATAAGAATATGAATTCATCCTCAGACTTGCTATTACACCTTAAATACATGACCTCAGTCAGTCACTTGGCTGCATGGAACATTGGCCTTAGTGAGAACAATTATTTTCTGCCTTCAGCTGGAAGAGCTCACCCCACAGCCCTGATAAATAAGTCAACTGAGTCAGAGGTTGCGAGATAAAATGGTTCACTGGGCACTTGGGTTAAAGTTCCTGGAATTGAAACCTCGGTACAAAGCTTACCAGCTAAATAACTTTGAAAATTCAATGAACCTTTCCAAGCTGCAGGTTATTTATTTGTAAATTAGAGACAATCGTATCCTTTCCTTACACACAAATTGTGAGAAATGAAAGTTTATAGAGGCTAGCACTGTGCCAGACCCAGTGGAGGTGTTGTTATTAATCATATTAATGAATTCAATGTTTCCAAAAAGCTAATTACTTCCTTGCTTTCACTGAGATAAGTTCTTCACAAAACCCTCTATGTTCCTTCATACCTTTTGATATATAGTCTCTTTTTCTGACCAGTTGAAACCCTGTAGGTTACAGTACAAATGAAAAAACAAAGCAAAATAAATTCCCTTGTGGAGTTTTGAAGAGTAAATAGAAGGAAAGAAAAGTCAACATACTTGTTGATTGGCTTTTTGAGTTCAAGAATGTGACCCCAGAGAAGTTTGGACTGAAGTTAAGACGGCTGTTGTGGATTTTATATATGTATTGATTTTCAACCTATCTAATAATCATTTCACCATCTTTTCCAGTTTTCAGAAAGCTCTCTAATACCTTGAACCTTACCAAGCTCCCAATGAGTTATTCAAATAGCATAGCTGAGCAAGTACCTACTGTTGCCAAAGAAAACTGCTCTATTTTCTTCTTAGCTCAGTATCTTTATTTAATACTTACTGTCAAAGCTGATGGGATTCCAAGGCCCTGATTTCTGTCTGCTGGCCTAAGAGTGACATTTTCCATTTCTATAAATCCTTTGGTAGCAATAGAAAGAGGAGCTCTTTTTGATTTTAATCTAAATAGATTTTTCTCATTTTGGAGATGTTCATCTTTAACCAGTTAACAGAATAAGGTAAATCTAGTTCTCCTGTGTGCCCAGGACATACGGCTGTGAAGGTGGATTGCTAATTTTGTCCAGTTCTACTTGACACATGCAGAATAACCCTCTTTTCCCACCAGGGCACTATACTTGACTACAGCAAGAGCCCTTACTGCATTCTGTATGGATGTCACGGAACTCCAAGCATTCAACAGTAATGACTCTGAAGTTACATTTCTTTTCGATGGTTTCATCTCCTGAAATTCATCTTTCTAATTTCTGCTGTTCTGAATCCCAGCAGAGTTATGATGAGCTTAAGTGTTCATCAATTAATGTCAAAATCCAATGTAACACCTCCAGAATGGCCTTTGACAACCACTGGAATACAAAATGAATTCACTAATGATCAGCTCCTGAGCAGAAAGAGTCTTAGGAATTTGTGATGATGGGACATTTAGGCTCAATTCATAAAATATGCATGGGTTTTTAAAATAGGAATTCAAAAAATTTGAGCACAGAATAAAATGAGGGCACAAAGAACAGTCAGATGTTACTGAGAACCTGAAACTTTTTTTTTTTTTTTTTTTCAGAATTAGAACTTTTCTTTTGGTTGAATACAGTTTACCCTGGCACTTGCTAGGAAGAAAATTCAGAGGCCTCTCTGAAATATCAACTCTTTCTGACTCATATTTTGTTGGTATTTATTTTGTTGTAATAACAAAAAAGGGGCATTTCTATTACTTGTAAGTGCTTCAAAGCAATTGTATACTGATGATTTTCAATAGAATAGGCTTATTTTCTTCTGGGGCTAAAATAATAATGCACATGTATTCCTGTGCAAATTCTCATGTGCTCCATTCCTGCTTTATTACATCCACGTCATCAGCTGATAGGGCCCTACAACTACCAATTTTGGCCCAACCCAATTAAGGAAGGTTTCCAGCACTCCTCTGTCTAGTAAGGGGCTCAGTTCCAAGCAGAACCATGTGACTTTCTACCTTCTGCATGGGGAAGTACACTATCCTCAGTGTGCCATAGGGAGCCCATTGACCTCTGCCTATCTTTACAATATCCTCCCACTATGAACTTTGATTCTGGATGTTATAATCAGCATCTGCTTTCTGCCAACTCTGTGCTGTTTCCTTCACACTTCCAGTTTATTGTATACAATGTTTTTCTTGGAATTCCATTTACCGTTTAACTTCCTGAAAGACTCCCTCTCGGTGTTAGGCAGAGTGAGGCTTTCTCTCCTTTGTGTCCCTATAGCACTTGATTCTGTCTTACAGCCTTTATCACATTTTGTTGAAGTTATGTCTGCATCTGACTCTTGTATCACTTCATCCTTAGCCCCTAGGAATGGAACCAGTGCATAGTGAGAGCTCAATATTAATTAAATGAGTAAAAGAGTCAATAAATGACTGGATGACGGAGAACTGGTATCATACAATCTATATACTCCCTGCCCCTCATTTTATTCCTAGCCTCAGTAAGGCAATTTGGGTTCTCATGGAGCTGTTTCAAATTCACAGAGTCCTATGGCAGGAAGAGAATTTCAGATTATTTTATGTTCCCAAAAACTAGTCAATTCTATTTATTATGATAAATACTCCCAGTCATATGTGTTAAGTTGGGTAGTTGGTATGTAATTTGATTTTAGATTAACCCGAAGATCCTTCTGCTCTCACCTTCACTTCCTTGTAACAAATGCTTAAAAAATGGCTCTCCCTACAGGTAAACTTAACAACAGATATATTCACTCATTTCCTCAAGTGCATTTCAAAAGCATCATGAAATGCTTTTGAGTAAGGGACTCCATGGGCAACTAACTTTGTGGGCTGTGCCTGACTGTAGTTAGCCATGTCAGTTTGGGTCTTCTAGGAAGCAAATGCTAAAATAAGATTAGACACCTAAGAGATTTATTGGGGAAACATCTGAAGCATACAGGGGAAGAATCAAGTGGAGACAGAAAAGGAGGGGGATTGAGTAGGAAGAAATTTAGATTACATTGCATGCTAAGAACGTTTCAGCCAGGATAAGGGGTCCTGGAGCTGAAGACACCTATTAGAGGAGTCCCTTAGGGATAGGCTTGTATTAGTGCCCATACTGTGCAATGCCCGTGAAAATGTGGCCTCAACACAAACACACTGGTGGACTCAGAGTGGTGAGGCAGCTGGGGCTGTCAGTTGACTTTGCTCTTTGCAGCAGGAGATCTGAGAGGTGCATTTTCATGGCTGTCACACACACTGTATTCTAAAGGTACTTTGTCTGTATCACTTCATTTAATCTTTATGACATACTTATGAAAGTGGTAAAGTCTTTTACTATCTCCATTTCTTCAAGGCATAGAGAGGTTAAGTAACTTGCCCAAAAGTCTAGATCTGATGTGATAAGTGATAGATCTGGGATTTGAACCTAAGAAGTCTGGTCCCAGAGACTGAGAGCTTAAACACCACATTGTATTGTCTTACAATTTTCCCTTTTGGAGCACTGTGATGTACCTTCCCATTATCTCACTTCATCCTACTGCTATTTGAGCTTCTTATTTCGCAATGTACGTATCCATAATCAAGGATCTAAGAAGTAAGTAATCTGCTTACATTTGTTTAACCTGGTGTTTTCCATATTTAATTGCCCATGAAATCCATAGTTCATGCTATCTGTGTTCTCTGGAACATAGGTACGTGGGAAAATATACTAAGTTAAAATGACTGGCGATGAATCCTTCCTAAAGAGCAAGGTTTCATATGAGGGGTCAGGGAGTCATTGTGAAGGATGAACACACTTACGTGGGCAGAGATATGTTGCCATGAAGGCAAAGGGAGCAAAAGATTAGGATTCAGCCTAGCAGAGTTCAGGCTTCAGTTCCACTGCTTTCTAATGAGGTGGCTAGTTTGTGAACTAAGACTTAGCTTCAGTGCTTTAGCTGTCAATCATGGATCACAGTGCTGACTTCCCATGGTGATTTTTCAAATTAAGTATGCATTCATATAAAGGTATTTATCCCAGTGCTTGGCACATAATAGCTGCCATCAATTAGCAATTTTCTTCCTTGGCTTTCCCTCATAGAAAGACTAACTGTACCAAATTTATCCTTTAGCCAAGTGCTGGATTTCTCAGTGATAGCGCCTGATTGACCCAGGTGCACTGGCTCGTTGTTTCAAGATATCCACTGGGAAAATTAATTGGAATCAGAATGTTTTCTGGTAAGAAAGGAAAAATGTGGATTTGAGGAAAAGTCCATATTTGAACTTTGATTGTAGTCAAAGGGCATCTGTTTTTTAAGATGTACCTTAGGGGACAGGAGAGCTTGGAAGATTTGTTTTATCCTCCTTTGCTTTCCTCATATTGTAAAGATAAAAGTTGAACATCCAGAAATGAAAGGGCGGAAAGGTGGAGGAACTATTGGCTCTGGAGAAGAGAAGGGCAGAGAAAGGCAGATACATTCACCTTGTTCTCTGGGAAGAAAGCAGTCGGCAGGTCCCTGTGCTGACTGCTCCTGCTGTTCTTCTCCTCCTCTTATACTCTGTGACTTACCCATGGAGTCCCCACTTCTGTGCTATGGATGAGGTTGGGGGTAAATAGGGCATGAACATTAGGACTTTTTTACATATGAGGGGAGATAGCACTGGAGACATGATTGCATGCCATTCTTCTTTTTCTGTAATCCCAGGGCTATAAAATAATCGATTTCCCTTTTCTTTCCCCTTAAAGACCTTGCTGCCTTCTCCCTCCCGTCCACAGGATGAGCTCTCCAGGGAGGCTCCTCCTCCTTTGGCTCTCCCTTCTTCATTCAGTCTTTCTGGTTTTACATCTCCTTTTCCATCCCTGCCCCTCTGATCCCTTCTCTTTGTTCCTTCTCTACACTCTGCACAGGTTATTCATATGACAGTCTCATCTTCTTTCCATTTCCAGGACTTGGTGCTTCCCCAGGTTTCATCCTGCATGTGTGTATGCTACTATTTGAGCGTCTTTAGTCTTTAAGGGCTGCCACTGGTAGAGATGCCCCTTGCCAGAAGGCAAGAGCTGTTTGCTTCTAAACATGTATCAATATGTACCTGGTTCTGATCTTTTGTCCTTTCTGGTACAAAGAGACAGATACAGTGATGAGGAGTAAGTGGGCTGCGGCATGAATTGTATGACCATTCCCTTCCCTCCAGCCTAGAGAGACCAATGTTTATTTTTGAGCCCTGTAAACTCTTTTTTTGATTACAAACCTTTTTCCTCCCCAGAAGTAGTAGGTTTATCTTATTTCTCTTTTTTTGTTTTCAAATTCCACTAATCCTTCAAGGTTCAACACACATGCTGCACCATCTGGAAACCTTCCCTGAGCTCCCTGTCAGAGGGAATTATTCACTCCTCTCCGTTCTCAGGAAATCTTGTTTTGGCTTCCTTTATGGCTCTCTGCATCAGTGTGATTTTCATGGCAGGTAGTTTTAGTGTCCTTCTGTGCTAAACTGTCAGCTCCCTGAGGGTATCTTCCTCAAATCTGCAGCACCTGGCTCAGTCAGCTCTTTTGAAAACAGCAATGATTCTCAAGCTTTAGCAGCTGAGAGATGAAATATACAACCAGACAATGGCCAGAGTATAGATGACAATGAAACCTAACCCAACCCAACCCAATCCAACACAACACAACCTCTAACTAATGCTTGCAGCAACCAGCCCAAGAAGCCAAACCATAACCTCTGTAGCAAATGGCCCAGAACGGTTGGGACTTGGCCAAGAAATGCCAGCTTCATGAGTTTTTGACCCCACTTCTAACTCAGAATCAACTAGAGAAAGTGAAATATGCTCCCAAATCAATCCTATAGGCTGCTCCACTTTTAATAGCCTTCGTCTAGCTTCCCATGTCAGTAAAGCATTCCCACCCTTTGAGTCCCTGCCAAATATAAGTGATGGTGACTGACTCCCTTACTATAGCAAGCTCTGAATGAAGAGCCTCTGCTTAGTCTTATTTGGGTGGTCATTTATTTTTACATGGCATAAGAATCATCTGGAGATCTTGTTAAAATACAGATTGCTGGGTCCAGTGCCCAACTTCCAATTCAGCAAGGTGGAGCCTGAGATTCTGCATTTTTAATAGTCCCCAGGTGACCTTCAATCAGCACTGAGATGGAGTGGTCAACTGAAGGGATACTATAAGGAATTATTCATCTATGTTCTTCCACCACCAAATTTCCTTTTCTTTTGCCTTGCCCTCATTTGTCTGGGGAGGCCATCCTAAGTTCAGTACCTCAGAGAAGAAATGAGGCAAGCAAGAAGGAAATACACAGGAAGTTTCCTCCTGGTTTTTATTTCACAAAATTTAAACTTTTAGGGTAATGGTCCCCAACCAGGGCCCATTTTTCTTGCCACAGAGAACACTTGGAATTCTTAGTTGTCACAACTTGGGGGTATCTAGTGGGTATTTTTAGGGTGCTGCTAAATCTCTTACAATCCACAGAACAAGCTCCCACCACAAAAATTATTTAGCCAAGAATATCAATATGTTGAGGTTGAGAAACCCTGGTATGGAGGAGTAGAGGTGCACAGACTGAGTGAGAATTAGGGGTTTGAGGCAGGAATGGCTTCCTCCAACTTCTAAGAGTCCCCGGGTTGGGGCAGCTAAAGCAAAGAGGGAAAGAGATGAGAGCAGAGGTGTCTGAGGTATTTCCCTATATAGAGGAGCCTTGAACTATGTTCCCTGAGTAGACCTCTGGGGAAACAGAAGGACTTGGAGGCTGGGGCTACAAGTTGAATCTGACTCAAGAGGGAAAAAGTGGTGTGATGAACCCTAATGGGCTGAGATGATTTTCCAGCATAATCAGAGCCTGTGGGAAAATAAATCTTTCTTTATTTCTCAGAGTTCATGGATAATCTTCTCTGCTCCAGAAACCTTGTGTGTGCATTCAAGATAATATTAATAAATATGGATATTAAAAACCTTACAGGGCCCAAAATAGCAAATAAGCTGACTTAGAGAAAAAGAAAAAGAACATTTCCTGCACATCTGAGTTTTGGCCTGAGCTTCTAAAAGTCAAAATCCTCTACCCCCACACAGCCTAGATGCTGGGAATCAAAGCCATGCCTTACCGTCCGCATTAATATGAGTTTGTGCTATTCCTCTGTCTTCATTAGCATGATTTTACTATTCAGGAAAATGCTTTGACTATTCATTACAGGAATTTCTCAAAAGACCAAACAGCTCTTTAGTGGAAAACATCAACAGACATTTATAACCTAAAAATTTTTTAATCCCTCTCCTCAAAATCACCACTTTATTATTTCCACCACTTCTGGACTGTTATGTGATAATTTTTACCCAATACTATCCCAGATCCAAAATTTCCCCTCAATCCCTCTTAAAATATTTGCCTTAGGTCAATCCAAGATCCAATTCTCATAGATTCTGACTTTATCTTCCCCCTTTCTCAGATACTGCCAAAGCATTGCTAGGTGGTTTTCTCCCTTAACTGTAGTAGGCAATAAAGTCAGCTTTGTCTATCAGCAGGTTGTGTTGGTGATATTTGGGGAGCCAACCTTCAATGCTCAGTGACAGCAATCAAGGAATATCATGTTTGCTGTGGGCATTTTAACTTTCCCTAGGCTGCCTTGTTTGCTGAGGCCTCTTAACTGCATACGTCAATCTACACATAGTACCTAGGATCTACTGTAAGCTAGGAATACAGTAGAATGCCTGCCTTTTGTTCACTGCTTTTTTGATTTTTGCAAAAGGCATCATCCTGTGTCTGGAGGCAAGGAGACAGTGACCAGGGAACGAGCAGTTTGGTTCACAGGGTTCTTGATTCTGGCAGGATGGTTCTTGATTCTGGCAGGATGCTTCTGGGATTTCTGGTACATTTGGATGGGTTGACTATTTTGGGGGAAATGAAAGTAAAAGCAAAATTCTCTCTATAAGACTAGTGGAGAAAGAAGCCAGTTTTATTGTTGAATAAGATTTAAACCAGAATGCAATACACATCATAGGCAATTCAATAAGAGATTGCGAAGACAGAAAGGAATCTCATCTTCTTATACAGGCAAAGAGATACAACCTATTACACACGTGTTTCAAGAGAAACCATAGTCCTCAAGTAAGAGAACTTGACAGCACCATTTGTCATGCATAGTTCATTTATCCTAAATCTCTCTGGTAAGAGGGGTGACCATCCATGTTAGCTTATTGGCTTTATCTAGAGGAAAAACAAATATCTCATATTTTTATGGCAAGAGGTAGTTTTGAGGAACTTAAGAAAAACAAAAACAAAAAAACACCTAAAAATTGGCCAGGTTCTGTGGCTCATACCTGTAATCCCAGCACTTTGGAAGGCCAAAGCAGGTGGATCACTTGAGGTCAGGAGTTCCAGATCAGCCTGGCCAACACAGTGAAACCCTGTCTCTACTAAAAAAACCAAAAAACAAAAAATTAGCCAGGCATGGTGGCAGGTGCCTATAGTCCCAGCTACGTGGGTGGCTGAGGTACGAGAACCACTTGAACCCGGGAGGTGGAGATTGCAGTGAGCTGAGGTCATGCCACTGCATTCCAGCCTGGGCAACAGAGCGAGACTCCATTTTAAAACAAAAACAAAAACAAAAACAAAAACAAATAACACCTAAAAATAGAACTACCATATTACTTCTGGAAATAGATCCAAAGAAATTGAAATCAGTATGTTGAAAGGATGTGTGCATTCTCATGTTCATTGCAGCATTATTAACAATAGCCAAGATATGGAATTAACCTAAGTGTCCATCAATGGATAAATAGATAAAGAAAATGTGGTACATATACACAAGGGAATACTATTCAGTCTTAAAAGAGAATGAAATTCTGTCATTTGGGACAACATAAATGAACCTAGAGGATATTATGCTAAGTGAAATAAGTCAGACACAGAAAAACAAATACTACCTGATCTCCCTTATACATGACATCTAAAAATATTGAACTCATAGAAGTAGAGAGTAGAATGATGTTCCTGGTGGCTGGGGGTGGGAGTAGGGAGCAAGGAAATGAAGAATTGCTGATCAAAGGGTACAAAGTTTCAGCTAGACAGGAGGAAGAAGTCTTGTGATCTATTGCACATCAGGGTGAATATAATCAATAATAATATACTATATATTTCAAAATAACTAAGAGAAAATTTATTACCACAAAAAATGTTATGTAAGTAAGGTGAAGGATATATTAATTAGCTTGATTTCATCATTGCACATTGTGTGCGTTGAGAAAAACATATCATTATACTCCATACATGTCATATAATTATGATTTGTCAATCAAAAATAATACTAATCAAAAAAGAAAAAAGGTAGTTTTGCAACTCGGAGCAAGGCTTCCAGCGTCAGTGAAGTAAGGCTCCAACCCTCCCACAGAAAGAGAAGTGCTATCTCCTTTGATGTTTGTATTTCAAAAAGATGGCTCCCAGCTTCTTGAGAAAAAATATTCCTGGGTCATAAAGTTGACAAAAGGCCTATTTAGTTTTCAAAAGAATTTATATACATTTCAAAGAGAAAAGAGAGTACTTATTATTTTAAGTTTTCTAAAATAAATGCTTTAAGAACAAGGAGGAGAGGGGAATTTCTTTCCTTATTTTAATCAGGAACAAATTAAGCCTCTTATTTTTAATTTCTACTTGTCCTTACATTATGCAATGATCTGCCTGAAGTCACCAGTTCTGGCATAATGGATATATTTCATCTCTGTGTGTGGGGAAAAAAAAATGTGTGCTTCAGTGGAAGGCCATGTACTTAAGAGCTATCTAATTATAACTTTCATTGTCCTTGCACATTTTTACAACTCTATAAGTTGCAGATAATTGATAGTAATGCATGATAATTCTTGTATATAGGCATGCAACTTCTGTCCTATCCAGTGGAACTTCAATTGACACTCCTCGTATACTGTGAAAGAGGCCAGTTTTGCTTCCATTTGCAATTCATTTCAATATTCCTAATCTATAGCTATGTCTTTTCTTTGGCTTCTCCTTTGAACCAGCTTTCATTTTACTGGTTCTCTTTCTGAGTAATAAGTTAAATCAAATTATTACATGTGTTTGTTTGATATTTGTGTAAGAGTCAGGATTTTATCTATTTAAAAAATTACCCTTTGACACCTGGCACAGTTCCAGTCTCATCAGCATTTCCAAATTCCATTCTTATTTCTAAGTTTGGCTGTATAACTTTGGAGAGACCCTACTGTTAATAGCTGATTAACATTTTAGGTGCTAGTTAGAAAAACATAGTAGAAATGGACACTGATCAGGAGTGGAGCCTTATCTGATGCTTCTGGCAGCTCCGCAGGTAACTACTGTAGGGGAGGAACAATGTCTTGTCCTTCTATCCTTCTTAGGTTCATTGGCTGGGGCCCCGGTAACAAAAGACAGATTAACAAGAGAAAAGCATGCAAATTGATTTACCATGTTTTTCATGGCACAAGAGCCTTCATAAGGAAATGCAGACGTGAAGAAATAATTAAACCGGAGTGTTTTAATGGTAGGTTTGATGAAGAGTCAATGACAAATATGATGGGGTAAAAAAAAAAAAAAGAAGAAAAGATTATGAGCTAAGGGTAATCAACTGGAGGAAACAGCAAAGCCTGTTTGTTTTGATTCTTCTTGACATCCTTTGTCTTGGAGATAAGGATCTTCCTTTCCGTGGATATAAGGAAGGCACCATGAACATGAGAGCCTTATGACCTGCTTCAGGGAAGAAGGGCAGAGGAAAGTCAGAGAGTCCCTCTGGAAACATGTTTCTCAGATTCTTTCAGCTTAAAATAGCCAACATACCAAGGTCTCATATTTTGGGGTAGTGTGATCTGAGCCCCATCATTACTGTGTAACCTGGTTTGCCCAGACAGAAAAGTGGAATACATTTCTTTGATCTGTTTTCATCAGTAGTTCTCGGTGTCCTTTATGTGATATGGTCAGCCTTTTATTTATCTAATGCACTTTGTTCTCATATTCAGGGGGAAGGTGATATTTGTTCATCTTCTTGCTCTATAATGTTATGGGTTGTTTGCTTTTTAATGTTCTCAAAATGGCATCAGGATTTATGGTATGATTCTTCTGGCTCAGTGAACCTCGTATCTCCTGTTATTGGCAGTGCTCCAATGCCTGCAGCTTCTGAGGGAGCCAAATAATAATAATAATGGCGATAATGATTTGCCCAGGCATTGCAAGATGCTGTTCATGACAAGAGGATTATTTTTTTTTCCTCTGACACCTTCAGAGGACAATCAGTTGATCTGAAACACAAGATGTCATGAACTCATAAGTGTAATAATTGAGGATGCATTTCCTGTTTTTCCCATAGGTCCCTTCATTATTGAAGCTCTGATAGTACACTCACATTTGACTCCTCACTTGTCAGGCAGTACCTGCATTGCCTTAGGCTAAGTTAGTTAATGTCTTTAAATATCAGTTTGTCCTTTTGTTGTATGAGGGTAGGGATAGTACCCATCCCCAAAAGCCTTGCCCATCTTCTTCTGTCTGTCGGCAGCTCCCACCAGCTCCCTGGAGGAAACCTCTTAGGTCTCAACTCACTTTCTCAGGAAGGGTTTCCCTTCTCTTTTCCAGGTATGATATCTTGCAGAGTTTTCATCACACTGTTCACAGTTTGTAATAATATTGAATAAGTTTGTTTATTCAATTTCTGCCTCCCCTTCTAGTGTATATAGTCCATGAGGGTATAGGTGGTGTGGGTTTTTACAACCCTATGCCTAACACTGGATGCAGTGCCAGGCGAGTAGTCAGTGCTCAATAACAAATTTGTTGAACAAATGAAATATTTAAAACATTACCCAAAACAGGGAAGTGCTTAATAAATGTTAGCATTTCTGCATTCAAAGGGAGAAATTTAGGACATTTAAAAAGCAGTAGATTGAAAATGGCCTCTTTTGGAGATTGAGATAAGCTAGGAACATCTTTTAGCATGACTTTATTGTACATGATATGTATTCCCTAATTCCCAATATCTACTTAAAAATTATATTTCACTCCAGAAGGCTCTGAAATGCTTAGTAATGTTCTGTCCTGGCTTTTCATATTATATTCTGTGTACCAAGCATCTTGTATGTTGATAGTATCTGGCTGATCATCAAATTAATTTTTATGAAAAGCTGCAAAGGCAATTGAAATTTCTTGACTGAGACTTTTAAAGCTCTGCGCCAGGATGCTACTAATTCTGTAGTTCTACTTAGTAAAAACAAACAAAAATGATTATTTAAAACAGTTCTGCATTTTCTTCTGCTGCATCACATCCAGATTATTATTGTGTGATGAACGATACAAGCCATCAATAAATACAGAGACAAGGGATGCCATGGGAGAGTCTTTGTTCGTTGAGAGGATTGACAGTTAGTCTACTAAAACCAAGGTTTCTAATTTTATTTTCCTTTATAAGGTATAGTGTAAGGATTCTCAGGGAGACAATTAAACTGGGCATTTTTTTTCCTTTTAAAATTGTATTTGGTTTGCTCAAAACGTGAGCTTAAAATTATAGCCATAGTTTTGCCTTTGGCTTCACCTGGGGGTTTCTGAAGTACAGTCACTGCTTCCAGCATTGATATGTACACACGGGTTACCATTAATGTTAGTCAGAGCTCTGAGTGTGTGACTGGCTTAGATCTCCAGGTGAAAGCTCAGCATTGCAACTCAGATGCTTGGCACGTGGGTCTTCCATTGGTGAAACACACAGAAAGCCTCTAAATCTGCCAGTGTCTTCAATGGCCTCCCTAGATGGTGATTTCTGTTATCTTTGCCCACTCAATGTGAAGCTTTCCCATTCATTATTGTGTCTGAGAAGCTCCGTGTTAGAACAGAAATGAGTTAATTTATAGGTCATTTATTGCAACTCCATCATTTTGTCAAAATGGACAGTGTGGCTTGGAGGGGTTAAACACCCTGCTTGCTGAGTAGTGGCAGTATTGAAAAGACAGTCTAGATTGTCTGATTCCTGGGTGAGAGCTCCAGTACACAGAGCTGCCTTTGCAAATGAAGGCAAAGGGGTTGTTTTTCCATTTATTTTTAATATATCTTTTCTTTATGGTTAGAGTTTGGAACCTGCAGGGAGGAATGTCTGTGTTTTACAACCTTCACCGTTGTTAATTGTACTTGGCAAGTCAGTTTGTTCCCAAAAAAGCTTAACAAAGGTTCTTGCAAAATGACTGAGGTCCTTGTCACCAAGAAGCTGAGTAAAAAACCGATTAAACATAGTTTTTAAACAGAGTCTGGTCATGTCCACACACTGATGACTTTGATCCTCTTCAAAAGCACTAGTAAAAATTGCCAAAGAATTTCATCAAGTACTCCTATCATTAATACTTTTTAAGTGAAGAAATCTAGTAGAATCATCCAGAAGTTCCACAAAGGGCTTATAAAGCTTTACTTTTCAGTGAGCTGGGGATTTTTTTTTTTCGAAACTGTAATTATTTTGCTTTCCTTAGTGCTGTAATTTCGTGTTGGGCTTCTTTTGCTGTTATTATACCTAATGCTGTGAATGAAATAGCATCTATGCCAGATGAAGAGCTGCCTGCCTTGGGTAAAACCCTGCTATCTCTTTCACATTCATACCATTTCCACTAACCCTTTCTCAAGCAAGCAGGCCTTTTAGTAAACCACCTGTATCTATATCTTAGCCCTTTAAGGCAGGAATGAGTCTTTTGTGTTCTTGCAAAACACCATGCACACAGCATGTAGAATCCTGGCTTATTTAACACACACCAGAAATATACTGGAGCACTAAAGAACTCCTTATCTATGGGTTTCTGAAGTAGGCTGGAGGGTTGGTTTCTTCTCTCAAAAAATTCATCAGAGGCAGCTAAGCTTGCAGATAATCCTCCAGGTAACTTGGGAGTCCTACACACGGAATTCTGTGAAGTGACCATCTTCCATTGATCCCTTGAATTTTGGAATTACATTCACCTTCTTTTTTCAGATCCTTTGATATTCAGATTTGTCTCATGTGGTATTTCAATGTGAGAAAGGAGCCCTAACATTTTCACTTTTCAAAACCAAAGTCTTAGATCAAATAAAGGCTGCATATCCCTTCACCAAAGACATTTTAAATTCTCATCTGTAGCAGTATTTTAAAAGTTTAGATGAAGGGAAGGCATTCTTCTGCCTAAGCTTGATAAATAAAAAAAGTAATATGGTTACTCTGAAACTCACGTTATTATTTTTTGCCTGTGTTTATATTCATGGACATAAAAAGAGTCAAACATCTATGTCTTCATTGCAGCTTGTCAATACTAACATTCTAAACTCACTACCATGTAGGATTTCTCCCTAAATGTGAGCACCAGGGCAACATCTCTTTCAATCTTAATATATCTCTTCTTACATCACTTTGGGGCCTCCCTTTCTAGCCACCTGAAGCCCAGACTTCTAGGCCTGTCTTACTATTGCCAAAATGCAAAGTCTGGCAGCTATCCATGTGCTACGTTCCTCCCATCAGATGAGCAAGGTGTGCACATTAGGCCAAGCAAATGACCTACTGCTTCTTAGGGTTACCAGGTTCAGTTTTTGCCATTTCCACAGTGACTACACTTATTCAATTCACAATGGCCTTTGTCTTAGGAAATAAAAGAGTTTCATTTTTGATCTCTCCACTCCATCTCTTACTCCTTGCCAATCTTCTCATGACTTCCAGATAAATATTTTTGAAAAATAAATTGGACCACACTATTATGCTATTAAAAACATCTTGATACTTTAATAAAAATATCCACACTCCTCAGTGTGGCCTACAAGAGTCCACAGATCAGTTGTCTTCCCACTTCTCCAATATCACTAAATGCCTCCTTTCCCTTGTCTGCTACACTTCAGTCTCTTCTTTCTGACTTTTGAACATGGCAGACCTTTCCTGTTTTGAGGCTGACTTTCCCATGTCCAGTTCCTTCTGGCTGGGCTCACCCTCTCACAGCTCTACACATGGTCTGACTTTTTGTTATCTTTCAAATCTCTTCTTCAGTGTCTTTTCCTCAAAGAGGGGCAGTGACAGAGATGGCCACGTCTCCACCAACATTTGTATTCTCATTCTATAAGGTATAGTTGTTTTGGAGAAGTGGCTATCCAGTCAGGGTCTATGTTTCCCAGTTCCTCTGACATATAGTGAAGTTATGTGATCAGTTTTCACCAACAGATGTGTGCACAAGTGATGTGATCATTTGTGTGCTAAAGGGCTTAAAAAGTGGCCTTGACACTGGAGGCATCATGCTACCAGAATTCAAACTATACTACAAGGCTACAGTAATCAAAACAGCATAGTACTGGTACCAAAACAGACATGTAGACCAATGGAGCAAAACAGAGACCTCAGAATTAACACCATACATCTATAACCATCTGATCTTCAACAAACCTGACAAAAACAAGCAATAGAGAAAGGATTCCCTATTTAATAAATAGTGCTGGGAGAAGTGGCTAGCTATATGCAGACAATTGAAACTAGACCCCTTCCTTTCACCTTATACAAAAATTAACTCAAGATGGATTAAAGAATTAAATGTAAAACCCAAAACTATAAAAACCCTAGGAAAAAATCTAGGCAATACCCTTCAGGACACAGGCACGGGCAAAGATTTCATGCCAAAAACGTCAAAAGCAATTGCAACAAAAGCAAAAATCGACAAATGCAATATAATTAAAAAGAAACTATTATCAGAGTGAACTGACAACCTACAGAATGAGAGAATATTTTTGCAATCTATCCATCTGATAAAGGTGTACTCTCCAGAGACTACAAGGAACTTAAACAAATTTACAGGAAGAAAACATAACCTCATTAAAAAGCAGGCAGAGGACATGAATAGATACTTCTCAAAAGAAGACACTCATGTGTCCAACAGACATATGAAAAAAAAGCTCAACATCACTCATCATTACAGAAACGCAAATCAAAACCACAGTTAGAGATGCCACCTCATGCCAATCAGACTGGTGATTATTAAAAAGTGAAAAAACAACACATGGTGGTGAGGTTGGGAGAAAAAGTAATACTTTTACACTGTTGGTGGGGGTGTAAATTAATTCAGCCACTGTGGAAGACAGTGTGGTGATTCCTCAAAGATCTAGAGGCAGAAATACCATTTGACCCGGCAATCCCATTACTGGGTATATACCCAAAGGAACAGAAATCATTCTATTATAAAGATACATGGATGTGTAAGTTCATTGCAGTACTATTTACAATAGCAAAGACATGGAATCAACCCCAATGCCTATCAGTGATAGACTGAATAAAGAAAATGTGATACATATATACCATGGAATACTATGCAGCCATAGAAAGGAATAAGATTATGTCCTTTGCAGGGACATGGGTGGAGCTGTAAGCTGTTATCCTCAGCAAACTAATGCAAGAACAGAAAACCAAACACCAATGTTTTAACTTATAAGTGGGAGCTGAATGATGAGAACACATGGACACAAAGTGGGGAACAACACACACTGGGGCCTGTTGAGGGGGAGTGGGGAGAGAAAGAGCATCAGGAAGTATAGCTAACAGGTACCGGGCTTAATACCTAGGTGATGGGTTGATCTGTGCAACAAACCACCCTGGCACATGTTTACCTATGTAATAAATCCACATGTCCTACACATGTACCCCAGAAATAAAAATAAAAGTTGAAGACACAAAAAGTGGTCTTGGCTTTTCTACTCTCTCTGCTTCTGTTCATCGACTGAAAACAAAAGACTCTGAGGTTCTAGGCTATGACAGAGGCACAGGTGAAAGAAACCTGGGTCTCTGAATCACTACGTGGAAGGCTGCCTACGGAACAACTTATTGGACTGTACGTGAGGGAGAACCCAAAGTCTGTTGTGGTAAGCCACTGACATCTAGGTGTTTACCTTTTGCAGCAAATGCTAGCATTACCTTATCCTAGACCAGAGGCCTTCCCTAAACACTCAACTTGCTTAAACCCTAAGTAGGTAGGTATGGCCCATCAGTTTCTGAAGTAGGCTCCCTTATTTTCTATCATTACACTTTATACATTTTCTTTATAGTAGATACACGTTATATATTTGTTTACATAATTTTTTTTCTTCTGTCTCCCCCTCTAGGCTATATATTCTATGTGAGCAGGAAAAGCATATCCTGTGTCTAATACCACACCTGGCACATTAATAGGTATTCAGTACATAGTAGAATGAATTAAAAAATAAGAGAATAAAAGAAAAGGTTTTAAACTGGTAGTAAAACTAAAAATGGCACAAAGAGGATATCACTCATCTGGCTCAGGAGCGGAAGCTTGTAGATTTAAGTGGAAGTGGTAGAGATGAAGACGTACTACTCCTTAGTTTGTATACCACTACAAATTATGTTAACAGCCAGATGCCTGAATCTCCTAATAATATCATTGGTCATACAGGATGCAGAAAGAGCAAAAAATAATCATTATACGTTTTGCTTATATAGTTCTTTACTACATACAAAAAACCATGAGCACTAGTTTCTTGAAAATGAACTAGTATTTGTTAACTGAGATGTGGCAACAGTAGATAAAAATACTTTCATATTTTTAAGTATATCTCTTTTAAGATATATAAACACTGATACAATTTCTACATGGTAAACCCAGATGTCTTACTTTGCTAGGGCTGCCAGAATACCACAGACTGGGTGGATTAAACAACATAAATTAATTTTCTCACAGGTGTGGAGGCTTCAAGTCCAAGATCAAAGTGCCAGCAGGTTTTGTGTCTTCTGAGACCTCTCTCCTTGGCTTGCAGATGACTCCCTTAACTCTGTGTCCTCATATGGTCTTTTTCCTGTGAGAAAAAAGATAGAATTCTTTACAAGGATAGCTTATAGGATGTGAGGATCTTATACAGATACCAGTCCTATCATATTAGGGTTCCATCTGTATGATCTTATTTAACCTTAATTACCTCTTTAAAGGCCCTATCTCCAAAATATAGTCACACTGGGGCTTAAAACTTCAACATTCAGGGACATAATTTAGGTTATAATACCAGAGGCGCTTCCCAAATGAGACAAGTTAACTCCAAAGATTTTAGTGTGAGAGCTATCTCCAGAAAATCTAGGCTGAGATTTACTTTGAACTTTTGAGCATAATCTTAAAAAAAAAAAAGTCAGCATGTCTTGGTAATGCTTCCAAATTTTTTTTTTTTTTTAATTAGGGCCATGAGGGCTGTATACAAAGGACCCACATGTGCTACCCAGTGCCTGGGAGATTTCTCTAGGCTCCACCTCCAACAACCCTCTGGGTAATTTCTTTTCCTTGTTTGGTGTCCTTGTTGCTTTGTTGCTGGATCCCAACTCTCTGCTCAGCCCTGTTTTCAGTGATCCCTCAGAGACACTCTCTACTTACCTGAACATAGTCCTAAGTTTCACAACCTGTGACCTCAAGTCATTGAGGTATTCTCATGTCAGCTCAGTCTTACAACCTTAGCTCTGGAAGACAGATTGGATCTCACTTTATTTTTCAGGGAGAGTAAAATGCAGCTATTTTGACTTACTATAGGAGAAGCCAATTTGAATTAGATTGGTGAAAGACTATAATTAGAGATCATTCATAGAAAACACCATCTTATTAATTTGAGGCTTGCATAATGAATGGCAAATTCAGTGCACAGTCTATGCCATTTCCAGGCAGAGTACTGTCAAGAACTCAAAATTTTGGGTTTGTACTGTTCAGTAACAGCACTGAAAGGTTATTCGTACCAAAAGGGTAGTCACATAGATGTTTTCTGCTACTTAAAAGTAAAATTGAGTTTTAGTAAATTATGAAATACAATAATAACCTTGAGGAAATGAAGAAAAGAATTATACATTTTATTCCATAAACAGTATAGTTTGTCAATTTCATGCCCATTTCACCTATCTGTTACTTATATGTTGCTGAATAAATAGAAGTCTTACCTGTGTCTTATGGAAAGGACATGCAGACATTGCTTCTAGCTACAGGAGACAAAATACTTGCTAATGTTTGAAATATTCATTGAAGTTTTATAGGAGCAGATGGTTATAAATGGGTGATATTTGAACTTTAAAATTGCTTTGAAGAAACATACTTGTCTCAAGTGTCCAGAGAACAGAGATTTGTCTTAAGAAAATGGATAGAAGTATGACAATTTGAAGTTCAAAAAGTTCTTGACAGATGAGGAATTAATCATAATGTAGTTGCTATTTAATGTATAAGTTAAACCACTGTGGCCATCTCTTTAGACAAGCTTCGTAAATTTCCAGAGATATTAAACTCCAAGATCCTAAATGCTCAAGGCAAAGAAAGTAAAATAACTAATATAGTTACAAGGTCTCATAGGAAGCTAAGTAGATTATTACCATTCATAAGAAAATTTCCAAATTAATGACCTAAAGAGAATAATATTTGGGTTTAATGATTCTAACAAAAGACATGTCTCTCATAATGAGTAAATAATGTCCATTTGATCTTTACCTTGTGATAGGGCTGGGCTATAGGGAAGATTTGCAAAGTAGTTAACACTTTTTATAAACTTGGAAAAGCTCTTTGTGAAGTAGCCTCTTTTTATGTGGCTTCAATTTCTGAAACTTTATGAAACCAAATTTCAAAAGGTAGCTCTATTAGTCTGTTCTCATGCTGCTAATAAAGACATACCTGAGACTGGGTAATTTATAAAGGAAAGAGGTTTAATTGACTCAAAGTTCAGTGTGGCTGGGGAGGCCTCAGGAAACTTATAATCATGGTGGAAGGGGAAGCAAACACATCCTTCTTCACAAGGTAGCAGGAGAGAGAAGTGCTGAGCAAAAGGGGGAAAACCCCTTATAAAACCAACAGATCTCGTGAGAATTCACTATCATGAGAATAGCAGCATGGGGGTAACTGCCCCCATTATTCAATTACCTCCCACTGGGTCCCTCCCACAACATGTGGGGATTATGGGAACTACAAGTCAAGAAGAGATTTGGGTGGGGACACAGCCAAATGATATCAGTAGCCATGTTAGAATAAATGTATCATTGTGATCTGTGAATCATAGAATTTTTGAGACAACTAAAAAGTGAAAAATTCATTTAACTAACTAACTATATATATATATGTATATATATATATTTTTTTTTTGAGATGAAGTCTTGCTCTTTCACCCAGGCCAAGCTATAGTGGCGCTATCTTGGCTCACTGAAAGCTCCGCCTCCCGGGTTCACGCCATTCTCCTGCCTCAGCCTCCCAAGTAGCTGGGACTACAGGCGCCTGCCACCACGCCCGGCTAATTTTTTGTATTTTTAGGAGAGACGGGGTTTCACTGTGTTAGCCAGGATGGTCTTGATCTCCTGACCTCGTGATCCATCCGCCTTGGCCTCCCAAAGTGCTGGGATTACAGGCATGAGCCACCGCGCCCGGCCTTAACTAACTATATATTTTTTGAACACAAGAACCACTGGCTTTATTCTTCTCTCCACACCCCATCAATGAAATAAACCAAATGCATTTTTTTTTTTTGGTGCTGTTGATAATACTATTTGGACTGGGTTGTGTCTACTCCTTAGATATTATATGTGACAGAAGTGAGTTGAAACAAAACAACAAACTGTATTTAATTTAATTTGATGCAGTTTCTTTCCAAATAAAAGTTCATCTTTCTTCTTTACAATTGACACTGGTGATTTCTTGTCTTTGAATTCAATTACACTGTAAGAGCAGAACTTTTAGCAAATGAAGCCACAGAGATGACCCAGAAATTTCAATTAGTTCATCAGTCTAGATACCAGTGTAACTGGCCTATTGAACAGTCTGAACTTGTCAATGTACAATAATGAAAAAATTTTTTCCATCCATTGCTTTTAATCATGCTCGGTTGCATCTCCCTTTCTTTCTTCTTAACTAGCTCTTGGGCATGAGTAGATATTAAAACTCAATCTCTAATCAACTCTAATCTCGTCTTCTCCCTGATTCCTGTCACATGCCTTATCTATGGCTGGGTGGATTTGTAATGGGGGAAGCTCCTTCACTTCTACCAGCTACTATAGGTTGGGGCAATGCAGAGGTAACAGAGAAAGGGGCAGAGAACTTTATACTTACTAATTCACCATTGTAATCCTTTCTTATACACTGCAGCTTCCCCAGCCAGCAATGGGCAGTTAGTCCCTTCTCTGTGTAAATATGTAGGTGTTCTTCTCTCTAGGGACTTAAGCATGGTTCTTTCAAGGCCCTTGCAGGAAGGCCTCCAAACTGCATAGTTGCCACTACAGACCTCTGGCTTCTCCTCTTCTACCCCATTTCCCTGTCCCTGCCTCTCAGCCGTCACCCTGTAGTCTCTTGTTTCTTGATTCTACTTGTCTAATACTAAGGCAGTTCAGGCACAGCTACCTTGAATATATACCCACCTGATCCAATGGGACTGACACAGCTTTGCTATGACAAAAGGTGGGACTATAAGCCTTCCTCTTGTCATTCCCATTTTGTCCTGCCACATCTCACCAACTCCCATCTCCTCTAGCTCAAATAGGCACAGGAGGGCTTATGAGCAAGTCTGAATCAAAAGCTACTTTATTTTATTTTATTTTTTTGTGGGAGACCGGAGTTTTATTATTATTCACAACAGTCTCTCGAGCATTCAGGAAGCAGAGTTTTTAAGGATAATTTGGTCGATGAAGGGAAGCCAGTGAGCCACGAGTGCTGATTGGGCAGAGATGAAATCATAGGGAATTGAGGCTGTCTTCTTGCGCTGAGTCAGTTCCTGGGTGGGGGCCACAAGATCAGATGAGCCAGTTTATTGATCTGGGTGGTGCCAGCTGATCCATCAAGTGCAGGGGATGCAAAGTATCTCAAGCACTGATCTTAGGAGCAGTTTAGGGAGGGTCAGAATCTTGCAGCCTCCAGCTGCATGACTGCTAAACCATCATTTCTAATTTTGTGGCTAATATTAGTCCTACAAAGGCAGTCTAGTCTCCAGGCAAGAAGGAGGTCTGCTTTGGGAAAGGGCTGTTACCATCCAAAAGCTATTTTATAATGACATGTCTGTCTGCCCTTCCTGTTGGCTCTACATCTCTGTGAGTATCTCGGTGCCTTCCTTGGTAGTTTGGGGCAGGTGGGAATCCTCCTCATTCCATTCTATGGGATAAGAAGAAAAACCTGACACTCTCCTCTCTAGATTGACTACTCTCACCGCTGATGATTTTTTTGGGTCCTGTCCTAGTCGTTTGGTAATAGCTACAGGAAATGAGGATGGCAGGTGGAGGATAAACGGTCATGTGGCTGCCTCTTGGTCTGCCTGGGATGTGTCCAGTACCAGTGAGTAGTGGTATCTCTGGATATTTGCTTCTAGTTGTCTATGTCCCTATGATTTGATAATGATAAATGGTTCTATTAGCTTGTACCATATGAATACCACTTTTTTTCTAAACCAAAAATGGTCAAATATGGGCAGTTTCATATTTGAGGTGGATTTAGTCATCCTTCACCAATCCTGTTGTTTTGTTTGAGTTCAGAGTTGAAAATCCCCTCTGACAGTTTTGGGGTAAAGAATTGGGAGTTTCAGCCATGGCTCCTGATTACTATTCTGGTTTAATAATTGGGCAAAGTTATTGAGCCTCCCCTAGTTATTGAAGGGAACTTCAACAGGAATGAAAAAGCAAACTTCAGATATGAGAGTTTTTCTTTTTCTTAGATTTAAAGTGGAACTTGTCAATTTGGGAATTATTTTTGGTACATGTTTTAAAATATTTTATTTTCTTATTAAAAACAATAAAAATTCTAATTGTTATCCAGAAAATAACAATGTAAGACCTGAGAAACCTGATGGGAGTTTAGAAAATTTGTCAATAATAGTAGTCCCAGCTACTCAGGAGGCTGAGTCAGGAGAATCACTTGAACCTGGGAGGCGGAGGTTGCAGTGAGCTGAGATTGCGCCACTGCACTCTCCAGCCTGGGCGACAGAACGAGACTCTGTCAAAAAAAAAAAAAAGAAAAAAAAAGTGTATTTCCCTCTATTGAGTGAATTCAGCTAGAATGTTCTAGAATTACATTGTTTTCCCATTATTGTTACCAGACAGCCATGTCCATGGAAACACCAATTTGTGGGACATAGTTATTTCCACCAGGTTGTTACAGAAGTAAAACAGTCTCAGGAACAAAAGGCCCTTTTGTACCCATATGAAAGGGAGAGAGAACATAATTTTAATATTGGGTATTTATCAGAATTACATGCATGTAGGGTAGCACGAAAGTGATTACAAAGTCTGGACAGAATTTGATACGAACTTATGTAGGAAGGTGGAAGATAGAACAACTAACACTTCTCTTGAGAGACCAGAGGATGCACTTGTGATTGCCTTATGTATCCCTTGTGGGAGACCCCTGAACCAATTATGGAGCCAGTTTTACATGTTAAAAAGCCCACATATTTGCACTGTAAAATTATTAATAAAAGGCTGAGCCTTTAAATCAGGCCTATCGTATGTTCAAGGAGACATCCTAAAGAGGAGAGGGTGGGTAGGCAGCAGCCTCCCTCTTTAAAGAAAATGTCACGGTTGTACCTTTATGAGGTACTTTTAAGAGTGTTAATTAATGGCTACAATTCTAGTCACCACTTTGTTGTTGTGTATCACAAAACTTCAACACATTCACATCCTTTGACCCAGTAGTTCAAGTTCTAGAAATCAATTTGTAATAAATATTTACATTTGCCTTATTTGTATACAAGGAAGTTCATCTCAGAATTATTTAGATATGAGTAAGAATTTAGAAACAATCTGATGTCTATGAATAAGTGTTGGTTAAATTAAACTTGGTGCATCTTCCCATGTCATCAACTATATTCACTGTAAATTTAATGACCTGGGAAGATGCTCAAAATATATTATTAGGTGAAAAAAAATCACGACAAAACCTTACATATATATGATCCCAATCTTCATACCTAGACATGTACCAGAAAAATACCCAAAGGATTTTAATAGGGCTTGTGTCTACAGGATGTATGAGGATAACTTATATTCTACTTTTTACTTTTGTCTATATTTTTCATTTATATTTATAAAAATTTATATTAAGAAAAATGAATGCTATAAAAAACAAAATGAATTGTAAGCTAGCATTTAATAGTAGCTGCTGTTCGAGTATATTTAATCATTTATAATGAAAATTTCTTTTGGACTTGCCATTTGTGCTGTAGAAGAACATCTGTTTTAATATTTTCCTGGCTGTATTTCATTTGTACATATTTTCTCTAAGTACTTGGAGTCTACTTTTCTAAGTGTGTTTCTGCCATAATCCCTTTGATCTTGAAGAAGCAGCATCAGGCCTGGAGCTGGAAATTCAAATAATAACTCCAAACCTGTTAGGATTTGGTGAGAAGTCTGTAGAAACATTTCTTAATTTTTTCTCATCCTGGCTTGTCTGTCATTGCACAGATAATGGACAGAGGAACCAAAATCATATGACTATTCAGACAGATTCAATCCCTAAAAAGGAGTAGATGCTGAAGGGCCTAAGTGGGTGGAGGAAGGGAAGGGAGGATCAGTCTTTCCAATATCCCTCCTCTCCAAGGAAGAGGATGCAAGGAAAGACTCTTTGTCCCTCTGTAGAGGGAAATCCTGAGTTGTTCTTCTTCTCTGTAAGGGAAGAAGTGGGTAGAGTTATCAAAGCAAATAGAAAACGCTGATGGAAGATACGCAGAGGAGTTAAGCAGCTTTAAGTTTTAAAAACCTGTCTTTCAAATTAAAAAATTATGCAGAATGCTTTAATTTATTTCTAATATGTAATTGAAAATCTCTAATTGTAAAGATCTTGAAAATGCTTTTTGATTGAGAAGTTACAAGATTTTCAAAAGAATGCTTAAATTAATACGCAGGATTATTTGAAAAAAGTACTTAAATACTCTGAATATTGGTAACCACATATAGCAGATATAGTGATTTCTCAGGTAGAGAGATTATTCCATCATCTGCAGACCATCTATTTCCCCAAATATCCTTAAGTTAAATTTCATTATATTATTAACATCTGAAGATCTACCACTAGATGGCACTTAAAATACACGAGACTCGGAGGAATGCTTCAAATGAGGGGCGAGGAAAGACACAGGACAGAAATACAACTTGAGTTCTCAGAACAGTGTTATCTACTTGCAGGAAAGGAAGAAAAGCAGGCCCAAGATTATTCTGAGACAATTGGAGGGTAAGATTCTGAAAATGAACCTATAAGTGTTAGAATGTTTCTCTTTAAACATAATTTCCCTTCACCTAAATTGCTATTGATTAGCAGGTTTTTAGCATTAAGACAACAGGCTGTTGGACTAATGAGAGTTTGGTAAACAGTGAAGGGCTGTGTTCTCTCTGAAGAGGTTTGGAGTATGCACCAGGAATCAAAATGTGGGGCTTTAATCCCAGCTCGGTGTCTGCTCTGTTGTTTGGCACTGGGCTAACTGCTCTTTTTCACCTGTGGTTAATTTGATTTGTGCACCTCTTATACATCAGGGGAGAAAAATCCAGTATAAGGACATTGTGATGCACAAAACTGAGCAGCAGAATGTAAGAACTGATTTCAGGAACATGGCAGCAGGTGGCCAGTCTCACTGGATGTGGCAATCGGATATGGATGAAGTGGCAGGTACACTTGGAGGAGTGGTAGGTGTTCATTTTTAGCCAAGGCATTATGCAACGCCATCAGGGAAAAAGCACAGGCAAGTAAACAACAGCCAGACCTGCAGTACTAGGCACCAGGCAGCGTGTGCAGTCAGAACACACAGGGAGGAACGATGGGTGGATCAGTGTGAGGGATCTGGTTCAGGCTCTATAGCCAATCACCAGAGTGACCTTGGACACACAGGGAGGAAAGATGGCTGGATCAGTGTGAGGGATCTGGTTCAGGCTCTATAGCTAATCACCAGAGTGACCTTGGACACACAGGGAGGAACGATGGCTGGATCAGTGTGAGGGATCTGGTTCAGGCTCTATAGCCAATCACAAGAGTGACTTTGGACATGCTAAGATGTCTCTGGGCCTCTGTTTCCTCACTTAAAAATGGGAGAGTTTAGCTTACATGATTTCTGAAATCCCTTGTAAAGCTTTTAGATCCTATCAGGACATAATTGTCAATTTTTTGGATGTGGGCATAGCAGAGATTTTATCATCCTCCCTGTTTTCTAGAACAGGACATGGAGGCTGAGAAAGCTGGTAAATGTCCTGGCTTCAACTCTAGACATCGTCTATTCTTGCTGCCCTGCAGTGTGACCTGGACTGTATCAGCTTCATTTGGACATCTGTAGGAAATGCAGCCTCTCAGGCCTCACCCTGGACCTTGCGATTCAGAATCTACATTTTTAATAAGACTGCCAGGTGATTCATATGTACATTAAAGTTGAGAGGCACCAGGCTGTACTATACTGTCTGAGCAAGCCCCAGGCTGCTGGCCACAGGAGAGCTCATCTTACAGCTAAGATATGTTTCCTTTTCTTTCTCATATGAGGACATCATTTAACTGAGGGGTGGGATTTATCCATTCCTTCAACAAATATTTGTTAAGTAACCACTATGACTCAGTCACTGTTACCCTCTGGCATAACAGAAAGGAACAAGAATGTGATCTCTGTCCTTGGAGAGGAGTAAAGAAATTACTTGTAGGGGTCCTTCTTCTTTCTCTTCCTCTCTTTCTGTCTTCTATGTCAGGTTAGAATTGTAGGTGGCAAGATGAGGCCTGCAGTCTTCAATAGGCTTTGGTTGAGGATGTTTTTTTAACTTCTAAAAATCTAAGACAAGGTTTCTGACAGTAAACATGATTGAAATTTTGGACCAGATAATTCTTTGTTGTGGGGAATTGTTTTGTGTTTCTCGTAGGACATCTAGCAGCATCTCTGGCTTCTAAAGACACCAGCAGTAATCCCTGAGTTGTGACAACCAATAACGTCTGCAGACATTGGAAATGTCCCTGGAGACTTTATCACCCCCAGTTGAGAACTAGTGAGAGGATCCAGGGTATAGTCCAGAGGAGAGGCCATCAGAGCCATTTAAGTCTGATTGCATATGAAGTTTTCAGAAAAAGGGGTAAACGGGAACTTGAGCTTTCTCTGTCATTGTCAATCCCTTTCTCCGTAGTAAGGAAGTAGAGGTGGGTTTCAGGGCAGAACATCTATTTAGAATTAAGTAGTAACATTGTATTTAAAGTTTGTTTAGAATTGTTTCTTACAGAAATGAGGTAGAAGAGCAGAAATCTCTCTTACAGTTTCTATACTCAAAGCACTCTCTGAAATAAATTAGAATTGTTTCTCTGGACAGCCAAGATTTACTCACCCCTCCTGGTGTTTTTTGTTTGCTTTCTTTTTTAAGGTGACAAGACTTAAGTAGAGAAATACTGTGTTTCACATTTTGAGCCAACCAGATAGTCTATAGATACATTTTGTAGTCCATTGTAGATCCCCAAACAACCAGACACCTTTTTCTTCTTTGGAATCAGTAGGATTTAAATAATATGCCTGGAAGACTTCTGAGCCACTAGCATCTTCAAGTTCCTGGCTAAATTTACAGGTGAGAGAGGACATACTTCTGAAGTGATTCTAGCGCAAATAAATACCTCTGGAGTGAAAAGAGAGCATTTCTCTTGGACAAAAGCCAAAGCTGAACAGTCATACAAACCCTCTGTGTTCCTGAGTCACGAGTGGAGGGAGATGTGACCTTTCCACAGTTCTGTGTAAATTTCAGAAGGCTAGTCTGTCTTGACTCGATTGTAGCTTGACCTCTGTCCTGTAGGAGCAAGAATTGACTTCCTGAAATCCCTCTTCAAATTAAAATCTGCTCTCTTGACTCATTTGTTTAACCCCTATGACATATGTTAAAGCTGTGGACTTAAAATGCTGGAGAGGGGCTGGAGCAGCAGGAAAGTCTCTGGGTCCCACACAGCCTTTCTCGCGACTGGCAATGTGAAGTGTATTATTGAAAAAGGCTGGCAGCTCAAGGCATTGTTTGGCTTCCTACCTTGGCAACAGCAAGCAGCAAACTGTAGAGAAGTTTCCCCCTAATCTGCTGGCAGCTTCTACACTGGTGAAATGCAATATGTAGTTTGCAGCACACTGATCCCTAAGAAGTGAATAATTTACTTGAAGTAATTTTGCTGCTACCATGTTTTCAGACATCTTTGCCAACTGTGGAGAACATAGTCTGTTTTGACAATCACCAATAACCAATTTTCCCTGGGGGCAATTAGGGTAAGGCCTTGGGGTGCCCAGGTGAGGGTGCTAAATGCAAATTCACCCCACAGGCAAATTGCAGTGTCTGACTTCCTTGCTACTCAAAGTGGACTGAGAACAATGACAGCAGCACATGGAGGCTTGTTAAAGGTGCAGAATCTTGGGCCTGCCCCAAACCTACTGAACCAGAATTTGCATCTTAACAAGGTCCCCAGGTAATTCATATACATGCTTAAATTTGAAAAGCAATGCTGTTTTAGGTCAGCAGTTCTTAACCTTGCCTGAACTTTAGAATTACTTGGGGAATTTTGAGATATCCTGATGCCCAGGCTAAAATCTAGACTAGCGGTTTTCAACTGGGGATGATTTTGCTCCCTAGGGGACATTAGGTGACATCTGTGGACAATTTTGACTGTCACAAGTGTAAGGGTGCTACTGACTTCTAGTGGGTACAGGCCAGGATATGGCCAAGCATCTTGCAATACAGTGGACAGCCCCTCACAACAAAAAATTATCTGGACCAAAATGGCAGTAGTGGCAGCACAGAGAAGCCATTTTCCAGACCAATTAGATGAGAATCTCTGGGGGTGGGAACCCGTAACCATGTGGGAACCAGTAACTATGGTTTTTTGTTTGTTTGTTTGTTTGTTTGTTTGTTTTAATTTGAGATGTAGTCTTGCTCTTTTGCCCAGGCTGGAGTGCAGTAGCAGGATCTCGGCTCACTGCAACTTCCACCTCCTGGGTTCAAGTGATTCTCCTGCCTCAGCCTCACAAGCAGCTGGGACTACAGCTGCGTGCCACCACACCCAGCTAATTTTTGTATTTTTGGTAGAGACAGGATTTCACCATATTGGCCAGGCTGGTCTCAAACTCCTGACCTCGTAATCCATCTGCCTCAGCCTCCCAAAGTGCTGGGATTACAGGCGTGAGCCACCGCACTGGGCCGTAAACAAGTATTTTTTAAAAAATACTTCCCAAGTAATTCCAATGTGCAGTCAAGGTTGAGAACCACTGATAGATTTGTTGCTAGAGAGCTATCAAGACAAGGAGTTTGGATTTTATAGGTCCAGAAAGATAACTTGGTTCCAGAATATGGGGTAAGTTGAACTATGGTGGGTGACCAGTGCGTCAGCTGTGGAAGAAGGAGGACTATGGGACAGGGACGCAGATGGGACTAGTCAGGAATCACCAAATTGGCCCTTAAATAAGCAGGTTCAGAGACCTCCTGTAAATCCAGCAGGGAACTAAAGGGTGTAAATGAATACCTGGGGTAAAAGTCTAGTCATAGGCACTTTCGCAGTGACTTATTTCTGTGCAACAAACCACTCCAAAACTTAGTGGCTTAAACAATTTTTATCATTTATTACAGTACTTTCTGTTGCTTGACTAGGTTCAGCTGGATGGTTCTCACTTAGGGCCTCTCATGTGGGTGCCATCAGGTGTTGCCTGAGGCTGCAGTGTCCTGAAGGCTTGTCTGTGCTGGACATCTGTGATGGCTCACTCACGTGGCTGGTGGTTGATGTTGGCTGTTGGCTGAGGACTTAGCTCAGTGCTTAGTGAGGCTATTGACTGAAACACTGCCCATGGCTTCTCCGTGTGCGTTGGGCTTCTCTCACTATGACAGCTGGGTTCCCAGAGGGAGCATCCCAAGAGGCCAGAACAGATGCTCCTAGGCCTCTTATGATCGCGCCTCAGAAGTCCCTCTGGGTAACCTCCACTGCATTCTATTGCTCTAAGCAGTTCCAAGTCCACCCAGATTCAAGGAGGTTGTGAAATAGACACTTCATCTCTTTTTTTTTTTTTTTTTTTTTTTTTTTTTGAGATGGAATCTTGCTCTGTCGCCCAGGCTGGAGTGCTGTGGCGTGATCTCGGCTCACTGCAAGCTCCACCTCCTGGGTTCACGTCATTTTCCTGCCTCAGCCTCCCGAGTAGCTGGGATTACAGGTGCCTGCCTCCACACCCAGCTAATTTTTTGTATTTTCAGTAGAGACAGGGTTTCACCTTGTTAGCCAGGATGGTCTCGATCTCCTGACCTCGTGATCGGCCTGCCTGGGCCTCCCAAAGTGCTAGGATTACAGGCGTGAGCCACCGCTCCCAGCCCTGAAATAGACTTCATCTCTTAATGGAGGAGGGGCAGAAGAACATGTGGGATGGGAGATGTTGCTGAAGCCCTCTTTGTAAAATACCATCTGCCATAATAAGGGCCAGGCAATGAAAGGATAGGTTAGGGGAAGGCTGCTACTCCAAGAAATCTATAATGATTGGGAGTTTCCTGCTAGAATGCAGATTCAAGGCATCTCCACCCATGCTGGAGAGGGCTCTGGTAGCGGAGAAACCTACTTTGCAGATGAAACATTTTCCTCACATGCAGCTGGAGGGAGTGGGGAAAACAGTGGCACCAAAATACAAATAAGCAAAGTAGATGCTAAGCTCATGAGGATTCAGAATAGATGGTCATTTATAATTTTCCTTGAGTTTAAATCATGCACAATGATACTTATGTAGGAATAAGTCTCTATCTAGATCATCAGCACTCGTGACATCTCCATTTGGTTCTACTGAGTTGTGCATATTGCATAAATACTATTATCTTTAAAATGTGGCTGTCTATTAGAATTATCTGAGAGCACAAGGAAAATATTCCTGGGTCACCCCCAACATTCAGTGAATCAGCATCTCCGGACTTGGGGTTCAGTTGTGTATTTTCCAAAATGTGCCAGGGTCACTCCATGTGGTCAAAAAACAGGAGGCAAATTTTAGTGCTGATGATGGAGATGAAGAGGAAATAAAAGGTTTCAGAAAGTGATGAGGCTTTGACATAATCCAAAAGTTTTGCATAAATTAAATAGTAAAGGAAGTTAGATGCCACATGAAAATTTAGAATTAGCGAAGCTCTTGGATTGGATTCTTGTGAATGAAAGTCATTGGTCTATGCTTAGGTCTAAATGTGCTAAAGACTGTTCGTATTGTCTTAGGAATTTCACTTCCTGAAAACTGAAACTTTCATGTAGTTAAGTTCATATACTGTTGGATCTTATTGATTTAAGCTCCAACAGTATGCTTCTGAGATAATTCTAAAAGGATTGGAATAAAATTTATACTGAAATATTTCTGAAACAAAGGACCTCTAAGAAAATATAGGGTGTCATGATGTTCTCTCTTTTTATGGTGACAGTAGGGGTGATGGTCAGGGGGTCTGTTTGCTTAAAAAAAAACTTTAAAATTTTTTAAACAAAATTGTTTTTAAAGGTGAGAACTGCTGTTTATTACAAACGACTCATTTACTCATTAAGCTAGCTATTCGGAAAGATATGGTTGGTAGTTAGTTCTAATTTGTCCATTATGTGTTTGAAATAATGAAATAGTTAAAACTATGTTGTATTTAGGTTTACTGATAATTCAGATTCATTCTCCTAAATGAAATTCCTAAAAAATTAGAATTGTTTACCACAGTCATCTCTCGGAGATAGTTTATATTTCTAATACATAGTGAAAAAGTTTATAAACTTAATATGAATGCATATGTTTTGTTTAAATTTTCAGAAAAGAGTAAAAAATTCTCATGCGACAAAATTAAAGTCCTTTACACATCTTGGTGTATTTTTTTCTTTTTATCTTTTATTGGTTTTCATGAGATTTTGTGAATGTATCAGGCGTTTATTTCTACCAAAGCAACTGACTGCTTTCATTGTTGCTCTCTCCTATTAATAATAAAAGCTTCAAAATGTTTATTCAATAAATATGTTCATACTCAGGAAATAATATTGCTTTTTGGCTAGAACTAATGGATAACTCTTTCACAATAATTCATGGACTCTGCACTTAGTTTATCAAAAACATTTCACTAGTCCCTTAAAAGTGTTTTGCTTTTCCTGTGGAACCATAATAGTTGTGAGAATGAATAATTCCTATGTACTTCAGGGCTTTTCTTAGGAATAATTTTTCTACATGGTCTTCACTATTATACTATCCTCAAAGAGGTGTCACTCAAGGAAACCTGGCCTATAAAATAATAGTACACCTTTGATAGAAAAGAAATCACAAAAGGCTCAGCATGTGGACCAAGGAGTGTGGGTGAAAGAGGAAAGGAAATTGCAAACAGAGCAATTGACAAGATTTAAGGGTTGAGATCTAGTTCTAAATCTCACACCAATTATTGGCAGGGCCTGGGACAAGAATTTGACTTCATAGACCATCCCCAATATCTCTCAAACTTAGAGGTGGTTAGGGGTGATATAGTTCTGGTTTGTCTTACTCTATCTAGGTGAGAAACTATTCACAGAGCCTAGAAGGTGAATGAGGGCTGTGGAATGCAAGCATCACATCTCTCATTGCCTCTGCTGTGACTTTTGGCAATTCTTTCCTTGAGTTGGTGGGAATAACTCTCCCTTTGAAATAAAAACGAGTCCTCAGTTCATGTAGTTCTGCCAATAAAGAGCTGTCAAATCACAGTCCTGAGCCAGGCTTTTCCCCAGTAGAAACAGAAAGACACAGAACATCCCATGAGCCCAGAGAGACCTAATTAATAATAAAATAAGCCTTTACTCCATGCAAGATTTCTTAGACTTGAGGCCACATATGTGGAAGTCAGTGGTCTCATGAGAGAAGTAGACAATGAGTAGACATAAACTAAAAGAACAAATGACTCTGTGCCCAAACTAATCATTTTCATTTCTGCCCTATGATGTAGGTGCATCATTCACTCTTAGCTATCCATAGATGTATTCTGATATAATAATAATATATATATTCTATGTATTAGTATTTATTCTAATAAAACACAAGTTTTTTCTTAAGATATTCTTGGTTGTTTATGTCAGAACAGACGGGATCCCCATTTTCCTTATTCATCCCATTGCATCTAAAGTTTTAACAATATCTTTCATTTTACATTTGCATTCTTGGAGAGGTAAGAGCAGTAAAAGTATCCTTTACCAATGAAGCATTAATCATAAAGGAAAGCTAATAAGACACAATTGCTAAGTGATAATATCTGGCATTTAGTGAGCACACAGTAAATTAATTTTGTTAATAATTTATTAAATAATGAAGTAGAACTATGGGGGCTGTTGGAGAAAAGGAGATCAGTCATACTTGGAGATTTTGTAAATTTTGTTTTTAAATGTTTCCTTTTTAAACAAAGAATCTTGCTTGATTGCTCTATGTTCTCAACCTCTCACTAAATCATGCCACTTTTGCATAAAGATTCAGGGAAAAAGGTTGGAAAGCTATTATGTGTTAAACACTTTTACCTGTATTGTCTGACTGGTTCTTCCCAATAGCCCTTCAAAGTTAATGTTGCGATATTGCTACCCATTCCTATTTTACAGATGAGAAAAGTGAAACCCAATGAGATTAATTTGCTCATGGTCACGTAAAAATTAGTGACAGAACTAGGATTTGAACATAGACCTAACTGTAGGACTTTGACCTTTCCGGCAACATCCAGTCCCTCTTTTTACTTTTATCTCCCACAGATTGCATGCCTAGTGATTCCCAGATCTGTGGACGAGTATGTCAACACCTCTGCCAAAAATCTTCTGCTTGTGCAGTCATATTTATTAGTCTCCACCTAAAAATATATCTAGTCTAACCTTATCACTGCTAAAAAGATCCAGTGATTTAATTCATCAATGAACGTTGTTAAATTATAGCCTCAGGCATATATATGTAGACCTAAAAGATGTCTCAAATTTTATATTCCATTTGGGGGTCATCATTGGAAAAATTGTAAAGTATATAGTTCATAGTCATTCATCCACTGATTTTAACAAATGCGTATTGCACTTCTAAGGTGGCAGGCATGAGTCTAAGTGCTAGGAATACAACAATGACAAATAGACAAAAGTTCTTCTCACATGGAGCTTACATTTCAGTGGCAGGTGATTGTGGGGGCAATGAATAAACAAATGAGTAAATGTATAATATATCAGATAATAAGCACTGTGAACAAAAATGAAGCTGGGAAAGAGAACTGGGAATAATGGACTGGAGGGATGGTGTTGTGCTATTTTATATTGGATTATAAGACAAGGTTTCTTTAATGAGGTGACAATTGAAAGAGTTAAAAGAAGAGGGGCTGTGGATCTCTGAGCATTCCAAGAGGAGGGAACAGTTAAGTGCAAAAACTTTGAAGTGGGAGTATTCATGGTGTGTTGAAGTTACTGCAGGGAGGCCAGAGTGGTCAAAATAGAGGGAGAAAGGGTTGGGGGGCGGACAGGTAGGAGATGAGGATGGAGGTAATAGGGATGGAGGGCAGATCATATGCATATGCAACAGCAAGCTTAGTGCTCTTCTACTACACACCCCCTCTCCACCAGCATTTCTTTGAATTTATTTTCAGAATATTTTCCATTCTTTCTGTTATCCAGAGACACCTTACACGTGTGTCACCCTCCAGAGACCCTGTAGTGCAATGCTTAATTTCAGACTTTGTAAACAGGCTATATGGGTTCAAATTTTGACTCTTGCATATGACTTTGGGCAAGTTACTCAAATTTTCCACGCTTCCATTTCCTCATCTGAAAAACGGAGATGGTGATGATGGCGATGACGATGATGAAGATGATGATAATGATGATAGCACCTATGTTATAGGGCTATTTTAAGAATCGCATGAGTTAGTATGCAGAAGGCACTTATAACAGTGCTTGGCACATAGGAAGCACCATGTAAGAGTGGGCTTGTTTTATTTTTAGAGAGGATAGTGATCTGTTAAAGTAAATCACAAGGTCCACTACGTCATTCTCCCCAAGGAGTTTTTCCTTCTAAGAGACAGTATTTCCTTATTTGTAATAGTAGAATCCTAGGCTTGAGCGGAACTTGCTATAGTAATAGACAGGGTTCTCCAGAGAAACAGAACAAATAGAATGTGTGTGTGTGTGTGTGTGTGTGTGTGTGTGTGTGTACTATATATGTATGTATATATGTGTGTATATATATACACTATATATGTATGTATATATGTGTGTATATATATACACTATATATGTATGTATATGTATATATGCATATAGATAGATTTAGTATACGAATTGGCTCACATAATTATGGAGGCCCAGAAGTCCCACGGTCTACCATCTGTGAGCTGGAGAACCAGAAGAATTGGTGTTATAATTCAGCCCGCGTCTGAAGGCCTGAGAACTAGGAGCCATGTTGTCTGAGGGCAGGAAAAGACGGATGTTTCAGCTTCAATAGGGAGACTGAATTTGCCCTTCTGCTGCCTTTTCGTTCTGTTTGGGCCCTCAGTGGATGGGAGGATGCCTACCCACATTGGTAAGGACAATCTGCTTTCTCAGTCCATTGATTCAAATGCTAATCTCTTCTGGAAACACCCTCACAGACATATCCAGAAATAATGTTTTACCAGATCTCTGGGCATCCCTTACCCTAGTTAAACTGACACATAAAATTAACCATCACACTTATCCGGAAGAGAGACTTTTAATTAGTAAAGGCTTCCCAGCATGCCCTCTGCAATGTGCCATTGTAACTTACCTCTTCTATCTATAGATAGACCAGCATGTCCCTCCAGCAGAATTCTAAAGGGAATCCTTGCTTCTTAATTTTTTGTTGTTGTTGACCCAATATGCTTACAGCTTTCAGAATCAAAACCTTCAGGTTTATTTTATGGTGGGTTGTAAATGTTAGGCATCTACGGAGCCACACTTGCATTAAAAATAGGGCTATCACTCTGCTGTGAACTCAGAAAGGAGAAATTGCTCCACGCTGCAGGAGAGAGGTTCATCTTGCACATCTGAGAGTCAGAAGCAGTGGAGAATTGAGCTGTAAGGGGAGGGCCATTGTAGCATATGCTCATGAATAATGAATCTGACATTATACGTATGCAAATGGAACAGAGTAAGCTCTAAGCTAAAACTTGGTTTCATCATTTATTCACGGCCTCTTGTGTTCAGCACCTGGATAGTGCTCAGGATGGCAAGAGAACAAAGCAATCTGCTTGCTGTGCTTGGGATAGAGAAGACCTGTACGAGGAAGCCAGATATCTGAGATGGTGTGATTTCTATCACAGGCTCTGAAGGTAAATGAAGGTGAACAAAATCCTAAAGGAAACACATGCTCAGCTGCCTAAAGAGTGGTCAAATGTGAGAGCTTATTAAGGCACAGAGTGACGATAATCGCTGAGGCTCAGGAAAATGAACAAAGGAAAGTTAGAGGCTGAATGTAATCCAATACATTTTGTGATCTTTACATGTTAATACTTAAATTTCCATGGAACAGACATCATGATCAATTTTATTCCCCTGGGAGAAGTCCTACCTTCTCTAGCCCTCTTGAGTTTTTCTTTTAGAGTAAACAATATACTTTTCTAATTCAAACATCAATAAAATAATTGCAGTTCTGGAGAGATGTGGGATTTGGATCATACAGGTGCTTGGATTTGATTTACTTATTGTTTACCGGGCCAATCCTTAATTTCTGTCTCTTCACTAAGAAAGAATTGCCCATGAAGGGTTCTTAATAATGGAGGGACTGTTACTTCTATGATTGATTAGGATTCCAGTGTAAATCTACAGCATTAAACAGGACCTGGGCCTAGTAACTGTCCATCTAAATAGCTGCAGAAAATAAGATGACTTTGGCTTGTTTTTACAAGCTCTGCAGAGAAAGATTTCAATTTTCCCTTATGTTATACAGTTATTTCCTAACAGTGACAGTTAGGAGAGTCTTCCTTGTATTGCAGACAAATCTAAATTGATCTCAATGTAATAATATGAAAAAAATCTGTGTCAGCACTGAAAAATAGGAAACATTGTCATCCATATGCCAAAGGCTATGAGGAATTTCTGTAAGATGACACTGAATTGAGCAAAAAATAGAATAACCTGTGAGTTGCCCTGGCTGACATTAGAATTGCCTGGAGAGGAATGCAAAGCCCAGATGTCTGAGCCACACTCCCCAGTCATTTGCAGAAACTGGTCTGGAGTGAGGGCCAGGCATTGGTGTTTACAGTGTTTCTCAGCTGATTCTAATGTGCAGCCAGGATGGAGACCCAGTGCCCTAAATGAAGTTTGCTAGGAGGCTCTGGCTCAGAGCAGATGGGGCTGGGGTTGGGGCTGGAGAAAGTGGTGTACTGAGGGGCAGGGTATGGCAGACTTTTGTCAGTCAGGGAAGTACACAAACGGGGCTGAAAGAAGTGACCCTGAGTGGGGATTCCCCACTGGTGTGCATTCTCAGCAGCTAACATTCAGTGTGGAGAGCAGCACCCTCCCCTCCAGCTTTTGGGAACAGAAATAGAGGAAGCGTTGCAGGCACAACGTCTCACATCAGCAGATCCTCTGGGTTCAAGGTAATGGGAAATTGGGCCTGGTGGGTGGGGAGGAACGTTGGGCCTGCTAAGGTGGTGGTAGGGAGCTGGGAGGGTCTCCTAAGGCAGTAGGGAGATTTCTCTCCAGGCCTGGCACCTGGAGCTGCAGCTGCACCTGCACCACATAGAGTGAAGCTGTCTAAGACCTCTGTTTCTCCTGCTCTCTTTGCAATGCTGAATAATGAAAAAGGCAACTGGTGCTCAATCTAAACAATCAGCAAGAGGTCTGTATCCTGCAGACAAGCAGAACTTGAAAAGAGCCCAACCTCTGTGCATTTAAACAAGCAGAACGTAATAAAGCCCAATTATAACGCAACTCTGTGCAAGCGCAGGATGTTGCTCTTTCCCTTTGGCATGCGGTGGACTATTTACCTTGTCCAGTTACTCTAGGATAATAGAAACTCCTCTGATCACTGAGAGTCACGAAGCAGTCTCATTTCGATACTGGGTAATAGTCAAAACCTCAACCTAATGCTTTTCTTCTTTCTTCTCTCTGCTCTGCTGGCTCCTTCGGCCTCACTCCCAGACCAAGAGGCTGGGGCAGAAAAGGGTATTCTTGACTGGCATTGTCATGACCTGGTGCTCTCCTGGCATGGCCAACATTAAAAGCCAATACTCTCTTTCCCAGGACATTTTCATGCCTTTACGGCAACTTCTCCTTGGCAGCACTGTACTGCATCTCTCTAGATGAAGGCGAGGCTGCTCCCTCCCTGCCTGCTTGCAATTTCTTCCTGTGTAAAACTCTTCAAGGGATCTCCCTGGAGCCACATTGAGATTGAGGAGTAAGGTTGTCACAGCACATTTGATACTTAGCTCTAGAGAAAGCCTCCAAATTCCAACTCACTCTTTAGCTGCTTCAGGTTCAACTCTTTTATTTCTTTTAGGTGGATGAGGGGCTAAGATTCAAAAATTCGATTTACAGACACCTTATAAGTCCTACTTGGTGGTCAGAACCCTGCTTTGGATTGCAAGGGTCATTTCCTCCAACACTGGCTTCAAGGACATATGACATTTGCAGTTACACAGGCTCCTCCCTCAGAAGGGCCTGTGCTTGGATTAATGCTCTCCTGTTCCCATCTTGGACTTCTTAATACTTTTTGAAAAAGCAGCCCTGCATTTTCACTTTGGACTGAGTCCAGCAAATTATGTAGCTGGCCCTGGGTTGCCCCTATTAAACTGGGGCTTTTGCTGAAACTGAGATCAGTCTTATTTTAGCATCTTATTACACCTGTTTCTGGTGGAGATTTCAGGCCTGTGTAGAATTCTCATTTTTGAGTATGAGTAAATTGCAGGAAAAACCCACACACATCAATGTGGGCCCTATGAAAAGATTCTGAAACAGAAAAGAACAGAGCTCACAGGAGGCAAAGGAAGGACACACTTGAAAGAAGATTTACCGTAGGAAACAAAAGTAATTTAAGGCAACATCTGCTTGTCCTTTCAATAAAATTCAATTAAGCCTGGATTCCATGAAACATGAGATTAAAGATGAGATAAGACAATAAATATCAAAAGTAAACCTGCTTACAGGAAGATAAAAATTAAAAAGAAGCCGGATAGAAACTAGAATGATGACTTTGCAATAAAACATGAGTTGGCAGAATCTTATAATGTATTAGAAGAAGTAAAAAGTACAGTAGACCCTGCAGATAATTTCATCAGTAATATGGAGAACTAGCTTGAGAGATTCTCCAAATGTTGAAAAAAGGCAATGAAATGGAAATGACTATGGAGAAGAGGGAGATATTAAAGAGAGGCCATGGAAAGGAAGCACCCAGGTCAGTGGAGTTCCTCTAGGGAATAAAAGAACCAGTGGGACAGAAGCAATGTTCTTACACAATCCAAGATTGCCTGACTGCTTCCTGTGGGAACAGCCACATGGCAGGAGTAGGGGACCCTCAGGTTTTGTATTAAATAAGCCTTTCTTAAAAAGAAAAATGCTCACCACAAAATGAGGGATATTAAGGGGAAAGTTGGCTGGGTTTGTGGACTAACCCAAATCAAAACCCTTTTGATTTTGAAGGTATTTTGCTAAAGCTCCATGAATTGCCTTTCTGGTTCTTTCATCTTGTACCAGTCCCACACATGGTTATAGAATATCCCTATCTTTCCCTATTTAGTGGCTCTATGCTTGTGAGGAGAGTAACAATGGCAATAATATCATTTATAGATATAATGACCAAGACTTTTACACAATGCTTTTGTTTATATTTCATTGGAACCTCTCAACAATGCTATGGGCACATAGCATAAATGGAAGTCACAGGCAAACAGATAGAAGTGTTAAGAGCAGGGTCCTGCTCTATCTGAGGGCATAAGTGGATATATATATGGAAGCCACTTAGAAAAGAAACATTTTTGGGAGTTTGGGGATGGTTGAGAGAAAGGATCTTCCATTATTGTGTTTTAGAGAATTAGTTGTCATGTACTTCTGTGATTACGTCCACAGGGCAAAGGACTTTTCACTTGAGGGGTTAGGAATACTATAAACATGGCATCTGAATCCAGTGAAAGAGGACCAATAGACCTGTCTTGCAAAGAAATTCTATCATACTCTAAAATGTTGTAGATGCTATTTGGAGCCCTATATAGTCAGTAAAAAAAAATGCAGTTCCAAATATCTGAAGGCATTTTTTATAACCAATGGTATATTTTTCTTAATGGGCTTGCTATTATAGAAGCATATTAGAAAGATAAACAGAAAAGAATAGAGCTAGTTTATAAATAGAGGTAGAGATTTGATGATGTCAGAGGTAGTCATGTCAGATCCCATTTCCATAGTAAAAAAAAAAAAATGGGGTTTGGGCTAAATAAGAAATAAAAATGGTGACAGAGCATTTTCCTAGGCCGAAGTCGTGATATATGACAGGATGATAATGCATTTAATGAATCATGAAATGCTGTAGTTCAGGAGTTCAGAAATACCAAACAAAACTACTATTTTCTTGCCTGTGGCAGACATTGCTAATCTATTACAGTAGTCTTTCTTGTTAAATGTAGACACAGCCTCCGAAACCTTTTTAACACAGCATGCCAAGCAGCCCCTATCAATGCATCAGGGCTGGTATCTAAGATGTCATTCCTAATCTAGTTCAGCCTTTTAAAGTTACTGAATCTCGGAAGGATAAAGTAACTTAAAGGTCACACAATCATTTGGAAGACCCTAGGACTATAACTGGGATCTTTAATCCTCTAATCAATAATCTTTCTATTATATTATATTAGAATTTAAAACTGAGATAAATGCCAGGGTTTTATGATTATAGACCATGAGTAACTTTGGAGTGTATGTGTGTGCATCACTGTCTGATACGACTTTTTGAAGTGTGTGTGTGTGTGTGTGTGTGTGTGTGTGTGTGTGTGTGGTTATTATGGATCAAATGTTCTCTCCCAGATGCCAGAAATAATTTACAAATTATTTTGAACTCAAAATTTTTCCATTTTGAAATAGAAAACTTTCTCCCATTTTAAAATAACCAAAAATAAAGAACAAAACCCCCCAAATCCTCTAAGCCTTTTCATGAATGAAGTCTTCCTCCAGCCACTGTTCTACCCCATCCCTCCCTCTCACCATGCTTTTTTGAAGTGACTAAATTCACTTTGTCTACTTTCTTCATTTTTCATTTCTTCTTCAATCTCCTTCAACTTGACTTCTGACTCCAGTACTCCATGGAAATAGCTTATGAACAAGTCACTGATGACCTAATAACCAGATCCAACGGACTTTGGCCATTTTCATTTTATCGACCCCACAGTTGACCCACTGCTGGCTCTTGAAACCGTTCTTCATTCCTTCCAGTGGTTTCTCTAGATTGTGCTTGTACCTCACTTCATCCCAGGTGCCTTCTCTTCTCCCCTGCATTTATCTTTGGCTCATAGCCTTCCTATTTTTGTGCACTATCCATACACAATATTATCTACTTTCATGATTTTAACATCCACCTACGTTGCAGCAACAGTCAAATCTAAGTCTCCAGTCATGAATTTTCTCTTGAGTTCCTGATTCATATATCCAAGAGTTTGATGCATAGTATACTTTGTTATTCCCTGGGCACTTAAAACTTATCACGCCACAAAGTGAACCACTCATGTTCCTCTCCAAGCCCAAGAATATTAACTTTGGTGGTGGTGGTGGTGGTGTGTGTGTGTGTGTGTGTGTGTGTGTACTCAGTCTCTTTTCATAGCACCATCTTTTCATCTGAGCCAAAAATCAGAGAAAAAGCCTATATTTTTCTGTCTTCACAATTCCCTGCTTTCAATCTCTAAGATGTTAATTTATTCTCTTTAAAGTTTCTTGAAGTCCTCCTTGTTCAGGCCTTTTTCACCTGTTGCCTGAATGATATAAGAGCATGCTAACACATCCTATGGCCAGTACTGCTGCCCTTAAATCCTTCCTTCACACCGCAGCCAGGGTGGTCCCTCTCAAATCAATTCCTCCCTCATTACCTTGTAACCCATGACTTTGAAGGAACTCTCCTTTGCCCTCACAATAAAGTCTGTGTTCCTTAACGTGACCTCTGTGCCTTGGAATTACCTTTTATTCACTTTCCCTACATAATTTCTGTTTTCACTTTGTGTGTTTGCTGCAGCCCCAGCAGCCAATCCTGGCTCCCACACTCTCACACTCACATTAATCTCCATCCCATATCCTTTCTCTCAAGTATTTTTCTTTGCCTTGTGATGTACAGAGTTCCAAATATGTTATATGTGATAACGCAAACATAAGTAACTGCCGGAGACCCTAAACACTCTCCATAGAGACAAGCCTGCTTAAATCCCCTAAACTACCTGGGTGTTCCTTCACTCCAAGCTTCGAGACCCCTTTACTGATAAGAGGAAGCAGAAGGTTGGTGGCAAGAACACCACCTGGGTTGAGCCACTGGCTAACTAGACCCTAAATTCCACATTTTTTCCCCTTTGCTCCAGAGTCCAGTGTGTGTCCGAAGGAAGGGAAACAGAATGCACTGAGCAGAGGCCCTGATGCTGGGACTGAAGTTCTAGCAGCCCAAGTCTCAGGCTCAGCTTGAGTGATTCTCACCCTGCAGAGCTGCTTGGCACTGTCTTAGTCAATAATACATCATATGAATTCCCAAATCTACTGTCTCTGATTCATTTGCTCCAGGCCTCCAGGCAGGAGCAGCAACCTCGGGTAGTAGGCAATCTTTTTGTTGTTGTTGTTGTTGCTGTTTTCAAGAAACGGAGTCTTGCTCTGTCGCCCAGACTGGAGTTTAGTGGTGCGATATGGGCTCACTGCAACCTCCGCCTCCTGGGTTCAAGTGATTCTCCTGCCTCATCCTCCCAAGTAGCTGGGAATACAGGTGCACGCCGGCCACACCCGGCTAATTTTTTTTTTTTTTTTTTTTTTTTGAGATGGAGTCTCGCTCTGTCGCCCAGGCTGGAGTGCAGTGGCGCCATCTCGGCTCACTGCAAGCTCTACCTCCCAGGTTCACGCCATTCTCCTGCTTCAGCCTCCTGAGTAGCTGGGACTACAGGCACCCGCCACCATGCCCAGCTAATTTTTTGTATTTTTAGTAGAGACGGGGTTTCACCGTGTTAGCCAGGATGGTCTCGATCTCCTGACCTCGTGATCCGCCCGCCTTGGCCTCCCAAAGTGCTGGGATTACAGGTATGAGCCACCGCGCCTGGCCTTTGTATTTTAATAGAGACAGTGTTTCACCGTGTTGCCCACGCTGGTCCCGAACTCCTGAGCTCAGGCAATCCGCCCCGCTTGGCCTCCCAAAGTGCTAGGATTACAGGCATGAGCCACTGTGCCCGGCCAGTGGGCAATCTTTAAAATAAATTAAAAAGTCAGGAAACAACAGATTCTTGAGAGGATGTGGGGAAATAGGAACGCTTTTACAATGTTGGGAGTGTAAATTAATTCAACTATTGTGGAAGACAGTGTGGTGATTCCTCAAGGATCTAGAATCAGAAATACCATTTGACTCAGCAATCCCATTACTGGGTATATACCCAAAGGATTATAAATCATTCTACTATAAAGACACATGCACACGTATGTTTATTGCAACACTATTCACAATAGCAAAGACTTGGAACCAACCCAAATGCCCATCAATGATAGACCTGATAAAGAAAATATGGCACATATACACCATAGAATACTATGCAGCCATAAAAAAAGGATGAGTTCATGTCCTTTGCAGGGACATGAATGAAGCTGGAAACAATCATTCTCAGCAAACTAACACAAGAACAGAAAATCAAACACCGCATGTTCTCACTCATAAGTGGGAGTTGAACAATGAGAACACATGGACACAGGGAGGGGAACATCACACATCGTGGCCTGTTGGTGGGTGGGGGGCTAGGGGAGGGATAGCATTAGGAGATATACCTAATGTAGATGACGGGTTGATGGGTGCAGCAAACCACCATGGCACGTGTATACTTATGTAACAAACCTGCATGTTCTGCACATGTACCCCAGAACTTAAAGTATATTAAAAAATAATAATAATAAAATGCAGCGTTAGTAGCTAAGGAGCCAGATCTTCTGCCAGTTGGCAGGGAGGTGTTGGACCAGCCTGAAGTAAAGCTTCTAATGGTCCGATGCCTTCTTGTCCTCCACTTGTTTAACTCCAAACAGACCTTTGAGTCCTTTCTACTCAAAGTGTGGTTTAGGAGGCCTCTACATTGGCATCATCTGGGATGTTGTAAGACCTATATACTCTCCAGCCCCACCCCAGACCAATAAATCAGAATCTGCATGTTAACAGTATCTCCAGGTGATTCGCGGGTCCATGAAACTTTGAGAAGCATTGCTTTAAAACACACTTAATACATCAGTTCCCCCAGCAGGGTTTGAATCTCCAGATTGTACAAACTATCCCTCAGTTGACCTCCCTATATCACCATGTTGATTATTATTATTTAAAATTTTCTTTCTTAACCCATACTATCTAGAAAGAACTCACTTACTGTCTGCCTCTCCCTCTGGATGAGCTCTGCCTAATAGAAACACAATGCATGTCCAAAATGCAAACTAAATACATACTTCTTAATTTTCTAGTAGCCACATTAAAGCAATTTAAAATAAGCAGGTGGAACTAATTGTAATTATTTTATTTAACCAAGTATATTAAAAATACCATTTCAAATCTAGTCAATATAAAAAATTGAGACTTACATTTCTCATACTAAGTCTTAAGAATTCAGCGTGTATTGTACACTTACTGAACATCTCAGTTAGTAGAGTTATTTTTTCAGGTGCTCCACAGCTGCCTGTGGCTAATAGCTACTGTCAGACAGTGTGGAACTGGAGTTTAAGGTCTTTGAAGTGAAGGCCCAAGTTTTCTTTCGCATTGAATTCTATTGTTGACCCCAGTTGCTGGGTATGTTTCATGTACTCAAGGAATTCTTTCATTCAACTATTTATTCATTAAACAAATATTGAGTGTCTAATATATACCAGGCACAGTTTTAGGCACTGTGGATACAACTGGGAACAAACGGACAAAGTCTCTGTCTTCATTACTTACAGGGCGAGAAAGGCTATTAACGCATATGCAAGTAATTACCTCATACGTTGGGTAGCAGTCTACCTTGAGGAGGTGACACTTGAGCAGAAATGAGCCACAGAAATACAGGAGTGAGTGGGAGGAGGGAGCATTCCCGGAAGAGGGAACGACAGAGTCAAATGTCCTGGAGTGGGCATGTGCTTGATAAACTTGAAGAAGAGAAAGGAGGGTGGTGGGCTAGAGTAAAGTGAGTAAGGGCGAGAGGGGCAGGAAATGAGGCAACAGAGGGATGCAGAGGCCAGGTTATGTTGGGGTTATATTAATGTCTTTGTTCCCTGTGTGATGGAAATCTATTGTAGGGTTTTGAGTAGAAGCATGATATGAGCTAGTGCAGGTGGTAAGAGGATCTCTCTGGCTCTTGGCGGAGAGTAGACTGTGGAGGGGCAGGAGGGAAGCAGAAATACTGGTTGAACTGAACCTGAGTCAGAACATATGGAGTCCTACTCTTACACAGGTGTGTACAACCACAGCTTGTCTCTGGTTTCCTAGGGGAGTTTGCTTAGCTTAGGGTGAGGCATATAACATTCCTGGGATGCCTTGTATGACCCATAGCACTGTGTGCCCCTTCAGTGTGCCATATCTAAGCTGTGTTCCAGGCAGCGCTTGACAGCTGTTTACCTATTCCTCAAACTTCTTATGTCTCATTGTTATGCTTGCTGACTGACATGCCATACTGTATAACTTAAGCCTGGGCAAGTCTAATTGCCATGCATTTTTCATCCTTTTAAAATTAAAGCAAGTATATGTGTGTGTGTGTGTGTATAAATATATATATAAATATATATAAATAAATATATAAAAATAAATATAAATAAATAAATATAAATATATAAAAATAAATATAAATATATATAAATAAATATATAAATAAGTATATATAAATAAATATATATAAATATAAATAAATATATATGTGTGTATACATAAACATATATATGTGTGTGTGTGTGTGTATGTATATATATATATATATATCCCATGTTATTTTATGAGGCTTTCCTGCTCAGCTGTCAGTTTGACAGCTATGGTTCTTCTCGCAGTACCAGAAGCCTGGGTGGTGTGAGGAAGACCCCCTTGAGGGCTGATTAAAATCCCTGCCTGTGTCACCTGCCTGAAACAGAAGCCTAGTGCCTTCTGCCGTCAGGCAAAACACTTCCAACACTCAACATGAGGCACTGAGTTTCATTCTTTGGAATGAAATTTAAACCTGCATCTGCTGTAAGGTGTTTGGAATTTAGCCCAGCTGTCAGATTAGATCTAACTTCAATCGTGGTGAAATTGTGAAGTCAGTAAAGTTTGTATTTGGTGTCCTCGGATTACTTCTACTACTAATGCTACACACATCTACAATAAAAATAACCACTGTCATCACCACCACAGCAACAGCTAACTTTTTATTATGCCAGATGCTGTACATCCATGATCTCATTTAAACCTTTCAACAGCTTTATGAGACAGGTATTGTTATTATTTCCATTTGCAGAGGGGAAAATGGACACTTAGAGAAATAAATCACATGCCCAGGTAGCTGGAGTACTTGAGATCCAAATTTAGGCCAGCTTCCCTGAGTCCACATTCTCAATTACTATGCTGTGTGGCATCTAAGACTTCCTGTTTTTCTGCCTTGCCCATTTATTCAGTCACTCATTGTACCATATCGTTAGTTCCCTCTGGGTCCTTCTGTTCATGGCCTATAAAAACTTACTGAAAGAAAAGAATGTTCTGACAAGACATGTTCTAGAGCCTGCTCTGTTGCCTTCATAGATCTTTTTTCCCATTACCCCTCTTAACTATTATTTTGCAGATAAGCATATAAGGTTCCTTTAGGTTGGGTTCTCCAGAAGCAGACTCTGAGTTGAGGATTCCTGTGGAGGGGATTTATTGGGATATGTTCCTAGTAGGAGCGAAGAATTCGGGACTGGGAAGAGAAGAAGGTCACATAAGGGTACTCAGCTTTGGCTCAAAACCACGAAAGCCTCATAATCACTGTGGGTCTAACCTGGGAGGTGTCCTGTTTGCAAAGCAAGGTGATTGGGATATTTATATCCTCTGTACACAACAGGACAGACACTGACTAAGAGTTGCACACGGCCAGGTGCGGTGGCTCACGCCTGTAATCCCAGCACTTTGGGAGGCCGAGGCGGGCGGATCACAAGGTCAGGAGTTCGAGACCAGCCTTGCCAATATGGTGAAACCCTGTCTCTACTTAAAATACAAAAATTAGCCAGGCAAGGTGGCGGATGCCTGTAGTCCCAGCTACTCGGGAGGCTGAGGCAGGAGAATCTCTTGAACCCGGGAGGCAGAGGTTGTAGTGAGCCGAGATCAGGCCACTGCACTCCAGCCTGGGAGACAGAGCGAGACTCTCTCAAAAAAAAAAAAAAAAAAAAAAAAAAAAAAGAGTTGCACACGTCCTCAGCCCTTTAGGCTCTCTGTCAGCCTGAAGGCAGCCTCTGACAAAAAGATGGAGTGCAGGCCTTTGAGAAATAAGAACATAAGCCAGTCTGCACAAAAATGGAAAAAGGATGAGAAAAGAAATGAGCAGAGCCCTGGCAGCATCTTTCAGAGGCCTAATGAGAGGATATGAATTTCTTCAAAGTGGAAGAGCTGCAATTAAAACCCAGTTAATTCACTTCTAAGCCTGGGTCTTCGTATTTCTTCAGTGACAAGTAATACTGAGGTGTTTTGAGCAATATTTGCAGGAGACAATGGTAAGTCATAACCCCAGGAATTTGCAGGAGACATAGTGGCAAGTCCTAACCTCAAGAAGCTACTTCTATCTACAGGTAAAACAAATTAGGCAAAAGAGATTCAGCAATAGTCCTGCTTTGGGGTTCCTAGAGAAGCTTATACTCTCTCTCACTCTCTGTCTCTCTCTCTCTTCCTCCTTCCTCCCTCCCTTTTTCCCCTCCCTCCTCTCCTCCCCACCCTTCCTCTAAACAGCTTTGTTGAAATGTAATTTACATGTCATATAACTCATCTATTCAAAATATACATTTCAGTAGCTATTAATCTTTTCACAGAGTTGTGCAACCATCAACTCCATTTAATTTTAGAACATTTTCGTCACACGGAAGAAACCACCCTATCCATTGGTAGTCACTCCCTATTCCTTCTTCCACTGAGACCCTGACAACTACTAGTCTACTTTCCACCTGTGTGGATGTGCTGATTCTGGATATTTTATACAAGTGGAACCACGTAATATTGACTCTATGGGTCTGGCTTATTTCATTTAGCACAGTGTTGTCTGGGTTCATCCATGTTGTAGCGTGTGTCAGTACTTCATATTTTTAAAATGGCTGAATAATATTACATTTTGTGGGTAGTACATTTTGTTTATTCATGCGTCAGTCGATGTACATTTGGGTTGTTTGCCATGATGAGTAATGCTGCTATGAACATTCATGTGCAAGTTTTTGTGTGAACATTTGTTTCCTGTTTTCTTGGGTATATACCTGGGGTAGGATTGCTGGTTCTAATGCCAACACTAGGTTCAATTTTTGAGGAACTGCCAAACTGCTTCCCAAAGCAACAGCACCATTTTGCAGACCCAACAGCAATGCATGAGGGTTCTAATTTCTCCACATTCTTTGCCAACACTTGTTATTGTGTGTCTTTATACCCACAGGCATCTTAGTGGGTATAAAGTAGCATTTTGTTGTGGTTTTGATTTGCATTTCCCATTAGGAATGGAATGCTCGGCTTTTTTCATGTGCTTATTGGCCATTTTTGTGCCTTCCTGGAGAAATGACTATTCAGATCCTTTGCCAATTTTTAATTTATTTTTCTTTATATTATTGAGTTGTAATACTTCTTTATGTATTCTGGACACTAGACCCTTATCAAATATATGATTTGCAAATGTTTTCTCCCATTCTTTGGGTTGTCTTTTCACTTTCTTGATAGTATAGTATCATTTGAAGCACAAAAGTTATAAATTTTAATGAAATATAATTTATTTTTTTTCCTTTGGTTGCCTATGCTTTAGATGTCATATCTAAGAAACAATTGCCTTATCCACGGTCACAAAGATTTATATTTTTGTTTTCTTCTGAGATTTTTGTAGTTTTAGCTCTGACATTTTGACCTTTGTTCTATCTGGGAATCGTTTTTTTGCGTACGGCATGAAGTAAGGGGCCAACTTCATTATTTTGCATGTGGATATCCAGTTCATACTTTCTTGTTCCAGGCACCATCCCTTACCTTTTCTCCTTTTTTTGTACCTGAATTATAGATAAGATGGCTAGAGATGCAGCAGCCAGCTTGTGACTATCAGAAAAAAAAAAAAAAAAAACTAACTAACAGAATTTTGGTGATTTGGGCATCAAACTGTTGACTACATTTTTACTGTGTGAAAAAACCCCCAATCCATAATTGTTTAGGGGTTTCTGTTATCTTGCAGCCCAAAGCACTGCTCTGTGATACATCACTTTTCTCTTCTCCCCTGGAGTAGACATTTTACAAAGTGGTTGAGTTCCACCTCATGGTAAGTCTACCATAATTCAAACTTTTTTCAATTTTTCCAGAATACAAAAGAGTGTCATTTTAATCGTGAAGGATTTATGAAACTTCATGCTGCTGGCCAAATATTATTGACCCTGGGCTGGGCTCACCCAAGCTGGGCCAATCAGGTCCTTTTTCCTGGAAATTTGGAATGTCAAACTGAGAGCTTTTGAGACAAGGTTCATTATTTTCTCCAGCTGAAGTCTTTGAAAACACAGTGGCTTCTTTCTATTTTTGTTTTCTTGTTTTGTTTATATCTTTCTTAGATGCTGTGAAAAACCCTCCTCAACCCGCACCATCCCTCAAAATTTTATTTTTGGCTGGTTTGTTTTTTTGTTTAAGCTATACAGAATTGGTTTCTGTTACATGAGACTGAAAGAACTGTAACAATACATGTTTTGCTTGTCATAGTCTCATTCTTCATCCACCCAGATAGCCATTCATATGGTCAGCTGGGTATTACCTTCTCCACATGGAGTTGGTATGTGAGGAGCTAAATCCAAAACTGCCTTTAGGAAGCCCAGGAACATATTATGCTTTTCTTTCAGAAATACAAAATAAAGATTTTTCCAAAAAAGTTTTCAATACTCTTCAGTATTTAGATCATAGACAATTGAAGAGCAGTAAAGATAAAATCGAGGACAAGTTAGAGTTTATATAGCCACTATTTATTTATTTTTTTGAAAGTGTCTGTGGTCCACAATACTTGTCACTCTGATAAACCAATATCAGACAGAACTGCAGAAAATCAGCCATTCTTTCACTTAAGAATAGACTGGTGGATACCTCAAGCCTCTAATTCGTGAGTTTTAGCTACAGCAGATTTGCAAACACCCAGGCATTTCTTTTCAAAGACCTATGGGATACAGGGAAGGGACCCCAGAAAACTCTGGTTCCAACAAAAGCAGAGTATCTTTAAAATCCAATCTTGTGTGTCTGTCTTAGGTTCAATTATCTCAGGTTTTATTCTGGTTAGTCTGAACCAAATCATCTGAGGTTTATGGTGGGGGCTCATCTGTCAGAAACTTTGGCCGCATGTTGCTATCTTTCTAAAGTACGTTATTAAATTACTTAGTGTTCACTAAGCACGAGGCATTGTGCTAAGTGGTAGAAATACAAATATTAATAAGATGAATACTCTCTCTACAAAGTTTTTATAACTTCTCTTTCTCTATTATATGGTAGAAGAAACTTTGTTACACATTCTGCAGAAAGAAATGATATATCTTCCAGTCATCCTTTTCTTCATCTCTATAGGCCTCTCTCTCTCTCATCTATCTATCTATCTATCTATCTATCTATCTATCTATCTATCTATCATCTATCTATCTACCTTTTGTTTTGTTTTGTTTTGTTTTTTTTTGAGATGGAGTTTCTCTCTTGTTGCCCAGGCTGGAGATCAATGGCACGATCTTGGCTCATTGCAACCTCTGGATTCAAGCGAATCTCCTGCCTCAGCTTCCCAAGTAGCTAGGGTTACAGGTATGCGCCACCACGCCCGGCTATTTTTTTTTTTTTTTTTTGCATTTTTAGTAGAGATGGGATTTCACCATGTTGGTCAGGCTGGTCCCGAACTCCTGAACTCAGGTGATCCACCTGCCTCGGCCTCCCAAAGTGCTGGGATTACAGGCATAAGCCACCGCATCCAGCCCCTATCTATCTATCTATCATCATCATCTGTCATCTATTTATCTATCATCCATCCATCCATCCGTCCGTCCATCCATCCATCCATCCATCCATCCATCCATCCATCCATCCATCTATCCATCCATCTGTAACAGTTAGTATTGGGTAGATTATGCTGTGGTAACCAATAACTCTAATATCATAGTGGATTTAAGCAGCAGAAGTTTATTTTTTGGCTAAAATCAAGTTAACTTCAGATTTTTTGATGGGGAGGGCTCTGTTCATGTTGTCCTCACTCACAGATCCAGGTTGTTGGAAGCTCCACCACCTGAGTACTGATGGATATTGCCCTGGAAGGCTCTGATATGGAAATAACGCATGTCTCCTTCACTCACAACTCACTGCTAGACTAGTCAAATGGCCACATCTAACTCTAAGGGGCAGGAAAGTGCTGTCCTATGCCTCGAGGGGGGTGAAATGGAAATGCTAGTGAGCAACATTAGTCAATTTCTTGTCTCCTCCTCCTCGCTTTCCTCCTTCTTTTTTTTCTTTGTCTTTACCTACTCTTCAGAATTTAATCTATCTTATAATTTAATAAAGTACAGACTTAAAAACAAATAAATCTCTTCTTGTAAAACATGTGACAAGTAGGTAAAAGTAGGTTTTTCCTTGTCATCAGGTAGTCAAATGCCTAGGAAGCTAACTTTCTTTGTATAAATGCTTTCAAAGGTAAAGATAAAAACAGACAAGCAAAGCCATGTATCCCACCAGCAATATAAAACCAGAACATGTGATAACCAGTTGTATTAGCTTTGCATGGCTTGCTGCAACGAATTGTCTCCACCTCGGTGGACTATAACAACACATATTGATTCTCTCAAGTTCTGGAGGTCAGAGATTAAAATTAGCATTCAAGGTGTTTTCAGGCAGAGGTTTACTTGTTAGCTTATGGAGGAGAACCTATTTTTTGCCTTTTCCAGCTTTTACAGTATCATCCCTTGCATTCTTTGGCTCATGGCCCCTTCCTCCCTCTTTAAAGCTGGCAGTGTAACATTTTCAAATCTCTCTTCTTCTTTGTCATATCACTGTCTCCCCTTCTGATTCTACAATAAAATAGCCCTCTGTCTTCCTCTTATAAAGACATTTGAGATTTCATTTAGGTCCCACTTTGATAACCCAGAATCCTCTCCACATCTTAAGGTCCTTAACTTAGTCATATCTGCAGAGTCATTTTTTTTTTCCGTGTAAGATAACATCCACAGGTTCTAGGGAATAGGAACTGGATTTTCTTAGAGGCTATTACTCAAGCCTACCACACTAGTAATATGAACAATAGCAACACTAAATCTCTGATTTTTGAGACAACGATTAAGAATATTATTTGTCAATCAATCCTAGTACCTAATTTTAACAGGAGATATCAGAGCAGAATGTACTAGAAGAGAAATGGGATCCAAAATAGTACACCCCAAAATAGTCTAATAATTAGTAATTATAGACCATTTCTTTTGCTGCTTTTACATATTTTTTAATGCTGATTTGAAATTTGCTGCACTCAGAGATTACATTTTATATTCAGAATCTCAATGCATTTTGTTTTATAAATATAGTGACTGGATTTGCTGCATTTAGCAGAAAATTCATTGCTTATACTTCCAAAATGAAACCCGTTGGAAACATTTTGTACATATGGGGCTATGAATTATGATTTTCCCCTTACAAGATATTTTCAAGTCAGAAAAGCAAAATTATTGCTTTCTTTCTCCCCCTGCTCCTTTGGGAAGGGAGCAGTGAATCTTACCTTTTGGCAGGTCAGAAACTCTCTCTTTTACTCAAGCAAGCTTATGCAGACACCTAAAATTAAATACTAGATTCTCACAAATGTCACACACCTCTAAAGAAGATGGAACCTAAATTGAATATTAATGAGTAATGAAAGCTGAAAACAAAATTGCCTGTTGGAAATGTGCTTATGAGTTATGAGAATAACATGTAAGTTTCCTCTTTCTACTTCATTTTGAAAATAGCTGTCCACAATGTGGTTAAGTGAGCCCTGGGATCCTGATATATTTTTCCAGGATGACTGCAGACTCTTGAGCAAATAATTTGTCCCATATTGCTGAATTCCTAAGAAATAAAATTGCTCACCCTAAAAAGAGCCTTTTCAGGACTCCAGGGTAATTTCTGCCTGGTGTGTTCAGTGCCTTTTACCCCCATCTTTTGGCTATTAGACTCTTACTGAGTTAATGCAATAATTCCTTGGCACTTTTCTCTTGCAGCTGCGGACAGGGTGAACTTTTTCTTGGGCCTGTGGTGCCTAGCTGTCAGATGGACTGTAACTACATTCACATTTTTATTCATTAAAAAAACCAAAGTAGGAATACTTCTATGTCTCCTGTGGCTTCTGTTGAATCTTTGAGGTGATATGAATCTGATCTTATCAAAATTAATGGCTTATGGTCATTCACACTATTATGGTTAATGGGGTTGAGCATGCATTATCCCCTGCAGAAATAGTGCTTATTTGGGACTTATAGTACAGCACAGTCTGGGAGTATGGTCAACCGAGTCTCTGGCCACTTTGTACTGTACGAATTTGAAATACATAGCAAATGATAGTTTGCAAAATGAATATTCAAGTATTAGTTTCAGGTTGCTACTCAAGCAGGTTGTGCTAAAAGAGAGCAATAATATTTAAGAATATGTTAAAAAATGTATCAGTGTTAATGAAACAAAAGCCATACTTTGCATTCTGTAATGAAAGGGAAAATGTATTTTCTTTCAGTATAGGCTCTGGCAACAGTGGCAGTGTGGTTATTTCAGCCTATGGCTCCTCTCACTTCTACCATTCCACCTCCCTGACCAACCTTCCAGAAGGGCAGAAAGGGCTAATACACTAGATTTAACTTTGTTTGCTTTCATCTCCTTCCATTTATCCATTTCTCTCAAATAGCCAGGAGGGCCATAGAGTTTTCTCATTAAGGCTGGCAATGTTCAGCCCCAGACTGGGGCAGGATAAAGGATGGATCCTGGGGCAAGCATTAAAAAAGGTCTCCCTTTAGTGTGAGGGACAAAAGTGGAACTAGAAGCAAGTTAGGGTCACATGTGATACTGATATTGCAGAAAATATCAAAGTGGGTCAATGCCATGGATTGAATGTTTGTGTCCACCTTTCCTCCAAAGTCAGATGTTGAAATTCTAACCCCCAGTGTGATGCTATTACAAGATGGGGCCTTTGGGAAGTGATTAGGTTGTGAGGGTGGAGCCCTCATGAATGGAATTAGTCCCCTTATAAAAGGGACCCTAGAGAACACTGTCACCCTCTTTTCTCCATGTGAGGATGCATTGAGAGGTCAGCAGTCTGCAACCTGGAGGAGAGTTCTCACCAGAACCTCATTGTGATGGCACCCTGATTTTGGATCTCCAGCCTCCCAAACTGTGAGAAATAAATTTCTGTTATTTGTAAGCCATCCAGTCTATAGCATTTTGTTATAGCAGCCTGAACTAAGACAGTCAAGAACCAGGAAAATAAGAGACAAAACATGGGCATTGGCTCAGGTATAGCGGAGTCCTTATGAATTCATAAGACTGCTCTCTGCTGTATTTGGGGTCATTTTGGTGGCCAAGGTCACATCTCTACCATCAATTGGCATCAGTATGGGGGAACCACCCATATGATTCAAATCATCTCCCACTGGGTCCCTCCCACAACATGTGGGAATTTGAGAGTACAATTCAAGATGAGATTTGGGTGGGGACACAGAGACAAACCATATCATTCTGCCCCGGCCCCTCCAAATCTCATGTCCTCACATTTCAAAACCAATCATGCCTTCCCAACAGTCCCTACAAGTCTTAACTCATTTCAGCATTAACCCAAAAGTCCACAGTCCAAGGTGTCATCCGAGACAAGGCAAGTCCCTTTGGCCTATGAGCCTGTAAAATCAAAAGCAAGCTAGTTACTTCCTAGATACAGTGGGGGTATAGGTATGGGGTAAATACAGTCATTCCAAATGGGAGAAATTGGCCAAAACAAAGGGGTTACAGGGCTCATGCAAGTCCGAAATTCAGCAGAGAAGTCAAAATTAAAATGATCTCCTTTGACTCCATGTCTCACATCCAGGTCGCTCATGCAAGAGGGGGGTTCCCATGGTCTTGGGGAGCTCTGCCCCTGTGGCTTTGCAGGGTATAGCCCCGCTCCTGGCTGCTTTCACAGGCTGGCACTGAGTGTCTGCGGCTTTTCCAGGCACACAGTGCAAGATGTTGGTGGATCTACCATTCTGGGGTCTGGGGGACAGTGACCCTTTTCTCATAGCTCCACTAGGCAGTGCCCCAGTAGGGACTCTGTGTGGGGCTCTGACCCCACATTTCCCTTCTGCACTGCCCTAGCAGAGGTTCTCCATGAGGGCCCTGCCCCTGCAGCAAACTTTTGCCTGGGCATCCAGGCGTTTCCATATATCTTCTGAAATCTAGGAGGAGGTCCTCAAACCCCTATTCTTGACTTCTGTGCACCTGCAGGCTCAACATCACACATAAACTGCCAAGGTTTGGGGGTTGGACCCTCTGAAACCATGGGCTGAGCTGTACCTTGGCCCCTTTTAGCAATGGCTGGAGCAGCTGGGATACAGGGCACCTAGTCCCTAGGCTGTACACAGCATGGGGACTCTGGGCCCGGCCCACAGAACCATTTTTCCCTCCTAGGCTCTGGGGTCTGTAATGGGAGGGACTGCCATGAAGACCTATCACATGCCCTGGAGACATTTTCCCCATTGTCTTGGGGATAAACATTCAGCTCTTTGTTACTTATGCAAATTTCTGCAGCCAGCTTGAATTTCTCCTCAAAAAATGGGTTTTTCTTTTCTGTGGCATTGTCAGGCTGCAAATTTCTGAACTTTTATTCTGTGTTTCCCTTTTAAAACAGAATGCTTTTAACAGCACCCAAGTCACCTTTTGAATACTTTGTTGCTTAGAAATTTCTTCTGCCAGATACCCTAAATCATCTCTCTTAAGTTCAAAGTTCCACAAATCTCTAGGGCAGGGGCAAAACGCCACCAGTCTCCTTGCTAGAACGTAACAAGAGTCACCTTTGCTCCAGTTCCCAACAAGTTCCTTATCTCCATCTGAGACCGCTTCAGCCTGGACCTTATTGTTCATATCATTATCAGCACTTTTGTCAAAGCCACTCAGCAAGCTTCTAGGAGGTTTCAAACTTTCCCACATTTTCCCGTCTTCTTCTGAGCCCTCCAAACTGTTCCAACATCTGACTGATACCCAGTTCCAAAGTTGCTTCCACATTTTCAGGTATCTTTTCATCAACACCCCACCCTACTGGTACCAATTTACTGTATTAGTTCATTTTCACGCTGCTGATAAATACATACCTGAGACTGGGGAGAAAAAGAGGTTTAATTGGACTCACAGTTTCACATGGCTGAGGAGGCCCCAGAATCATGTGGGAAGTGAAAGGTATGGCAGCAGCAACATAAAATGGGGAAGATGCAAAAGCAGAAACCCCTGATAAAACCATCAGATCTCGTGAGACTTATTCACAACCATGAGAACAGTATGGGGGAAACTGCCCCCATGATTCACATTATCTCCCACCAGGTTTCTCCCACAACACGTGGGAATTATGGGAATACAATTCACGATGAGATTTGGGTAGAGACACAGAGACAAACCATATCAGCATCTAACATCAATCACTAGTAAGTGTTTACCTAATTATCCATCCATCATCTATTCATTCATTCATTCATAAACATGTTCCAAATAATTTAGTGTTGGCTTTTATTGGAGTCTCTAGCCTTCTTGCGTGCCTCCTCTACAGCCAGACCTTATTTCAAATTAATGTGGAAGGGTGCATGTCAGGAGCATTTATTGAGTATAGGTGTTGGGGAGTCTTGGTTTTTCACAAGGCCAGTACGCTAAAAAGAGGCTGAGATGCTAAGATATCTTTTTTTATTTTGAGACGGAGTTTCACTCTTGTTGCCCAGGCTGGAGTGCAATGGCACATGATCTTGGCTCACTGCAACCTCCGGGTTCAAGTGATTCTCCTGCCTCAGCCTCCTGAGTAGCTGGGATTACAGGCATGTGCCACCATGCCCGGCTAATTTTGTATTTTTAGTAGAGGGTTTCTCCATGTTGGTCAGGCTGGTCTCAAACTCCTGACCTCAGCTGATCTGCCCGCCTTGGCCTCCCAAAGTGCTGGGATTACAGGTGTGAGCCACTGTGCCTGGCCAAGGCTGAGATATCTTTATACTTGGATAGAGTCATCCACTCCAAGAAAGCCTGGACCCTGACACAGGCACTTCTTTTTTTCTTCTTTTCTATATTTGCTTTTTCTCACTATGGGACACTAAGATCTAGAGGGCTCAGTTTAGGCTGTGGGTTTTAGGGGGAAGAGAAAAGCAATCCCATGGGCCAATCATTTGCCCAGGAAGGTAGAATCAGCCATACAGCCTCACCTAGCTCACCAGGGGGCTTACCTTAGTTTGTGGGTGGCCTGGAGCTCTGTGTACCTCTTTTTCAGAGACGCTTTCGTGGATGGCTATGGAAGGGTAGGGCAAGATTTTCTATTCAAGTCCAGGTTTCTAAGCTGTAGCTCTGACAGTTCTCCTTAGGACAGAGATGGCAGACTCATATGTAAGGCAGGATATGAAATCTTGGACTGGGAATGGTAAGAGGTTTTTCCAAATAGAGGTTGGATGCTACAGTGGGAAGAATAACAAGAGGAGTTTTTTTTTTTTTTTTTTTTTTTTTTGGTGGTGGAATAGGGAGGCACCCAGTTACCAGACCAGCTCATAAAGAGAGGTAGTAAGGAGAGAAGTTCTGGTAAAGCAAGTCCTCAACCCAGAAAACCAGCAGGTTAGGCTAGGCCTCAGGAACAACCGACAAAACAAAGAAAGGGCAATTCGTTTTTTCAAAAGAAAAAGGAGTATTCTCGAGAAAGGAGCAATTAAGGGAAGTGCAGTGAAGCATCCAGAGAGGTATGATTTTAGTTTGAACTGGTCACAGACTTGGGTTATTACTTGAAGGAGAGTTTTAACCACTTTATTTGCAAATAGTGCATATTGGTAGAATAGAAGAGGAACCCCTTTTCTTACCAGACATAAGTTCAGAATCTGGTATTTATTCTGATGGGGTTGATGAAATTAAATGTTATACAGTTGTTTGTCATAGCTTTTAATGGTTAAAAAAAATTTGTCTTCACTATAGTCCTTGAAAAGACATAAGGAAATTAAAATTTAACAGCCTGAAAAATTAAGATTTAATACCCCTGCAATGTATCGTCTCCTTAAAATATTTTAGATGGTCTTCTTATCCAGTTGTAAAATGATACATATTCATTAAAAATATTAAAATACAGAGAAATACACAGAGTAAAAATAAAATCACCTGGAGGGGAAGTATCAAAACGGCAGACTGGAAGCAGCTCATGAAGAGGAAACGAAAGGGCTGGTGAACACTGACCCTGCAGGCTGATCATCTGAAAAACCTGTTGGGATCCATCGAGGCAGCAGGGGAACACAAAGAGCAGACAGGAGTGAGGCTGGGCCCTTGTGGAGCCAGGAGAATCTCTCCAACATGGGAAAGGGGAGTTGAGTGAGAGCCCCCGAAGGACTCATGTTCTCCAAAGGGACCTGTGCAAAACTGGGAATGGGATCATACTCCTGGCCCCCCAACATCTTCCCACTATGCTTCTAGTGGCAGAGAGCCACCTAGATGTTCTGCGAGGGCAACTCTGGAGTCCAAGGGGACCTCTATAAGCCTTGGGCCCTGAAACAGATCAACAGTGGCACCATAGCCCTAGTAGAGGCCATAGTTGCTGTTCCTAGAAGCAATAAGATTGCTCTACTCATTCTTGCCAGATGGGGCTTGGCACCAGCTCGTGATGCAATGGTCCTGCTTTGGCCCAAACTTGGCTGGCCACTCCACTCACCCCTGCCACTGGTAACCAGGTGGGCAACACTTACTGGAGCCTCCAACCCAGTAGCCCTTCTTTTGTGCGACCTCAGCAGAAAGGCGTAGCCTCATGATATCTTAGAAACAGGTGAACAGCAGGGTGCATGACCCTATCCACCCCCACCACTGATAGCCAGAAGGGCAACACCTCCTAGAGCTGCTGGCTCAGTGGCTCTGCTTCTGTGTGAATTCAGCCAGTGGGCACAGCCTCATGTTTTCCCAAGAAGTGCACAGACAGAGATCCCACCCACTGCTGTCACTGATAGCCAGGTAGGAAACAACTGCTAGAGCTTCTGGCCCAGTGGCCCTGCTTCTGTGGGAACTCAGCTGGAAGGTGTAGCTTCATGTTTTCCCAGGAAACACCCAGATGGCAGGGTATGTGACACCCCCACACCCCCACCACTTGCAGCCAGGAGAGCAATGCGTGCTAGAGTTTCTAGCCCAGGGGTCCTGGTTCTATGGAAACTCCGCCAGTGGGCACAGCCTCCTGTCATCCAAGGAAGCACTTGATGGCAGGGTGGGCATCTCTACCCACTCCCACCACTGGTAGCTAGATGAGCCACACCTGTTAGAGCTTCTGGCTCAGCAGCACTACTTCTGCCAGAATTTGCTAAAAGGCACAGCCTCCTGTTGCTCTGGAAAGACCTGGAGGGCAGAGCAGGCAACTCCACCCACCTCCACCTTCCAAAGCCAGATGAATCACAGCCGCTAAAGTTTCCAACCCAGTGGTTGAGTTTCTGCATAAACTCTGAGGCAGGCACAACCCTGTGTTTCCCCAGGAAGCACACGACCTGACAAGGATGTGATTTGTCTGCCAACTGTGGCCCCTGCTTGAGGGAGCTGCATGAACCAGAATACCCAACAAAATACCCATGGGGACAGAGAAGTAATCAGAGGGGGCTCCTCCAAGACCCAGGAGTGGACTAGAATCAAAGCCAGTTAATTGAATTGACCTTATACCATAACCAAACCCCCAAGGGCACCAAAGAAAAAAAAGCAAAAAAGAAAAATTGCATCTAAAGGACAGCAACTTCAAGCTTTGAAGGAAGATGAGCCCACACAAATGGGAATGAATCAGCATAAGAACTCTGGCAATGCAAAAAGCCAGAGTGCCTTCTTCCCTCCAAATGACTGCACTTGTTACCAAGAAAGGGTTCTTAACCAGGTTGAGATGGCTGAAATGACAGAACTAGTATTCAGAATATGGATAGCAATGAAAATCATCAAGATTCAGGAGAATGTTGAAACCCAATCCAAGGAAGCTTAGAATCACAATAAAATAACACAGGAGCTGATAGAACAAAATAACCATTATATATATATATATTATATATATATGTATATAAATATATATATTTTATATACGTATATAAAAATGTATATTTACATATATAAAATAAATATTTTATATACGTATATAAAATATATATTTATTTTATATACGTATATAAAATATTTATTTTATATATGTATATAAAATATTTATTTTATATACATGTATATTAAATATATATTTATATATGTATATAAAAATATATATTATATACATGTATATAAAATATATATTATATATGTATATAAAAATATATATGTATATAAAATATATATATTATATAGATATATAAAATATATATTATATAGATATATAAAATATATATATTATATAGATATATAAAATATATATATTATATAGATATATAAAATATATATATTATATAGATATATAAAATATATATATTATATAGATATATAAAATATATATATTATATAGATATATAAAATATATCTATATAATATATATGTAAAATATATATAAAAAACTGATTTGATAGAGCTAAAAACATACAAAAAGAATTGCGTAATGCAATCCCAAGTGTTAACAGCAGAATAGACCAAGCTGAGGAAAGAATCTCAGAGCTTAAAGACTGGATCTCTGAAATAACTCAGTCAGACAAAAAATAAAGAAAAAAGTATATAAAAAGAATGAACAAAACCTCCATGAAATATGGGATTATGTAAAGAGACTAAATCTTTGACTCACTGGTATCCCTGAAAGGGACAGAGAGAAAACAAGCAATCTGGAAAACGTATTTCAAGATATCATCCATGAAAATTTCCCCAAGCTAGCCAGAGAGGTCAACAGTCAAATCTAGGAAATGCAGAGAATCCCTGCAAGATATTTCACAAGAAGACCATTTCCAAGAAACATAATCAGATTCTCCAAGGTTGAAATGAAAGAAAATGTTAAAGGCTGCTAGAGAAGAGGGGCAGATCACCTACAAAGGGAGCCCTGTCAGGCTAACAGTGGGCCTTTCAGCAGAAAACCTACAAGCCAGAATAGATTGGGAACCTATATTCAGCATTTTTTAAAAAAAATTTCAACCAAGAGTTTCACATCCAGCCAGACTAAGTTTCATAGGTGAAGGAGAAATAAGATCCTTTTCAGACAAGCAAATGCTGAGGGAATTCATTACCACCAGACCTGCCTTACAAGAGGTCCTGAAAGGAGCACTACGTAAGGAAAGGAAAGATCATTACCAGCCACTATAGTAACACACCTAAGTATATAGATCAGTGATACTATAAAGCAACCACAAGAACAAGTCAGCATAGTAACCAGCTAACTACATGATGATAGAATCAAATTTGCTCACATCAATACTAACCTTGAATGTAAATGGGCTTGAACACCCCAAGTAAAAGGCACAGAGGGGCAAGTTGGATAAAGAAGCAAGACCTAATGGTATGCTGTCTTCAAGAGACCCATCTCATGTGCCATGACATCCATAGGCTCAGAATAAAGACATGGAGAAAAATCTACCAAGCAAATGGAAAACAGAAAAATGCAGAGGCTGCAATCCTAATTTCAGGCAAAATGGACTTTAAGTTGACAAAGATCAAAGAAGATAAGGAAGAGCATTATATAATGGTAAAGGGTTCAATTCAATAAGAAGACTTAACTATCCTAAATATATATGCGGCCAACACAGCAGCACTCAGATTCAAAAAGTATGCTTTTAGAGATCTACAAAGACTTAGTCTCCCACATAAAAATAGTGGGAACATTCAACATTCTATTGACAGTATTACACAGATCATGGAGTCAGAAAATTAACAAAGATATTCAGTACCTGAACTCAACACTTAGCCAAATGGACCCTCTCCACCCCAAAACAACAGAATATACATTTGTCTTATTGCCACATAGACCCTACTCCAATCAGAGTATGAAACACCCAATCAGATATGAAACAACATTCAGCAAATTCAAGAAAACTGAAATTATATCAACCACACTCTTGGACCATAGCACAATAAAAATAGAAATCAAGACTAAGAAAATCACTCAAAATCATACAATTACATGAAAATTAAACAACCTCCTCCTGAATGACTTTTGGGTAAACAATGAAATTAAGACAGAAATCAAGAAATACTTTGAAACTAATGAAAATAAAGATACAACATACCAGAATCTCTGAGAAATAACTAAGGGAGTGTTAAGAGGCAAGCTTATGGCCCACATCAAAAAGTTAGGAAGATCTCAAATGAACAACCTAATATCACAACTAGAAGAACTAGAGAAGCAAAAGCAAAGAAACCCCAAAGCTAGCAAAAGAGAATAAATAACCAAAATCAGAGCTTAACTGAAGGAAATTGAGTCACAAAAAACCATGCAAAAGCTCAATGAATCCAAGAGTTAGTTATTTTAAAGAATCAATAAGATAGATAGATCACTAGCTAGGCTAATACAGAAAAAAGAGAATCCAAATAAACACATCTGGAAATGACAAAGGGGACATCACCACTGACACTGCAGAAATACAAAAAACCTCAGAGACTATTATGAACACCTCTATGCTCACAAACTAGAAGTTCTAGAAGAAATGAATAAATTCCTGGATGCATACAACCTCCCAAGACTGAACCAGGAAGAAATTGAATCCCTGAACAGACCAATAATAAGATACAAAAGTAATAAAAAGCCCACAACCCCCCAAAAGCCTAGGACTGGATGGATTCACAGTTGAAATTTACCAGATGTATAAAGACGACTCCTTCCCAACTCATTCTGTGAGGCCAACATCATCCTGATTCCAAAACCTGGCAGAAACAACACAACAAACCAAAACTTCAGGCCAATACCCTTGACAAACATAGATGCAAATATCCTCAAGAAAATACTAGCAAACTGAATTCAGCAGGACATCAAAAAGCTAATCCATCATGATCCAGTAGGCTTTATCCTTGCAATGCAAGGTTGGTTTAACATACACAAACCAGTAAACGTGATTCATCACATGAACAGTACTAAAAATAAAAGCCACTTTATTATCTCAGTAGACGTAGAAAAGGCTTTTGATAAAATTCAATATCCCTGTATGTTAAAAACCCTTAGTAAACTAGGCACTGAAGGAATAAATATCAAAATAATGAGCCATTTATGACAAAACCACAGCTAACATCAGATTGAATGGGCAAAAGCTGGAAGCATTTCCCTTGAAAACCAGCACAAGACAGGGATGCCTGCTCTCACCATTCATAGTTAACATAGTATTGGAAGTTCTGGCAAGAGCAATCAGACAAGAGAAAGAAATAAAAGACATCCAAATAAGAAGAGAGGAAGTCAAATTATCCCTGTTTTCTGAGGACATGATTCTATTTCTAGAAAACCCGGTAGTCCTTGGCCGAAAGCTCCTGATCTGATAACAACTTTAGCAAAGTTTCGGGATACAAAATCAATGTACAAAAATCAGTAGCATTTCTATATACCAACAACATCCAAGCCGAGAGCCAAATCAGGAATGCAATTTCATTCACAGTTGGCAAAAAAAGAATAAAATACCTAGATATATAGCCCATTAAGGATTTGAAAGACCTCTACAATGAGAATTACGAAATACTACTCAGAGACATCAGCGATGACACAAACAAATAGAAAACATTTTATGCTTATGGATGGGAAGAATGAATATCATTAAAATGACTATACTGCCCAAAGCAATTTATAGATTCAATGCTATTTCTATCAAACTGCCAATGATATTCCTTACATAATTAGATAAAAAATTTAAAAATTCATACGAAACTAGAAAGATCCCAAATAGCCAAGGCACTCCTGAGCGAAAAGAACAAAGTTGGAGGCATCACATTATCCTAATTCAAACTATACTACAGGGTTATAGTAAACAAAAACAGCATGGTACTGGTACAATAACAGAAACATAGACCAGTGGGACAGAATAGAGAGCCCAGAAGGAAGGCTGCACACCTACAACCATCTCATATTTGACAAAGTTGACAAACACAAGCAATGGAGACAGGACTCTTTATTCAATAAATGGTGCTGGGATAACTGGCTAGCCGTAGGCAGAAGACTGAAACTGGACCCCTACCTAACACAACATACAAAAATCAACTCAAGATAGATCAAATACTTAAATGTAAGCTCTAAAACTATATAAATGTAAGCTCTAAAACTATATAAATGTAAGCTCTAAAACTATAAAAATGTAAGCTCTAAAACTATAAAAATCCTGGAAGATAACCCAGGAAACATCCTTCTGGACATAGGACTTGGCAAAGATTTCATGATAAAGACACCAAAGGCAGTTGCAACAAAAGCAAAAATTCACAAGTGGGACCTAATTAAACTAAAGAGCTTCTGCACAGCAAAAGAAACTATCAATAGAGTAAACAATCTACAGAATAGGAGAAAATACATGCAAACTATGCATCTGACAAAGGTCTAATGTGCAGCATCTATAAGGAACTTCAACAGATTTACAAGAAAGGAAAAACACACTAAAAAATGAACAAAGGAAAGGAACAGACAATTTGCAAAAGAAGACATACATGCGGCCGCAATTATGTGAAAAAACCCCTCAACATCACTGATCATTAGAGAAATGCAAATTAAAATCACAATGGGATATAATCTCACACCAGGGCTCTTAAAAAACAAAACAAAACAAAGCAAAACCAAAAAATCAGATGCTGGAGAGATTGCAGAGAAAAAGGAACAGTTATACACTGCTGATGGAAATATAAATTAGTTCAGCCACTGTGGAAAGCAGTGTGGTGATTCCTCAAAGAACTTAAAACAGAATTACCATTTGACCCAGCAATCCCATTATAGGGTATATACCCAATGGACCATATGAATCATTCTGCCATAAAGACACATGCATGCATATGTTCACTGCAGCACTATTCACAAGCAGAAAGACATGGAATAAACCTAAATGCCCATCAATGTTAGACTGGATAAAGAAAATGTGGTACATGTACACCATGGAGTACTATCAGTCATAAAAAGAATGAGATCATGTCCTTTGCAGCAACATGGATAGAGCTAGATACCATTATCCTAAGCTAAGACAAGAACAGAAAACCAAATACTGCATGTTCTCACTTATAAGTGGGAGCTAAACAGCAAGAGCACACGGATACTAGGAGGGGAACAACAGATACTGGGGTCTACTTGAGGGTGGAGGGTGAAAGGAAGCAGAGAAGCAGAAAAAATACCTATCAGGTACTATGCTTATTCCCTGGGTAACAAACTTATCTGTACACCAAACCCCCATTACAAGCAATTTACCTATATAACAAAACTGTGCATATGCCCCTGAACCTAAAATGAAAGTTAAAAAATGAAATAAAATCACCTGCCTACAGACAATCCTATTGGTATTTTAGAGTATATTCTTTCAATAATTTCACTGTCCATTAATATACACACACATTTTGGAAAAATAAGATTACCCTATTATTATTATTTCTGTAAACTGCTCTTTTCACTAATGCACGGCAAAATTTTTTTCAAAGCCGTTAAGTATTCTTTTCAATATAATTTATACTCATTCAGTTTATCTAAGTAATTTATTTAATCAATCTCCTATTGTTAATAAGTTATCTCTTTCTCCAGTTTTTTTATTTTTTATCATTATTAGCAGTGGTTTAATGCACCTCATTTGATCAATTTCCAAATATTTAATGAGCGTTTAGTATATGTCAAGCCTCATACATGGCTGAATACAAACAGACTTGGTTCCTAACCTTAGGCAAGTTAGTGTAGTGGGAGATACAAATTATAAACAAGTAAATCAACAGGCTTAGGTATTTTGTGGTTGCCCCAAGGAGAACAGGATTAACCCCTACCTAAATTAGTCATGATGGTGAGACTGATGATGCTGCATGCACCAAGAAGGTATGAATAGGTTTATTACTCACATCATGAGGCTCTCCCGAGAGAGCAGGGCAGGTGTAAATTAATCCAGATGGCTTAAGCGAAGTGGAAAAAGTGGACTGGGCCATTATAGTGGCCGTAGGGTGGGGCCTTGTGAGGTTTGGACTGCTGCTAGCAGCAAGGATTGGGCAGACAGGAAAGTGGAACAGGGATTCAAAAGCTGTCAACAGTTTTACATCAAAAAAGGTGTCAGCAGGCCGGGCGCGGTGGCTCAAGCCTGCAATCCCGGCACTTTGGGAGGCCAAGGCGGGCGGATCATGAGGTCAGGAAATCGAGACCATCCTGGCTAACATGGTGAAACCCCGTCTCTACTAAAAATACAAAAAAAATTAGCCAGGTGTGGTGGCGAGCGCTTGTAGTCCCAGCTACTCAGGAGGCTGAGGCAGGAGAATGGCGTGAACCCAGGAGGATGAGCTTGCAGTGAGCCGAGATCGCGCTGCTGCACTCCAGGCTGGGTGACAGAGCGAGACTCCGTCTTAAAAAAAAAAACAACAACAAAAAACAAACAAACAAACAAAAAACAAAAAAAAGAGGTCAGTCTGTTTATTGTAACAGGTAATTAGAAATTGAGGAAATGCCATGAAGACAATAACTTGGAAGAAAATTATTGAGTTATTAAATTGGGGGGCTCTGGGAAGGTTGTTCTGAGAGGTGACATACAAGTTAAGAAGTTAAGAGTGAGAAGGAGCCAATCAGATAAAGAGCTGGGGCAGGAGCCTGTGAAGGGAACAGCCAACACAAAATGAAAGACAGTTTGTCATGTCTGAGGAGGGTTATGAGAGAGTGGGAGTGGGCACCGAGATGAGAGACAAAATTGTTGAGGTAGGCAAGAGTTAGATCCTGCAGGGCATAGTAGGCAATATTAAGAAGTTTGCATTGGATTTGTTTGTGCAAGAGGAAGACACTGATGTTTTAGGCAAGGGAGTGACATTACCTGACTTGTTTTTAAAATATCACTTCAGTTGTTATGGAGAGACTATATCGTTGGTGCTAAGTGTGGCAGCAAAGAAAATAAGAAGTTATTTCAGTAGTCCAGTAGAGATATGACGGTGGTTTAGGCGAGAGGGGTGGCAGGGAAGATGAAGCAAAATGAATGAATGATTCATAAAGATTTGGAGATTACTGATCAGAATATTGTGGCTGAATGGAGGGTATGAGTAGAGGATTGAACTAACTCCAAGTCTTCTGCCTTGAACAATTGGATAGGTATTGGTGCCATTTATTGTAGTGCATTCAGTAGTGGAGACAAGATATTTAAAGGGGGAATGAGTGGCAGGGTTTGGTTGGGGAGTAAATTCAGGAATTTGGTTTTTGACAAGTTAGCTTTGATAGGCTTATGACATAGCCAGGTGGAGATGCCAAACACGTAGTTGAACAAATGAATCTGGAGCTCAGAGGTGAGGTTGTGATGGAAGAATAAATTTGGAAGTTGTTACCACATAAATGACATTTAAAACAAGAGACTGGTTCAAACTGTCAAGGGAGAGAGTGCAGGGAGAAAGGTGGGTTAAAGGAGGAGTTCCCAGGAAACATGATGAGGAAGTTTCCAGAATAGTAGGAAGGAAATGAGGAGGATATGCTGTCATGGAAGCCAGAAAGGAAAATATAGCAAGAAAGTTGGAGGGGCCAACTTTGTAGAATGTTGCTGAGATGTCAAAAAACGGTAGACCTTAAAGTGCCTAGTGGGTTTTGCAACAGGAGGTCACTGGTGACTTTGAAGACCTTGTCAGTAACGTAGTGGGTGTGAAAGTGAGATTAGAGTTGGCTGAAGTGGGAGGTAAGAAGAGAAGACAATGTGTGCAGACAACTTTTTCAAGAAGTTGTCCTTTGAGGGAGCAGAGAAATTTGGTAGTAGCTGAAGGAAGATATTGGGAAGAGGGCTTTATCAAGATAGTTTGAGTGCTGATGGGATAATTCTTGTGGAACAGCTTTTGGGAACATTCATTATTAACTCCATAAATTACATGAGAGGCTGAATAGCACAGAGTTTAGGAGCATGGGCTGTGGAGCAGGCTGCCTGGGCTCTATCCCTTAGTGGCTGTGCAACAACCTTGGGTGAGTATCTTAACTTTGTCTCTGCCTTAATTACCTTATTTGTAAAATGGGGATAATGACACTAATAGTACCTACCTCATCAGGATGTTGTGAGGATTGAATAAGTAAATATTTGCTAAGTTCTTAGAATGCAGCCTAGGACATTCATATAGTACACATTATATAAATGTTTGCTAAATAAACAAACATAAAATACAAATGATTATAAGCAGAATTTCTAAGACATAGAGTACACACATTTTAAAGCCTTTGGTGATACCAAATTGCTTTTCACAAAATATCACCAGCTTGTGTGTTCATGGGCTGTCAACAAAAGGGTTAGTTTCTGGACCTCCTTACCAACATGAGGTAATATATATCAAAAACACTGCATTTTGCAAGGCAAAAAAATATATATATATATATTGGCTGTGTCCCCACACAAATCTCATCTTGAATGAATTATAGCTCCCATAATTCCCTCATGTTGTGGGAGGGACCCAGTGAGAGGTAATTGAATCATGACGCGTTTTCTCCCATACTGTTCTCGTGGTAGTGCCTAAGTCTCATGAGATCTGATGGTTTTATAAGGGGAAAACCCTTTCACTTGGCTATCACTCTTCTCTTGTCTGCTACCATGTGAAATGAGCCTTTTGCCTTCCAGCATGATTGTGAGGCTTTCCCATTGATGTGGAACTGTGAGTCCACTAAACCTCTTTCTTTTGTAAACGGCCCAGACTTGGGTATATCTTTATCAACAGCTTGAAAACAGACTAATACACTGAGCATTTTTAAAAAGCTTGTTGGCAATTTAAGTTTTTTCTAAAATAAGTTGCCTATTTTTGTCCATTGTTTATATTTTCCATTGTGGTGTTTTGCTTTTCTCGTATTGCTTTTAAAGAACTAGTAAGGCATCAGACTTGAGACTTTTTTCTCCTTTTGTCATTTGCTTTTTAAGTGATGATTTGGGGGCCAAAAAAGGTCTTATTTGTGGTGAAATATTTACTTTTCTATATTTTTTCTCTCTTTTACTGACAAATGAGATACTCATCTATGTTCCTTCTTTTTTTTTAGTTGTATTTTTTGAATTATATTTATAATCCAGCTGGAATTTATTTTAGTGTATAGTATAAAGTATGCATATAATTATTTTTACACAAATATTTGAGCAGATTTACCAACAACATTTATTGAATAATCTATTCTTCTCTTGCTAATTAGACATAAATCCTTCATTATATGTAATCATCTATAAATATTTGAGTCTGTTTCTGCTCTTTCTATTCTTTCTATTGTTCTATTCCTGTTCCAATGATCTGTTCTTTCTATTCTTAATTTAGTGCAAAACTCTCAATTATAATGTCTTTGCAATTGAAAATTTAAATAAAACATATAAATATAATCTGAATCTGATTTTGCAAAATCCATTACTTTTTTTTTTATTTTTCAAAATTGATCACTTGCTTCTGCCTGGTGACTTTTTAAATTTGAAAATTAATATGTTTTAAAGTTCTACATAAACATTCTGGTAGGATTTGTATTACCCTTATGAAATAATTTAGGATTATTAAGGCTCCCATGATATGGCTTCTGTGATAGGTAGTGCATTGAGTGTGGGCAAGAACTGTGACTACTATGGGATATCACTCCCATGATTAGGTCACTAATTAGTTGATTTTTGAGTTAGTCAAAAGTGAGACTTTCCAAGTGGGCTGTACCTAACCAAGAGAGCCCTTAAAAGGGCCTTGGACCTCATTGCAAAAGAGATTTAAAGTGTAACGGGAATTTCATGCAAGTGAGATTCTCCGTTAATAACTTTGAAGATGGGAAGGGTCTATGCAAGTAAAAACCAGGGAGTCGCTGGTTGGAGCTGAGAGCAATCCCTAACTGACAGTCAGCAAGGAACTGAATTCTGCCATCAATCTAAATCATCTTGGAAGAGAACCAGATTTGAGATCCAGAGGAGAGCACATCCTTGTAACACCTTGATTTTGATTTTGGTCTTGTGAGATCCTGAGCTAATGACACGAACCCAGTCGTGTCATGCCTGGACTTCTGACTCACAGAACTGTGAGTTAGTAAATGGATGTTGTTTTAAGTTATTAAGTTAGTGGTAATTTGCTAGGCAGAAATAGAAATGTAATGCAGTTTTCATTTATTAAATTCTCCACTGTTGTAAACCTCAGTAAAGTTTTATATATGGATCCAACATGTTTATTGGTAAGTGTATTCCTGAGTGTATTGGTCAGGGCTCTTACTTACAGACAAATAATCCTCTAGCTAGTGCCAGCAGAAAGAAGACACCCCTGCCCCCCGCCAAAAAGCTGAGTATCTCACAGAAACCTTGGGAAAGTTGGAGAACCAGGCTTAGATGCCAGAAAGCCAAAAACAAAGCAGCCGGGGGAAACTGCCTAACCACAATATGAGACTATTCTAGCAAAACTAGCTGCTGATGTGTTACTGCTCAGCACCTCTGACACATTCTGGATGCCTGAAACCCTGCTACACATGCCCTGGAGGAATAAAACTCCTCAGCCATGAAACTTGCCAGAAGATCTGGCTTTCCTGCCTGTAGCTACTTATTTTTTTTCCTAAGTTTCATGCTGATGCTTCTGCTTGGTGGAAACCAGGCAATATATCAAATTTTACCTTCAACAGAGGCTGGAACATGTAGTTTAAGGCTATTGGCCTATCTAGTAGAAGAAAGAAAATTAGAAGAGGGTAGAAAGAGGTGCAGAATGAGCCAGCTTACAACATCCATGATTCCATGCATTTTATATTTTGTTGTTATTGTGAAAATGATCATTTGGTGAGGAACGGTGCACTCCAGCCCAGATACTATGCTTTTCCCACGGTCTTTGCAACACGCAGACCAGGAGATTCCCTCTGATGCCTAGACCGCCAGGGCCCTGGGTTTCAAGCACAAAACTGGGTGGCCGCTTGGGCAGACACCAAGCTAGCTGCAGGAGTTCTTTTTCATACCCCAGTGGCGCCTGGAATGCCAGCAAGACAGAACTGTTCACTCCCCTGGAAAGGAGGCTGAAGCCAGGAAGCCAAGTGGTCTAGCTCAGTGGCTCCCAGCCCCACAGAGCCCAGCAAGCTAAGATCCACTGGCTTGAAATTCTCACTGCCAGCACAGCAGTCTGAAGTCAACGTGGGACACTCCGGCTTGTTGAGGGGAGGGGCGTCCACCATTACTGAGGCTTGAGTAGGCGGTTTTCCCCTCACAGTGTGAACAAAGCTGCCAGGAAGTTCAAACTGGTTGGAGCTCACCGCAGCTTGGGAAAGCCACTGTAGCTGAAATACCTCTCTAGATTCCTCCTCTTGGGCAAGGCATCTCTGAAAGAAAGACAGCAGCTCCAATCAGGGGCTTATAGATAACACTCCCATCTCCCTGGGACAGAGCACCTGGGGGAAGGGGTGGCTATGGGCGCAGCTTCAGCAGACTTAAACGTTCCTGCCTGCCGGCTCTGAAGAAAGCAATGGATCTCCCAGCACAGTGCTCAAGCTCTGCTAAGGGACAGAATGCCTCCTTGAGTCGGTCCCTGACCCCTGTGCCTCCTGACTGGGAGACACCTCCCAGCAGGAGTCAACAGACATCTCATACAGGAGAGCTCTAGGTGGCATCTGGCAGGTGCCCCTCTTGGTTGAAGCTTCCAGAGGAAGGAATAGGCAGCAATCTTTGCTGTTCTGCAGCCTCTGCTGGTGATACAAGCAAACAGCATCTGGAGTGGACCCCCCGCAAACTCCAGCAGACCTGTAGCAGAGGGGCCTGACTGTTACAAGGAAAACTAACAGAAAAGAATAGCATCAACATCAACCAAAAGGACATCCACACAGAAACTCCATCTGAAGCTCACGAACATAAAGGCCAAAGGTAGATAAATCCACAAAGATGAGGAAGAACCAATACAAAAAGGCTGAAAATGCCAAAAACCAGAAAACTTCCTCTCATCCAAAGGAACACAACTCTTCACTAGCAAGGGAACAAAACTGGATTTAAAATGAGTTTGATGAATTGACAGAAGTTGGATAATAACAAACTTCTCTGAGCTAAAGGAGCATGTTCTAACCCAATGCAAGAAAGCTAAAAACCTTGAAAAAAGGTTAGACGAATTGCTAACTAGAATAACCAGTTTAGAGAAGAATATACATGATCCAGTGGAGCTGAAAAACACAGCACAAGAACTTTGTAAAGCATATACAAGTATCAATAGCCAACTTGATCAAGTGGAAGAAAGGATATCAGAGATTGAAGATCAACTTAATGAAATAAAGCGTGAAGACAAGATTAGAGAAAACAAAATGAAAAGAAATGAACAAAGCCTCCAAAAAATACGGTACCATGTGAAAAGACCAAACCTATGTCTGTTTGGTGTACCTGAAAGTGATGGGGAGATTGAAACCAAATTGGAAAACACACTTCAGGATATTATCCAGGAGAATTTCCCCAACCTAGCAAGACAGGCCAATATTCAAATTCAGGAAATACAGAGAACACCACAAAGATACTCCTGGAGAAGAGCAACCCCAAGATACATAATCATCAGATTCACCAAGGTTGAAATGAAGGAAAAAATGTTAAGGGCAGCCAGAGAGAAATGCTGGGTTACCCACAAGGGGTAACCTAGATCAAATTAACAGTGGATCTCTCAGCAGAAACCCTACAAGCCAGAAGAGAGTGGGGGCCAATATTCAACATTCTTAAAGAAAAGAATTTTCAACCCAGAATTTCATATCCAGCCAAACTAAGCTTCATAAGCAAAGGAGAAATAAAATCCTTTACAGAAAAACAAATGCTGAGAGATTTTGTCACCACCAGGCCTGCCTTAGAAGAGCTCCTGAAGGAAGCACTAAACATCAAAAGGAAAAACTGGTACCAGCCACTGCAAAAACATATCGAACTGTAAAGACCATAGACACTATGAAGAAACTGCATCAACTAACGAGCAAAATAATCAGCTAGCATCATAATGACAAGATCAGATTCATGCATAACTATATTAACCTTAAATGTAAATGGGCTAAATGTCCCAGTCAAAAGACACAGACTGGCAAATTGGATAAAGAGTCAAGACCCATCAGTGTGCTGTATTCAGGAGACCCATCTCACATGCAAAAACACACATAGACTCAAAATAAAGGGATGCAGGAATATTTACCAAGCAAATGGAGAGCAAAACAAAGTGGGGGTTGCAATCCTAGTCTCTGATAAAACAGACTTTAAACCAACAAAGATCAAAAAAGACAAAGAAGGGCATTACATAATGGTAAAGGGATCAATGCAACAAGAAGAGCTAACTATCTGAAATATATATGCACCCCATACAGGAGACCCCAGATTCATAAAGCAAGTTCTTGGAGACCTACAAAGAGACTTAGACTCCCACACAATAATAGTGGGAGACTTTAACACCCCACTGTCAATATTAGACAGATCAATGAGACAGAAAATTAACAAGGCTATCTAGGACTTGAACTCAGCTCTGGACCAAGTGGACCTAATAGACATCTATAGAACTTTCCACCCGAAATCGACAGAATATACATTCTTCTCAGCATCACATCATACTTATTCTAAAATTAACCACATAATTGGAAGTAAAACACTCCTCAGCAAATGCAAAAGAATGGAAATCATAATAAACAGTCTCAGACAACAACGCAATCAAATTAGAACCCAGGATTAAGAAACTCACTCAAAACCACACAACTACATGGAAACTGAATAAGCTGCTCCTGAATGACTACTGGGTAAATAACAAAATGAAGGCAGAAATAAATAAGTTCTTTGAAACCAATGAGAACAAAGACACAACGTACCAGAATCTCTGGGACACAGCCAGAGCAGTGTTTAGAGGGAAATTTATAGCACTAAATGCCCACAGGAGAAATCAAGAAAGACCTAAAATCAACAACCTAACATCACAATTAAAAGGAGAAACAAGAGCAAACAAACTCAAAAGCTAACAGAAGACAAGAAAAAACTAAGATGAGAGCAGAATGAAGGGAGATAGACACACGAAAAGACCCTTCAAAAAAATCAATGAATCCAGGAGCTGGTTTTTTGAAAAGATCAACAAAATAGACCACTAGCCAGACCAAGAAAGAAGGAAAGAGAGATGAATCAAATAGACAAAATAAAAAATGATAAAGGGGATACCACCACTGATACCACAGAAATACAAACTACCATCAGAGAACACTATAAACACCTCTATGCAAATAAACTGGAAAGTCTAGAAAAAATGGATAAATTCCTGGATATCATACACCCTGCCAAGACTAAATCAGGAAGAAGTTGAATCCCTGAATAGACCAATAACATGGTCTGAAATTGAGGCAGTAATTAATAGCCTACCAACCAAATAAAAGCCCAGGACCGGACAGATTCACAGCCAAATTCTACCAGAGGTACAAAAAGAAGCTGGTACCATTCCTTCTGAAAGTACTCCAAACAATAGAAAGAGAGGGAATCCTCCCTAACTCATTTTATGAGGCCAGCATCGTCCTGCAACAAAAACCTGGCAGAGACACAACAACAAAAGAGAATTTCAGGCCAATATCCCTGATGAACATCAAAGCAAAAATCCTCAATAAAATACTGGCAAACCGAATCCAGCAGCAAATCAAAAAGCTTACCCACCACGATCAAATTGGCTTCATCCCTGGGATGCAAGGCTGGTTCAACATACACAAATCAATAAATGTAATCCAGCACATAAACAGAACCAATGACAAAAACCACATGATTATCTCAATAGATACAGAAAAGGCCTTTGATGAAATTCAACACCCCTTCATGCTAAAAACTGTCAATAAACTAGGTATTGATGGAACATATCTCAAAGTAATAAGAGCTGTTTATGACAAACCCACAGCCAACATCATACTGAATGGGCAAAAACTGGAGGCATTCCCTTTGAAAAGCAGCACAAGACAAGGATGCCCTCTTTCATCACTCCTTTTTGACACAGTATTGGAAGTTCTGACCAGGGCAATCAGCCAACAGAAAGAAAAGTGTATTCAAATAGGAAGAGAGGAAGTCAAATTGTCTCTGTTTGCATATGACATGATTGTATATTTAGAAAACCCCATTGCCTCAGCCCAAGATCTCCTTAAGCTGATAAGCAACTTCAGCAAAGTCTCAGGATACAAAAGCAATGTGCAAAATCACAAGCATTCCTATACACCAATAATAGACAAACAGAGAGCCAAATCATGAGTGAACTCCCATTCACAATTGCTACAAAGAGAATAAAATACCTAGGAATACAACTTACAAGGGATGTGAAGGACCTCTTCAAGGAGAACTACAAACCACTGCTCAATGAAATAAAAGAGGATACAAACAAATGGAAGAACATTCCATGCTCATGGATAGGAAAAATCAATATCATGAAAATGGTCATACTGCCCAAAGTAATTTATAGATTCAATGCTATCCCCATCAAGCTACCATTGATTTTCTTCATAGAATTGGAAAAAACTACTTTAAATTTTATACAGAACAAAAAAAGAGCCCATATAGCCAAGACAGTCTTAAGCAAAAAGAACAAAGCTGGAGGCATCAAACTACCTGACTTCAAACTATACTATAAGGCTATAGTAACCAAAACAGCATGGTACTGGTACCAATACAGATACGTAGACCAAGGGAACAGAATAAAGTCCTCAGAAATAACACCACACATCTACAACCATCTGATCTTTGACACACCTGACCAAAACAAGCAATGGGGAAAGGATTCCCTATTTAATAAATGGTGTTGGGAAAACTGGCTAGCCATATGCAGAAGACTAAAACCGGACCCCTTCCTTACACATTATACAATTAACTCAAGGCAGATTAAAGACTTAAACGTAAAACTCAAGATGGATTAAAGATTTAAACATAAGACCTAAAACCATAAAAACCCAAGAAGAAAACCTAGGCAATACCATTCAGGACATAGGCATGGGCAAAGACTTCATGACTGAAACACCAATAGCAATGGCAACAAAAGTCAACATTGACAAATGGGACCTAATTAAACTAAAGAGCTCCTGCACAGCAAAAGAAACTATCATCAGAGTGAACAGGCAACCTACAGAATGGGAGAAAATTTTTGCAATCTATCTATTTGACAAAGGGCTAATATCCAGAATCTACAAAGAACTTAACAAATTTACAAGAAAAAATAAAACAACCCCTTCAAAAAGTGGGCAAAGGATATGAACAGACACTTCTCAAAAGAAGACATTTATGCAGCCAATAAACATATGAAAAAAAGCTCATCATCACTGGTCATTAGAGAAATGCAAATCAAAACCACACTGAGATACTATCTCATACCAATTAGAATGGCAATCATTAAAAAGTCAGGAAACAACAGATGCTGGAGAGGATGTGGAGAAATAGAAATGCTTTTACACTGTTGGTGGGAGTGTAAATTAGTTCAACCATTGTGGAAGACAGTGTGGCGATTCCTCAAGGATCTAGCACCAGAAATAACATTTGACCCAGCAATCTCATTACTGGGTGTACACCCACAGGATTCTAAATCATTCTATTATAAAGACACATGCACCCATATGTTTATTGCAGCACTGTTCACAATAGCAAAGACTTGGGAACCAACCCAAATGCCCATCAATGATAGACTGGATAAAGAAAATGTGGCACATATACCCCATGGAATACTATGCAGCCATAAAAAAGGATGAGTTTATGTTCTTTGCAGGGACATAGATGAAGCTGGAAACCATCATTCTCAGCAAGCTAACACAAGAATAGAAAACCAAACAGCACATGTTCTCACTCATAAGTGGGAGTGGAACAATGAGAACACATAGACACAGGGAGGGGACCATCACACACCGGGGCCTGTCAGTGGGTAGCGGGCTGGGGAGGGATAGCATTAGGAGAAATACCTAATGTAGATGACGGATTGATGGGTGCAGCAAACCACCATGGCATATGTATACCTATGTAACAAACCTGTACATTCTGCACATGTATCTCAGAACTTATAGTATAATAATAGTAATAAAAAAGAAAAAACTGAAAAAATAAGAAAATGATCATTTACTCTTTAACTTTAGAGGTGGTTGTTATAATATATGATTGCTATTAATTTTTGTAAAATTATCTTGTGCTATTGCACCTTGCTAAAGATTTTAATAGTTCTTGTATATTTTCAATTTGTTCTCTTGTGATTTCAAATCAAAACACTGGAAAATAGTGCTACTTTTTTAAAAATACAGATCTAAATAAATAATAAATACAGATAAATATATATCTAAATAAATAATAAATAAATAAATAAATAAATACAGATTTTAAAAAGCGGGTCTTGCTTTGCATGTCTTTAGTATTCATGAATTTCAGTTATCATGGTTTAAATTAAACCAGTCCCCAAACAACACAGTTCGAATTTTAGTTACCATGTAATATTAACTGTATTTGCACAAAGTATGAAGTTTTCTGCTAGCTGTCAATTCTAAAAATCACTACCTAATAACAGATGCACATCATAATTAATGACCAATCACATGACTTCTTTCAAAGTCTGCAGTGATTTGTGCAGTAACTGTGCACCTGGTACTCAGTTTACCCACAGACAGCAAAGCACAGAGTTATGTTGGCTGCTTGTCTCCTATGTATAAATCCATGACATTTTACAAGAATAAATAATTCTTGTAAAGAGGAATCAGCTAACAAAGATAAAAGTGCTGCAAAGAAACAAAAAGGGATAATACTGGAAGGAAAGTATACACCGAACATAAATGGAGTTATAGAGGAAATAACTGACCATGGGACTATAGACACTGTCCCTGTTCTAATTATTCTAGTTAAGCAGCCAGAGCAATTTAGCTCACTTAGTGATATAAATTAGGAAAGTGCTTGTATGCAAAGAATAAATGTGTTCTAGTAGAAGTGATACTGAGAAAAAACTTCACATCAAAGGAACATTCAGAGTTATTTCACAACGTTGAAAGTACAAAGAATGTTGGAAGATAATCCATATTTAGAAAGGAGCATAATTCACCAAAGCATAGTAAAGATGCTTCCTCCTTATAGTAAGTTACATCATGAGAGGGAGGCAAGCACTATTTAAACTACTCTTGGTAAGCTTTTATTTTACAGAGAAATAAAACACTTTAATTTTCAACACTTTTAATGTTTCAAGTTATATTGTCCCAAAAAAATTAGCCTTCACTAATTTTGTGTTCCCATATAAATTTATTACCAATAGTAAATGAGTGTTTAATGTCTTGACAAAAATTTTGAAAGGTAATAAAACAAACACCACTTTGTACATTTTTAGCTTCTCTGGTCATTTCTACGGTTCTGCATGGCAATGCAAAGCCAGCACTAACTATACCCTCTATCTTTTCATATCAACTGAAATCTTCAGAACAAAAATAAGTAAGATTGGTAAGAGAAGCAATCACTTAAAGGATGAATTGGCTAGCTATAGCATCTTGGGACACAATAATGTTTTCTAAAAATTTTGTGGCATTATTTTCTGGAGATATGTGTTGGGAGGAGATGCTCAAGGCTGGTTTTATGTTCTTTCCTTTTATGGGCTTTTATTTTTAATTTTATATTTATAAATGTTTCGGAGGAGTGTTTGTGAGCTTCAAGAGGATTGCTGCACATTGGCCCCATAGCCTGTTCTTGCCTCCAAGTTTGATTGTTCAAATTAAGGGTCTTTGTGGTAGTGTGCTTCTAGGATCTTTTCTTACTCCCTGAAAAACATGTATGCTAACTTAGGAGGGACAGTGTGAGTTGCCCTCACCTTAGATTGAATTGATTCCTCTATAACAACAATGATTTAAATATATTTCCAATAAAAAATACATGCGTGTGTGTGTGTGTGTCTTGCTATTTTAGTGAGCTTCTTAGAAGAAATCAGGGTCAAATCACTATGATCAAATTACCATTTTCCCCGGAAATTCACAACTCTTTTTCTTAAAATTGTTCTTTGCTATGCAGAAATGTTTAACCTTTGAAGCACACATAAGAGGAGTCCATTGTTCATAACATTTTAATTCAATATCTTCATGTGTGATTTCACCATAGGAAGAAGGGGTTTGAATTAGAAAGTTCAGCATCTGAGAATATATTTAGAAGGCTGAATAATCTTTATGATTTCCTAGGTCAAAGCCCTTTTTTTTTTTTTTGGTCTAGACATTATCATGTATTGAAGAAAACAAACAGAACAAAAGAAAGAAGCAAAAGTGTTAGAAATTATATTTCATTTTGGTTGACTTTTTTCAGTATTTAAATTGTTATCATAAGTTAACCCCATATCTAGAGCATCTAAACATAAGAAATGGCTCATTAGAGCAATAATGGCTACTGAAAAATTAATAGTGTCGGCTTTGAATGAAAAAATTCCCTTCCCAGCATAGATCACTGGATTCTTGCATTATTAAAACTAGCTAAACTAGCATACAGATCCTTAAAGTGTCTGATAAACAGTGGGAATATGAATTGATTTGGACTTCTAACCCAGAGCAATGCTTTACATAATTTAGATACTGTCAGAAGATGCTCAGAGTTTTAGCAAATATTGACTTTTGGCCAACATCCAAGTGAAGATCCACACTTCTTTACTTAAGTCTCCTTCTGCCTCGTTTCTCTCCATGCTGAATGCAATTTTTCACTTTTATCTTTCCTCTGCCATTGTTTTGTTTATTTTACTATTTTTTTCTCCAAAAAATGATTTAAATAAATTGTCTTCATGAAAATACAATGAAAACTACCCTGTGATTGTTTCTTGAGAGAATGATTTTAATTTGTGATATGAAGGTATTGGACGGTAAACACAACTCAGGTATGTCCATGATTGCTACTGTTACATTCATCATGATAACAGAAAGGGGCTACTTTGTTTCTTTCTATAGCCATGCCACTCATCATAGATTTATAGACATTTCAGTTCTATGGAGACAGTGTATCAATGTATAAATTGTCTAATATGTAGTGCTCCGAGGTTTGAAATAATTTATAGATCTGTGTTTTATTTTAAAAGCACATATTTTTCTAAAGAAATAAAGTCTTACAGGTAAACTAAAGATGTATAGAAGGGAAAATAATTTAGTTGTATGCTAACTATAAATAGATGTAGCTCCCTATCATGGTCATTTTAAGTTTTTAATTCTGTAAATAAATAAACTTCAGAAAAATAAGAACATACAAAGTAAAACAAACAAGCAAAAGACTGTGTCTTAGTCTGTCCCTGCTGCTATATGAAAATGACTTAGACTGGGTGATTTCCAAATAACAGAGTATTTCTCACAAGTTTTGGAGGCTGACAAGTCCACAGGATCAAGGCACCAGCAGATTTAGTGTCTTGTGAGAGCCCAGTCTCTGCTTCCAAGATGGTCCCTTGTTGCTGGGTCTTCACGTGGCAGAAGGGATTAACAGCTCCCAAGCATCTCTTTTTTAAGGTCACTAATTGCATTGATGAGAGCTCTGCCCTCATCACCTAATCACCTCCTAGAGGCTGCACCTCAGCACTATCACACTGGTGATCAAGTTTCAAGATATGAATTTTATGGGGACACATTCGGAACATAGCAGCTTCCCATTCCTACACCCCTGAGCTAGGTCTCTTCACCTTTTTTGGAATCTACCAGATGAAGATGTCCCCCTTTCTTCACAAACATGGGATAATATCCAGTTTCCTCTGTGGTAATTGATTTTTTTTCATTTCACAATACAACAGAGACATCTATCTGCAATGGTATATCTACTTCCATTGTATTTTAATGATTTCATAGTGATCCAGTGAATAGATGTATTATCATTTATATATTAAATTTCATTTTATCCAACGTTTATGTAGTTTCTCAATTTTTGATTGCAATGAACCCCATGGTAAATATTATTATACCTAAAATGTTTTTACAGATCCATAATTATTTCTTCAGTATAAATTCCTAAAAGTAAATTTTATGGCTAAATGGTATAGAAAATTGCCAAAGCATAATCTGGATGGGCCATAGCAATTTGCATTTTCACCAGTGGAAATAAAAATATAAACTTTTCCAAATATTTGCCACGGAATCATTTTATTTTATTTTATTTTATTTTATTTTATTATTTTATTTTTTGAGACGGAGTCTCACTCTATTGCCTAGACTGGAGTGCAGTGGTGCGATCGCTGATCACTGCAAGCTCCACCTCCGGGGTTCATGCGATTCTCCTGCCTCAGCCTCCTGAGTAGCTGGGACTACAGGCACCCGCCACCACGCCCAGCTAATTTGTTGTATTTTTTTAGTAGAGACGGGGTTTCACCGTGTTAGCCAGGATGGTCTCGATCTCCTGACCTTGTGATCTGCCTGCCGTGGCCTCCCAAAGTGCTGGGGTTACAGGCGTGAGCCACCATGCCTGACCCATGTAATTTTATTTTAATATTTGGCATCTTGTTAGAGACAGAAAATGGTATGCTGTTTTAATTTGCACTTTTTTCCTTATTCGCAATAATTTGCTTTATGTGGATTTTCTTTTGTATTTCTTTTGTTTTGTTTTGCAAATGGTCTGTGACCTTTTTGCATTTTTCTACCAGAAAATCAGCAGATTAGGAAAAGGAGACTGAAAAAATCAGGTAGATTAAAAACATTCAGTATTACTCAAATTACTGAAAACAGTAGTTACAGCCACACAGTTTTGAGGCAGTGGGGATGGTTGTAAACCAAAAAAATTATTAATGAATCAGCATGTCTTTCATGTGGAAAGGCTGTAAGAAAGTCATTGGCAGACATCAAAAGGCTTAGAAAATAGAATACTGATGAATCATTTGAAAAAAACTTTGTCAAAAATTTAGTCTCACTGAAAGATGGAGGAAATTGCACAAGTCCTAATCTATAGTGCCTGGTATGTTTAAGGCACTAAGCACTTTACATATATTAACTCTGTAGCAGTTACAACCTTCTGGGAGGAATAATAATTTATAAAAAATAGGTATTTACCCTAGGGAAACAGTCAATTTGTATATGCAGAAATGTAACAATAAGAATTATCATACTGTGTTTTATTTAATTAAAAAAATATGTAAACAAACCAAATATCCAACAATAGGGGTCTTGGTACTATACAATGGGAGAGGCTACTATGCAGCCATTAAACATGATGTTAAAGAACATTTAAGGGCACCTACCAGGCACTGTGCTAATTGTTTTACATTCATTACCTTCTTTAGATACAACTTTATGAGATATGCAGGTTTATTAGCCTCCTTATACAGATAGAGAAATTGAGTCTTAGAGAAGTTAATTTCTCTAAGACCGTAGAGCTAGGGTTCAAACTGAGATCTGAGTTTGGCGTCCTCACTCCTATCCATATCCAGTATGACCCACTCAAGATAGAAAGATACATAGATGACTACCTGGATGAGTTATATGAAAGTTTTTAGTATCATTGGTATTGAGGGGGCTTTTTTTCCCCATTTGTGTGTTTTCTACAATTAATAGTTATCACTTTTGAATTTAAGAAAAATATTAGTGGGAAATGAAGTTAGTTTAAAAAAATAGTAAAAAAAAGAGAGAGAGAGGGTTTTGGAAATAAAGAAGTGAAAGTTCAGAAGAAGAAATTCTGGGCACAGTTGAAATAGACAATATAACTTCTCACAGAAAAAGACTTGGGAGGAGAAACAGCCTCACCCTCTTTTGCTTTTTCTACAAGTCTAGAACCTTCAAAGCCAAGGTCAGGTCACCTGGGAAAAATGTGAACCTTTGACTATTAATTAGTAAAGTTATACTCAAGAGGGCTGTCAGGTTTCCAGAAGCTACAGTGGTATATCACACTGAGTTTAGTCAGGAAAACAGAAGCCTCTATTGGCATTTCAAAGAGAAAGAACTTAATATAGAGAACTAGACTATGGAACTAATGGATTACTTGGATGTGCAAAAGAGGGGAAGAAAGGAACTGGAAGAGAAAACACAAATCAAAGATGATGCTCCGAGATTGGAGGCAGCTAGTGTTACTGGCTGGAGTCCATGTGTCCACATGTATTGCTACCCTATTAGAGACTCTATAGCCATTGGTTCCAGATTTGCTGAAGGTTTCCAGAAATCTTGATTTTCTTAACCAGGGCTGGCACCTCCACCAGTGTTGTCATCATTGTGTACTGTAGATGCTGTTTTGCTGCCAAAGGTGCTGCTAATAAATGAAGATGAAAAGAGTCACTTCTTCCCATTCTCTTCTTTTATCACATGTTGTCTCCAAGTGGCAGAATCTAATTGGAATTCAGTTGGTAAGTGAGATAGAGAAATAAAATTTGCCATTTTCAAGCTTCCTATCATACCTAGTTGAGCAAAGAAGTGTGAGGATAGGGGTTAAGAGCAAAGGCAAAAATGACGGACATTGCCCGCGCTTTTGTCTATGTAGCATCCTTTCTCATCGTTCTACCCATAATTTATTTTCATAAAACATTTTGCTTCTGTCTGATATAAAGTGTGTGTCTCCTTGACAAACACTGATGCTATTTCCTCATCTAATTCAACGAGCAATTCTTGCTGAATACATAATGTATAAGCTAAACTATTAAGGTACTCATTACTAATCTTCTTTGAATGGAAAACAGGGGTAGAGGGGAGAGGTGAAATTGGTTAATGTATACAAATATATCTACAAGGAAGAAAATCATTTATGGTTGCTGTAGTGGTAATTTCTGTACCTTGTCACAAATTTGTGTTGATAGTCACAAATTGCTTCTTCCCCTGTCATTTCACATTTCATTTTTTCTTGGCACTCAGCCAGTTTCTCTTCTGGTCAAATTTCCAAACTTTCATTCCTGAAATGTCTGAATCACTATTCGTTTTTCTTTTTTGGGGTTGCTATTGTCTTCTTTTAAGCTTCATTGCCAGAATGGAAATGATAAGAACAGTGTTAGGAAATTCCAGGGGCTCTAAACACAGTCCTACTTGTTCTTACTGTGGGATTGCAACACAATTTCCATTTGATAATTAGCTATCCTTTTTGTCATTTGATTTTGTGACATGAGAAGCTTGAAACATCTGCTGGTGGTCTCAACTTTCTGTTTGATTTAACCAGTGTTGTGTCCTTTAGTGGAACCATTCCTCTCCTGAGAATGAAGGCCTGTAACACAGCAGAGCTTGAGATTATAGGGGTTTGGAAACATTCTGTGTGTGGATTGTCAGGTGTAATAGAGAAGCCCCTACCAATTCCACCACTCAGTTCCATGACTCATCTTTTCTGGTCATGGCAGAAACAGCCTCAAACATTGGTTATCAGTTCAAAGCCTATGCCAAAGCTTGAAGGACAGCACCTCAACTTTGCGGGTTACATAATTGAGTTGTCAGTAGGCCACATTACTATTGTTTCAACCATGCTACCTCTGGATGCAAGAACATCATACTAAAAATAGTGGACTTTCTATATGTGAGTTCACTGCTGCACTTTTCTGATATAAAACAAATCCCCTAGTGAGAAGCAATGTTGTGTCTCATACCATGATAGTAAATAAGGTACTATATTAATTTCCTAGGGCTGGCTTTATGAAGTACCACACACAGGGTGACTTAAAACAACAAAAATCTATTCACTCACAATTCTGGAGGTTAGAAGTCTAAAATCAAGGTACCATGAGGGCCATGAGTTTTCTGAAAGCCCTAGGGAAGAAACCTGCCTTGCCTTTTCCTAAGTTATAAATACCTTCTGGAAAGGAGGGGGGAAATGTCTAAAAAGAAGTTTATTCATTACAGTCCGTAGACCACATGTGTCAGTGTTGGGATGTCCCAGAGGAGATGAAAGAAATTTGAATTTTCCCAGTGTTACCTGGCAATTTATCTGTTTTTAGCAACCACACTAGGTAATTATCATGTACAATAAAGTTTAAGTGAACTAAAATTTTAGGAACTTTAGCAATTATTCAGTCAACTAATTATGACTCAAGAGGAGTAGGAAACTACAAGAAGATTTCCCACCCACATATGCATTTGGTTTGGGCTGAATATATCTGGGTATGTGTGTAGATTGCATGATGCTTAGCAGTAGAGGATACAGTGTGAGCTTATTGTGTGTATTTATTACTTGAGCGTGGTTATGCATATACAAGTATGTGGGCCATTTTCTGTTGAATTTTAAAAACAGTGATAACAAAATGCTCTCTAGAATTTGGGAAATAGAATTATCAAGGGGTTCTGTGAAACAATGACAGAACTTCTTTAAAGACACCCCAAACATATTTTTCTGGCTACTTTTTTCTATGTGTAAAGGAAAAATGTCCAGAATGAGGAATATAAATGGTTCATCATTGAAGAGAAAGTACATCTAATTATATCATCTTCTGGAGCTTTTCTTTTTAAATCTCATTTCAAAGTTGGGATAAAGAGAAATGATCAGTTGCTTGTTATTTTTATCAGAAGTTGGAATTTTTTTTTGAGAATCTCAGGACAAAAAGAACTGTAAGCTCACTAGCTTTATTTTATTTAAGGTATTGAAGAAGAAATGCAGAAAAAGAGAGTTTGTACATGAGTGATTTTAATTGACTAACAAAGTTAAATACTGCACTAGAAAGGCCTACTGACAACCTGCTAATAGCAAAAAGATAACACAAATCTAAAAATTGCTGTCTTTTTATTGGACAAAGTAAAATAAAATTTTATAACACATCTTGATGTTCCATGTGACTATAGAAGAATGTTTTTTAAGTCTTAAAGGTCAAGCCTTCAGAAACCAAAAGTTCATGTAGTCTTTTCATCTTAACTAGAGTGGTAACATCACTTTTCTCTTTGATCTATTTATTTAAATGTGAATTTCCATTAAACACAAGATTTTAACTGAGCAATTTGGGGAAGGTTTTTGGGTTTAATTATCAGTTCACAGAGTTTCCGCCAGCGGTAAATATTTATACCATACTGAATGTGTTGAATTAAGGCTTACTGTTAAAGAGAGGAAAGAATTAAATCGCCAAAAAAATTACTCAGTTTGTTCCACCTGCAAAGTGCACTGATTTACTTAATCTCACTCTGTCAGTTTTAAAAGCATGATTATAATTGCAAATGCTAAAGTATCAGTTGTCCAAATGACAAGATTGTTGTTAAAGATGAAAGGAGAAAAAAAAAGATGACATTTAGAAAAAAATAAATCTATTTATTGTTCTACCTCATTTTGCTTTTTTCAGAGGTACTGGGAAATTTTGTACAGATCAAAGGAAATGAAAAATACATAAATTTGCTGGAAATATCACAGTAAAAAAATCTCAAAAAGAGAAAAAGAAGGAAAGGTTGTAAACTAAACAAATAAGAGAAAGAAAGAATTTAATTAAACCCCAAATACCAGTTAAAAGGAGTAAGAGAAAAGCAGGTAACCCATAGAGATCTCTAGTCAATGGGAGCCACAAAAAAGCTTTAAGACACAAGTTTACCTCTTGGTTCTTAGGAAATGTATATAACACTCTGCCATTTTGGGGGACTGGGGTTGGCTTCTTATGTAAAATATTGGTGCACACGCCACCTGTGTGATGCTAGGTAAGTCACTGAGAAGCATATCAAACATGTACTTGGGCTGTCATTTCTGTTAGATTTCTCAATCATGTTTCCACCATGCACCACAAAAGAAATCTCCTTGCTTGTGATACCTACTTTGTTGGAGGGAAGGGTAAATACCACTTTATGTCATATAGGTTCTTGGTCAAGTCAAGAGAATTTTTGAACTTTCTTTGATTTCAGAGGTGAGACCACCTTCTGCTCCAGACCAGTTTACAGTAGAAGATTAGCATTTCAGTGACAACTGGAAATATTAAAGGAAAGCAGGACTGTTCCATTTTTTTGCCAATTGAGACAAAGCAGTCAAAATGTTGACAAATGTAATATGCATATAGAAGTTACTATGAGATTAAGTGACTTAATGCATATAAAGACACTAGTTTTATGTCTGGCAAATAGTAAGTACTTGCTATTATTGTTCAAGTATACAATTAGCTAAATGGATTTGTGTGGATCAGAGAACTCAACCATACATAACAAAGGGTTCTCAATGTACAACTTTAGGGCCGGGTGCGGTGGCTTATGCCTGTAATCACAGCACTTTGGGAGGCTGAGGTGGGAGGATCACTCATGGTCAGGAGTTTGAGACCAGCCTGGACAACATGGTGAAACCCCGTCTCTACTAAAAACACAGAAATTAGCCAGGAGTCGTGGCATGCGCCTGCAATCCCAGCTACTCGGGAGGCTGAGGAAGGAGAATTGCTTGAATCCGGGAGTCAGAGGTTGCAGTGAGCTGAGATTAGGCCACCGCACTCCTGCCTGGGCAACAGAGTGAGACTCTGTCTCAAAAAACAAACCAACCAACCAACAAACAAAAACCCCTAAAATTAGCCAGGCATGGTGGCGGGCGCCTGTAGTCTCAGCTACTTGAGAGCCTGAGGAGAATTGCTTGAACCCGGGAGGCGGAGTTTGCTGGTAAGCCGAGATTGTGCCACTGAACCCCAGCCTGGGAGAAAGAGTGAGACTCCGCCTTAAAAAAAAAAAATATCACATAACAAGGTTATAACTGGAACTACTGAATCAGCTTTGAGGTATTATTATTTTTCATAATTGCTGGAAAAAAAGCCTTCAGCATAGCATTGATGTTGTTTCTGAGAGACTGCAGCCTTTAGCAGAAAAAGCCCTATCTTTGGTATCAGACAGATGTGAGTTAACATCTCAGTTCTGCCACTTACTAGCTGGGTGACCTTCGTCAAGTTGCTTTGACTCATCTTCAGTTTTTTAATCTATGAAATGCAACTTGTGATGAGCAGGAAACTGGCATGCTTTGCGGGATTCTAGGCACACATAAGGTGCTTAACATATGTGCATATCCTCAGGTTCTCATTCCCTTAATATGATCTATCACTTAAGAGTATTTAGGTTTGTGTAGGAAAAAAATTGCTTATCAACTTACATAGCAATGCAGATTAGTCTTATGCTAAGGAGGTATTTCATGTTCCAAATATAATTTAGTTTCTTTCATATCCTTGTTATCAATTTTCTTTTTGATCTTAGACTTAGCTAAGTGCATTATACTTTAGAATTCCTTAAAATCAGTCTTTGTTTAACAACAATAGATTTTTAGCTTTGTCAAATATTCTTGGCTTCAAAGTAGAATTCTCTTTCATAGATAATAAAATAATTAAATCTGAGATCAGTAAAACATTTTTCCCCAATTTGGTTAAAACAAAGTTAAAAAAAAGACTCCAGTTATTTTATTTTAATAAGGGAAGCAACATATGTACTTCTGTGTTCTCGACTTTAGCAGTCCCCACAGTTGGGTAAACTTCCCATAGTTCTATTTGCTTTTGAAAGATTAATAACAGAGGTCTATCCAGAGGCTGACTCTTTCTCTATCCTTTTACCTTCTGGAGTGGTGGCACAAAAACTTTTCAATCATGTATTGCAGCAGTAAAATAAGAACATTTGAGCTTTTACTTGTTTGAGTAAACGTATGCGTTTATATGTTCTATATGGTACATTAGCACACACCATATTACATATTATGCACATTGTAAAGTGTATCCTAAAACAGAAATAAAAAAGATTGAGAGAAAGATGAACTAAACTATGTATTTTAAAAATATTTTGGTAAGCATGATGGTTTCACACTATTATAATTTTCCACTTTTTCACGGCATAATATACACATAGGGTGACTTTTATTATAAATGATTGAGGATGCAAATTGGTATTTTGAATAGCCTCCTTAAGACTTTTGATGGATGTGAGCTGACTTTTTCCTGTTTATGTTATCATTGTTTTCTGTAGTGGCATACTAAAACAAAGTTTGTTCTTAAAGAAGGAGTTAGTGTCAGCTCTGCCATTTCCTATTAGTCACTTCTACTTGCATGATTAGAATTTTGTTTGTGGTTTTGTTGTAGGAATCTTTTAGTGACTTACCCATTAAAGTTAATTTCAATAGATAATACTCTTAAATCCTCTTAATTAGTCACACACAAAGTGCACCTTGTCACCATGTAGTGGAAATGAGCCAGGGAGGGAGAATGCTGGATCGACCTCTCCCATATGTGGAACCTCACTCTTTCCTTAGGACACCTCACCCAGAGTAGGTCAATGCAACCCTCTGATTCGTAGACAAGCAGGGAATATCCTGGTCAATCCATGTATCAAATACTTGTGAAGTGCAATTTCTTGTTTGTTCAGGGAGAAGAGATAAGTAGAAGTAGAACTGCCCATATTTTATTTCACATTCCACTGGTCACCTCTTCAGCCCCTGCATTGAATTTGAGAGACACCCTTTCAAGAGCATGGGTCAGTAAATCTTTTCTGTGAAGGGGCAGATAATAAATATTTTCAGCTTCGTGAGCCAGATAGTCTTGTTGCAACTCTTCAACTCAGCCACTGTCGTGCCAAAACATCTATAGACAATACAAAAGTAAATGACCGTGGCCATGTTCCAATAAAATTTCATTTACAAAAACAGGCATTTGGTCAGATTTGAAATGGAGATCATAGTTTGTCAACTTGTTATCTAGAGAATACTGAGCTTGATCAAAACTAATAAAATAATGAATCCCATATTTACCAGAAAATGACTTGAGAAAAAAGCCTTTGAAGGGGGTGGCTTAGCTTAACTCAGCAGTCTCATTTACAAATCACATTGGACTGCACAACTTTCATGCTGCTAATTGATAAGCTGATGTAGCCTTCTCTCCGTCTCTGATTCATTTGCTGTGTTTCTCAATCACACACACATATACATACATGCGCACACTGACACCCACACCCATAGGGTAATGAGGTAGCTGCTGTGTGTTGAAAATTAATGAGAAGATATAAAGGGAGATTCAGATGTATTCTGACTGGTGCAGTTGTAACTTTGTGGCAGGAAGAATACAGGGACTTTCCCAAATGGCAGGACATCTTTCTTTTAGCAACTCTCAAAAACTTTAGCAAATCAAGAGATCTTTAGCAAATCCTGAGCAAATTATGTCCAGGGAATATGGACAAAATTGAATGAAGACAAACACCTCAAGTAACAAGTTACAATGAAAGGGAATTAGCGGAAGTGGTTTTTTTTTTTTTTTCCCACATAGTGAGGCAGGAGGGGATCTTTGCCCAGTAGACTCCCTGCCTTTTGTGGTAACTTTCATGTTTTCACTTCCACTCTATTAATATTTCCTTCCACCTTTTAGATGGTTTTCCAACCCTCTTCCCCAATTACTTAGGGTCTTTAAGACATCCAGAATTCCCTACAAAAGGACTCCACATTGGTCAGCTTTGCCCCCAAATTGCCCCTTCTCTTCACATTCTTCTTCCCATAAAATAACAGTAAGCATAGATGATAATTTTCATTAGTGAGCCCTCATAACTATAGCATGATAGATGCAGGACTTAGCTAATCACAATATCCAGGGAAACTGCAGGAACAGTTTTTTTTTTTTTTTTTTTTTTTTGTAAAGCAGAAGTCATTAGTTGTGTAGTCATCCACATTTAGTGAACTTCCCAGTGTGGTCAGGCAAACATGATAAAGGAAAGCAAATTACCTCATTTTCTTGGACTTTGGGCTTAATTGACAATTTTATATAAATCTTTTTACTAACACCAAGAGGCATTTTAGTAGAATAGGTTGTTTCATAGGAATGCAATTCCCAGATAACTAGAGCTGACTCAGTTAAGGGAAGTGGGGAAAATCTACATTATTATGTAGGGCTTGTCAGGCATGGTGTTAGATTCCTAATAAGTTTTGATTTATTTAATCTTTCAATAAATGTAAGGACTAAGTATTATGTTATTTTAAAATTTTAAAAAGAAGAAACTACAGTTTTGAGAGGTTATGTAACTTGTGCAAGATCACAAGCTGGGGAGGGGGCGCAGAATTTTGACCCAAACCCCAACCTGCTTCCGTTGTCTGATGCAACCCTTCTTAATTTTAAAAGTTTGCATTTGCATGGCCCTATTTTTAAGTATTGTCATAAACTCTTCTACCTTAACAAAGGATGTTAAATATTTTTCAAGTTGTTCTTGATAATCCAGTGTTGGCATATAAATCATAGCCCCACAGGGACTTTTGAAGTATGAGGGATATTGGTCTTGGGGTCCCATCTGGAGTGTTTTTTTGAGCTCTTATGTCTATTTTTTTATCAGTTTTGGATCTTCATTTTTATCAACAGGCTTTTGACTGTCACTTCTTATTTCTCTTTCTGTGACTGCCTTTCTCAAGTTAGCTAGTACTATCCATTTCTAATTTTCAGTCTAATGTCCTGATGACTGCCAAACCAGACAACCACTCCTACTAGAATTATGTCTAAAGGTGGTGGTGTTTTTAGATCAGGGTGAGGATCTCAACAGAAAGGACTGGAACATAATTATTTCAGCTGGTCACAGACATTTTTTATTCCTCTCAGTAGTCTTAACTTTATTCTGTAAAATTGAGATCCCTGGACAAGTGAGCTGGAGAAAATTGAGACATTATCACGTTTATCTTAGGTATATTTTAGAAAAAAGTACCCATAACCTAATTTTTTCTTAATATTTACTTTCAATTCCAGCTTGCTAAACTTGTCTCTTTTTTTACTGCCTTGCCCATCTGATATGTTTTGGCTCTGTGTGCCTACCCAAATCTCACCTTGAAGAGTAATAACCCCCATGTGTCAAGGGCAGGACCAGGTGGAGGTAACTGAATCATGGGGGCAAGTTTCCCAGGCTGTTCTGGTGATAATGAGTGAGTCTCATGAGATCTAATGGTTTTATAAGCATGTGGCATTTCCCCGGCTTGCACTTATTCTCTCTCCTGCTGCCCTATGAAGAAGTGCCCTCTGTCATAATTGGAAGTTTCCTGAGGCCTCCCCAGCCATGCAGGAGGTATTTTTTCACAGCAGTGTGAGAATGGACTAATACAGTAAATTGGTACCGGCAGAGTAGGGTGCTGCTATAACAATACCTAAAAATGTGGAAGTGACTTTGGAACTGCATAACAGGCAAAGATTGGAACAGTTTGGAGGGCTCAGAAGAAGACAGGAAGATATGGGAACGTTTGGAACTTCCTAGAGACTTATTGAATGGCTTTGACCAAAATGCTGATAATGATGTGGACAATGAATTTCAAATTGAGGTGGTCTCAGATGGAGATGAGAAACTTGTTGGGAACTGGAGTAAAGGTGACTCTTGCTATGCTTTAGAAAAAAGACTGGTGACATTTTGCCCCTGTCCTAGAGATCTGTGGAAATTTGTACTTGAGAAAGATGATTTAGGGTATCTGGCAGGAGAAATTTCTAAGCAGCAAAGCATTCAAGATATAACTTAGGTGCTCTTAAAAGCATTCAGTTTTATGCATTCAGAAACATGGTTTGGAATTGGAACTAATGTTTACAAGGGAAGCAGAGCATAAAAGCTTAAAAAATTTGCAGCCTGATGAGGCAGTGGAAAAGAAAAACCCATATTCTGAGGAGAAATCAAAACCAGCTGCAGAAATTTGCATAAGTAACAAGGAGTCAAATGTTAATTGCCAAGACAATAGAGAAAATGTTTCCATGGCATATCAGAGGTCTTTATGGCAGTCCCTCTTATCATATGCCCAGAGGCCTAGGAGGAAAAAATGGTGTCATGGGTTGAGTCCTGGGTCTTGCTGCTTTGTGTACTCTTGGGACTTGGTGCCCTGTATTCCAGCCATGGCTAAAAAGGTACAAGGAAAGGTACAGCTCAGGCCATTGCTTCAGAGGGTGTAAGCCCCAAGCCTTGGAGACTTCCATGTGGTGTTAAGCCTGCGGGTGCACAGAAGTCAATAATTAAGATTTGGGAACCTCTGCCTAGATTTCAGAGGATGTACGGAAATGCTGGGATATCCAGGCAGAAGTTTGCTGTAGGGGCAGAGCCCACATGGAGAAACTCTGTGAGGACAGTGAGGAAGGGAAATATCGGTGGGGGTCCCTCACACAGTGTCCCCACTGGGGCACTGCCTGGTGGAGCTGTGAGAAGAGGGCCACCAACCTTGAGACCCCAGAATGGTAGATCCACAGACAGCTTGCACCATGCATTTAGAAAAGCCACAGACACTCAATGCCAGCCCATGAAAGCAGCCAGAAGTGGGGCTATACTCTGCAAAGCCACAGGGGTGGAGCTGCCCACGGCCATGGGAACCCACCTCTTGCACCAGTGTGAACTGGATGTGAGATACGGAGTCAGAGAAGATCATTTTGAAACTTTAAGGTTTAATGACTGTCCTATTGGATTTTGGACTTGCATGGGGCCTGTAGCCCCTTTGTGTTGGTCAATTTTACCCATTTGGAATGGGTGTATTTACCCAATGCCTGTATCCCCTTTGTACCTGGGAAGTAACTAACTTGCTTTTTGTTTTACAGGCTCATAGGCGGAAGGGACTTGTCTTGTCTTAGATGAGACTTTGGACATTGACTGTTAGGTTAAGGCTGGAATGAGTTAAGACCTTGGGGAACTGTTGGAAGGGCATGATTGTGTTTTGAAATGTGAGGACATGAGATTTGAGAGGGGCCAGGGGTGGAATAATATGGTTTGGCTCTGTGTTCCCACCCAAATCTCACCTTGGATTGTAATAATCCCCACATGTCAAGGGAGGGACCAGGTGGAGGTAATTGAATAATGGGGGCAGTTTCCCTGATGATATTCTTGTGATAATGAGTGAGTGTTATGAGATCTGATGGTTTTATAAGCGTCTGGCACTTCCCTTGCTTGCCCTCATTCTCTCTCCTGCTGCTCTGTGAAGAGGTGCCTTCCACCATGATTGTAAGTTTCCTGAGGGCTCCTCAGCCATGCAGTACCATTAGTCAATTAAACCTCTTCTCTTTATAAATTACACAGTCTCGGGTATTTCTTCATAGCAGCATGAGAACAGACTAATACACCATCTATTTCATGTACAAAGATTAAGAGTTGAAGACATGACATTTCTCAAACTTGAGAAATACAGAAAAATACAAGTTGAATAGAAAGTTATATGTGAGTGAGACAAGAAGAGTTCTAGATTTTGGGTGAATTTGGCCTTGATTTCTTTTCTGCTGTTTATGTTAGGGTGAGCTTGTATTCATTCAGAGGCTAAAGTAAAAGGGGTTGCTAATACCTACCTCATGGAGCCATTATGAAAATTAAATAAAATTACGTGAGAAAGTAGCTAGCACATTGTAATATTTTATCAAATGCTGCCTGAAGAATATTGAATGTAATTTAGCAAAATATTATGAACTTCATTTGAAATTAGAACATTCTCAGGGAAGGTGGGGAAGTGTCCCTGCCTGGAAGTTTCTCTCATCCATGAACAGTTATGCATAAGAGAAAGAGGCTGTATAATAGAATGGTTGTGGAATGTGATTATAACCAGGACTATTGGCTTGGATAGTTTATGTGTCTGTTGCCGCCCCACAGACGGCAGATTTTGAGCTCCTTAAAGACTGGTAATTTCTGATTTATTTCTGTATCTTCAGATGCCAAAACAGAGCTAATTACATAGTTGATACACAGTAACTGTTTTTTGAATGAAGAAATGGGTGGATGGATGGATGAATGAAAGTGATGAAGAAATTTGTTGTTGACAGAAGCCAAATGTGCTCATGAGAACCAGTTTCTTACATAACAAGTTCTCCTGTGGATAACACATGGCCAGAAGAGTGAATTCAAATGTGTTTCAAGGAAGACACTCAGTGTCACAATGATGTACTCTGCTTTGCTTTAGGAACCGTGATAAAATCTGATTTCCCTATTTCACCTCTGAAATATATTTTTATTTCTTTCAAGGAATTACTTTAAAATAAATATAGATGTAACACTATTATAAAGGAGGCTCTTATTACATATATTGAGATACAACACTGCCTAATTCTAGCCCCTGAAACATGACAACTGCATGAAATAAAAGGCCAGTACAGCTGTCCTGATGGCCAGTGTTAGTCCTGATCCTCAACTCTAGAATTAGAATATATTTTTCTAGAATTATTTTTACAAAGCTCTCTACAACAGAGGATTTAAGGACAAGTAAAAAAGACTTACTGCTAGTAGAGGTTTTATTTAATCACTGTTATCCTCATTATAAATGAGAAATATTTTTTATTGCTTCCTTCAGACACAGCATTTTACTAAATGCTGCCCTCTGTCTCATGATATAACCTTTATAAATTCAATACACTAATATAAATTTGAAGTCATTAAAATTGCTTAATAATTCCTGAGGCCAACATATAGCTCTGGTGTTTACAGTATCTAAGATGAGATTTAGAAATACCACAGCAGGTCAAGATAAGGTAAACTTTTTTATTTGGAGGGAAAAAACTTTTTGTGTTACTGAATAGTTTCAGTTTTTCCAAGATTATATTGTCAGCTATTTTCTTTAAATATTGCAAAGTTGTGGGGAAAGTGTTTGTATTAGTCCATTTTCATACTGCTGTGAAGAAATACCCAAGACTGGGTAATTTATAGAGAAAAAGAGATGTAATGGACTCACAGTTTCACATGGTTGGAAAGACCTCACAATCATGGTGGAAGGTGAAGGAGGAGCAAAGGCACGTCTTATATGGTGACAGGCAAGAGAGCATGTGCAGGGGAACTGCCCTTTATAAAACCATTAGATCTCATGAGACTTATTCACTATGACAAGAACAGCATGGGAAAAACACACCCCCATGATTCAATTACCTGCCACTGGCTTTCTCTCACAACACATAGGGATTATGGGAGCTACAATTCAAAATAAGATTTGCATGGAGACACAGCCAAATCATATTGGTATTACTTTCGCCAGAGCTAAAGAAGGTCCTAGAATTTTGCATACTATGCTGGGTTAGGCAAGTATAGCACACAGTGGTGATTAGCTATGCAATATCTATTTCCTTTTCCCTGTTTCCTTGTTTGGATATCCCTAATATTATTTAAGGTAGAAATAGGTTCCATTAAATATTTACCTTCTCTACTCTTGCACTAGGCATACATGTGAACCAGTTGTTAATAATAAGAAGTGGAATTCTGCTGAGCATTCCTGGCTCAGTTTCTGCCTTCCTTACTGTTATGGGCTGAATGTATGTGTCCCTGTATTAGTTTGTTTTGCATTGCTGTAAAGGAATGCCTGAGGCTGGGCAATTTATGAAGAAAAGAGGGTTATTTGGCTCATGGTTCTTCAGGCTACATAAGAAGTATGGTGCCAGCATCTGGTCAGTTGCTAGCGAGACCTCAGAAAACTTTTACTCATTGTGGAAGGTGAAGAGGAAGCAGGCATGTTTCATGGAAAGAGAAAGAACAAGAGAGAGGAATCAAGAGAAAGGGAGGAGGAGACAAGCTCTCTTAAACAACCAGCTCTGGTGTGAAGTCAAAGAATTAGAACTCACTCATCACTGCAGGGAGGGTACCAAGCCGTTTATGAAGGATCTGCTCCCATGACCCAAGCGACCCACTAGGCCCTACCTCCAACATTGGAGATCATATTTCAGCATGAGATTTGGAGGTAATAAACATCCAAACTATATCAGTCCCCTAGTAAAGTTCATATGTTGAAGTCATAGCTCCTGATGTGACAGTATTAAGAGGTAGGATCTTTGGAAAGTAGTTAGGTTTACATTAGATTGTGAAGATGGGGCCTTTGTGATGGGATTAATGCCCTTTTAAGAACAGGGGGAAAGATGGTTCTTCCATAAGCATTCAAAGAGTAATGACCATCAGAGCTCCTAGCAGGAAGAGGGCTGTCTAGAAAGTGGTCCCTCACCAGACACGGATATGCCAGGACTCAGAACCTTGAACTTGGACTGCCCAGCCTCTAGATAAATAAATTTCTCTTGTTTAAGTCACACAGTTTATGGCATTTTTTTGTATTAATAGCAGCCTGAGCAAAGACACTGACAAAGAGGATAATGAGCTGGTTGCTATCCCTCTCCCTCCTAATTCTTTCTGCTTTGAATGCAGATGTGATATCCAAAGCTTAAGCAGCTCTCTTGTAATCATTGAGTGATAAGTACAGGATAAAAGCCAACATACTAAGGATGGAAGAAGAGAGGAAAATGCAAGATCTTGTGTCCTTGATGGCATCTTCAAGCAGCTAACATGTTGTAATCATTTACTTTCGAACTTCTTGTTACCTGGGAAAAGGAAACCCTTATCTGTTTAAATTACTGCAAGTTGGGTTTCCTGCTATTTGCAGTTGAAAGCAGCCATAAAAGTAAAATATGGCGATGGTTCATTATTATTCAAGTTTCCTGTCTACAAATAGATATTTAGTTTTTGTTTCTTAGCAATTTCACAAAGCAGCTGAATGTAATATGAAAAAGGACTATCTTCATGAAGTCAACCTTCTCAACAAATAAAAATTTGAAGGCGTAACTAGGTAGAATCTCTTTAAGAAAAATCGTTTAAACCCCAAATATTTCTAATAAATGTTCCAAAAAACTCTTATTATCTGGAGAAATCACTGACTTTAATAACAGCCTTTGCAGTGGCATTTTTAAAAGGCTTTTTGCTTTTTTTGGCCACTCCTCAGAAGATACTAGTATGAAAAACACACTTTTATCAGTACATGGAAGACTGTATTTTCAGGCAGTCTTCAATCATGACTAAAAGTATGTTTCTGTAATGAACCAGCAAGACTGGGGTGATTTTGTTAGTTAATTTGAAGGATCAGACATTAAAGTATCTAAAAATACAATTCAAATACCAACATTTACTTTCAAATCATTTGTAACAGTTATTGGAGGACTGCGTTTCACCAATTTCTTAACTATATATTTGCCTGCCTATGTATTTATGTATTTAATAGAGGCTCATAACTACTAGAAGTATTTGGGGACTGAGATATATTCATTACTGATTGGCATCCTGAAGATATCATTTGCATTTCTTTTTTTTTTCTTGAGACAGAGTCTCGCTCTGTCTGGAGTGCAATGGCACAATCTTGGCTCACTGCAACCGCTGCCTCCCAGGTTCAAGCAATTCTCCTGCCTCAGACTCCTGAGTAGCTGGGACTACAGGTGCGCACCACTATGCCTGGCTAATTTTTGTATTTTTCATAGAGACAGGGTTTTGCCATGTTGGCCAGGCTGGTCTCGAACTCCTGACCTCAGGTGATCTACCTGCCTTGGCCTCCCAAAGTGCTGGGATTACAGGCACGAGCCACTGTGCCCAGCCTGCATGTCTATTTTTTCATGGAGCCTTCTATTTTTATAACCTGGAATGCTCTTGATATGTGCTGTCCATTTTCAATGTCATCACAATGTTTCCCCGGGTCAGCTGTAATCATCTCACATTTCCCAAGTCACTACCTAGTCCTGGGTATACCAGAGCCAAGGACTGAGGTAATTAGATTTCAGGCTAAAAAGCAACTATGGTTTTTGAGAATTTAACTTTTCTTTTGTTTTAGATTACACTAGGGGTATTTTTTTTTTTAAGTTGCAATGATCCAAATTCTTGTACAGTTAAGTAAATAGGCCTGGGCTATAGAGAAAAAAAACAACAAATATCAACCATCCAACCAACCAACCAGCCAACCAAACAAAATGCTTTGGCCTACATGGAGAATCATTCTAAAACAAAGCTATAAAATAGGACAAATTTCTTGTCAATGTCCTTCTCATTACCTATTCTATTTCCCCCTCTCCTTTCATAAAACTGTACAAAGAAATTCAGTCTCTTCATGTTGTCTGAGGTTCTATATTCTAAATATGTTTACATATTCTATTTCTAACCAAGCAAACAGGCCATGTGTCCTATTCCTTCAGCATTACTTTCTTGACTATATGTCATGTTGAACTGGATATATGCCATTTTAAATAATGCCTTAATATACTTATCCTCCAAATTTACTTGAATTATAAAATAATGAAATCGCTTATTTAAAGTAACTTACAGCTATTCGGAGACACTAATAGCTTTAATAGAGGCTCATAACTACTAGAGGTACTTGGGGAATTAGGTATATTCTTGTTTTCTCACAAACATTAGATAGATGTTTTTCTTTCTATATCACCTTTAAAATGGTTGACTTTACCTTAATGTCTTCACACAGCTCCCAACCAATGGGAGAAATAAAATTATAAAAACCATTTTTTAAGATGATAAATGGCACCGAAGAGAGATTTAGCTACTCTCCTCATTATTTTCAATGTCACACAATGACTTGGTGTGGATGGAGCTGAATTTACCCCATTTTCAATTTAGCATGTTCACCATAAATTACTACAGACTTTATGGCTGTTTTTTTTTCTTTTTTTGCCTTGACCATTACTTATTATGAAACAGTCAAGGTCAGCTTTTCAATTTTATCAGTGAGCAGTTGCATGGAAGCCAACTGGATTGGCTGAGAGTTGAAGGATCAGAGTCAGCCCCAAATAGCCAGATTGACCATGCAACAATTTCCTCTTAAAATGTGATCACCTGTAACCTAACTCCTGATAAATATAACTCAATGTTATTTAAATACCATCCTGAAGGAACAGTGCACCATTCCAAAAGCATTTTTCTTCAGCTGGACTGTTAACTAAATGACCATGTACTCTGAATAATAAGACCATTGGAAGATTTGTTATAGATTTTGGTGTGCAAACAGTAACCACTTTGAATTCACATAACACGCATTTTTTTTTAAACCTTCTTTTAGCTGACATACAATACAGAGAAAAGAACTCTAAGTCATAGTCTCAGGGGAGCAGGCGGAAAGTGGGTGGACAGAGGAGGGGAGCCTTGCAAAACCTGAGTACGTGGTCTGGTGCTAACACTCTCTGATACAGATGTTTCCATTTCTGTTGCTGTGAGAAAGAAAGCCAAATGTGACCATTTGTCAACACCTGAAGAAAACTTTGAAGAGGTGACTGTGAATCATATAAAAGCCTTTTCTAAGCAACAAGTTGTCAGAGAAAAAATTACTCAATCTAAGAAAGGGAAACATTAAATGGACATACAGAATTGCTTTGAAAGCTAAAAAAAAAAAAAACAAAAACTCAGTTGGTTAAACTTTTGCAATATATAAAACTCCATAATTCTCTTTTCAAATATTTTTCCTTTTGAAGCAGATTTATTAAGAAAATCCTTAGGTTATCATAGTTCTTGTCAGCAGCAGTAAAATGCTTTAGAATGACTGAATCATTCTTTTGAATTCTATGATATTATTTTGAAGCTGAGATTTATGTACAGAAGAAAGGATCTGAGAACCTCTGTATTTACCTTCTACTCCCTATGATTGAAAACATGGAGAAAACATGTGTTTAAATTAGCACATGATCTCTGCTCTTCTCAGGTTAGTAGATCCTACAGGAGACCCATTTTTCACACTTTGTTGCTTTCAAACTTCAAAAATAAGCAGCAAACGGTCATTATTTTCTCTTCTTATTGCTGTAAAAAGTGGAAGATACTTTGAAGAGCACTTTTATCAAAGCAGAAGTTTTCTGTATTCCGGATGTTGTTTGTCTTACACAATAGAATTTGAGTATGTTATGTGTTTCCTGATTAGTATTTCTGATTAGGACATAGATAATCATCTGAAGTAAGTGCTGCTGGATATTTTTGGACTTCACATAAATATACATGAATGTGGGTGGCAGGAGCATAGTAAATAACACAACACTGAGTGATTAGAGTCTAATATGCTATGTTGTCAGGGACGAAATGTGGGTTCAATTTCCAGTTGTAGCCTCTTATAACTCATCCAGATCTTAGTGTAATAGGGACTGACCGTGTATGAATGTGTGTTTAATGTTTTCTCTCAAACCAGGAAGAGTCAGACTTCTAATTTCGGAATTATACTTCCCTCTTTAATGTTCATTTGTGATTTGAAGTATGTGATCAATTACATGGGTACATTCTGCATAGTTGGGTATTGTTAAAGGTCTTTCTAAGAAGAAAGGAAGATAGACAAATAATACACAAATAAATAAAAATAAATTGTGTTCATTAGACTGAGGCATTAATTATATTGAAACTTTGAAAATTTGTAAACATTTTTAAATTTTCACTTCTTTTTCAATCCATCTTTGTGCCAGGTGGCAGACAACCTCTGGTGCACTCATGAATGTCTAGTATCCTGCGTGCTAGCAATTCATTGCTGACCCTAGTGTCAATTCACAGACCAGTCCCTCCTCTCCCCATTCACAGCTGCTTCTCTGCAAGTGGCATGAGAAACTGGACTATGCATTCCTTTGTTTACCTTATAGTGATGAATCTGAGATGCAGAGATGAAGACATTGGCCTTGAGGTATGGCCTGACACCACACCAAAGACAAGAATTCAGGGCTTTTTAATTCCCAGTTCTGTGAAACATCAGCTTTTATTTTCTCTTCATTTCAGCTTCATAGTATCTTCTCTAAATCAGGCTCAGTGGGCATACTACAAATGCTGACTGCCAAACACTGGCACTTAACACCCTGTAAATGAGCTGTCAGGACTTGCAGGACAAGAAGCTACAGTATATAATCTGGAGCTTGCTTCAAAAAGGCAAATTGATCCTCTAATTTCAATTCTTATTCCCTTCTTAAATTCCACTGACATGGCCAAAGGAATATAAAAACATGAAAAAATCTGTATGAGTTTCAAAACAAATAAGCCTGTCTCCTGTATGCCAGAGGAATCTAGGTAAGATACAGTGCAAGTGACAATAAGTTCCAGAAAGGGCTCTGGCCAGCCTGTGAGTTGCTGTGTGGGAGCTACAGCTGGCTTGAGAAGTAAGCAGATGCAATCCCAAGTAGAGTACTGCATTGGAAGTGGTGTCAGGTGAAGGAAGGAGCAAGTCTTTGAGAAGTTAGGGCGGACAGTAAATCCCAGTTCTTCCATAAACTGTTGGGGATGTGCAGATGCCAACAAATAGTGGCAGGCATCTGCATGCATTCTCAGCTAGCATTTGATGAATGGATGAGCTTTAGGGTGCTGCCAATATGGGATGTTTTCCTCTCTGGGCTGGACCATATACCTAAGATCTTGTATAGAGTTCAGAGTGTAATTTCTGGGTTTCAAAATCAGAGCCTGTTTCACGATTTTCACATACACTTATATCTCTTACAAATTCTGTTTCCCATCCTATATTTCCTCAGCTTAAAGGTGGGTGTCTTTACATGTCTGAATGTTCTTCACCACAGGAGTATATGTTCCCAGAATGCTAGGAGAGGGATGGGGTAGTAATAGCTGAGGGTGTCCGGCCTTAAATTTCAGTCTCAGTGGGTTGGGCTTGGCTTCTCTTCCAGCATGTTGGGAGCATTGCCCTGAACTTTAGCTCCTTTGCCCAGGGCACAGGGGGCACAGAGAGCAGAGTTTCTTCACTGATGTTGGAATCTGTTCATAGTCTTCTAGAGCTCTATACCCCCAAAGGACTCTTTTTAGGTAAAAACGTATTAAACCTGCCTGGTTGGATTCCATTTAATTTAGACAAAATTCCAGCTTCTCTCTCAATCCATAGGAATTTATCTACATCTAAAAGTTTCCTATTGAAAACACTAGATGCATGGGATTTGTATTTCCTATTTATTCCTTTTCAGTACATCTGTGCAGCATTTTATGGGAACTACATCAGATCTTGTCTAGGAGCAATGGTTTTTACGTTAAACCTAAAAATATTTTACAAAAACATTTTAAACAATATTTTTTTCATAAAGTGGAAAAATCATTCTATGGATGGCACCAAGGGGAATTTGTGTCTTTTGGGGGCATTTTCCCGATGACCCCCGTTAAGAGTGAGCTAAGTATAGCCATGGCCCTGCCCACGACTTGCTTCTAGTAAGAGAACTCATGTCAGTTAGAAAAGGGAGGGCAATAGTCTTGTTTATTTTGAGACTCACGGGCAAACTTTGAACAGCAACTCTTCACCACAGTGGAGACCCTGACCTGAGGTCGCTTCTGCCCACCTCCACCTTTGCCTCCTCACCGACAATCCGACTCCGACCTGTGGAAACAGACCCCAGCAAAGTTGAAAGCAGCTGTCTTTCCTTATATGGAGTACAAAGAAATAGAGGGAACATGACAATCTTTTTAAAAAGTCTCCTTTCCTAATTCTGAACAATAGATGGTTCTTTTTCTCCCAGCCAACCACCAACAACCACCTATACTTTAAGAATGAACAAATAGAGAAAAATCAACGGACATATGAAAAAGCATCAGTCCTTCATCAGAAAGAGATTTAAAGAATCAGAGCAAAAATCTCCCAATGAATCCAACTTACTACACAGAACTAGAGGTAACTTCAGAAACTCTATTTTGTATTTTTGAAGACTTAGAAGGATGTTGCATCTATGAAAAGGGAACACTTTAAGATAAATAAAAGAATAAAAAACCACAGCCTTGAACTTTATAATATAAAAATACCACAATGAATCTTTTCTATACTTTAAATATAATCAAAATAAAAATCTTCCTCTTCACAGCATACAATACTGTGCAGATATAGCAAATGCATGCTACAGAAGAAAGGTAGACATGGACACCAGAATGCAGAGAAAGTTAACAGTGATGTAGAGATATTTACCATGAATTTAAGAAGACTCATGATGAATTATTTAGGAGATAGAATATAATGGGAACTCCAGAGAAGGAGAGAGAGAAGGATGATACCAAAGAAACAATAAACCAAAAAATTACAAAATTTCCCCAAGCTCAAGAGAGACTTGAATCTCCATGTCAGTTATATAACTGGACAAAATTAATTAAAATGATCCATATTTAGATAATCTTGTTGAAGTATCCAGGAAGAAAATTATTGTGGCTGCCAATGATACTTTTCCTAGGAAGTATTCAATACTATAATAGAAGACAATGAAACAGCTAGAGTTTTGCAGCAAAAATCATTGTGACCCAAGTGCTGTACATCCTGCTAAAGATTATTCATGTGCAAGAGCAGTAGAAAGACACTCTCAGGCATGAAAGAAATCAGAAAGCAAATTACCAATGTGCTGTTCTTGAAAATATAAATCAATAAAGTATTTGTTACCAACTAAGAAATGCATTGACATGAACTTATGAATGAGAAAGATGGAAAAAAAATGGCAGAGAGAAACTAAGCCAGTAAAACACAGAGGTAAAGCTGAATGATTATTGTCATGACTATACAGTTATTGAAAAAATAAAAATATAATGGGAGGAATAGTAAATAGCATCTTAAAAAAATCCCAGATTATTCCCATAAAAGCTAGGAGATGGGGTGGTATGATAAAGGGTGTTCATTGTTCACAGAAATCCATTCTGCCCTCCTGCCCCAGAAGTAGAGTTGAGGCTGAGTTAGTTAGACAATGGTTTTTGTTCAGTTAGCCTCAGCTAGTGCTTGCTGATATAATGGCCATGTGACTATCTTCTTATAAATGGTAATCCAGTTAGACTACTGTATACTTAGTGCTCCCCAATATATGTGGCTATATAAGTACTTCTTATAAATAAAATGAGAGCAGAAGTGATGATTTCCACTTCTAGGTCTTACTGAACCTTAAGTATGAGATGGCAACAGTGCCCAAGTGGGTGGGGGACGATGTCTTGGGAGGAACTTGGGTTCCTGATTACATAAGGAGCTGTCCTGCTGATCCGGACCATTCACATATGGACTCTTAAGTGAGTGAGAAATGAACTTCCTTCTTGAGTCACTGTGTCATTGGAACTTTTTGCTACAGTAGAGTAGCTTTACCCTGACCTATGTAGGTGGTGTGAGAGGAAGAAAAGTTGTGCTTAAAGTAATACATGGGATTATCCTTGTGGAGACAAACTACAATCTAAACATATCATATTTTTATGACAATTAGATCATCTTATACATATTGTTTTGAGCTTGATTTTTACATGAAATAATATATTTTAGTCATTCTCCATGCCAATATATAAAGTTACACATTATTTTTAACTTTCAAATAGTATTCTATAGTATGACAGCTCTATAATATATTGAATTATTTCTTCTATGTGGGAATTACATGTTTTCCCTAATGTTGGGCTATTATAAATAATTCTATAGTGAAATGTTATATGCACATGTGGAGGAATTTCTATAGATTAGATTATTCTAGGTGTGGAATTTCTGGTGTAAAGGCATGCATATAGGGATTGCAAAATTGAGCTCTGGAGATCAGGGGGGGTCAGAGGTAAGTGTTCTAAGTGGTTCTCTTGGCAGCCTCTTGCCCTGCTGGTATTTATGGTTGGCTGGAGTCTGCAGCTGGTATAATTCAAGATTTTCCCCTCTTGGCTTGGTTGGGGCCCAGCGGAGCCCCTGGCTAACTCAGCCCTACTTCAGATTCCATTGGCTAGAAGCTCCTGTATGAATGCAGTATCCTTTAGGAGTCTGCTAAAATTTCTCAGGGTCACCTTTTCTTGCTCTGGTAGCCTCCATGGCAAGACTGGTGATTAACTTACTGTCTATACCACCTGACTTAAAAGTGGTTTGAGGCTGGGCGCGGTGGCTCACGCCTGCAATTTCAGCACTTTGGGAGGCCGAGGCAGGTGGATCACCTGAAGTCAGGAATTCGAGACCAGCCTGGCCAACATGGTGAAACCCCGTCCGTACTAAAAATACAAAAATTAGCTGGGCGTGGTGGTGGGCACCTGTAATCCCAGCTACTCGGGGGGCTGAGGCATGAGAGAATCGCTTGAACCGGGAGTTGGAGGTTGCAGTGAGCCGAGATCGAGCCACTGCACTCCACACCACAGAGTGAGACTCCGTCAAAAAAAAAAAGAAAAGAAAAAAAGTGGTTTGAGAAGGCTAAGCTCCCTTCTAGATAATGCTGCACTACCAGATTGCTGTGGTAACACCCTGGGTAGGGTTAGAAAGCAGCCTGAGAGGTTGTTTCCAGTTTTCTAAACAGGCATGGGGCAATAACTCCCCTTTTGGCTTCACTACTACTACAGATGACATAATATACCTTCCCCTCACTGAACTAGAGCCCTGAAATGGCAAATCTGGTCCCCCATCTAAGTATTATTCTTTTTATTTCTTAATCCCCCCTTTTTCCACTCTGTCTTTCTCTCTTGCTTAAAAGTTCTTCCTGGGAGGGGGCAAGTTTCTTTCATGTTCCATGTATAATATCTTCCATCTTTCTGACTCATGCTTAGCCTTACCAGTGGTGAAATAGATCTCCTCTAGACTAGAAAAGAACTTTATGAACAAACTTCTCCTATTTTGATTGCTTTTATGTTAAAGATGGAGATGAAGAAATTTGAGAAATACTTAGCAAGACATGCCAAACTATTGTCTGTTACATATTTCTATTTTGAAAGATAGCTGCATTATATTTCCTTAGTCTTTCTTTTCTGAACAAATGTGAGTTTCTCCCAGGCAGATAGACGCTTAAGGAGGAAAAATGGCAAAAATCTTATACTTGGAAAGGCAAAAGAGAAAAGCACACTAAAAATTATATATCTATGTATGTGTATATCCCCAACTTTATGCATTTAAAATGTTGACAGTTCTTGCTAATTTAATCTAAAAAAGATTTTCTACTTTAGAGTTCCTTCAATAGTACATGAATGTGGCTCTTTTTTTCATGCTCTTGCCAAACAATGGACATACTTTTTTTTTTTTTTACTTTTTGTTAACTTAATAAATATATGTCTAATTTGTTTTAGTTTCCATTTCTTACCACTAGAAAAGACTGTGCATCTTTTCTTGTTTATTTGTCACTTATTTTTCTTCTTTTGTTAGCGGCATGTGAACGTCCTTTCATAATTTCCTACTGAGTTGTTTCACTTTTCTTAAATATTTAAATTTCTTATTGATTGTGTGAGCTAATATACAATCAATGCTACATGTTAAGCACTTAATAAATACAGCGTCTAATACATAGCAATAACTCAATATAGGTTGTGTCAAAGAAATAAAATTAAAAACAAAATTTTCTCCCAACCCAGGAACGTCTTCACAAAGGCAGTAGAGGAAGAAAATGGTTTTATTATTGAATAAGCATCACGACAGAATGTGGTGCGCCTCACAGGCAACCCACTAAGAAATTGTGAAGATAAAAAGGAATCTCATCCTTTTATACAGGCAAGAGAATAAAACCCATCACAAAATGTTTTCAAGATAAATAATAACTAGTCTTCAAGTAAGCGGACTGGATAGCACCATTTGTTAAACATAGTTCATCCTAGATTCATCTGGTACTTGGGGTGACCATCTGTGTTAGCTCATTGGCTTTATCCAGAGGAAAAACAAACTTTTAATAGCTTTTTGACAAGAGGCAGTTTTGCAACTTGGAGCAAGGTGCCTGACAAAATTAGGCTTCTAGCCTCCCACAGTAAGGGAAAATAGGGGCGCTAACTTCCTTTATAATTCGTTTTCAAAGAGATGGCTCCCAGGTCCTTGACAAAGCCATTCCTGGGACATTAAGCTGACAAGAGGCCTATCTAGTTTTCAAAAGGTTTATATACATTTCAAAGGGATGAGAAAGTGCCTTTATAGTACGTGTTTTAAGTAAAACAAAAGGAAGACAGGAAAATTTCTTTCCTTGTTTTCAACGGAGAATTAAGCTTCTTAGTTTTAATTTGTATTTGTCTGCACAGTTGCTGATAATATGATCTTTGTTGTCTGCATGTGCTTTATATATTAGGAATATTACATTTTAGTTTATAGCTAGGGTAACATGGCAAGTCTCTGTCTCTAAAGAATAAAAATAAAAAGTTATTTGGGTGTGGTGGCGCAAGCCTGTAGTCCCAGCTACTTATAGGAAGCTGAAGCAGGAGGATCACTTAAGCCCAGGAATTTGGGGCTGCAATGAGCTATGATTGCACTCCAGCCTGGGCAACAGAGCAAGACCTCTATACTCAGTAAAACGAAAGTAAAACAAAATAGAAACAAAATCAAATAAACCTAACTCTGGCCTTCCAAGCTTCTACTAGTCTGGCCCTTGTTACCTCTCAGATCTCGAATGGAATGATTCTCCCTGGCCTCCCCACTCCAGCCGCAGGGGAGCCCACCTCAGGGGTTTGGTCTGACTGTTGCCTTTGCCTGGACCAGTGCCCCTTAGATATGTGTGCAGTCTTCTTCCTTCTCAATTCTATTTTCTTAAATGCCACTTTCTTACTGAAAGTTACTTTAACTACACTGTTTAACGTGATATATTCACCCTGCCACACCAGTCCCACCTGGAACTTCCCATTCCCTCCGTCCCTATTTTTATTTATAGCACTTATCACCTCTTGCTAGACTAGCTTATTTATTGTTTGTCTTCTCTGTTTCACTAGAAGGTAGTCAGGAATACCCAATATTTTGTCTACTTTGTTTACTCCTCTATTTCCAGGGCTGAGTAAGCTCTAAATTTTATTTTTGAAATGAATTAAAATAACTAACTAATAAATATATCTTGGTATCTTTCAATATATATTTGACTTTTCACTGTGCACAAAGGGTTTTTTCATAAGAAAAAAATAGTTTTTCTGTACCTTAAATCTATTACTTTTTCCATTTACAGTGTCTGAGTTTCATGTCCTCCTTAGAAAATTTTTCCAACAATAAAATTTTTCATCATGCTAAAGAAAAAGAACAGCAGCAGAAAAACAGGTAAAATCTGAATGAAGGCTGATGATTAATTAATGCAACCTACCAGTGTTTGGTAGTTAGTTTTGACATGTACCATAGTAATGTAGGATGTTAACAGTAGAGGAAACAGAGTAAGAGGTTTATTTGCAACCTTTCTGTAAATCTAAAATTATTCTAAAATAAAATGAGAGACGGGACTAGCTGGATTTCCTAGGCCAACTAAGCATCCCTAAGCCTAGCTGGGAAGGTGACCACATCCAACTTTAAACATGGGGCTTGCAACTTAGCTCACACCCAACCAATCAGAGAGCTCACTAAAGTGCTAATTAGGCAAAAACAGGAGGTAGAGAAATAGCCAATCATCTATCCCCTGAGAGCCCAGCGGGAGGGACAAGGATTGCGATATAAACCCAGGCCTTCCAGCAGGCAATGGCAACCCCCTTTGGGTCCCCTCCCTTTATATGGGAGCTCTGTTTTCACCCTATTAAATCTTGCAACTGCACTTTTCTGGTCCATGTTTGTTACAGCTTGAGCTGAGCTTTCGCTCGCCATCCACCACTGCTGTTTGCCGTTGTGCCGGACCCGCCACTGACTTCTATCCCTCCGGATCCGGCAGGGTGTCTGCTGTGCTCCTGATCCAGCGAGGCGCCCATTGCTGCTCCCGATCAGGCTAAAGGCTTGCCATTGTTCCTGCACGGCTAAGTGCCTGGGTTCGTCCTAATCGAGCTGAACACTAGTTACTGGGTTCCATGGTTCTCTTCTGTGATCCATGGCTTCTAATAGAGGTATAACACTCACCTGGCATGGCCCAGGATTCCATTCCTTGGGATCCGTGAGGCCAAGAACCCCAGGTCAGAGAACACGAGGCTTGCCACCATCTTGGAAGCGGCCCACCACCATCTTGGAAGCTGCTAGCCACCATCTTGGAAGTTCTGTGAACAAGGACCCCCGGTAACATTTTGGCGACCACGAAGGGACCTCCAAAGTGGTGAGTAATATTGACCCTTTTGCTTGCTATTCTGTCCTATCCTTCCTTACAATTGGAGGAAAATACCGGGCACCTGTCGGTCAGTTAAAAACGATTAGCGTGGCTGCCAGACTTAAGACTCACGTGTGAGGCTATCTGGGGAAGGGCTTTCTAACAACTCCCAACCCTTCTGGGTTGGGGATGTTGGTCTCGCTGGAGCCAGCTTCCACTTTTAATTTTCTTGGGGAAGCCAAGGGCTGACTAGAGGCAGAAAGCTGTCCTCCCGAACTCCTGGCAGTAGCCGGTTGAGATCACGGCGCAGCCAGAAGTCTCTACTCAACAGTCGCCCATGTGTGCGCCCCTACCTTTCCTTCTGACCCATACCTCCTGGGTCCCAACCACGACTTTCTTGAAAGTGTAACCCCAAAATTCTCCTTACCTCTGAATCTACTCCTCTGATCCCTGCCTCCTAGGTACTAATGGTTCAGACTTTCATTTCCTCTAGCAAGTTGTATCTCCAAAGGGATCTAAGGAAGCTCTATGCTGTGTCCTTAGGCACCTAGGCTATAACCCAGGGAGTTTTATCCCTGGAGTCCCTCCTGATTTAGGTATACAGCTCTGGACATGGGCAGTTATGTAGGACCCATTCCCCACCATCCTTGCCAGGGCCCCAAGTTTGTAATGGCTAAGAGAGGGACAGTGAGAGACAGAGAGAGAGAGATGAAGAGAGATAGAGAGACGGAGAGAGAGGGGGATGGAGAAAGAGATAGAGCGAGTCAAAGAGAAAAAAAAAAGACAAATAGTAGAAAAAAAGTGTGCCCTATTCCTTTAAAAGCCAGGGTAAATTTAAAACCTGTAATTGATAATTGAAGGTCTTCTCCATGACCCTATAACACTCCAATGCCACTTTGTTGTGAGTGTAAATAAGGGCGTAGCCCAAAAGCACTGAGGCCACTGACAACCTATGGCTTTCCTATCAAAAATCCTTAACCCAGTAACCCTTGGATAGGCCGAATGCATTCATTCGGTAGCGGCAACTGCTTTGCTAAAAGTAGAAAAGTAACTTTTAGAGGAAACCTCGTTGTGAGCACACCTCACCAGTTCAGAATTATTCTAAGTCAAAAAAAAAAAAAAAAAAAAAGCAAAAAGGTAGCTTACTAACTCAAAAAGCTTAAAGTATAGGGCTATTATATTAGAAAAGGGTAATGTAACTCCAACCACTGATAATTCCCTTAACCCAGCAGATTTCCTAACAGGGGTTTTAAATCTTAATTACCATACAAAGGTCCGACCAGAACTAGGAGGAACTCCCTTCAGGACAGGACGACAGATGGTTCCTCCCAGGTGATTGAGGAAAAAACCACAATGGGTATTCAGTAATTGATACAGAGACTCATGTGGAAGCAGAATTAGAAAAATTGCCTAATAATTGGTCTCCTCAAATGTACGAGCTGTTTGCACTCAGCCAAGCCTTAAAGTACTTACAGAATCAAAAGACTATTTCAATCCTGACTCAAAAGTTTCGCTACACCCTCTCTGAAATGAATTTGCATAAGAACTATTGTTTATGGGAATGCATCTTGATGGGGCAGCTGGGTTGTTATGAAATACTCGGGAACCCAGCCCAGCTCTAGGACTCACCCCTGAGCTCAAAGGCAATGTTGGGTATGCTGGTAAAGGACCACTAGAATCCAGCAGCCCGAACCCCTTTCTTTGTGGTCAAGAGAGGCGGGAAAACAGGTGCAGGACTGCTACATCGGTGAGTGTAACTAATCCGATAAACAGAGGTCCATGGGTGGTTATGCACCCTGGAAAAGAATAAGCATTAGGCCCTTAGAGGACGCTCTAGGACTAATGCTCATCGGAAAATGACTAGGGGTGTTGGCATCCCTATATTATTTTTTCAGATGGGAAACGTTCCCCCCAACACCAAGGCAAAAACGCCCCTGAGATGTATTCTGGAGAATTAGGACCAATTTGACCCTCAGACGCTAAGAAAGATACTCTTCTGCAGTACCACCTGGCCACGATATCCTCTTCAATGGGGAGAAATCTGGCCTCCTGAGGGAAGTATAAATTATGACCCCATCTTACAGCTAGACCTCTTCTGTAGAAAGGAGGGCAAATGGAGTGAAGTGCCATATGTACAAACTTTCTTTTCATTAAGAGACAACTCGCAATTATGTAAAAAGTGTGGTTTATGCCCTACAGGAAGCCCTCAAGAGTCTACCTCCCTATCCCAGCGTCCCCCCGACTCCTTCTCCAACTAATAAGGACCCCCCTTTTACCCAAATGGTCCATAGGAGATAGACAAAGGGATAAACAATGAGCCAAACAGTGCCAATATTCCCTGATTATGCCCCCTCCAAGCAGTGGGAGGAGAATTCAGCCCAGCCAGAGTGCATGTACCTTTTTCTCTCTCAGACTTAAAGCAAGTTAAAATAGACCTAGGTAAATTCTCAGCTAACCCTGATGGCTATATTGATGTTTTACAAGGGTTAGGACAATCCTTTGATCTGACATGGAGAGATATAATGTTACTGTTAAATCAGACACTAACCCCAAATGAGAGAAGTGCCGCCACAACTGCAGCCCGAGAGTTTGGCTATCTCTGGTATCTCAGTCAGGTCAATTATAGGATGACAACAGAGGAAAGCGAACAATTCCCCAAAGGCCAGCAGGCAGTTCCCTGTGTAGACCTTCACTGGGACACAGAATCAGAACATGGAGATTGGTGCCACAGACATTTGCTAACTTGCATGCTAGGACTAGGGAAAACTAGGAAGAAGCCTGTGAATTATTCAGTGATGTCCACTATAACAAAGGAAAAGGAAGAAAATCCTACTGCCTTTCTGGAGAGACTAAGGGGGGCATTGAGGAAGCATACCTCTCTGTCACCTGACTATTGAAGGCCAACTAATCTTAAAGGATAAGTTTATCACTCAGTCAGCTGCAGACATTAGAAAAAAACTTCAAAAGTCCGCCTTAGGCCTGGAGCAAAACTGAGAAACCCTATTGAACTTGGCAACCTTGGTTTTTTTATAATAGAGATCAGGAGGAGCAGGCGGATCGGGACAAACGGGATTAAAAAAAAGGCCACCACTTTAGTCATGAACCTCAGGCAAGTGGATTTTGGAGGCTCTGGAAAAGGGAAAAGCTGGGAAAATCAAACCTAATAGGACTTGCTTCCAGTGTGGTCTACAAGGACACTTTAAAAAAGATTGTCCAAGTAGAAATAAGCCGCCCCCTTGTCCATGCCCCTTATGTCAAGGGAATCACTGGAAGGCCCATTGCCCCAGGGGACGAAGATCTTCTGAGTCAGAAGCCACTAACCAGATGATCCAGCAGCAGGACTGAGGGTGCCCGGGGCAAGCGCCAGCGCATGCCATCACCCTCACAGAGCCCCCGGTTTGCTTGACCATTGAGGGCCAGGGAGGTTAACTGTCTCCTGGACACTGGCATGGCCTTCTCAGTCTTACTATCCTGTCCTGGACAACTGTCCTCCAGATCTGTCACTATCCGAGGGGTCCTAGGACAGCCAGTCACTAGATACTTCTCCCAGCCACTAAGTTGTGACTGGGGAACTTTACTCTTTTCACATGCTTTTCTAATTATGCCTGAAAGCCCCACTCCCTTGTTAGGGAGAGACATTCTAGCAGAAGTGGGGGCCATTATACATCTGAACATAGGAGAAGGAACACCCGTTTGTTTTCCCCTGCTTGAGGAAGGAATTAATCCTAAAGTCTAGGCAACAGAAGGACAATATAGATGAGCAAAAAATGCCCGTCCTGTTCAAGTTAAACTAAAGGATTCTGCCTCCTTTCCCTACCAAAGGCAGTACCCCCTTAGACCCAAGGCCCAGCAAGGACTCCAAAAGATTGTTAAGGACCTAAAAGCCCAAGGCCTAGTAAAACCATGCAATAGCCCCTGCAATACTCCAGCTTTAGGAGTACAGAAACCCAACAGACAGTGGAGGTTAGTGCAAGATCTCAGGATTATTAATGAGGCTGTTTTTCCTCTATACCCAGCTGTATCTAGCCCTTATACTCTGCTTTCCCTAATACCAGAGGAAGCAGAGTAGTTTACAGTCCTGGACCTTAAGGATGCCTTTTTCTGCATCCCTGTACATCCTGATTCTCAATTCTTGTTTGTCTTTGAAGATCCTTTGAACCCAATGTCTCAATTCACCTGGACTGTTTTACCCCAGGGGTTCAGGGATAGCCCCCATCTATTTGGCCAGGCATTAGCCCAAGACTTGAGCCAATTCTCATACCTGGACAGTCTTGTCCTTCGGTATGGGGATGATTTAATTTTAGCCACCCGTTCAGAAACCTTGTGCCATCAAGCCACCCAAGCGCTCTTAAATTTCCTCACTCCGTGTGGCTACAAGGTTTCCAAACCAAAGGCTCAGCTCTGCTCACAGCAGGTTAAATACTTAGGGTTAAAATTATCCAAAGGCACCAGGGCCCTCTGTGAGGAATGTATCCAACCTGTACTGGCTTATCCTCATCCCAAAACCCTAAAGCAACTAAGAAGGTCCTTGGCATAACAGGTTTCTGCTGAATGTGGATTTCCAGGTACAACGAAATAGCCAGACCATTATATACACTAATTAAAGAAACTCAGAAAGCCAATACCCATTTAGTAAGATGGATACCTGAAGCAGAAGCAGCTTTCCAGGGCCTAAAGGAGGCCCTAACCCAAGCCCCAGTGTTAAGCTTGCCAACGCGGCAAGACTTTTCTTTATATGTCACAGAAAAAATAGGAATAGCTCTAGGAGTCCTTACACAGGTCCAAAGGATGAGCTTGCCACCTGAGTAAGGAAATTGATGCAGTGGCAAAGGGTTGGCCTCATTGTTTACGGGTAGTGGCGGCAGTAGCAGTCTTAGTATCTGAAGCAGTTAAAATAATACAGGGAAGGGATATTACTGTGTGGACGTCTCATGATGTGAATGGCGTACTCACTGCTAAAGGAGACTTGTGGCTGTCAGACAACCATTTACTTAAATATCAGGCTCTATTATTTGAAGGGCCAGTGCTGCGACTGCGCACTTGTGCACCTCTTAATCCAGTCACATTTCTTCCAGACAATGAAGAAAAGATAGAACATAACTGCCAACAAGTAATTGCTCAAACCTGTGCAGCTAGAGGGAACCTTTTAGAGGTTCCCTCGACTGATCCCATCCTCAACTTGTATACTGATGAAAGTTCCTTTGTAAAAAAAAAAAAGCACTTCAAAAAGTAAGGTATGCAGTGGTCAGTGATAATAGAATACTTAAAAGTAATCCCCTCACTCCAGGAACTAGTGCTCAGCTGGCAGAACTAATAGCCCTCAGGCACTAAAATTAGGAGAAGGAAAAAGGGTAAATATATATACAGCCTCTAAGTATGCTTACCTAGTCCACCATGCCCATGCAGCAATATAGAGAGATAGGGAATTCCTAACTTCCTAGGGAACACCTATCAAACATCAGGAAGCCATTAGGAGATTATTATTGGCTGCACAGAAACCTAAAGAGGTGACAGTCTTACACTGCCAGGGTCATCAGAAAGGAAAGGAAAATAGAAGAAAACCGCCAAGTGGATATTAAAGTCAAAAGAGCCGCAAGGCAGGAGGCTCCATTAGAAATGCTTATAGAAGGACCCCTAGTATAGGGTAATCCCCTCCAGGAAACCAAGCCCCAGTACTCAGCAGGAAAAATAGAATAAGGAACCTCACAAGGACATACTTTCCTCCCCTCCAGATGGCTAGCCACCAAAGAAGGAAAATATTTTTGCCTGCAGCTAACCAATAGAAATTACTTAAATCCCTTCACCAAACCTTCCACTTAGGCATTGACAGCACCCATCAGATGGCCGAATTATTATTTACTGGACCAGGCCTTTTCAAAACTATCAAGCAGATAGTCAGGGCCTGTACAGTGTGCCAAAGAAGTAATCCCTTGCACTGCAGGCCATACATTTCAATCCCTATATCTTTAACCTCCTTGTTAAGTTTGTCTCTTCTGGAATCAAAGCTGCAAAACTACAAATCATTCTTCAAATGGAGCCCCAGATGCAGTCTATGACTAAGATCTACCGCGGACCCCTGGACCAGCCTGCTAGCCCATGCTCCGATGTCAATGACATCGAAAGCACCCCTCCCGAGGAAATCTCAATTGCACCACCCCTACTACGCCCCAATTCAGCCAGAAGCAGTTAGAGCAGTCATCGGCCAACCTCCCCAGCAGCACTTGGGTTTTCCTGTTGAGACAGGGGACTGAGAGACAGGATTAGCTGGATTTCCTAGGCCGACTAAGAATCCTTAAGCCTAGCTGGGAAGGTGACTGCATCCACCTTTAAATATGGGGCTTGTAACTTAGCTCACACCCAACCAATCAGAGAGCTCACTAAAATGCTAATTAGGCAAAAACAGGAGGTAGAGAAATAGCCAATCTATTGCCTGAGAGCACAGCGGGAGGGACAAGGATCGGGATATAAACCCAGGCATTTGACAACCCCCTTTGGGTCCCCTCCCTTTGTATGGGAGCTCTGTTTTCACTCTATTTCACTCTATTAAATCTTGCAACTGCACTCTTCTGGTCCATGTTTGTTACAGCTCGAGCTGAGCTTTCGCTAGCCGTCTACCACTGCTGTTTGCCGCCATGGCAGACCCACTGCTGAGTTCTATCCCTCCGGATCCGTCAGGGTGTCCGCTGTGCTCCTGATCCAGAGAGGCACCCATTGCCACTCCTGATTGGGCTAAAGGCTTGCCATTGTTCCTGCATGGCTAAGTGCCCGGGTTCATTCTAATCCAGCTGAACACTAGTCACTGGGTTCCATGGTTCTCTTCCGTGACCCATGGCTTCTAATAGAGGTATAACACTTGCTGCGTAGCCCAAGATTCCATTCCTTGGAATCCATGAGGCCAAGAACCCCAGATCAGAGAACACGAGGCTTGCCACCATCTTGGAAGCAGCCCACCATCCTCTTGGAAGCGGCTTGCCACCATCTTGGAAGCTCTGTGAACAAGGATCCCCCGGTAACAAAAGGTTTACTTAAAAATTTATCTTTTCTTATCTAAAATCAGAAATACTATTTGACCCAGCAATCCCATTTCTGGGTATATACCCAAAGAAATATAAATCATTTCATTATGAAGACACATGCACTTATATGTTCATTGCAGCAGTATTCACAATAGCAAAGACATGGATTCAACCTACATGCACATCGATTATAGACTTGATAAAGAAAATGTGGTACATATATACCATAGAATACTATGCAGCCATGAAAAACGAGATCATGTCCATTGCAGGAACATGGATGGAGCTGGAGGCCATTATCCTTAGCAAACTGATGCAGGATCAGAAAACCAAATACCAAATGTTCTCACTTATGAGTGGGAGCTGAATGATGAGAAGATGTGGACACAAGGTGGGGGAACACACACTGGCGACTATTGAGGGTGGAAGGGGGGTAGGAGGAAGAGGATCAGGAAAAATAACTAATATGTACAAAGCTTAATACCTGGGTGATGAAATAATCTGTACAACAAACCCCCATGATACAAGTTTGCCTATATAACAAACGTTCACATGTACCCCTGAACTTAAAAAAAAGTTAAAAAAAATTTATCTTGTCTTTAAGCTTGTTTATGGTTTCTATTTTAGTTTTAGATTTTAAGTCTACATTCGAATCACTTTGTTGTATTATGTGAAGTAGAGAAACTTTTTAAATTCCCCTTATTGATAATTAATTGTTCTGGTTTTAAGTGCTGCTATATAACATATATTCAGTAGAGAAAGTGCATTCTTTTTATAAAAAATGTTTTAACTCATATATTTATTTTTCCAGATTAGTTTTATAATCAGGTTATCGAGTTCTATAAAAATTCCCATTGTGATTTTGATTGAGATTATATGTGAGATAAGTAGATAATTTTGTAAAATTTCACTTTATTAAATTAGTATACTTAATATACTTAATATGTGCAAAGTTATCAATAATAAAAACATGCAACGTAGAAAAAGCAGGCAAGTTAAACAATGAGAAATCAAAAGACTAGTGTCATACACAATTTAGAAAGGAATTTCAAGCTAAAGAATCATCAATAAAATACAAATTAAAGTAAAAAGAATCGGCACTATTTTGTTTTTTACAAGCAGCCAACATTAAAATTTTTTTTACAAGCAAGCCAACATTTCTACTTCTAGCAAGTAGTAAAATAGGTTCTTATATATTATTGGCAAGAAAGAAATTGGCAGAATCTTTTTGGAAAACAAATTGTAATTTATTTCAAATTCTTCACGTTTTGGATATTCATTTATCAAGTATGTCCACTTTAAAAGATTTCTTAAAGGAAATAATCATGAAAAACATAATTGTAAAAAACATTTCTCACAATATTTTTTTATAATAGTGAAAGTAGCCTAATTTTACATTAGGGCATAGTTGAATAAAATTTGTTATACATGTACTGTGTACATGTATATATGTATAGTCTATAAGTTTATGCTGGTCTATTGGGTCTGTAAAGCTTCAGCCATTTCATTTGCTCTCTGGGTGGTAATCAGAGATACACTTTAGATCATACATTTTTGTTTATGAATTCCTACCACAGTAGACATCCTTTTATAATATGGTGAAATCCAAAATCTCAGACCCCTTTTGTTGAATTAATATGTTAAGTTTTAGTGAAAGATGAACACCAAGAGTGGGTGGTGATGGTGGTTTAAATTGTATGTACTAAACATGAGAGGAACATCTGATTACATGAGAATATTCCTGGGGTTACACATTAAGGTGACATAAATGTATTGCTTATGAAAACAGGTCAGTACCAATTACTCTCTGGATGTAATTAGTCTCATTAAGGAGGACAAACACCTTAGATGGAAGTAAATAGATTATTACTGATTCAGAAAATAACTGGACTATAACCATTCTTATACCTGATGTTTCTTAACTTCTTCTGAGACTCTGGGAGATATTAGCAGTTAATTGTAGGGGCCAAAGGTCCAATTAAGGTGTGTTAGGGTTAATAACATTCTAATGCTGAGTATAAAAGGGAATGTGATTATTAGTTTTGGGGTGAAGTGTAGTTCCATCTGGACTTTTGTATGTGGCTATACAATTCTTACTAGGGAGATCTTAAGCTGGATAACAAATCTAGCGGTTGTAAAAGTCGGCAGCTAACACTGATGGAAAAAGTGAATTAGGAATTCACAGTATTTAAGGAACAAAGACAATCAAGAGAACAACAGAAAAAACTGGGAGAGGGAAATCATAACACTCTTATCTTGAACCAAAATAAAGGAAAGAGGCTGGCAGTAAGAGGAGAAAACAAGTAAAATTGAAGTCCTTAGTTCTAAGCATGCATTTTTATTTGAAAGTCATTGGAAGAAGCTGCCTACAACTCACTCTTGTGGCAGCTCTCCATTTCTCCTTCTGGCCTTCTTAGTGAGCCTTAGAGTTTGACTTCCAGAGGGAATAGACACCTAGGTTATAGGATCTAGAGCAGTGTTTACATCAAGAAATAAGAATGTATTATGTATGACCTGGAGTGTAAGAGCAAGATTTGTGGTGAAAAGTACCTAAGATGGTCCCTTTAAGGCAGGTTTTTGTTCATTTCTCTTTCAATATACCTTCTCTTATTGAATATCATGAAGGGGTATGTCTGGGGATACTTGGGCGTGTAGCATGCCCCTTCGGCATATGACTGTGATATTAATTTTTGTTAGAAACTTGAAAGGTTAGAATGCAGCAAGGTAGAATCTGTCAGAGATTGTGTCACTTTAAGTCTCATAGGCTTTTTTTCCCCTGTAATAACTACATATGGTGAGTTTAAGGAAATTTTGTGATATAAATCACATTTTCTTTAAGGTAGAGTTAGAACTTTAGGCTATGAGTGATTATGTTCTTTTAAACACTTTGACAGTTTCATTTTTAAAATACTGTATGATACTATCTGATAAATACAGGAAATTTGACTGTTTTTTCTTATTGTTTATCATTTATGCAACATATGTGTAGATTCATGTAGCCAACACCACAATCAGGATACAGAACAGTTCCATCACTCCAAAAAACTCCCTCATCCCATCCCTTTATTGTCACACCTTTGCTCCACCCTATCCTTGGCCACCATTGTAGTTTTGTCTTTAAAAGAATGTCATATAAACAGTCATACAATATGTAACCTTTTATTGTTTTCTGAAATAATGTCTTTGAGATTCATCAGAGTTGCTGTGGTAGTTCATAGTCCATTCCTTTTTATTGCTGAGTAGTAGTATTACATGGTATGGATGTACCAGTTAGTTTACTCATTTGCCTGTTGAAGGACATTTAGATTGTGTTCAGTTTTTTGTAATTATGAATAACGTTCCTATAAAAATGTATGTACGGATTTTTATGTTATTGGAAAGTGGAGGAAAGGTGATCCTTGTTATAAAGTGGCAAAGAAATTGGCCAAATTGTGTTCTCATGTTTTGTGGGAAAGTAGAACTTGTAAGTGATAAACTTGGATATTTACCTGAGGAGGTGTCTTAGCCATGTTGAAGACATGGCCTGTTTTTCCTTTGCTGCTTATGAGAAAATGCAAGAGCAGAGAGATAAATTGAAAAAGAAATCGTTAAGTAAAAAGGAACCAGAACTTAAAGATTTGGGAAATTCTTATCCTAACCATATTGTAAAATATGTCTCCTGGAAAAAAAAAAATGTGACTCATGGATCCAATCAACCATGTCAGCAGAAACCGTGAATAAAGATGCAGTTAACCAGGAAAGATCTGTGGAAAATCCTCTTGTCTGATGGCTTGGATCTCCAGGGATTGCATTGGAGGCAAATGGGTTTTTGAAAACTATATATCAGCGAACACACTGCTAGCTTGAATTGAAGGGTGTGGAGACAGGATGAAATAAAGGAGGACTGTCAGACTTCCAGGATTCTACAGGATGGGCCAGTACAGCTATCTAATGTGTTATCCTCCAAGAAAAGGGAAGTAGGACCCCCAAGAGAGGCCAAAAGGTTGGCAGGGCTGCCATTGCTACCATGGGGTCAACGGGTAGGGCGGCCTCCTGGGTTTCAAAGGCTGGGCCATTTCCTTATTTTAGCAGACCAGACAGCCACTGCCAAGGGCAAAGGGGTCAAGGCTGCCACCCTTGTAGGTCCAGAAGGCAGGGTCACACTGATTGGCCCTGAGGACAGAGCATTAAGCATAAGAGTTTTATCCTCAAGCCTTTTAAATCTACAGGAATTCAGAAGATTTTGGACTTGTTTGGGACCCATGACCCCTTTCTTCTTTCTGATTTCTCCCTTTTGGAATGAGAATGTCTATTCTATACCTGTCTCACCATTGTATTTTGAAAGACGATCACTTGTTGCCTGGGCTTATGGGTTCACAGCAGAAAGAAATTTGCCTCACGATGAATCATACCTCCAGTCTGACCCATATTTAATTTAGATGATATTTAGATGAGATTTTTGACTTAGACTTGATGCTAGAATGGGCTAAGACTTTTAGGGCTATTGGGATCTGGTGAATGTATTTTGCATGTGAAAAGAACATAAATTATTTTGGGGTGGGAGAGGGTAGAGGATGGAGTGTTATGGGCTGAATTTTGTTTCTTCCAAAATTTGTATGTTGAAGTCCTTACCCCCCTGTAACTTAGAATGTGACTGTATTTGGATATAAGGTTTTTAAAGAGGTAACTCAGTTAAAATGAGGCTATAGACACTAATCCAATATGACTGGTGTCCTTATAAAAAGAAATTTGAACACAGACAGGCATGGAAGACCATGCGAAGATACAAGGAGAAGATGGCCATCTAGAAGCTAAGGAAGGAAGCTTCAGAAGAAACCAACTCTACTGATACCATGATCTCCAACTTCTGCCTCCAGAATGGTGAGAAAATAAGTTTGCTTAAGCCATCTAGTCTGTTATACTTTGTTATGACAGACCTAGCAAACTAACACAGTATGTTTCCATTATTCTAGGGTAAATACTCAAGAATGGAAATGGCAAATCGTAAGTGTATGCTTTATAAGAAACTGCCGAATTGTTTTCCAGAGTGGTTGTACTATTTTGCATTCCACCAGCATTGTATCAGAGTTCCCAATGATCTTTTTTTTTTTTTTTCACCCCCGGTATTTGGCATTGTTAATATTTTTTAGCGTTTAGCCATTCTGATAGATGTATTGTGCTATCTTATCATGGTTTTCATTTGCATCACCCTGATGGCTAATAATGTTGAATATTTTTTCATGTGTTTTTTATTTTCTTTTTCTTCTTCTTTTTTTTTTTTTTTTTAAGAGACAAGGGCTTGTTCTGTTGCCTAGGCTAGAGTACACTGGCATGATCATAGCTCACTGCAACTTCAAATTCCAGGGCTCAAGAGATCCTCCCACCTCAGCCTCCCAAGTAGCTAGGACTACAAGTGCGCACTATCATGCCCAGCTAATTTTTAAAAATGGAATTAGGTTTTTATAGAGACAGTCTTGCTATGTTGCCCTGGCTGGTCTAAAACTCCTGGCCTCAAGCAATCCTCCCACTTTGGGCTCCCAAAGTGCTAGGATTACAGGTAGAAGCCATGGTTTCAGGCCTTGTTTATTCTTATCTCCTCCTTGTTAAAGTTTATGTCCAGGTTCTTTTTCAATTTCTTAATTGACTTGTTTGTTTTTGCATTGTTGGGTTTTGAGAATTATTTATATATTCTGAATGCCAGTTCTTTGTCAGATATATGATTTGCAAATATTTTCTTCCAGTCTATCTTGCATTTTTATCCTCCTATTAGGGTCTTTTGGAGCATAGACATTTTAAATTTTGATGGAGTCCAAATTAATCAGTTTTGTCTTTTATGAATTGTGCTTTTTGTATCACGTAAGAACTCTGCTCAACCCTACATCACAAAGATTTTCTTATGTTTTCTTAAAATTTTATAGCTTTCTTATTTATTTTTAGACCTATAATCCATTTGAGTTAATTTTTGAATAAAGTGTGAGCATACACACATCTTATTCAGTCAAAGGCTAATCTTGGTGCAACTATAAAAGGATTTTGTGATGTGATTAAAATCCCTAATCAGTTGATTTTAAGTTAATCAAAAGATAGAACATCTTGGGTAGGCTTGACTTAATCAAGTGAGGGCCTTTTAAATAGGGACTAAGGCCCTCCACATGAGATTCAGGGACTCCACAAGGTAGAGCAGAAAGATAACTTATGATCTACCTTCTGAGCCTCCCACACTTACTTTTAGGGCTGATCTGCTGATTTCCTTGATATACTTAAGCAGCACTGGACTTGCAATTGCAGTACCTTCGCCCTCAATCTTTCTCCAATTTCTCTGACTCCCAGGGCCAGGTGTGTGTGCTCAGCTCCAAGATGAAGGGCTCTGGTTTTTGCAGGACAGTCTTATCACTGAGATTACAGACAACAAGAGTAGACACTGGTTTCAGTCCAACTTTGTAGAGTTTCCCACTCATGCTTATGGGGTCTAGACTGCATGAAATCTTTCCTTCCTGCCAGCCTGTGGACTTCAGGGTTTCTTTTCCAGCTCCCATAATTGTATAAGACAATTCTTTGTAACAAATTCCTAGATAGATAGATTTCCTACTGGTTCTGTTTCTCTGGTTAGGGTTAATATACTTATCCTTTTTTTTTTCATTAAACTGCTTTTTGCTCTGTTAAAAATTAGAAACAGGTTGTCCCTGGGTAAAATGAATGGCTGAAAGTCATCAAGGAAGGCAATTTCCTTTAAACAGATTGGCAGAGTTATCAGGGAAGGCAATTTCAGTTATTGGTGAGTTTTCTAAGACACCTCATAATTTCAGCTTGGAGATACATGACATGCTTAAATCTGTGCAATAGCTGCTGTTTTCCTTCCATTGCCACCTTCACTTTAGGCTACATCTCTACTAGTAATTTCCCCAGTTACAATGTCTTAATATTATTAAATAAAAGAAGCATTTAGAAAATATTACCTTCAATATAATAATAGTATTACAAATTGTATATGTGTATAGGTGAAAAAGAAAGCTGAAAGTAAACATACTTGAATGTTGATAGTAGTCATCAGTAGTTGCCGAGATTATTGTTAGCTTTTGTGTCCTTTTGCTTATTGGTACTTTCAAAATCTCCTACAAGGAACATGGTGCTATGAACTGAAGGTCTGCACCCCTGCCTTAAAATTTATATGCTGAATCCCTAACCCCCAGTAATTATATTTGGAGATAAGACCTCTAAAGTAGTAATTAAGATCAAATAATATCATCAGGATGGTGTCCTGGCCCAATAAGATGAGTCCTTCTAAGAAAATACCTGGCTTCTCTCTCACTGTCATGTAAGAACACAGTGAGAAGGCCAGCCAGAAAGACAGCCCTCACCAGAAATCCAACCCTACAGGAACCTGATCTTGGACTTTCTGGCCTCCAGTACTGTGAGAAAAGAAATTTGTGTTGTTTAATTCACCCAGTCTATAGTTTTGTTATGGCAGCCCAAGCAGACTAAGACAGATGGTTTATTTTTGCAATAAGTACATAACATAATAATACTTATTTTAAGCAAAAAAAAAAAAAACACAAAACAAAAAAAAAGCAAGCCTGACTTAAAAGGCACTGAAACCAAAAGTGCAAGATCTTTGGCTAATTATGTAAGTTTCCAGACATTGCTAATTCTATCTTGAATTCTTCAAAAGAAACGTGTAAGATAAATGTTAAGTAAACATGCAGACAAATATGTTATTTTGGAGAGCTGTTACAATTTCCTTTTTGTTGGAATTAACCAGGAGTAAAATTGTGGGCAACTAATTTTATGTCTGGTTAGAGAGTTCAGCTACAAAAGTTTTGCTTGTCCACATAATCTCTGCCTTCTCCCCTACCCCCTTCCAACACACACACACACACACACACACACACACACACACGCATGCACGTTTTAATCTTTCACACTGGGTTGATCTACAATATAACATATTGTAAGACCAACAATCTATCTCCTCGATAATGTACAATAAATTGCAATCAAGTTAAATCAATATCACATCTTTTCCATCCATTGGGCTTCATGTCTGATTACTTTCCAAATGACTTCTTTGACAACAGATGATGTCTACTGGGTGCCCTCCTCTTTCCTCTGCTGCCACAATCTTTTCTATTTTCCACGCTGGTATTCATTTGATTTTGAGGGAGAAAAGTTCTAAAGGGCATACTGTAAAGAAAAACAGATGGTTAGTGGTGTGATTGTAGAAGGTGTGTGCTCTCATTTCATCTTCTTTTATAGATGTTTTTCTTTTTTGCCTCTGAATTTCCATTTAACACTTAACGGTGGATTTTGTTTCAATGTTTCATTTGTGGCAAAGACTCCTAGAATGAGTTCATACTCTTATTCTCTCTCTCTCTAGCCCTTCTCATTTCCTTCTCCTCATTCAGATATTGCGGTGGGCAGGGACCAGCATTCCCTTCATTGAGAGAAAATTTGGTTATTAACATGAGGCAAAATCACATTTTTTGATCCCAAACTGTTCATTATGTAGAAAGCGTCTTTCTGGGAGATACATTAAAATATTTCACTAATGTCACTTGTATAGCATATGGATGATTACCATATTATTTAAACAGAATTTTATACTGCTTTCCCCAAAATGTATTCTAAGATTTGCGGTTTTTCCCATGGTCATTGAATTGAGGCTCTTGTAGAGATCAGATGCTGTTGAATCTCTTTAATGGACGAAGTATGGTAAATAACCCTTAATTTAAGTAACCAAGTAATTACTTTCATTAGGTAGCATATTAGTAAAGTTGATACTTGGAGTTCGAACCATTTGTGAATCACAAAGAGTGTCATTCTTCTGACAAACAAATGAGCAACCACCTATCTTACAAACCATTTTTGTGAAGATGGCATTTCACTAACTTGATTGTTCTCAAGAATTGCAGAATGTTAAAAAGGATTACCTCCTTAGAGTGTCCCTTATCCTACCTCTTCATTTTAGCTTACTTTATAGATAACAGGTTGACATTAAGTAGCCTCAGGTATTAGCCCTCCCTTGACAAGGATGGTGCAGTCTGTGCTGGCTGATTCAGGAATAGAAGTCAGATCTTCTGGTTTTTGGTCCATTTATTTAGAGAGAAGTAGGATGAGTGGCACACTGCCCCTCCAATAATTTTTTTTTAAAAGTTTTATTTTTAATAATTGAACAAACTCCACTTTAAATGACTCAACTCTGTTGAGTAAAGGAAAAAAAACTTAAATTTGCCAAATGGCATTATCTCAATCCCTCTCCTGATCTAGTCTCTTTAAATAGCTTCAATGTATTTCAGGTAAATGTTTTAACTTTTCAGATTTCTTCCCCCTCTCCCTGCCCTTCTCTGATAAAGCATCTGGATTTTAACAGGGAAGGGACTCCCGTGAGCTAGTGTAGCTAGGGCAGGGAGCCTCAGAGTTGTGTGTAGAAGCTGTTTGGCTGCCACCTGCTCAGAGAAGACAGGTCTGTTCTCACTCCTCTTCTGCAATCTGCCTGGGTTCCACAGTAACCATCTGGCCTTTAGGGGAATTACTTGGGCACCAACTATTAAGCTCATGGTTCTCAGCCATTTGCTTCTTGTCACCAAAACATCTTTGTTTCAACTCCCACTGGCCTCTCATCACCTTTGTGTCCCCTCCCCGGGGCTCCTGGAACTTCTGGATCCTTTGCAGACTGTTCAAAATCTATGGGTACCACAGCATTATCTCAGATGATTTATGTAGACCACATTCCTCTATCTATGCCATGGAATTTGGCAACAAACTGAATGCAGCGCTTCCTCCAGAGGTTTGAAGACTTTCCCTAGCTACACCCAGAGAAGTGGATCTCTATACCTAATTTCCCCACTCCTATTAAGTGCTTTTATATAAGTCTCTGTACCTTTTTAAGGATAAACCCTATGAAAGTTTGAACACATTGCCCTGCCTTTTCCATTTCTCCTTTCCACAATTCCCTGATATAGAAGGCTGGGATAGCTCTCCTTTATATACAGCAAATACTTTTTCTTATTGCATATCCTGAGTTCAAAAATAATCTTATTCTACATGTCAAAAATTGAACCCCACTTTTTTCCAGTTCCTGGGGTGATAATCCTTACTTTTCTGGGACCTGTAGCATAACAAGGGGCTGATCCAGAGCAGGAAATGTCAAAGAAAAAACAATATATTTCTAAAAGTATTATTCCCACTTTAATACATTTAGTCAGTTATTACAATAATATTTATTGATTTCTTGCCATGCATCAACTATTAGAAATGTAGAGAAAAATACAGTCTGTGGTAAAAGTGAGGAGAAAACAACTAATAACAATACTGTATAGTAATTGCCAAAATGGTGTTTCATACAAAAGACACTGAAGATAGAAAAATTCTACATGTACCTGCCTAGGGGAGATCATAGGAGGCTTATTAGAGGAAATGACATTTCTACTGCAATATGCTGCCTCTGATGTTTGCCGTTGGTGACAAGGGGATAAAAGTGTTGTAGATCCTTTTAAATCCATTCCTTAACAACAGTTAATAGTGATGATGGAACAGCAGACAACAATAGTTTGCAATATGTAACACTCTACCAGCAACAAAGTGGTCCGACACACAGCACAGTTCTTGCAAATTTGTAGGACAGAACATATTCTTTAGGTCAGTGCCACTCTAAAAATATAGGACAAAAGGATACTCATTCGTTCATTTAGTCCACATTTATTGAGTACCTGCTATGCTCTAGGTACAGCAGGTACAGAAATGAAGAAGAACTACAGATCTTATCTCAAGAATTTTACATTCTCTAGAGGGGAAGTAGTAAATACATCAATGGGAAAGAGAGATTCAGATATTCAGATTTATGTAGAAAGTAAAAGAGGATGGTGTGCTACATTGTGATGGGGGTGGGGAGAGATGCAATAGAATGTGGACTTCATTAACAATGATACAAAAAATGACCAGGACTTGGCCGGCTGCGTTGGCTCACGCCTGTAATCCCAGTACTTTGGGAGGCTGAGGAGGGCGGATCACGAGGTCAGGATCCTGGCTAACACGATGAAACCCTGTCTCTACTAAAAATACAAAAAATTAAATGGACGTGGTGGCGGGCGCCTGTAGTCCCAGCTACTCCGGAGGCTGAGGCAGGAGAATGGCGTGAACCCGGGAGGTGGAGCTTGCAGTGAGCCGAGATCGCGCACTGCACTCCAGCCTGGGTGACAGAGCTAGACTCCGTCCCAAATAATAATAATAAAAATAAAAGAAAATAAAATAAAAAATAAAAAAAGTGACCAGGACTTAAACCTGTTACATGTTTTTAAACTATGTTTGGGGTGTGGAAAAGTGAAATCAACAGGATTAGAGGATATCTTTTCCAAGGGAAATTTTCAATTTCTCACATTAGCATTTGTCTTGAAACTCTTTGATTTCTTGCTTTTCATGGATTCTGTAGGGAAACCCTTTGGCTCCTTTAGTAAAATAGTAGTGTGAATCTGCAGTTTTTGTAATGAAGGGAGAATCTTCTCATGGGAAGAGGTAACTCTACAGATGATCCTTAACTCTCTTGGGAACTTTCTCTGCATGATACTGGTTTCAGGGGGATGCTAATTTCTTTTTCCCCATTCTGGAAAGTGTGGACATACTTTCCTTAATTTCTTTTTGAATAGTTGAGAAGATCATGGCTTAATGTTTAATAAAGTCTTTACTTGAGGTCAGGGCAAACTTAAGCAAGAGAGCCAACATAGAAAGTAACATGCAATAAAAAATTCTGGTTGTCTGGTGTATCTGGGTCTTGACTCTTAACTCAACATACCCGTGAAAGGGCTGTTTTACTGACTAGCTGGAAGGGACCACTCCACATGCGTCCCAGACCTACTTAGTGGCTCAGAAGCAGCTCTTTTTGCCATACCTTCTGGAGTGTCTTCAAACCTGCCTAAGCTTCGTGAAGTACCACACCAGGACAGCAACAGCAAGTCACATGGAGGAATAGAAGGCCCATGTCCTTCCGTCCCAGACTTGCTCTGCAGATGCTGGCTTTCTGTCTGGGGTCTTGTTTGTTCCTGAAGTGACTGACACAGGAATGCCCACTGCCTGAGAGGGGAGATGCCACCATTTCCCCAACAACTTGTAGAAGTGTTGTTTTATGTGGTTTCAACAGAAAAATTACAGCAGAATCACCATAATTCACAGTTTCAAAAGAGGCACAGCAAGAAATAAGGTAAGATTTTCCCCTTACATTTTCTTTGCCTTTGCATGATTAAAAAAAGAAAGTTGTTGAAATCTAAGTAGCATTCCATGTGAGACTTCAAGGAGTTAGTACAGCTGAGCTCTGACAAAACCATTTCAGCCTTCCTTTATTTCCCTTCTTCTAATGTTAGTTGAATACTATGTAAATATCTTCCTGAACTCCTTGGGAACTCATATGAGCAACATTTAGAATAAGGACACACACGTCACCTTAAAAACAAACTTGCAGACATAGCGAATACACATATAAAAAACAAAGAAAAATTACTTCAAATGAAACCTAAGTGCCTACCATCATACCTGAAAAACACTGTGGACACTTAATTAATTTTTATTTTAAGCAAATATGTAATTAGTAAGCCACAGAATTCATTCCAGAACATTTTCTTCACCCCAAAAAGAAACTTAATATCTACTCCTCAGTCCCATCAAACCCTAGGAACCACTAGTTTACTCTTTGTCTTTATGGATTTTACCTGTTGTGGACATTTTATGTAGAAGGAATCATACAATATGTGTCCTTTAGCGTCTGGCTTCTCTCACTTGGTATAATGTTTTCAAGGTTAATCTATAATATAGCATGTTTCAGTGGCTTTTAGTGGCTGAATAATATTCTATTGTATGAATATATGTTTGTTTCGTCTATTTTAAAAAATCCATTCATCAATTCGTGGACATTGGGTTGTTTGAACATGCATGTACAAGTTTTTGTTTGAACATTTCTTTTAAATTCTTTGGGGATATGTGTATGTGTGTATGTGTATAAATATATATGTGTAAGTGTGTGTATGCACACATTAAAGTGTAAATACACACATGCACACATATATGTATGGGTGAAATTATTGGGTCATAGGCTAACTCTATGTGAATCTTTTTGAGGAACTGCTAAATTGTTTTCCAAAGCAAGTATATACCATTTTACATTCCCACCAGTATGGTGTGAGGGTTTCCACTTCCCCACATCCTTGCCAACATTGTTAATGTTCATCTTTTTGATTATAGACTTAGTGAGTGTGAAGTGGTGACTCATTGTGGTTTTGATTTGCATTTCTTATTATGAAGGGAATGTTGAACTTCTTTTAATATGCTCGTTGGTCATTTTTATATCTTCTTTAACGAAATATCAATTCATATCTTTTGTCACTTAAAAATTGGGACTATTTATCTTTTTCTAGTGGAGTTCTAATAGTTCTTTGCATATTCCGGATGCTAGATTCTTATCAAGTATGTAATTTGCAAATGTTTTCTCCTGTTCTGCAGGTTATCTTTTCACTTTCTTGATTGTGCCCTTTGAAGCACAAAAAGTCTTAATTGTGATGAAGTCCAATTTTTAATTTTTTTTTCCTTGGTTGCTTGTGCTTTAGCTGTCATATCTAAGAAGCCATTTCCTAATCCAAGGTCACAAAGATTTACACTTATGTCTTCTTTAAGAGTTTTGTGGGACTACCTCTTGTGTTTAGGTCTTTAGTCCATTTAGAATTAATTTTTGAAGACAGCGATATATAGATCAACTTTATTATTTTGCACGTGAATATCCAGTTGTCCCAGGACTGTTTGTTAAAAAAGACTAGTCTTTTTCCAATGAAATTTCTTGGTACCCTTGTTGAAAATCAATTGCCCATGTTAATCTTATTAAAGATCTTTAACATGTGATGAGTTGCTTGTCTCTTGCTGTTTTCAAGGTTCTCTTTTTGTCGTGGGCTGTTAACAGTTTGAGTATAGTATGTCAAAGTGTGGTTCTTGTTGAGTTTATCCTACTATCACTTCACTGAGCTTCTTAGATGTAGATTAACATTTTTTAATAAAATTTGATATACTTTTAGTCATTATTTCTTCAAATATTCTTTCTGCCCTTTCCTCCTTTTCTTTCCGAAACTCCTATTATGCATATGTTGGTATGTTTAATAGTGTCCCTCAGGTCTATGAGGTTCTATTCATTTTTCTTGATTTTTTTTGTTCATTAGAATAATAATCTTAGTTGATCTGTTTTTGAAATTGCTGAATTTCTATTCTGTATGTTCACATTTTCTGTTGAACAACATTAGTAAATTTTTCATTTATTGTACTTTTCAACACCAGAATTTTAATTTGGGTCTTAAAAATAACTTTGTATCTCTTTATTGATATTCTTATTATGATTTCTTAGAAGACATCATTCTCATACTTACTTCAGTTCTTTAGACATGGTTTCCTTTGGTTCTTTGAACATATTTAAAATAACTGACTTAAAGTCTTTGCCTAATAAGTTCATTATCTGGGCTTCCTCAGAAACATTTTCCACTAGTTACTCTTTTTTTCATGTGTATGGGCCATTTTTTTTAATTCTTTGTATACCTTATACTTTTTTTTTGGTTGAAAATAAGTGTTTAAAATAATATTACATGTCAACTCTAGGAATCCAATCTTTTTCTCCTTAACCAGGGCTTATCAATGTGGCTGTTTGTTGTTGTTTGTTTAGTAACTTTTCTGGAATAAGTCTCTTCAGTCTGTAGTCTTTGATAGGTTCTACCACTGAAGTCTCTGCTTTGTTTAGTTGTTAGCTAATTATTAGACAGAGACTCCTTAAATACCTGAAACCAATAAATTTTCAGTCTTTGACAAGGGGCTCTGTGTGCATGATAGGAGATGGCTTCAGTACTCAGTCTATTGATATCTTTGTCTTAGCCTTCACTTTCTGTTTGCATGAACCTCAACGTCACCCAAAGATAAGACATTATGACTTTCTCAGATCTTTCTTTATCATGCTCATAGCCCTGGGCATATGTACAGTCCTACTCATGTGTATGACCCTGTAGATTTTGGGAGCTTTTCAAAGCCAATCTCATTCCTTAGCTTTTCCTTTTAAACATTTTAGTTAGCCTATTTGCCCCAACAGTTATTCACCACCTCAGGCAGCCATAAAATTAAGCAATTAATGAAATTTTTTTCAACAAATGCCCCCAGGGAAAAGACTTTTCACACTGGGTGAGCTCTGAGCCAAGTCAAATAGACATTGATGTCTTTTCTTGGGAACCACCAGATAGGTCAAATAATGCCAATTCTCTGTGAAAAAGGCTTTGAAGGAGCAATAACCTTATTCTACACTGTCAAGTAGCTGCCAGGCGCTGTATGTTTTCAAGGCTACTCCAGAACTGGAGAAATAGGGATGAGACTAGGACAAGTAAAAATGCCAGAAAATTGACTGTTCTTCCCAAGATTCAGCCATATTTCTTGAATAAACGCTCTGTGGATTGCTGCAAGCCTTTGATTAATTTCCAGAGTCCTGAAAAAAAGTTGATCTTGACAATTTTTGCTAGTTTTCTTGTTGCTTTTATGGATAAGAGAGTTTTTGAAGGTCCTTACTCTGCCATTTTCACAGACGTTTCCCCTCAATTTCTGATCAGTGATTCAGTAGGTAGACCTTGGGCTTATTAGCTTGAAAATATTTATAAAGCAAGTTTTTTTTTTGGTCAAATATTAGTTACTGTCTCAAAAAAGGTCAGACATGAAAAAAACCCAGAAGTGTTTTAGTACATTTAAACCTTTATATATCCATTGAAGTACATGAAATTACTATATTTGTAGATCAAAAAGGGTATAATATTGGTGATTTCTCATTGCTTAACCCAATATTTTCTAAAGTCTTAGTTTCTCATTCTATTTTTTCCCTTTGCAAAGAACAATCTATTAAGAAAACTTCCAGGAAGTATAAATGGATCCCATATAGCCCCATTAAATTATTTCAAAAGCACAATAAGAAATATGCATTTTAACTGTCATTGTGTAGAGAAGAGCATTTATTTAGCAGTGGTTAAGCACTCTCTGTGTACAGTCACAAAATATGGTAATTTCCACAGGAGCATACATTTAACTCCGCAGACAGATACAGCAATCAAACAAGGGATAAATGATTTTTTTAAAAAAGGACGACTGAGTGAATCCACTAGGTGATAGATTAATAATAAGGGGTTATAAAAGGCCTCATAGAGATTGTGAAATTTCAATCAGATCTTAAAGGATAATATATGGTTTCTTGGACAAGGAAAGTGAAGACATGCAGAAAGGATGGCAGGTGAAAAGTCACAGAATTGTGAGAGGTTTTGATGACTTTTATAAGACAGAGGTAGGTGGGGTATAGCATGCAATTTTCTCCTGTGTTTTATTTTTGTACAAATTGGTATTTTTACTTTCTAGCAGCAAAATGTGTACGTTTTATTTTAGAATATGTTTTAAAAGGCTTGGGCAGACTGCCTTTTATGAACAGAAATTGTTATATATTAGCTCAGGATTGCCTGCATGCTGGTTTGTTCTACCACAAAGGCTGCCAATAATAATGAGAGGGAAAAACCCTGGAGGAAGAGTGCATTTAATTTTTATTGATCATCTTATATCTTAAGAGTTTCATCAAGCAAAGTGACAACATACATAGAACCTGCACCAAAAAGTCTTAGCTGAGTGAGCAAGAATGAATCAGCACAGTGAATAAAACATTATTTTTCTTTTCTTGGCCTGCTACCTCAAGGTCATTGTTAAAAAACAGAAGAGTTCTAGAGTAGTTGTTGTTAAACCTGGCCGCACATTAGAAACATCTGGAGGTATTTTTGAGACTACAGATTCTTAGTCTACATTCCATCCAGACCTGGTGAATCAGAATGTCAAGGTTTTTTGTTTGTTTGTTTGTTTCTTATTTGTCTTAGACAAATCCGGTTGTTCTCATACTTAGCAGATTTGGGGACAAGTGTCTAAGAAGGGTTTGCCTTGCTCCACAACTGTCCAACTGTGTTGCTTGTTTCAAGCCAACTTAATCAATATGACTAAGAATAAATTAATATTATTTTATTAAAAAATATTATACTGTATCAGAGCTATTTTCTTAATCAGTTTGAAAAGGCACAGAAGAAGGAAATGTAAAGAGTTAATAAATCAGGAATGAGAAAAAGCCATGAATAAAATATTTTCTACAGAAATCGGTCTCTCAAAAATCTGTAAATTTATGGTGATTGTGTTTAACAATCATGACTCAATAATGAAATCAGCCATAAAACTTTGACTGTCTACAAGATTAACAAAACATACATTTGTTTTGACTCTCAGCATATTACCATTTTATTGTATAGGCTAAAGTCAGGGGAGGAATAATCAGGAATAGGTATTTTTTCCCATCATTGCCTTCAGACATTCTCTGATAGATTTCCCTTCTCTTTGAGACTGGAGGCAAATGTTTGGAGCTACAGACTTCAAGACCTCATTAGCAGACGGGGCCAGTTGTCTCTCTCTGGTTACCAGTAGAGGGAGTGTCAGCCCCTGATCTTGGCAGCAGAGACCCAGGTAGGAAACAGGACGCTAAGTGCATTGGTGAGTTCCTCTTTCTACCATCCTCCTCTCTGCCATGAGAACTTTGGAATTTCCGTCTTTTATTCAGCAACCATCTTGGGGAGAAGAAATGAAAGAGTAAAATCTGAAATACTGAACATTTCATGACTACAAAACTACACTTGATTCCAGGTTATATTAATGAAAACACAAAGGTGTGTTGGGGTTGGAGGGAGGAGTGAGAAGTAGAGAGTAAAGGAAACGTATGTATTAAAGTATATTTTTTCCTCTGATGGGGATTACTCATTTATTTCATTATTTTCCTATTAAAATGTACAAACGTTCTAAGCTTATTAGAGATAATTTTAGAAATACAGTGTAACCTAGACCTGTACATGCATGCACACATGTGCGCGCGCACACGCACACACACACACACTCATGCAAGATTTATTACAGACAACAGATACAAAGCAACGGGTAAGAAAGTAGGTTCACATTGTCCACACACAGATTCCAGAGTCCTTTCTCAGTCATAAGGTTGTGCTTTATTTCCAGCAAGTGAGCCAGCAGGGGAAGCCGCAGCTCATTCAGTAGGTGTCTTTCAGCTGTACACATAGCTAAAACCAGGCTGTGAGACCATGTTCAATAGCAGAAACCAAGATAACATAACAGACACCCAGATATAAACCACTCATTGGTACACATTCTATAAGGAATATTGGAAAGATGTTACAGACTTCCCACTTGATGTCTTTTGGAAAACTACATTAGCACAAAAAACTACATTAATTCCTATGTAGTATATTCCATTGTGGTTTTGCCAAGGATTACTACTATGGCTCCAGGCATCCCTGGAAATATATGGAGGATTTCAGTACACTAGTGAGAGTTACAATGAAATTTCACACTGTGGATTAGTGTTTTTCATCAGGCTCAGAAAATTCTAAATCATTATCTATTCACATATTGCTTCTTGTTCATTTTCTGTTTTCTGAAACTCCAGTTTTGTATGTTAGACCTTTCCACTATGTCCCATATATTTATTATCTTCTTTTCTGCACCTTTGTCTCTGCACTTTAGCTTGGTGATTATATATTTAAAAAAGGATGAGTGAATTAATGACCACTGGGAGACAGAGATGATAGTAATTTAATAATTAATTATTTATGATCATTATTAATTTAAATTATAAATGATAAATAATTACTATCACATATTTGTATCTTTCATCTTCTCTGGTGGGTCTGATCTGCCATTATAACCATCTATTAAATTCTCAATTTTATTTTTTACTTATGAAAGTTTAATTTTATTTTCAATTGAAATTTCTGATCTTGTCAACCCTTCTCCATTACTGAACATATTAGTTGTAATTACTTTTAAGTACCTATTTGTTATCCTGATAATTAAATGAATTTGTAGTCATCCATGAATTTGTTTCTATTCTCTGTTTTTTTTTTCTGTACTTGTAATTTTTGGTCGAATTTCAGACATTGCATATGAAAAACTGTAGAGGTCCTGAATGATATCTTCCTCCTGAGAGAGTTCTTATAGGCAGATAGAGAGGGGGCAGGTGTCAATCCAGTCAGGTAAAGAACTGACTCAAGGTTGAGCTGCAACTACATCTCCATTCATTTCCAGTATGCTTCTAGTCTTAATCTCTAGCCCTCCAGGAATTCTAGTTTTGTATCTCCTCCTCGATGGGTTCTGATCTCCAGTTTTTATCTCCTCAGATCTGTGATGAGAGTTTGAACATTTTCTCTACACTTCAAGAACTTTCTTCTTAGCTTCTTTCCCTGTTAATTTTAAGAATTCTGCTAGTGTTGGAAGAGAAAACCACCAAGTGTCCCATTGACTACTTAATAATTTCCTTTTCATCAGAATCTTGGTCTCTGAAGTCTTGGCTGTCCTGACATGACTCCAATTTTTGCTCTTCAGTTATGTGAAATTAACAAAAGTTCTGGAAAATTTTGTATGCCCTATAGACACAGCCCTATTCCTGCGTTCTTCAGTTGTTTGCTACCAAGAATCTGCAAAGTTAGGAAAAAACAAAAATAGAAACCAAAACAACAACCAGTTTATATAATGTCCATACAATCTCTATGGTTCCCTTTTGTTTCTGATTTTTGGCTTCTTATGACCAGATTTTCTTAACAGCTTTCTGATATTTTGAAACAGATTTTTTTTAACAGTAAAAAATTTTATCCAGCTTTTCTCAGTAGAAACATGGGTTTGCCTCATGAAACTCCATCATAGTGAGAAGCAGAAATCAATTCAGTGTTTTCTCTATATTTTTCTCATTTACTAGCTATAGGTTGGAATTTGTGGGGAGAAATAAGAGAATTGCTAGGTAGAATTTAGACTAAATAAAGAAATTTCATGTTTCTCTGCCTCAAAGTTGGAGTGCTATATGAATTTATTTTTCACTAAACATAATTGCTGTGTGGTACAATGTGAAAATTTCTTATAATGTGATAGGTAATAAGTAAAAATTGGATAATATACAACCCTTTAAAGAAGGAAAATAGCTCATAGATCACCACCACTCAGAAATATCTACTATTAACATGTTTGTATATATCCTTACATTGTTTTTGCTTTGCAGGTGTTTTTACATTGTTGAAAGTATACCCTAACTACTTATTTTAAAACATGTTTGATAAGGACAAATTAATAGTTTTTCAATGGAAAAAGAGATGAAATGTTGCTGGGTAAATATTATTAGTAATTTTTCCATTAAAATATCCATAGTGAATCAGGACATTCAATAAAGACTTTTAAATAGGCAGAAATACACAAATATTTTTGTTATAAAAATGGCCATTATTTTCCATCTTTTATTCTGTGGAGTAAGAGGAAAAAACCAACAACTTTGCATTTAGTGATTCTTTTAGAATTGAAAAGAAGGTGACTGTTTCAGAGTCGTCACAGTAACAAGTACTCTGATCAAGCATGGTGTTCCTGAATTGTGGGCTTATAGCTGTACCTAAGGAAAACTATTGTCTAATATTTGTAAGGAGGAAAGCACAACTACATAAGAAAACAATGGCAAAATTTTAGCTTTGACTTAAAATTCAGTAAATAAATATATGTTAAAAAAACTATTTAAATAAAGCCTTAAGAGTAAAAAGCATTCAAATTTAATATTAGAATTGAAGATGGATACGATATATACCTTCTAAATCAGTAGATAAAATGAAAGAAAATTAAATGAATAAAAGATACACAACATCAAGGATGTATTAAAAATGCAAAAGGATGAAAGCACTTTAAAGAGATGTCAGAGGTGGGACCAAATAAATGAATAAATATATAACATAACATAATAATAAATAAAAGTAGGAAAAGCCCATCTACTAAAATAGAAAGTTTCTTTGCTTAAAAAGCAAAATCTAACTATATCTGCCTCACAGAAGAGAATATATTTAAAACAAAGCAAAACTTAACACAAACTGTTTACAATAAATGCTTGCCAAAAGTAAGTTAGGTAAATAAATGCAAAGGAAAATACTCAAACATATAAGATAAAGTTTACAGAAAAAGTGTTAAACAGAACAGTGACTATTACTTATAATAAACAGCAACATTTATAATAAATGAAGCACCGCCGGGCGCGGTGGCTCACGCCTGTAATCCCAGCACTTTGGGAGGCTGAGGCGGGCGGATCACGAGGTCAGGAGATCGAGACCATCCCGGCTAAAACGGTGAAACCCCGTCTCTACTAAAAATACAAAAAAAATTAGCCGGGCGTAGTGGCGGGCGCCTGTAGTCCCAGCTACTTGGGAGGCTGAGGCAGGAGAATGGCGTGAACCCGGGAGGCGGAGCTTGCAGTGAGCCGAGATCCCGCCACTGCACTCCAGCCTGGGCCACAGAGCGAGACTCCGTCTCAAAAAAAAAAAAAAAAATAAATAAATAAATAAATAAATAAATAAATAAATGAAGCACCATCAATTTTTATTCAGCAAATAAGATCACATTGAAACAGAAAGAAAAAATGTGGTATACAAGGATAATTTGACAGAAATGCAATAACTGGAGATACTCTAAAACCTCTCTCTGAGTCATTGCCAAATGAAGTAGACAAAAATAAATCTGCATGGAGAGCATATAAATAACTTTGGATGCTAGAACACAATAGAACAATGCTTTCAAATTATTTCTAATATATAATTGTCTGCCCAGGCAAACTAACAGTCAAGTGGTAAATAAGGTCATTTTCAGATACTCAAACACTCAATGCATTTTCTTTTCATGCCTTTATTCTCAAGAAGCTATAGTACATGTGCTTCAGCAAAATGACAGGGAAATCCAATAGTGTTAACTTAATAAATACATCTAATTATGGACTCTACAAAGAGAAGACGTGTATTTGATTTACTATCAAATACTTAACAACAACAATAATTTTTGGGTTATAAAGTCTTAAAATGAGTTCCAAATCAGAATTCATAAAAAACACATTCTGTGACCATAATATAAAACAATGACAAGTACTTAAGATGATGCAAACTAAAAATTTTAACACTTTTGGAATTTAAAATAAAAAAAACTGTTCATAGCTCTCCAGTCAAAAAATCAAAACTTCATTTATAGACTATTTAGAAATAAATGGCACATAATCCATGTAGCCTGAAATGCTTTTATTATTAAATAAGAGAGAAGGAAAATAAATAAGCCAGACATTTTTACTAAAGAAGTCATAAAAATGACAATAAAATAACCTTAGGAAATGTAAGAAAAATTACAATGATTTAAACTAATGAGAAAATAAAAATAAAAAACTAAATAAATGTTTATATGCATTTAGTCTAAGACCTAGTTATTTAAAACAGTCAATAATTATATATTAACCTGTGACATAGCTAATCAAAAATGGGGAACAAATGTACACTAGAAATATAATATGCAAAAATAGTGGAATTTCGAATACTAGCGTGTAGGGCTATGGCTATAGTGTTATAAGAAGTTCAACAATGTTGAAGAAATAGAAGATTTTCTGAGGAAATAGTAATGACAGAAATGGAATCAAAAACATAAAATCTAAATAAAGTGAAAAAACTGTCAATGTAGCCAACTATATAAAATGAGCATTTTGCCTAAATTATATAGTGATTAATTTCTAGCAAACATTCAAGTAAAATTTATTTCTTATAATACTTAAAAACAGGCCAGGCCTGGTGCCTCATGTCTGTAATCCCAGCACTTTGGGAGGTCAAGGCGGGTGGATCATTTGAGGTCAGGAGTTTGAGACCAGCCTGGCCAACATGGTGAAACCCCGTCTCTACTGAAAAACAAAACAAAACAAAACAAAACAAAACAAAACAAAACAAAAAAAAGTTAGCCGGCCATGGTGGTACATGCCCATAATCCCAGCTACTCAGGAGGCTGAGGAAGGAGAATTGCTTGAACCCAGGGGGCGAGATCGCACCACTGCACTCCAGTGTCCCTCAGTGACAAATTTGGAATGTTGTTCCATTGCATTATAGTGACCACCACTCAGTAAGCCTGCCTGTGCCCACAGAGCTTCCAATCAATTTTTAATAGACTTGCTCATAGATAAAGAGACAGCCAAAGAATACCAGATATGTGGAGGGTGTTTATAATGTTAAGGACAGAGAGCAATGCAAACAAAAGAGTGAATAAGAAAAGAATCTTGGAAGGAAAAGAATCTTGGAAGAAATAAAAAGCATTTCAAGGAGCAGAAGAAAACTATATTGCCCTCTCAAAATATATAATAGTCATTAATATGCTCAGAGAGACAGAAAAAAACACGTATGAGAAAACACTGCATTCATAAACCAATGGAGTATGTTAAAGGGATTGTTAGAACATAGGAGCTCTTAGAAATTTCAAATAAAGAAGCCCCACTAAATTAATTACATAGTTAAAAGCTAAATCAAGTGTCATTTATAGAAATTAGGACACAAAGAAATTGACAAGAGGATGAGAAAGGAAATTTGTGAATCAATGCATAAGGTCCAACATCTAAATAATAGGTGGTTTAAGAAGAGACGACTGAGAAAACTGTTGAAAAATAATACAGAGAAAAATTCTCAGAAGTTAAGGATCCGAGCCTTCAAATAGTAAGGACCCACGTATCTAAGTCAATGAGTAAAAAAAGAGCACCCTAACATACATCATCATTATGTTATGGAACAACAGTAGTAAAGAGAAAAACCTCAGGCTTCTACTTAAGAGAAAAAAATCACCTATAAATAAATGATAATCGGATAATACTGGAAATTTAAAATATGTAACTAAATGCTAGAAGACTATTAAGCAAAGCTTTCACATTTGAGTGAAAATTATTTTTAGTAGATAAGTATGTATCCAGACAACTACCAATCTAGTCTTAAAACATGAGAATACTTAAAAGATTAACCTCTTGTACTCCTTTTCCAAAGCTATTGAGTTATTTAGCAAAATGATGGGGGAAAATATAACTGAGGAGAATACAAGATAAGGAACAGGTTATTAATTACAGAGGAGCAGTGAAAAAAAATCTGCAGATGACAACTGTACAACAGGCCTACAAAGACATATGTCAGGGATCTGTATTTAAGGATTTAAAAAATATAGATAGGTCAATGGGAACATTTAAAAAATAGTGGGAAGTGTAGAGAAGACTAAGATTTTCCTGTTATCAGTAATAAAAACACAATTATTGGTAACAGGAAAACTTACATTAGAAAATAAGCATACTCACAGAACGCTCTATCTCAGCTATAAACCATGTACAACCATAGTCTATTTACTTAGCCAATTAATTTTGCTATAATTATATTGACAGTTGAAGGGAAGAGAAAGTTGAAAAGTTTTGTAAAGAATACTTTCCATAACTAGAACTTTATAAATAATGTCTACCTTTGGTAAATTAAGAAATAATAGCTTAAATAATTATATAGAAATGTGAAGATATGTGCCAGAAAAACAGCTAAAAAAGCTGAAAGGAATGGGACTAAGATGTAGCAAAATGACTGGGCAGAGGGCTGCTTTATTTAATTAGAAGGCTTTTAACAATTTTTTAATATATTTGAATTATATATATGCATTATTTGATAAAGATAAAAATAACTTGAACAAGGGAAATGAATAGAAAATGTTCTAGAGCATTGAAGAAGGTGGAATACATCCTAACTCATTTTGTGGAAGTAACCTCTCAGTTAAAAACTTGAAAATGATAATGCAAAATAGATAACAGCACATAATCTCATCTAGAGATGGGTCCTAAATAAAATACTAACCAATACAATTTACAGACTAATGATAAACAATGACCAAGCTGAGTTTCATCCAGGAAGCAAGGAAGAATGAACATGATGAAAAATGAAAAAAAATCATTTTTTATTAAACATTAAATAAAATTAAACATCTATCATTGATTAAAAGGAAGATCTTATTATATTAGAAAAAAGAATATTTCATTGCTATGACAGGCACATCTGAAATAGTCACTCAACATCACCTTTAAATATTACACACTAGAAGTGCCTAAAATTAGGCAAAATAACCATAATTATTTCTATTGTTCTGGACATTTTGAGCAAATCAATAGGCAAAAAGGACATAAATTGCATAAACATTGGAAAGATAGCAAATTATTTTATTTGCAAATGATATGTTGTCTACCTAGAAAACACACGAAAATAAGCTATTAGAGTTTTAAAAATATTATCATAAAATATACAAAAGTTAATTTTTTATAGCAATAACTCGTTAGAAGCTATCATATAGAATAAAAATATATTAATTTACAACAGCAAAATATTTAAGAATGACTGGAGAATAAATGTGAAAGAATAATTTAGAGAGCTATACCAAATTTTTCTGGAGGGCTGGGTGTGGTTTTAATTACAACAAAAACAAATCCAAATAATGGTTATTTAAAACAGCAGTTCTCTAACTTCATGGCTTTAGAGAAGTCATAAATGGATTCTGGAATAGATAAAGATGATGCATAGTATCTTACTTTTCTAGGGCTGCTGTGACAAATTACTGTGAGCTTAGATGGCTTGAAATATAAATGTATTCCCTCACAGTTCTGGAGGCCTGAAGTCTGAAATCAAAGTGTCCATAGAGCCACACTCCCTCTCAAAGTTACAGAGGAGAATTTTTTTTTTTTTCTCTTTCAGCTTCTAATGACTCCAGGTGATCTTTGGCTTGTGGTCTCATCACTCCAATCTCTGCCTCTGTGATCACATTTTCTTCTTTCTCCATGTGTCTCTCTTTGTCTCTCTCATAAAGACATTCATGATGGTATTTAAGGCCCACCTAGATAATCGAAGTTAATCTCTCAAGATTCTTAACCTAATTTATATTTGCAAAGATCCTTTTCTCAATTAAGCAACATTTACAAATTCCAGGGATTAAGACTTAATATCTTTGGGTAGCCATTATTCAACCTACTACATGAACCTGCGTAAAAATTGGAAAATACATAAAATTTTAAAGAAAATATAATCTATCCAGAACATACCATAGCTCAGACATACCCATTGTTGAAATGTATATACCTATATAGTTACATATCAGTTAACGATAGAAATACCTTCTGAGATATGCGTCCTTAGATGATTTCATCATTTGTGAACATCATAGAGTATACTTATGCAAATGTAATGGTATAGCCTATTGCTCCCAGCCTTCAAACCTATACAGCATGTTACTTTTCTGAATACTGGGGGCCATTGTAACAGAGTATTTGTGCACCTGTGATGGTTAATATAAAATGTCAACTTGATTGAAGGATGCGAAGTATTATTTCTGGGTGTGTCTGGATGCTTCTGGGTGTTGCCAGAAGAGATTAACATTTGAGTTCATGGACTTGGAGAGGAAGACCCATTCTCGGGAAGACCCACCCACAATGTGGGTAGGCACCATCCAATTGGCTGCTAGTGTGGCTATAAAAAGCAGGCAGAAGGTGGAAGACTTTTTGAGTATTCCGTCCTTCATCTTTCTCCCGTGCTGGCTGCTGGATGCTTCCTGCCCTCGAATGTCAGACTCCAGGTTCTTTGGCTTTTGGACTCTTGGACTTACACCAGTGGTTTGCCAGGGGATCTTGGGCCTTCAGCCACAGACTGAAGGCTGCACTGCCAGCTTCCCTACTTTTGAAGTTTTGGGACTTGGACTGTGCCACTACTGGCTTCCTTGCCTCTTAACTTGCAGACGGCCCATCTTGGGACTTCACCTTGTGATCGTGTGAGTCAATTCTCTTTAATAAAAGCTCCTTTTCATATATACGTACATTCTATATATGTATAGTTTCCCGCTAGAGAACCCCAACTAATACAGTACCTAAACGTATATAAACATAAAAAGGTACAGTAAAAATACAGTATAAAAGATAATGCTACACCTGTACAGGGCACTTACCATGAATGGAACTTGTAGGACTGGAAATTGCTCTTGGTAAAGGCAGTGAGTGTTGAGTGAATACAAAGGCCTACAACATTACTATACACTACTGTGGACAATAAACACTGTATGCTTAGGCTACACTAAATTTATGAAATAAATTTTTCTTTCTTCAATACTAAATTAACCTTAGCTTACTGTAACTTTTTTACTTCATAAACTTTTAAATTAAGAAACACTCTTGACTGTTTTGTCATAATACTTAGCTTAAAACACAAATACATGGCACACAGCTATACAAAATTATTTTATTTCTTTATATCCTTATTCTATAATTTTTTTTCTATTTTTGAAGTTTTCCTTTTTTATCTTTTTCAACTTTTTTGTTAAAAACTAAGACACAAACACACATTACTCTAGGCATACACAGGGTCAGGATCATCAATATCATTGCCTTCCATGCCCACATCTTCTCCTGGAAAGCCTTCAGGGGCAATTAACATGCATGGAGTTGTCATCTCCTATGATAACAATGTCTTCTTCTAGGATATCTTCTGAAGAAACTGCCTGAGGCTGTTTTACAGCTAACTTATTTTTTATAAGTAGAGTTCACCTTAAAATCATGATTAAAAGTATAGTATAATATATACATAAGCCAGTAACAGAGTTGTTTATTATTTTCAAATTTGGACTGCACATAATTGCAAGTGCTATACTTTTATACCACTGGAAATGCAGCAGGTTTGTTTACATCAGTATCACCACAAACATGTGAGTAATGTGTTTTGCCATGACTTTCCATGGCCACAGGATTTTTTCAGCTCCACTGTAATCTTATAGGACCACTGTTGTATATGAGTTTCATCATTGGCCAAAATGTCATTATGCAACACATGACTGTACATAGATATAAAAACATACATATTTGCTTTACACTTTTTTAACCTATTGAATACTTGAATAGATGGAGAGAAAAATTATGTTTTAAAAGTTCTCACTATCCTAATGTATATATTTATTTGATCAAAATTAAAATAACAATGATATGTGTTTTGGAGGAGGCCCTCCAAAAGGAGAACTCCAACATGAGAACTTAAAATTGAACAAATGCAAATAAGCCAAAGGAATTGGACAAAAAATGATTAGAGGGCACTTTCTCCATTGAATATTATAATATTTCTTAAAAGCAAAATAATTAACAAAACATCATATTGATATGGAAATGGATAGGTTAAGTTAATCTTAGTAGAACTAAATAAGAAATTCAGAAACAGATTATAAACACACACAAACACACCTCTCTACCCCTCCTTCCTACCACTTACCTCTATCCTATACACACACACACTCTATACCCACCTATGTTAGTTTTCTGCTGAAGACTACACATTTATTTTCTTCTGGTTCTGGAGGCAAGAACTTCAAAATGGATCAGGGGGTTGCATTCCTTTGGAAGGCTCTAGGAGAGAATCTGTTTCCCTGCCTTTCACCTCTTGGAGACTACTTGCATTTCTTAGCTCACGGCTCCTTCCTATATCTTCAAAGCCAACGAAGTACCATCCTCAAACTTCTCTTTTTCTCTGACCTCTGCTTCCATTGCCACATCTCCTTCTCTGACCCTAACAATTCTTCCTCCCTCTTATAAGAACACTTGTGATTATATTGGGCTCAGCTGAATTGCGATGGTTAGTTTTATGTGAGTATTGGCTAGGCTATAGTTCCCGCTTTAATCAAACATGAATCTAGCTGTTGCTCTGAAGGCATTTTGCGGATGTGATTAAGGTCCATAACCAGTTGACTTTATGTAAGGAATGTTAGCCCAGATAATCTGGATGAGGTTTATTCTATCAGGTGAAAGACCTTGAAAGCAGAGCAGAGACTTCCTTGATGAAGAGAAATTCCATCTTTGGACAGGAACTTTACCCTGCATTCAGAATTTTAGCCTAAACTTGCCCTTACCCTATGGATTCCCTACTCTCTTTGCCAGCTCCCACCATAGCATAAACCAATTTCTTGCAATGTATTCTTAATTTATATTACCTACTGCCACTGTTCTCTAGCTGAACCATGACTGATACGTGAATAATTCAGGATAATCTCCTGATCTCAATATTTCTAACTTAATCACATCTGAAATTTTTATTTTGACACACAAGTTAATATATTCACAGGTTCAAGGGATAGGACATGAGCATCTTTGAGGGGCCATTTTTCAGCCTACAACTATATATATAGTTGTATATATATATAAAAATATGGAATTTCTAATATTGTTTGTTTTAAAATCTAACATCCAAGGCAGAATCCCTAAAGGCAAGGTTGAATGAATTTATGTATAAATGTAACTAACTAAATAAATAAAAATAAAATATTTAGAAAATGCATTGTAATTAGAGGTAAAATATAATGGCCAATTAAGAAAATGTTTTCTGAAAAAGTATTTGCAATACACATAATAAAGTATTGCTAGCATTGATACATAAAAAGTCCTCTAAAACAATGAGAAAAATGCAAATTGACCAATAGAAAGGTAAATAAAGATTAGTACCACTAATTCAATTAAAATGACATGAAAGTGTTCCATGTGAAAAAAGACAAATGTTAAATCTTGTTGGAATCAGATATTCAAATTAAAACAATTATAAGATCCTGTTTTTGCCTGTTAACTGAGAAAAAAACTAAAATAATAATGTTTAGTATTGGCAAAAAATTTGAAACATACAATTGGTTTTTTTAAAATAATATTTTTAATTTTCACAGGTACACAGTAGGTATATATATTTATGAGGTACATGGGATATTTTGATACAAGCATGCAATGTCTAATCACACCATAGAAAATGGCATCCATCCCCTCAAGCATTTATCCTTTCAGTTACAACCAATCCAGTTATACTCTTGTAGATATTTTAAAATGTACAATTAAATTATTTTGACTATAGTCACCTGTTGTCCCGTCAAATACTAGGTCTTATTCAGTCTTTCTATTTTTTTTGTATTTGTTAACCATCCCCACCTCTCCGCAACTCCCTATTACCCTTCCTAGCCTCTGTTAACCATCTTTCTATTCTGCTTGTCCATGAGTTCAATTGTTTTAATTTGGAGATTCCACAAATAAGTGAGAACATGCCATGTTTGTCTTTTTGTGCCTAATTTATTTTACTTAACATAATGACCTCTAGTTCCACCCATGTTGTTGCAAATGACAGGGCCTCATTCTGGTTTATGGCTGAATAGTACTTCATAGTGTATAAGTATTATATTTTCTTTATCTATTCATCTGTTGATAGACACTTGGGTTGCTTCCAAATCTTGGCTACTGTGAATAGTGCTGCAACAAACATGGTAGTGCAAGTGTCTCTTTGATATACTGATTTCCTATCCTTTGGGTATATACCTAGCAGTGGGATTGCCGGATCATGTGGTAGCTCTACTTTTAGTTTTTTGAGGAACCTCCAAACTGTCCTCCATAGTGGTTGTACTAATCTACATTCCCACCAACAGTGTATGAAAGTTCCCTTTTTCGGCCGGGCGCGGTGGCTCACGCCTGTAATCCCAGCACTTTGGGAGGCCGAGACGGGCGGATCACGAGGACAGGAGATCGAGACCATCCTGGCTAACACGGTGAAACCCCGTCTCTACTAAAAATACAAAAATTAGCCGGGCATGGTGGCGCGCGCCTGTAGTCCCAGCTACACGGGAGGCTGAGGCAGGAGAATGGCGTGAACCCGGGAGGCGGAGCTTGCAGTGAGTTGAGATCGCGCCACTGCACTCCAGCCTGGGCGACAGAGCGAGACTCCGTCTCAAAAAAAAAAAGAAAGTTCCCTTTTTCTCCACATCCTTGCCAGCATTTGTTATTGCCTGTCTTTTGGATAAAAGCCATTTTAACTGGGATGAGATGATATTTCATTGTAGTTTAGATTTGCATTTCTATAATATCAATGATATTGAGCATCTTTTCATATGCCTATTTGTCATTTGTATGTCTTCTTTTGAGAAATGTCTATTCAAATCTTTTGCCAATTTTTAGAAAATCAGATTATTAGATTTTTTTTCGTAGAGAGTTGCTTGAACTCCTTATATATTCTAGTTATTAATTCCTTGTCAGATGTGTAGTTTGCAAGTATTTTCTCCCATTCTATGGGTTGTCTCTTCACTTTGTGAACTTTTTCCTTTTCTGTGCAGAGGACTTTTTAACTTGATGTGATCCCATTTGTCCATTTTTGCTTTTGTTGACTGTGCTTGTCAGGTATTACTTAAGAAATTTTTGCTTAGACCAATGTCCTGGAGAGTTTCTACAATGTTTTCTTGTAGTAGTTTCATAATTTGAGGTCTTAGATTTAAGTTGTCAATCAACTTTGATTTGATTTTTGTATATATAGATAGATAGGGGTCTAGTTTCATTCTTCTGCAAATGGATATGCAGTTTTCCTAACAGCTTTTATTGAAGAGACTGTATTTTTTCCAGTGTATGTCCTTGCCACTTTTGTCAAAAATGAGTTCATTGTAGGTGTGTAGATTTGTTTCTGGGTTCTCAATTCTGTTCCATTGGTCTGTGTGTCTGTTTTTATGCCAGTACCATGCTGCTTTGGTTTACTATAGCTCTGTAGTATAATTTGAAGTCAGGTAATGTCATTCTTCCACTTTTGTTCTTTTTGCTCAGGACAGCTTTGGCTATTCTGGGTCTTTTGTGGTTCCATAAAGATTTCAGGATTGTTTTTTCTATTTCTGTGAAGAATGTCATTGGTATTTTGATAGGGATTGCACTGAATTTATACATTGTGTTGGGTAGTATGGACATTTTAACAATATTTATTCTTCCAATCCACGAACATGAAATATCTTTCCATTTCCATGTTTCTTTTTTGTCTTTTTCAATTTCTGTCATCACTGTTTTATAGTTTTCATTGTAGAGTGCTTTCACTTCTTTAGTTGATTTCTAGGTATTTAATTTTATTTGTGGTTATTGTAAATGGGATTAGTTTTTGATTTCTTTTTCATATTGTTCACTGTTGGCATATAGAAATGCTACTGATTTTTGTATGTCGATTTTTTTCCTGAAACTTTACTGAATTTATCAGTTCTAATAGTTTATTTTTGGAGTCCTGAGGTTTCAACAAATGCAAGATCATATCGTTTGCAAAGAAAGATAATTTGAATTTTTCCTTTCCAATTTGGATGCCCTTTATATCTTTCTCTTGTCTGATTGCTCTAGCTAGAACTTCCAGTACTCTGCTGAATAACAGTGGTGGAAGTGGAAATCCTTGTAGTGTTCTAGATCTTATAGAAAAAGCTATGAGTTTTTCCTCATTCATGATAATACTGGTTGTGGGTCTATGGCATATGGCTTTTATTATGTTGAGGTATGGTCCTTATATCCCCAGTTTTTTGAAGGTTTTTATGATGAAGGGATGCTGAATTTTATCAAATGCTTTTTCAGCATCAATTAAAATGATTATATGGTTTTTGTCCTTCATTCTGTTGATATGATGTATCATATTGATTGATTTGCATAGGTTGAACCATCTTTGCATCCTAGGGATAAATCCCACTTGGTCATGATGAATAATCTTTTTCATTTATCATCGAATTTGGTTTGCTAGTATTTTGTTGAGGATTTTTCCATCAATATTCATTAGAGATATTGGCTGGCGATTATTCTGTTTTTGATGTGTCTTTGTCTGGTTTTGTTATCAGGGTAACACTGGCTCCATATAATGAATTTGGAAGTATTTGCTTCTCCTATTTTTCAGAAAAATTTGAGTAGGGTTGGTATTAGTTCTTTTTTAAATGTTTGGTAAAATTCAGCAGAGACGCCATCAGGTCCAAGACTTTCCTTTGCTGGGAATTTTTTATTACAGCTTCCATCTTGTTACTTGTTATTGGTACATTAAAGTTTTGGATTTCTTCATGGTTCAAATTTGTTAGATCGTATGTGTCTAGAAATTTGTCTATTTTTTTCTAGGTTTTCCAGTTTATTACACATAGTTGCTCCTAGTAGCCACTAATTATGCTTAAAATTTCTGTGGTATCAGTTGTAATGTCTCCTTTTTCATCTCTGATTTTATTCATTTGGGTCTTCTCTGTTTTTTTCTTAGTTATTCTGGCTAAAAGTTTGTCAATTTTGTTTATTTTTTCAAAAAACCATCTTTTTGTTTCAATGATTTTTTGTATTGTATTCATTATTTCAAATTCATTTATTTCCACTCTGATCTTTATTATTTCTTTTTATCTACTAATTTTGGGTTCAGTTTTCTCTTGCTTTTCTATTTCTTTAAGATGCGTAATTCGATTATTTATTTGAAATTCTTCTTCTTTTTTTGATGCAGGCACTTACAGCTATCAACTTCCCTCTTAGTACTGTATCCCATAGGTTTGTATGTTTTGTTTCCATTATCATTTGTTTCAAAAAATTTTTCGATTTTCTTCTTAGTTTCTTCATTGACTGCCAGGTCATCCTGGAACATATTATTTAATTTCCATGTATTTGTATGGCTTCTAAAATTCCTCTCATTGATTTCTAGTTTTATTATATTGTGGTCATAGAAGATGCTTGATATTATTTCAGTTATTTAGAATGTTTTAAGACTTGTTTCGTGACCTAACATATGGTCTATACTTGAGAATGATACATGTGCTGAGGAGAAGAATGTGTATTCTGCAGCCATTGCATGAAATGTTCTGTAAATATCTATTAAGTCCATTAGTTCTATACTGCAGATTAAGTCCAATTTGTTGTTGTTGTTGTTGTTGTTGTTGTTGATTTTCTGCCTGGAAGCCCTGTCCAATGCTGAAAGTGGGATGTTGAAATCTCCAGCTATTATTGTATTGAGGTCTATGTCTCTCTAGCCCTAATAATATTTGCTTTATACAATCTAGGTGCTCCAATATTGGTTGCATATATATTTACAATAATTAGATTCTGTTGCTGGATTGACCCCTTTATCATTATGTAATAACCTCCTTTGGTTCTTCTTACAGTTTTTGTCTTGAAATCTCTTTTGTCTGATATAAGCATAGCTACTTCTGCTCTTTTCATGGTTTCCATTGGCATAGAATATCTTTTTCCATCTCTTTATTTTCAGTCCATGTGTATCTTTATAGGTGAAGTGTGTTTCTTTAGGGAACAGATTATTGAGTCTTGTTTTTTTTCACCTATTCAGCTACTCTGTCTTTTGATGGGACAGTTTAGTTCATTTGCATTGAATGTTATACTAGTAAGTAGGGACTTTTGCATTTTTTGTTTTCTGGTAGTTTTGTGGTCTTCTCTTCCTTCTTTCCTTCCTTTCTGTCTTTCTTTTAGTGAAGGTGATTTTTTAATGGTGGTATGATTTGATTTCTTGCTTTTTATTTTTTGTGTATCTATTGTGTGTTTTTTTATTTGAGGTCACCATGAGGCTTGCAAATACTATCTTATAACCCATTATTTTAAATTGGTGACAACTTAACATTGATTGCATAAACATATGAACAAGCATGCAAAAGAAAACCAATACAAACTCTACACTTTAATTTCATCCCCCTACCTTTCTAACTTTTTGTTGTTTCTCTATTTCTTATTGTACTTTGTCTTGAAAAGTTGTAGTTATTATTTTTGATTTGTTCATTATTTAGTCCTTCTACTTAAAATAAGAATAGTTTATACACCATAATTAGGGTGTTATAATATTCTGTGTGCTTCCTATTAGCAGTAAGTTTTGTACATTCAGATGATTTTTTTTTTTTCTTTTTTAACTTTTAAGTTCAGGGGTACATGTGCAGGTTTGTTGTATAGGTAAACTTGTGTCATGGGGTTTGTTGTGCAGATTATTTTGCCACCAGGGATTAAGCCTAGTATCCATTATAAAATTTTTCTGATCCTCTCCCTCCTCCCGCCTTCCACCCTCTGATAGGCCCCAGTGTCTGTTGTTCCCTTCTATGGGTCCATGTGTACTTATCATTTAGGTCCCACTTATAAGTGGAACATGCAGTATTTGGTTTTCTGTTCCTGTGTTAGTTTGCTAAGGATAATGGCCTCCAGCTCCATCTATGTTCCTGCGAAGGACATGATCTCATTTTATGGCTGCATAGTATTCCATAGTGTAAATGTACTACATTTTCTTTATCCAGTCCACCATTAATGGGCATTTAGATTTATTCCATGTCTTTGCTATTGTGAATAATGCTGCAACAAACATGAATGCGCATATGTCTTTGTGATAGAACAATTTATATCCTTTTGGCTATATACGCAGCAATGGAATTACTGGGTCAAATGGTAGTTCTGTTTTTAGATCTTTGAGGAATCACTACACTGTTTTCCACAAAGACTGAACTAAGTTATACTCCCACAGACAATATGTAAATGTTCCTTTCTCTCCACAACCTCGCCAGCACCTGTTATTTTTTGGCTTTAGTAATAACCATTCTGATTGGTGTGAGATGGTATCTCGTTGTGGTTTTGATTTGCATTTCTGTGATGATTAGTGACATTGACCATTTTTTTCATATGCTTGGCCTTGCTCATTAACATTATTTTGTTTCAGATGAAAGAACTCCCTTTAGCATTTCTTGTAGGACAGGCCTGGTGTTGATGAAATCCCTGAGCTTTTGTTTGTCTGGGAAGGTCTTTATTTCCCCATCGTGTTTGAAAGATATTTTCACAGGATATACTATTCTAGAATAAAATTTTTTTCCATCAGCACTTTAAATATATCATGATACTCTCCTGTCATGTATGTTATTCGTTTCTTTTGTGGCTTTTAGAATTATTTCTTTATCCTTGACCTTTGGGAGTTTGATTTTAAGATGCCTTGAGGTATCCTACTTTGGGTTAAATCTGCTTCAAGTTCTATGGCCTCCTTGTACTTTCTTTGATATCTTTCTCTAGGTTTGGGAAGTTCTCTGTTATTATCCCTTTGAATAAGCTTTCTATGCCTATCTCTTTCTCTACCTCCTCTTTAAGGCCAATGCCTCTTAGATTTGCCTTTTTGAGGCTATTTTCTAGATCTTGGAGGCATGCTTCAGTTTTTATTTTTTTCTTTTGTCTCCTCTGACTGTATTTTCAAATAGCTTGTCTTCAAGTTCATTAATTCTTTCTTCTGCTTGATCAGTTCTGCCACTAACAGATTATGACACATTCTTCATTATGTCAATTCCATTTTTTAACTCTGGAATTTTTGCTTGATTCTTTTTAACTACTCCAACCTTTTTGTTAAATTTATCTGATAGAATTCTGAATTTATTTTCCATGTTATCTTGAATTTCTTTGCATTTCCTCAAAATAGCTATTTTAAATTATCTTTCTGAAGGGTCATATATCTCTGTTTCTCTAGGATTGGTCCCTGGTGCCTTAGTTATTTTCATGAGGTCATGTTTTCCTGGGTGATTTTGATGCTTGCAGATGTTTATCAGTGTCTGCGAATTGAAGAGTTAGGTATTTATTGGAGTTTTCACAGTCTGGGCCTGTTTGTGCTTACCCTTCTTAAGGAGGCTTTCCAGGTATTTGAAGGGATGTGGGCCCCAAGCCTAATAACACTGTGGTTTTTGCAGACTTATTGAAGTACTTGGCGGTCTTGAATAAGATCTGAAAGAATTATCTGGATTATCAGGCAGAGACTCATGTTCTTTTTTCTTACTTTCTCCCAGACAGATGGAGGCTCTCTCTCTGTGCAACTGGGGGTGTGGTGATGCAAATATCCTTCTGGCCACCGCCACTGGGGCCGTGCTGGGTCAGACCTGAAGGCAGCACAGCACTGGATTTCACCTGAGGCCCTCTATAATCACTACCCGGCTGCCACCTATGTTCACTCAAGACCCTATGTTCATTCAACGGCTCTATAATCAGCAGATGGCAAATCCAGCCAGGTTCATGTGCTTCCCTTCAGGATGGTGAGTTTCCCTAGGCCCCAGGCAGGTCAAGAGATGTTGTCTGGGAGCCAGGGATTACAGTTAAAAACCTTGGTAATTGCTTGATGTTCTGTTTTACTGTTGGTAAGCTGGTACTCAAACCACAACACAAAGTCCTGTCCTCTCTTCCCTTCCCTTTCCTCAGGCACAGGAGCCTCTCTCTGTGGCCACCACACCCACTGGCCCATGAGGGGTTCTGCCAGACCACTGATGATGTTCACTTAAAGTCCAAGGGCACTTCAGTCAGCTTGTGTTGAATGTTGCCAGGCCTGGGACTCACCCTTCAGGACAGTAGGCTCCTCTCTGGACCTAGGGCAGGTCCAGAAATGCCATCCAAGAGCCTAGGCCTAGACTAGGGGACCCCAAGAACTTGCTTGTGGCTCTACCCCACTGTGGCCAAGCTGGTACCTAAAAGTGCAAGACAAAGTCCCCTTTATTTTTCCCTCTGCTTTCCTCAAACAGGAATCTTTTGCCTGTAGCCACCACACCTGGGAATGTATTGGGTCCCATCTGAAGTCAGCATGTCTCAGAGCCCAGGGTCCACGGTGTACTACGTGGGTATCACTGCTAGTTATTCAGGGCCTGAGAGCTCTTTAGCCAGCAAGTAATGAATCCTGCTGGGACTGGGTCCTTCCATTCAGGACAGTGGGCTCCCCTTTGGCCCAGGGTGTATCTAGAAACGTCATCTATAAGCTAGGGCCTGGGATGGGGGCCTGATGATTCTGCCTGGTGCCCTCTACTGTGACTAAGCTCGTATTCAAGATGCAAGACAAAGTCCTCTTTACTATTTACTTTTCTCTCCTTAAGCAGAAGGAAGGAGTCACTTTCCTTGCTGGGAGTTGGGCAGCCTGGGGTTGGGGTAGGGGTGGCACAACCACTCCCTTAACTGCCTCAGCTTATGTCTCCCTAGGTCATGTGCTGCCTTAGTCCTCTGTCTCTAAGCCTAGCTCAGAATTAGGAGTTGCCTAGGAATTGTAGTCCTTGTGCCCTAGACTGCTTTTCAAGTTTACCTAGGACCCTAAAGCACTTTGGCTTGCTGGGGCAAGACTTGCCAAGAAACTCAATTTCTGATCATTGGGATGGGTGATTCCCCTGTGGCTAGGGCTGGTTCAAATGCTCCCTCCATGCACGGGCACTGGCTGAACTCAGCATGGCCTTGCTCTCTGTATGGCAGGGCAGCCCTAAGTTCAGTGTAGAGTCTACCAGTCATTGTATTATCCCTGCCCCAAATGCGCAGTTTCTCTGTGCTGCATGGCCTCTGCCTGGGGATAGGAAAGAGGTAGTGTAGGTGATTCCAGACCGTCTCTCCGATCCTCTGCGATGCCTTCTACAGCAATATGAAGTTAAAAACAGGTCCTGTGATTGCTCATTGGATTTTTGGTTCTTGGGATGGTGCTTTTCTGTGTGTGAAAAGTTGTTAAAATTTGATGTTCCTGCTGGGGGGATGGACAGTGTAGGCTTCTGTTCCACCATCTTGTTCACCTCCCTTGCAATTGGTTTTGAATAGCAATTAGGCAGGATGCATCAAATTCCTTAAACTTGATCTAATCATTCAGCTTCCAAGGACTTGCGAGGAAATAAGGGTTGACAAAGGTTTTTGATTTTTGTTTTTGTTTTCCTGTTTTATTTGTATTGCCTTCCAAGAGTGTTTCTCATTTATTCCCTGTTGACATCATTCTTTCTCATGGCTTTCAATATCACTCATGTTGATAGTTTCTAGGTAAGTAACTCCAGCCAGTTCTCTCTTCTGAATTTGAATCAACATGTCTGTGTCATATCTGATAGACTCTTCACACCTAACGTCCAGACTGTATTTCCAACATCTCTTTCCCTCAACCTGCTCTTCCTGCAGTGTTCTCCAATTCAGGATGCTCCAGTTTTTAGGCTGAAAATGTTGGAGTCATTCTTGACTCTTCCTTTATCTTTTTCTCATCCTATATCCAATTTGTCAGCAAGTATCATAGGCTATACAGTCCCAATATATCAAGAATTGGATCCTTTCTCATACCCTCTACATGCACTCCCTAAGTCCAAATCATCATCATTTCTAGCCTGGCTTAATGCAGTCAGCCACCTATTGGATTTTCTGGTGTCCCTGCTTTTCTCTTCAATCATTCTCAATCCAACAAACAAAGTGATCATATAAAAACATAAGTAAGATGTTATTCTTTTTCTCAGATGGTTTTCTATTGAACAAAAAATTCAAAGACCTTATGTGGTCTATAAGAGAGGCAACTATAATTTATCATTCCAACTGGGATATGTTTCAGAATAAAAGTGGAGCACTATCCATAATTATTTTAGAAAAATCAGTGCAAACTGCTCCTTTACTCTGTTACTCCTCTGATCTCATCTTTTACCATTCTTCTTTTTATTCATTCTGTGCCAGCTTCTCTTGCATTCTCAACATGCCAGGGATGCTCTGCCTCAGTAACTTTGCATTTACTGTTTATTTTTTCTGGAATGTTCTTTTTAAAAATTGTTCACAAATTGCCCCCTTGTTTCCTTTAGGCCTTTTACAAATGTCACTTTCTTAATGAGACGTTCTCTGACTTTCCTTTTCACGCTCATTTATTTTCTCCCTTTCTTTCTTACCTTTTTATTGTTCTTCTTAGCACTATCTAATATGCCATATATTTTATTAATTTATCTTAATAGTCTGCCTCTTTCACTGGGACATGAGAACTTCAAGGGCGGGGTTTTATCTCTCTTTTGTAACCTTTTTTTACTTTGGTATTTTTTGCATGTAGAATAAATATTTGTTGAATGAATAAATGAATGAGTGAAGAAGTCACTATACTTTATAAATGTAAATAATTAGAATATATTTACATGTTCAACATTAAAAAATTAGTTAAATTATGGTGCATTTATATGATATAATATTGTTCAGCCAATAAAAATGATGATATAAGTACATTCATTTAAAGGGAATGTTGCATGATTAAAATAATTTTACAAAGCAGTATGCATTGTCTGGTATTATTTGCATGCAGATGTGAGCAAATATGCATAGTGCTAATTGTGGTTACCACAGGGCTATGAGATTATAGCTAATTTTTACTTAATTCTTTTTGTGAATCTGAAAATTCTACCTTCATTCCAATGTGCAGGTAGGATTTGTGTAATAAAAAAATGAGATAAAGTCATAAAAACTGGCATCATTGTTGGTGAAAGTCTAGAGTATTTTTTACCTATTCTTTGTATCATTTTGGATGTGAACTCTCATTTTTGGGGCATAATTTCACTAAAAAAATAGCTTTCAAAACTTTTAAAGCCATGGAAACTATCTTCAAGAAACTTAAGCAACTAAAACTGATGGAAAACGTCTCCAGTTGAAAAAGAGTGTAGGGAGCATAGGTTCAGGACAATGAGAAACTCATTTTGAAAAGCACTGAAAGAGATGATCCCTTGAGTCCAGTGGCAGAGACAGCGGCTCTGATTAGGGTTCTTCTTCCATAATGTAGAGTGTGGCAGGGATGTAGCTGCCAGCCATAGACTCCTTTGCCCAGTTTATTTTACATCTAGGTGAGGCCATGCCATGTGGGTGAGAGGGATGATCACCACTACCAGGCCTGGCCCATAACCAACACTCTGAGACCCTCTACATTATTCTCCCTATCTGTCAGCTAGATGTTGATGCCAGAGTACTTTTAGAAGCCATGCATTGATAATGGCTGAAATTATCCTCATGCTCTGAATGACAACACGAGGCACCTCCAATTACTACTTATGACTTCTATTGCATGTAAAATTTTGAAGTTTATCTATTATATCAGCTAGACATTTTTTTCACATTCTTTAAAACTGCACAGTTCTATTTATTCACGCATCATAGCAGAATTTAAGCAACTAACTGTATTTTCAGGTACACTTTTCCTCATATGGAGCAAATTTTCCTCATATGGAGCAAAAATGAAGGAAATTTAATAAACCATTACCTGGACACTATTCAAAATACTCACCTATTATGCACTAGAATGATTTTACAGAGCCATCTTAATTTATCGTCCTTTGACAGGATATCTCAATACAAGTTTTTAATCTATGTAGTTTAATATTTTGTTTTGATGTTTCAGTTACCAACTGGGTTGCTTTGGTATACTCCTAAGAGGAAGGGCACCCTTGTTTCAGCTATGTTCCGGCAAAGTGTGAAGTTCAAGATCTTTCCAGAGGGGAGCATGGAATAAGAGTAAATCAGAGTTTGTGCCAGTCCTTTTACTTTTTAAGCCCAAATACCTTGTAAGTGCCCCTCTGTGACCATTTATCCATCTCAAATTTGTATTTGTTTTTACCTGGTTTCTACTGCATACAAATACATGGTGGGTAGGAGAGTGGGGAGTGCCATGGAAGAAAGGAGAGCCTGTACTGTTTAGGAAGGCCCTGTCTCCTCATTTTGGTACTTGTTCTCCTCTAGAATGCCCTCCTTCAAGGCAGAGTGTATGTGTGTAAAAGGCAATTCTGTTCAATCGTCCAAGGTAAGGGAGGTTGTTGGGGCTTCTGGACTAGTTGTAGAATGTGCATGTACGCTTCATATCATCCCCTGTATCAGGTCTCAGTGCCAAACTGCTCCCCATCTTTGCCTCCCCAGGTGACAATCCAGCTGCCTGATTCTTGAAGCCACTTGATTTTGGCAGGAGTGTGTGACTCCACCTCAACCCACTCCCCTTCCAAGAAATAAAAATAACTCCACTGTGCTTGGGCTGTCACCAGTTCACCAGACTCCAGGGAAGCTCCTGTCTGTGATGTCGCATTCATTTCTGAATGCTGGCATTGTACTTTGAAATTCCCAAACAAAATGCACAGAGAAACACCAGGTGAATAACAATGAAACCAGCAGCATTTATTTTTGTGCGTGGCAGTCTCAGCTACATTTTTGTAAAAGACCTTTTTGCCAAAATTAGTTTAGGTTTCAAGTCACGTTTCACCCTCAGTCAAATATAAAGGTCACTCAGTGAACAAAGGGGAGATTGTGTATTCTTGGTGATCACAGATGAAGCTGGAAAGGCAGCCTCTTTCAAACAAAATGAGGTAGTTAAGTGGAAAATGAAGGCGGCGAATTCTATAGAGCAGCGCTCAACAACAAGGGATGCTGGCGTTTTTTTTCTTGACATAAACACAATAACACATAGAGAAAAGCCTAACAGAGAGGAGAGTGACCCAGGTGCTGTATAAACAGATTTTCAGACAGGCAGTTGGAGCCCCGTGGTATGTTTAGTTTCTCCCACTCCCTGCTACTTTATCCTTTGTCAGATTCAATACAGCCTTCAAGGGCACTGGAGGCAGAAGAAAGAGAAAAATGCCTGGGGAAGGGAAAAGGGGAGGGGGAGAAAACAGTCTCCTCTCCTAGCCTTTGTTAAAGAATAAAAGCGCAAAACGTGTAAAAATCATTTACTCTCTACCCGACAGTGCCAACATGTTTGACACTGGTTTGCTAGAGCTTATAGAGAAACTCTGTTGACATTTTATTCACATAAGAGTTTTGAATTATATAAGGCTTTTTGAGATGCGCTGTTGGATATAATCTGAATAGTCAAGCTTAGGGGGGGAGAAAAACCACATAACACCCAGTAACTCTTAAATGTTTATATAAATCCCAAAGTGGAAAGAAAGGATAAAATGGTAAGAACAAAAATATTTGCTTATTCTTAGACAGCAACCTAATACACCTGTGTCAAAAATAAAAATTACACTTTGAAAAGGACATGCAAATGCCCAACTTTTTCCCAGAGCTTCTCTCTTATCCTTTAGGTAAGGGAACTTAGGACTTAAATATAATAAGCAAACACAGCGGGATTCAAGAGATTCTGTCCTTCTGCAGGTGATACATTTTGATACTTTATTTTCTTTTGACAAATGCACATATATTTTTAATTAAGTACATCTATTCATTGCAGTGAAATTAGAACGTACAGATAAAGAAAAAACAAACACGTCTAACCTTACTTTTCAGATAATCATAGTTAAAATTTTTCTATATTTTAAATACTTTTTCTATGTGCATACAATATGCATAATACATACATACACATACTATAAAATTAAAATATTCAGTTTATGTTGTTTTGCAATCTGTTCAATAAAATATGTTGTATACTCATTTTTATGTCCTATAGTTACTTCATCATTTTTAATGGTTGCATAGTATTTCGTCATATGAATGGACCATAATATGCATGAGAAATATTGTATTGTTGGATGTTTAATTGGTTTCTAAATTTTTTGATGTTGCTAATAATGTTGCAACAAATTCCATTATTTTCTTACGATAAGTCCTAGAAGTGAATTGCTGGGTGAAAATTCATATCTAATTGCTGGTGACTTGCTTGATTTTTTTCTATATATTCATAACATTTTAAAATTTATATTTTATATTTAAAGTTACACCAGAATATGTCTTTGTTATTGTTCTCATTCTCTTCTTTTGAAACTGAACATATAAACAAACAAATACACACATATATTTATTAACATATACGAGGTCAATAGAAGTAATAACTACATAGGCATATATAGATACATACACACTAGATATATTTATATATATATGTGTGTGTAATCTGTGTGTATATATTAATATATATACACATGTATGCACGTATACATTTGTATTCCAGTATGTTTACTTTTATCTCTTCACCTATCTCAGTCTGTCTCTATTTCTAACTTTATCTCTAATAAAAGAAAAATAATGACCAAACTAAAAGAAAGATATACTTTGATAAACATTGAATTTAAAGAATATTTTGAAAAATTTTATGAATGCATAAGTGAAAGAAAATAGGTTACCAAAGATCAAAACTATATTTTTTTTACCGAGCAAATTAACAAAAATTATTATTTTTAAGGATGTAAAGAAACAAGTGTGCATATATATTTGGGGGTGTGTGTGTGTATGTATGTGTATGTACACATATATGTATATATTCTCTTCTGGATATTCGGTAATCTCCCTTACTGGCTTTAATCTCTAAACTATCATAACAACACTTCTTCCAAATTATTGAATATCTTTTACTTATGTTCTAATTTGCTAAGTCAATTCCTGTAATATTTAATCTTCTGCTTACCAGCTCTCCTAAAATATTAAATTCTGCATTTATGTTATTCATCTCATAGCAATAATAATCAATATCCAATTTTCCTTGCTCCATGAGTTCTTGCTTTTGTTCTATTAATAGAAAGTTTTTTTGGAATGTGTATAAGAATATGAATTAAACATTTTTCAAAATTTACTTCTGTATTTGTAGTAGCTGAGCTTATTAGAAACGTTGTCATTATTAAAATTGGTCTTTTTCTTTGGAACTGTTGAATCTTATCATATCCCTAATAATTTTATTTTTTCTTTGCTCATTCTGGCACAGTTTAGTACTTGATTTTAAGTTTGGTTGCATCTATGATTGTATGGTTTGCGCTTTGAGTGTTGAAAGTCCAGATGAAGCAGAATAGATGATGTTTAGCTGTAGTTCAGTTATCCTTAGCTAGATCAGATTATCTGAATAGAAGGAGAGGAGAGGGTGATTGGACTATAGATGGTGGCTGCCCTGACAAAGAGCTTCACCTCTCTGTTCAGTGATTACATTTCTGTGATTGTTGTGGCTTCTCTGAGGTAAGTTAGCTAGTTGAGTGCTCACAATTTTCTAACTGGAATGAAAATGCTTTTTAGGAGCCAGAATGAGCAGTGCCTCTACATTTTCTACCTCTGCTGTTTGGGACAATTATAGTCAGGAGTGAGTATCAAGGATGGATCCTGACCTCATGTTGTTTTGGGTATCTATAACTAACTCCTTCTAGATGTGCTCATATGATTTAGGTTTTTAAAAATATATATGCTTTTCCTTTAAAAAAAATTTTTTTTGAGTCAGGGTCTCACTCTGTTGCCCAGACTAGAGTGCAGTGGTGTGATCATGGCTCACTGCAACCTTGACTTCCTGGACTCTGGTAATCCTCCCACCTCAGCCTCCAGAGTAGCTGGGACCACAAACACACCCACGACACCGAGATAATTTTTGTATTTTTTGTAGAGACGAGGTTTCACTCATGTTGCCCAAGATGGTCTCAAACTCCTGGGCTCGAGCAATCCACTCACCTCGGCCTCCCAAGGTGTTGGGATTACAGGCATGAGCCACTGCACCCAATCAATATATACTTTTAATTTCTGAATAATGTTAAGTTTACAAAAATTGTAAGACTAGTAATAGGGAGTTCTTGTATACTCTTCACATAGCTTCCCCTAATGTTAACATTATACCTAACTATGGTACATTCATCACAGCCAAAAAATTGACATTGGTATGATTCAGACTTTGTTTGAATGTTATTGTCATTTCTACTGATGCCCTTTTTCTTTTCCAGGATCCAATTCATAATACCACATTGCATTTAGATACACAGCTAATCCTCGAACAATAGGGGAGTTAGGGATGTTGACTCCCCGCTCAGTAAAAAATTTGTGCAAAACTTTTGACTTTTCATAAACTTAACTATTAATAGCCCACTGTTGCCTGGAAGCCTTACCAATAACATAAATAGTCAATTAACACATATTTTATATGTTATATGTGTTATATCCTGTATTCTTATGATATAGTAAGCTAGAGAAAAGGAAATGTCATTAAGAAAATCATAAGGAAGAGAAAAATTACTATTCATTCAGCAGAAGTGGATTATTATCAAGATAATAGTCTTTATCTTCATTGTCTTCACATTGAGTAGGCAGAGGAAGAGGAGAAAGAGGAAGGGTTGTTTTTGCTATCTCAGCAGTGGCAGAAGCAGAAGAAAATGTACATATAAATGGACCCACACAGTTCAAAGTTAGGTTGCTCAAGGGTCAATTGTAATTGAGTTTGACCACTTAGAAAAGGCCACCAAGCATTTTCTCTTTTCACTACTTTATGGAAAGTCACTTGAGCATGATTTCCAAGCTGGTGTCTTCTTTTGAAGTGAATTTGGTTTGACTCTTCTCTGACTTTAGTCCCTTTTTATGTTTATTTATTTTTATAGAAATTTTCTGAAGTTTCTTGGGAATGTATAGGCCTTTCTCCATTTTCCAAGGATAATACAGATTATTTTCTGTTTCTATTCCTCTTTTTCAAAAATGCCCTTTCTTTAGGGACATTTAAACTCAGAGGCTTACATAATTATCTTTAGCCAGAAGAACTAAATGTGTCTTTCAAATCCATTTTCATTTGTGACTACCAAATTAGCAATTTTGTAATATATGAAATGCATTATGTATGCTGGAATCTGGAATGGAGTCACTGGATAACTTATTTCTTTTCATATTCAAATGTTCTAAGCTCAAACAGAAAGTTATTTTAACAGAAGAGCCCATACTGCTGCAAATCCATTCTGAAGGAGGAATTCTGAGGCTTCAAATCTAAGTCCACCTTTATTTGCTCAAATCTTCCAATGCCCTGTCTCTCAAGACACATAAAGAATTTTTAATATTTGATCACAATTCATCGTTTCATTTATTATGTTGTAAAGTTCATGGATCCCTTCAAAACCTGATACAAGTGTCTTTCTCCAACATGCATGTGGCTAAGTCATTGTAGTTATTTATGGTTGCTATGAGTCACGGAGTTGAAGCAGATCTATGTTCTACTTTGTGTTGCCTTTCATTATGTTTTCAGATGGGTGCCTAGTATGGTCATTGATTTCCTCACACACTCTCAGAAGATAAAGTGTCCATCTTTAAATTTGGCATGCTTATTCTATCACATACTTCTGAATAGAAACCTAGCAGAAACACGTGCAGGCACAGAACCCTCATGTTTCTTTGGGTTAGTTCCATTCTATGTGAGTTCACTTCCTATCAACCACAGTATAGTGGTTAAGGGGTTGGATTTAGGATCAGCATTGTTCTCATTTTGTGTTTCTTCCTTCTCTCTGGGAATATGTACTCTGATTTGGCTACAACCTTTCAGACAATTTCTCTTTATATTAAAGTCCATTAAATTATAAACACATTAGATTTCCCAATCTATTGTTGCGTTCAGGAAAGACTAATGTGGTTTCCAATGAGAATTAATGTATAAGTGACTCCTAGGGTATATCCTGAACAGAGGTGGGCTCTCAGGAGATTATGAATTAATTTTTAATAAACCTTGCAAAGTGTCTCAGGGCTGATTCAATTGGTGTTTGTGTTCATGCAGCATCCAGCAAACACAGTAACACAAGCAGTCCTAAAAACCCAAACACTCAACCTTTCCCTAAAGAAACATAAAGGTTCCCAAAACACAAGGAACACTGAAAATATCCTGGAGGAAAAGATGAGTTTTGAGGAATTGCCAAAATCCTGCTCTCATTCTTCTTTCAGGCAGGTCAAGACTTATACAAACCAAGCCCTCTCATTGGAATCTTGCATTTGCATCCTACTTTTTTTTCTTTATCTAACAGGAGGCATCTCCCACCCCTCTGTGATTGGATGTTCTGTTACTGAACATCCCCATTTCACCTCTGGAAATCTTATTACAGGGTCTTTCAACATTCTTCATTTTATTCTTTTAAAAGACAAACTGCATTTAGTAGTCTTAGTATATTCCTGGACATAGTAATTTTTTCCCTATGTTTTGGGATTAAATACTACTTTCTTTTCCCAGATTTCTGGTCCTTTGAAGAAAAGAATCCTGCAAAGGTTAAAATCTACACTCAGAAACACACAGACAAGTTTTCCTCTGTGGAAGATTTTAGTAAGCAGAAGGGGCCATAAAGGGTAACAGCCAGAGATTCCCTGAATCAAGATCAAGGGATTCCCTGAAATGGTTTCTCTTTGGAGTTAAACAACAGTTCACATCAGATCAATGATAGATGAATTGTTTCTGGACATTGAATGTTCATAGATAAATTTCTCACATGACTTCAGTTTTTTTTTAGCGGATCGTGGGAAAGATACCCTTATCTCAATTTAGCACTCATAAATATTTTGAAAGATAAAATTGTAAATATAAAATATAACTGGTACATTAAAGATGACTGCAAATTCTTTGCTACATACACTTCTATTAAGAAGTGGAATCAACTTGTCTTCCCCTTGAATCTGGGCTAAACTTTGTGATTTGCTTGATTAATAAGACATGATGGAAAGGCTATTCTGGAATTTCTGAGGCTGAGTTCAAGGCTCCAGAAACATGAGTGAAAAAGCTGGACTGGAAGGGGATCCTCCAGCCTCAGTTGCCTCAGTGGATGTCATATAAATTGGACATCATCTACCCAGAAGAGTCACTCTTGAATTCCTTAGCCACAAAACTGTGACCGAAATAAAATTGTTGTTTCAAGCCCCTACAAGTTTGTGGTGGTTACCTATAGACAATAAATGGAAACTGTAACCAAATAAAATACAAAAAAATTATGCATAGATATTTAATGCACTGAACCAATCATAATAAGTTCACAGTTTGTAGAAACTCATTTTTTTTAATGCTATCACTCACATCACTTAGGATCAAAGCACAAAATTTAGTTAAAACCCAGATTGGAAATCCTTGTCCTTCAGAGAAGATCACAAAGTGCAGCTGCAATCTTGACTGGAAATTGTGTGCTCAGCCAGTATATCTATAGGCGAGGTTTACACTCATGTTACATTTAGATGTCACCCAAAATTGCAGTGAAGTATTCCTAGTGAAGCATGACATAATCTCAGATATATTGGCCGAGCATAATGAAACACCAAAATTACAACCTGACTATTATTTAGCCTTTCTTTATCAAATCCATTGCAGTGTATGTACATATAGTCATATAGGTAGCATACTATGCTGAAATTCCAACCCTTAGATTTTAAGGCACCTGTATGCTTTCCTCTAAGAACATATATTTAGTAATAAAAAATTTTTCTACTTTGTAAATGAACATGAGCAAAGAAATCCCTTAAAGAGCATAAAAGAGGAATTATTTAAATGTTACACTATTCAAAACTCCAAATTTAATTGCATTATTTCTTCTGTTGTTTTATACTTTTTGCTACAACATAGAGCAGAGCCAATTTTAAACAGTCACTGAAAAAGTATGTAACAATTAGTCTTCAATTTCCATTATGCAATGCTGTTTTACTGTGCTTTAAAGGAGCATGATCCTCCCTGTGACTTTTTGAAAGTATTTAACTGCTGCCTTGACTGGCTAGGGAAGAAACACCCACTTACGGGCAAACAGGTCAAAAGAAGTAGATTGCTATTTTTTTGCTCTCCTCTAAGCGCAGAGAAAATACCAGGAAATAGCTAGGTCTCAAACCACCTATTTATGCTTTGACAATTTACTTTAGTTATGGCTTTGAAAAATTTAGATTCCCAATCCCCCCACCCAATTTAGATCTCTGCTAGCAGAAGTTCCAGCCATCCTACAGCACTCATCCATCTCAGCCCTCAAGTTCTTGTGGTTGAAGGAGTTACGTCAGTTGGAAATTTTGCTCATCTTTTGATATTTGTCAGAAGGCTGTTTATTCCCTTTTGAGTAGGTAAGAAAAAATAGCACTTATACAAAAAGATAATTATAGATTAAATTATAGACATTTAAAAGTCTTCTGATACTGTATTGTTTGCGGAGAGAAATGTGTGTTAGAATTAATAGGAGAACAAGGCATATTCTGAATGATAATCATGGGCATGCCTTGGGAAATCACTGCGTCTGTGTGTGTGTATGTGTGTGTGTATTTGTGTGTGGGCATATGGATTCGTTCCAGTTATCTACTCCTGATAACAAAATAGCCTTAAAACTCACTGGAGTAAAAAAGTCATTTTATTATGCTCATTAATTTGTGGATCAGAAATTTGGGCAGCTTATAAGAGAGATGGCTTGTCTCTGTTCCAAAATTAGATGAGGGTAGCTAGAGGTAGCTTAAGCTACCTCACACAGCTGGAGGTAGCTGAGACAGCTCAATGAGGGCCATATGAGTGGGCCCCAATTCTCTCCCTCATAACTGATGGGACTGGAATGTCCAAGGTGGTATCCTCACTCGTGTATCCAACACCTGTGCTAGGATAGTTGACATCACTCTATCTCCAATATGCCTTCTCCATGTAGCTACCTGGACTTCCCTGCAGTGTGACAGCCATAGAATGGCTGGACCTTTTATGCAACTATTGGCTCTTCTGAGAGCAAAAGCATCCAGAGAACCCAAACAGGAGCTGCTAGACTTTTAATGACCTTGTCTTGGAAGTCTCAAAACATCACTTTTGCAGCATTCTATTGGTCAACCAAGTAACCCAGGCCAGCCAGAGTTAAGGGGAAAGGGGAGAATTTGCGTAGTGGCGGGCGCCTGTAGTCCCAGCTACTTGGGAGGCTGAGGCAGGAGAATGGCGTGAACCCGGGAGGCGGAGCTTGCAGTGAGCCGAGATCCCGCCACTGCACTCCAGCCTGGGCGACCGAGCGAGACTCCGTCTCAAAAAAAAAAAAAAAAAAAAAAAAAAAAGAAAGGGGAGAATTTGACTGTGCCTCTATGAGAGAAGTAGCAAACAAGTTGTAGCCATTTTAATCTGCCATGATGGGTATATTGAAGAGGCAGGTTCAGTTGCATTGGGAAACCAAGCATCACAATGTGGGCTAACTGTAGAAGCGGGTGCAGTGGGGATGACCTCTTCTTTCTCTCTTTGGCTCCTAGACCAGAGTTGGAGGCATGCCTCAGACATTGCATCAAGAGGACATTGAAGTTATCAGACTCTGTGGGATTCACTGGTATAATACCAACCTGATGAGGCAGCAATACAAAAACAGAATAAACTCTTGGACAGAGCTGGTCCCTCAGGTTCACTAGACTTACTGGAATAAGGCTAGGAAACTTTGGAAGAAAAAAGAAAAAATTCACATTTTAGCAAGTGTGAATTCAGAGATGTAAAAAATATTTTAAAAAGACATCTGAAAATATTTGATAAACCAAGTTGGCAAAGGAAGATAGTTGGTTGTCATCATCTTCCAAAGTCCTTGTGCCTGTGTCATTTGTTCGCATATCTGATTACTAGCCAGAAACCTGTGTTTTCCTGAATATTGAACTTCTAATAGCAATTTATATTCAGTCACCAAGTTTTCTTTTTTAGCTAGATCTTTAGTAAAACATATGGTATTTGAAAGCACATAGAAAACAGTACATCTAACACTGCATGTGTGTATATTAGTGTGTGTATATATTTATGTTTGTATATGTTTGTGTGTGTGTTGTAGGAATACATATATTTAAGACATTAATGCCGATACCAGTGTAGATACAGAATAAAAATTTCTGGAATTTTTTTTTTTTTTTTTTTTTTTTTTTTTTTTTAACAAATTCTCAGTTTTCTTTAACCTTTTTGTCCACAGGCAATATATTATTGTAATAATTAAAATTATGTAGATTCCTGGTTAGGGCTCCCCAGCTCCCAAACCCCAAAGTTTGCTGTGAACACTACCAGGCATTACTTGTTTTACCCAATCACTGCTTCTATTATTGAAGGAGACATCTAAATTTGTTTTGTTGTCGTTGTTTCTTTTGTTTTTTATTATACTTAAAGTTCTAAGATACATGTGTACAATGTGCATGTTTGTTACATAGGTATACTTGTGCCATGTTGGTTTGCTGCACCCATCAACTTGGCATTTACATTAGGTATTTCTCCTAATGCTATCCCTCCCCCAGACATCTAAATTTGTAAGCAAATAAGCCATCGAAGTAACTCCTAAACACATATCTTTGTATTTGGCTAAACACAATCATAAAATTTCATTTGTAGTCTTCTTTTCAAAGGACAGAATCTTCATCCTCGATATTCTAACCCCAATTTAAAGACAAAAATTATATGAATATTTAGAGAAAATTTTATATTTGCAGAGTCCCTGATATTAGCAATTCTCTGAAAATTTAGCTTTTACTTTGCCTGCTTTTTACATGGGTAGTATACAATTTTTTATAGTTTTCTTCTTCCCTCAGGTCCAGAGACACATTCCTTCCTAAGCTGGGTTGGGGAGGGGTACTCAGTGGTAATCCTAAAGCAATCATAAGGAGAGTGAGTGTTCTACAAAGAAGTAAGGATATATAATATTTTTGCTGCTTGATTTTGTAAATTTTATGAGTCAACTTCAAATCTCTAAAGTGGATACATATATCTTTTCTAATGTGATGTTGTTCAATTTCATAGTAATTGACAGCACCATTTCTTTGTGGTTAATCCCTTATGTTAAATCACCATCTTCCACAAGGCAATAGGTCTCTATGGCAACCCACAAGCTCCCACTGTGAGAACTGTATCTCACCCAGTATGGCCAGAGGATCATTTCGTTCCACTTGGCTTCAGAAAATTTGCTCATACAATTTCCTTCATCCCTTCATCTATGAAGATCCTCTACTCACGCCGAGCCTCTCACCCATGGGCCTTTGCTGGGACTTAACCTTTTTTTTTTTCTATAAAGAGATAAGGAAAAACATCACTCAGTCTCAGAGCCATTTCAAAGTATTTTTCTAACTCTATTTTTGTTTCCAGATTTGCATTCTATGTTCTTCTTTTACCTATGCTAGGTCAAATGGATTGAATTTAGTTACTTTCTTCTAGATTACTCTTGCTGGGGAGGGGTTTTAGGATGCTTCTATCCTTTTCGTGTTGCCGGGTTGTTAGTTCTCAGAAGTGACTACTGGACTCAACTATTTGTATAGTTGGTAGTAATTAAAATAGAAAGGTGTATAAATAGAGTCCAGAGCAGAAATCATCTCACACAATTCCTAAGTCCACATTTATCGTGTGATGCCCTCAAGATTGCAGCTTCTGTGATGTTTACATGAGACTCCTGTTATTCAATTGCATATTAACAGTTCAGCAAATGCGGTGGGTCATTTTAAAATTGCTTGCTACGTAATTTCTTAGTAGACCATTTCCTTGAATTAAATCTATTGTATCTGGAGCAAAATGTAATTTTTCCTACTCCCTATGTTGCCTGCACAGTGCCAATTTCAACATACAAACTCATGCTCTTATAATAATGTTAGTATATAGAACTAACAAATTCTATAATGATTTGCCTATTGGCTTAAGGGGTGCCAGAAACTATTTTAGAGTTTGTAGGTTGCCTAAGAATACCCTAAAGATGCTGCATCGTTATGGGAGTGTGGGGTTATTTTTAAGGAGTTAATACGTATAAGAGCTAAGAACTCCGGAAACATAATGGGAACTCAAGAGATATTAACTACTATTATTATTATTATTGTTACAGCTATATCAGATTCTCTGATTGGTGCCAAAGGTGGTGGTTAATTTTTCTCATCCTTCCGTGTAGCTGTTCATTTTTATTTTTGGTATGCAAATACTGAAACATATTTCTCAACAGGAGCCAAAACCCATCAAGTATACACAGACTTAGAGTCAAATTTGCACTCTATCCCTTTGTCAGAACTGCCTGTATGAGAATACATTAAAATCCTGGAGAATAACATAATGGTACGGATAAATCATTAAGTATTAAACAATACTTCTGTGTGGAAAGGTACATAGGAAACGGAGAGAAAAAATTAAATGTCACTTTGTATTCAGTGAGCTTAAGGACTCCCTCCTACTCTGAATTTCCTTATGCATTTTACAGAACAGCAGAGATTAAATATTCACTGAATTGAAGACAAATATTAGAGCTGCCAAATGAAATTTCATGGCATATTTGTGAATACATTTAGTTAGTAAGCCTTGATTCAGAAATATTGTGTGGGTATGCTATAAAAGGACTTCGAGAGTCAGAAGCTCAAAATTTACTTCAAAAATTTAGATAACTGAAATTGGACATCTATTAACCCCTAATAATGTGTCAGACATAATATATATATGAATACGTATGATGTATATATAATATGTGCTACAGAAAATTACATGTACACAAATAAAGGGCACAATCGCCTAATTTCCTTTCTTGAAGGCTTTAACAAGTTTTCTATTTATGAGGCAAAATCCCAGAAATGTTACATAACAAGTCCTGGACAAGCTCTCAGCTGTTTACAGCAGTAAGCACTGCTATAAATGACATCTCTAAAGCAATTCTGAATCCTGCAGCTCAAAGGGCAGAGAGCCCTGGAACATTTTCCAAACTTGAAGCTGGGTATTGCTTCACAAGGTATGCCTTCCTAATGAGAGTGTTCAACCTAAGCTTTTATGAAAATTATTCCAATTAATAGTCTCATATGATGGATATGGGATTGTGGTTATGAATTTCCATTTCAGTTCACTTTATGCAAGAGCAATCATCCTTAAAGGCTCATAATTTCTTTTAATTGGATATTTCATTACCAGACAAGGTACAGAGAGCAAAACTAATTTTCCTTGCCTTTTATTTCGCCCACTTTATTTGGGAGTAAGCGCTTATGATACAGGCCTAAGAAGCAATCATTATTCCTGCTTCTGAAATTAATTTGCTGAACAATGGATTGCACATTATTTTATGTTCTATGCCTCAGTTTCTCTTTTTGCAAAATGGATTGTTGACAGTTAAACTTCAAAAATAAAAAATGGTACATTAAAGTGAACAAAATCTTCCCCTTTTAGGTTCTAAATATATTGCCATTCTCATTAAGAAAACCTATGCACACTTTACTTCCTTTATCTCCCTTTCATGTTCAAGCCTGGCTGCATTTTTCTCAGGAAAGTTTAGGATGGTGGAAAGAGTAGCTGATTAGGATTAGATGATGTTCAAATTAGTACTGGTTCTCTCATTTACTTGGCCACACAACCTTGACACCATCACAGAACTGTTTTAAGACTTGATTTCCTCATTTGCCCTCCTGCCCTGTTGGCTCTCACCACACATCAGGGAATTGCTGTTCATTGTCTGCTACACCACCAAAGAAGCATTCCACCCCTAACAATATGTCCTTATGGAGAAATTAGACTAATTCTGCCACGTGTCACATCAGTGCTTACCTTGGTCATTCACTGCCAGGACACAGGCCACTTCAGTCATCCATCATCATTCTGAACCTCATTCTTATGCTGTTCTTTACCTTCCCTTGTCTCCCCACTCTGCACTCCTAAATCTCTCCTCTACTCTCTTTGTGGTTTGCAAGATCTCTCATCCTTTAGTTCAGCCATTTTCTACTGTCTATCCATACTCTACTGAATTCATTTTTCTCCTTGCTTAGATCAAATTCCACTATTAGAATCATTCTCTTGCAACTAATCATAGTTCTATTGCATCCTTTTCCTTCTATTTCTTATTTTTCTTCTTATTTCTTGGGAAAAACTCAAACCTTGGATAAACATTACTCTTTCTATATATATTCTTCATGTCAACACTTGTGCAAGTTAAACATTGCTGGGGAAAAATCACATGGTTAAGGCTTCACTCTAATCATCTCAATTCTCAATTTGGGAATATCTATCTGCTAAAACCGCCAAAAGCTCTTTTCTACTCTCACATTCAACTGGAGACTTTGCCTCAAACTTAATGGAGAAAGTAGAAGTCATAAGAAGCAAACTCTCATATTTTCCCACCAGAAACCCTATAAACCTTCATAAAATTACTTTTTTCTTTTCTTTACCATCTTATCTTATTTAAAGTCCATTCTTTCTCTTTTCTCTATGGGATCATTCTAATTTTTTTTTTTAATTGCTAAATTCAACAGACATGTTTCTTTCCTCACTTTGCTCCATCTTTTCTAGAATTCGCAACAGTTAACCATATTCTCGTGGATTCACTCTCCTTTCTTAGCTTTGGTTATGACTCTGCCTTATGCTTTTCTTTCCATTTCACTGACTATTCTTTCCAGGCTCCTTTGTTAGCTCCTCTTTTCCCATTGATCTCCAGATGTGGGAGTGATTTGGAGTTCCATCCTGGTCCCTTTTCTTATAGTGGTATTTTCTCACTAGGTGATTTTCCCCCTTCCTTGCATTTATCTGCCATATTTGTGTTGATAAATTCAAAATTACCAGCAGAAATTTTAGGTTTACAGAGTCAGCTTTCTGCTTTTCATCTCAACTTGAATGTCTTGGAGATATCCTTAATATAACAGGAACATTAAACTCTAAAAGTAAATCAGAAAAACTAAACCCTTGTCTCTCATCTTCAACAGTGCTGTAACTTTGTAACTTCTCTTCTTAATAAATGGCAATATCGTTTTCCCTGTTGCTCAGATCAAAACCTAGGTACCATATATATGAATGTACGCCTTCAGTAAATCCATGTCACTGTCTTGCTGAAGAATTTCCATTGCCCTGAGATTAACCCAAACTATTTAACATGGTCAATTAATGGATCAACACTATTTAGCTCTCCCACTGAATGTCACACCATTGTCTTCCCAGATCCAGTAATGCTCCAGGAATGCTGATCTGTGTTTACTTCCTAGATCATGCTAAATTATTTCCTACCTCAGGACCTTGTCATGTTCTGTTGACTTGGAATTTCTTCTGTCACTTATTTTGTAATCATTTTTCCTTTTCCTTTGGATTTCAGCTTAAGCAAATCTCCTCAGAAGGGTGTTTCTAGCTGCCATATCTGAAATAAAATGTACTTTTCATCCCAATTCCATTATTGTCTGTCTTAGCAATTTATTTTTCCTCATGGAAAAATGATAAAACTTTTTTTTTTTTTTGAGATGGAGTTTTGCTCTTGCTGCTCAGGCCAGAGTGCAGTGGCGCAATCTCGGCTCACTGCAACTTCTGCCTCCCGGGTTCCAGCGATTCTCCTGTCTCAGCCACCCAAGTAGCTGGGATTACAAGTGCATGCCACCAGGCTTGGCTAATTTTTGTATTTTTAGTAGAGATGGGGTTTCATCATATTGGTCAGGCTGGTCTCGAACTCCTGGCCTCAGGTGATCCGCCCGCCTCAGCCTCCCAAAGTGCTGGGATTACAGTCATGAGCCACTGCACTCGGCCAAAACGGTTGTGCTATAGTGATTTATTGGCCCCTTAACCTATCTTCCGTATTATTTCCCCTCTAGTATCTAAGCTTCCTGTGGCAGAAACATGTTTGTCTTGTTATTGTTTCTTCCTTGGTGCCTGGTTCATTTCTGGGCATATACTAGTCACTCTATAAATATTCATTAATGAATGAATTAAATAATAAATGAGGAAAGAGGCCTATATGAAGTGAACGTGAGGGTCAAATAAAATTATATAGGCCAATCACCTTGGAAAATATTAAGGTGTTAAAGTAAGGCATTTTTATTCCATTTTTTTCTTTAGCGTGTGATAAACCTAAGACTATTTCCATCCTCCTATCTTCCACGCCACCTTTCTGCCCTCATTCATAAATCTTCTTTCTATCTCATGCAGGAAGCCTGCACAGACCAGGTGGGTTGGGAGAAAATTCTCACCTCCCTCACATATTTATGCCTAGCAACTGTCTTTCCCATATGTCCAATTATGTCTACATGATAAGAAAAGTAAAAATTATGTGAAAAAAAGCCCCAAAACCTTAATTAACTCTAAAGGATGAATGTTGATTTTTTTTCCTTTGTGTATATATGTCGGTGCAAGTGTGCTGTACACGAGGTTGCAACATGGGGTTGGGTTAGTATTGAGCTTGATGACCTTAAAGACTCCATTCACTCTGTGATCTTTGTTCTTTTAGGATTATGTAGGTTGCAGGCTTAGACACAAGATAGGCTTAAACGTTCAATAACGGAAGCCTTTTCTTCCTTGTTTCATAGGTTAACTTAAACCAGCATATCCTGCTTGTGGCATCCTTCAGTTTACGTATTGGTTAAAATAATTTCATCATTTTCCCCTTTCATGTGGGATACATTTTTTTACCATTAGCATATCACTCACAAGGTACCCTGTAAAACAGATCTTAACTATTCAGCTTTTCATTTTTTTTTAAACCTCTGTCCCATCTTTTCCAAACTACTCTGGAGACTTTGCAAAATTTATGGTTTACTGACTATGAACCTCATGTTCTCTCATTTCTGTACCACTTTGTTCATTTCATGGCTTTTTTCTGAAAGCTGTTAACCCTTTTGTCTTTTTACTCTAGAAAACATCCATTCATTTTTCAAAAATCAGCACAAATTCGACATCCTCTATGAAGATTTATTTAACCTCTCTAGAAAGAGTTAGGCACCACTCTCTTGAGGTGTCATGTCTTCAGGATATTCTTTAGAAATATCCACACCAATACTCATTTATGTTTGTCACCCACATCCTATTCTATGTGAATTATACTCTCTGAAGTACAGAGTGCACAGTCTTGTTGGCAAAATATGGTGACTATATTAATTTTTATGTTTCTAAACATATTACATTTCTAACCTTACATCACAGCCTTTAATCTTAAATACAATTTTGAACTTTTCAGTACATACTTGATTGCATTTTGGTTTGATTACACCCTCCCTCTGTACACACTATTTTCCTTATCATTGTAAGGAGCTCTACCATTTCCCTTGCCGCCATTTAAGTGCGGTGGAATTTTTAAAGCAATATACCTGTTATTTACTGATTTCCGTTTCTATCTCCCAGTTGGTTATAAATTTGGGAGTAGAAGACAACTACTACATATACGTCCTTTCAAATCTCAGCACTAATCTATAAAGCTCAGTTTTTCTTTGAGACACAGAAATTATTGTATTTTATTTCTTATAATTTCAACTTTATTTTAGATTTAGTCAGAATAGTAGCCATTCTGACTGTTATGAGATAATATCTCATTGTGGTTTTGATTTGCATTTTTCTGATGATTAGTGATGATGACCTTTCTTCATGTTTGTTTTTCATGCTTGTTTCTCATGTTTGTTGGCTGTTTGTATGTCTTCTTTTGAGATGTATCTGTTCATGTCTTTAATTCCTTTTTTAAGGGGGTTATTTGATTTTTGCTTGTTAGTTTGGGTTCTTCATAGATCTTGGATATTAGTCTATTGTCAGATGCATAGGTTATGAATATTTTCTCTTATTCTGTAGGTTGTCTGTTGATAGTTTCTTTTGCTGTGCAGAAGCTGTTTCACTTAATTAGGTCTCACTTGTTAATTTTTGTTTTTGTTGCAATTGCTTTTGAGGACTTAGTCATAAATTCTTTTCCAAGGCCAATGTCCAGAATGGTGTTTCCTAGGTTTTCTTCTAGGATTCTTAAAGTTTGAGTTCTTACATTTAAATCTTTAATCCATCTTGAATTAATTTTTGTATATGGTGAAAGGTAGGAGTCCACTTTCATATTTCTGCATATGGCTAGCCAGCTATCCCAGCACCATGTATTGAATAGGAAGTCTTTTCCCCATTGCTTATTTTTGTTGACTTTGTCAAAGATCAGATGGTTGTAGAAGTGCAGTTTATTTCCGGGTTCTCTAACCTGTTCCCTTCATCTGTGTATCTGTTGTTGTATCAGTACCATGCTGTTTTCGTTACTGTAGCTTTATGCTATAGTTTTAAGTGGGTAATGTATGCCTCTGGCTTTGTTCTTTTTTGCTTAGGATGGCTTTGGCAATTTGGGCTCATTTTTGGTTCCATAAGAATTTTAGAATAGTTTTTTCTAATTCTGTGAACAATGATGCTGGTAGTTTGATAGGAATAGTGTTGAATCTGTAGATGACTTTTGGCAGTATGGCCATTTTAATAATATTGATTCTTCCAATCCATGAGCATGGAATATTTCTCCATTTGTTTATGTCATCTATGATTTTTTTCAGTGTTGTTTTGTAGTTCTCCTTGTAGAGGCCTTTTAACTCCTTGGTTAGATATATTCCAAGGTGGTATTATTATTATTATTATTATTATTATTACTGGTGTGGCTACTGTAAATGAGATTACATTCTTGATTTGGCCTTCAGCTTGAATGTTATTGGTGTATAGAAATGCTACTGAGTTTTCTACATTGATTTTGTATCCTGAAACTTTACTGAAATCATTTGTCACTTCCAGGAGCCTTTGAAGGAGTCTTTAGGATTTTCTTTGTATAGAATCACATCATCAGTGAAGAGAGATTGACAAGCATTGCTTTAATGGTCAAAGGCTCATGAATAAAATTCAGGGCAGGCAGAGTTAAAATGTGGCAATTTTGCTAATAAAAATGTCTCTTTTTTGCCCGTTATAAAGTCTCAAATCATTTTAGTTCAGGTTAGTCTGCAGTGGCCCAGTTCTGTTGCTTTTTCTCAGTGAAATGTCATCTATAATTTAAAGTAATAAGCAAAGAATTAAAATAGAGTAAAGTACGTCTAGATCTTGTGATCAAGATTTGAGGAACATTTGTAGTTTATTAAAAATTATGTCACTTCTATTTAAAAGCAACAGGGTCCCTCTATAAATTCAGAAATTAATACTTTCTTGTTTTTGCTTATTTGAAAACCCTATTTAATGATAATTGCTCTTCCGTTGGTTTTGGTTATTTAAAAGCTAAAAAGGACAAATACTTCCCTTAAGAAATTTGTCTGCATTTAGCACTGTTGGTTGGCTAGAGGGTAATGTTCATGAAGCCAAAATCACAGGTTTGATGCAAATATCCACCAGAACCTTTGCTCTGGTATATGGCCTCAATTACACTTTTAACCCCAGAAAGTTGTCTTATGATTATGGACCAGTTACCTCAATAAACCCTTAGATGGGATCAGAATATATGGATGAAAGATCTACTGCCACTAACATAAAAACAACTTATGGTTTACTTTATTTATCAAAAAATTAGGTGAACTTCACCAATCTCATAGCATTAAGTATAATTTTTATGATGTTGACAGTGCTCTAATTTATATTTCTTCTCTTGACTCCAATTTCAACTCATATAACTGTTTTTATCTTCATTGGATATCTCTTTAGTGTTTCATATTTATAATGACCAACAAACAAAACAAATGAAGCTATCAAATTAAAAATAAAAAACCCTCCTGCTTTCACTTCCTACCCAACTTGTTTTTTCCTCAAGGCTTCTCCATTTTGGTGAAGGACACTAGCATCTACCCAGTTGTTCAAGCTCTAAACCTAGGAGTCGTTTTCAGTTTCTCTCTACTCTCCTCCTTCAATCTATCTGATATGCTTTAGTTCTGTGTCACACCCAAACTCATCTCGAATTGCCACGTATAAAGGGAGGGACCTGGTGGGAGGTGACTGGATCATGGGAGTGTATTTCCCTTTTGCTGTTCTCATGATAGTGAGTGAGTTCTCACGAGATCTGGTTGTTTGATAAATGTCTGGTGCTTCCCCCTCTCTCCTGCCACCATGTAAGACACGTCTTGCTTCTCCTTTGTCTTCCACCATGATTGCAAGTTTTCTGAGGCATCCCTAGCCATGTGGAACTGTGAGTCAGTTAAACACCTTTTGCTTATAAATTACCCAGCCTCAGGTAGTATCTTTATAATAGTGTGAAAACAGACTAATACAGAGAATTGGTACTGGGATAGTGTGGGGAACTGCTATAAAAGATACCTAAAAATAGGTTGGGCGCGGTAGCTCACGCCAGTAATCCCAGCACTTTGGGAGGCCGAGGTGGGCGGATCACGAGGTCAGGAGATCAAGACCATCCTGGCTAACATGGTGAAACCCTGTCTCTACTAAAAATACAAAAAATTAGCTGGGTGTGGTGGCGGGCGCCTGTAGTCCCAGGTACTCAGGAGGCTGAGATAGGAGAATGGTGTGAACCCGGGAGGCAGAGCTTGCAGTGAGCTGAGGTCGCACCACTGCACTCCAGCCTGGGAACAGCAAGACTGTCAAAAAAAAAAAAAAAACCAGGCCGGGCGCGGTGGCTCACGCCTGTAATCCCAGCACTTTGGGAGGCCGAGGCGGGCGGATCACGAGGTCAGGAGATCGAGACCATCCCGGCTAAAACAGTGAAACCCCGTCGCTACTAAAAATACAAAAAATTAGCCGGGCGTAGTGGCGGGCGCCTGTAGTCCCAGCTACTTGGGAGGCTGAGGCAGGAGAATGGCGTGAACCCGGGAGGCGGAGCTTGCAGTGAGCCGAGATCCCGCCACTGCACTCCAGCCTGGGCGACAGAGCGAGACTCCGTCTCAAAAAAAAAAAAAAAAAAAACCTAAAAATGTGGAAGCAACTTTGGAACTGGGTAAGAGGCAGAGGTTGAAACAGTTTGGAGGACTTAACAGAAGACAGGAAGATGTGGGAAAGTTTGGAGCTTCCTAGAGACTTGTTGAATGGTTTTGACCAAAATCCTGATTCATATGGACAATGAAGACCAGGCTGAGGTGGTCTCAGATGAAGATGAGGAACTTATTGAAAATTGGAGCAATGGTGACTCTTGCTATGCTTTAGCAAAGAAACTGGCAGCATTTTGCCCCTGCAGTAGAAACCTGTGGAACATTGAACTCGAGAGAGATAATTTAGGGTATCTGGCAGAAGAAATTTGTAAGCAGCAAAACATTCAAGAGATGACCTGGCTTTTCCTGAAAGTGTCCAGTTATATGCATTCACAAAGACATGGTTTGAAATCGGAATTTATGTATACATGAGAAGCAGAGCATAAAGGTTTGGAAAATTTGCAGCCTGACCATGTAGTAATACAGAAAAACCTATTTTCTGGGGAGGAATTCAAGCCGGCTGCAGAAATTTGCCTAAGAGATGCTGAATGTTAATAGCCAAGATAATGGGGAAAATGTCTCCAGGGCATGTCATGTCAGAGACCTTCATGGCAGCCCCTCCCATCACAGGCCTGGAGGCTTAAAAGAGAAAAATGGTTTTGGGGGTAAGGTCCTGGGCTCTGCTGCTCTGTGCAGCCTCAGGAGTTGATGCCCTGTGTTCCAGCTGCTCTAGCTCCAGCTGTAGCTAAAAGGGGCCAACTTGAAGCTTGGGCCATTGTTTCAGAGTGTGCAAGTCTCAAGCTTTGGCAGCTTCCACATGGTGTTGGGCCTGCAGGTGTGCGGAAGGCAAGAATTGAGGTTTGGGAACCACTGCCTAGATTTCAGAGGATGTATAGAAATGCCTGGATGTCCAGGCATAAGTCTGCTGCAGGGGCAGAGCCCTCATGGAGAACCTCTGTTAGGGCAATGTGGAAGGGAAATGTTAGGTTGGAGCCCCCACACAGAGTCCGCACTTGGGCACTGCCTAATGGAGCTGTGTGAAGAGGACCACCATGCTTCAGAGCTCGGATCCACTGACAGCTTGCACTGTGTGCCCGGAAAGGCTGCAGGCACTCAATGCCAGCCCATGAAAGCAGCTGTGGGGCTGTACCCTGCAGAACCACAGGGGTGGAGCTCCCCAAGGCCTTGGGAGCCCACCTCTTCCATTAGCATGGCCTGGATCTGAGACATGGAATCAAAGAAGATATTGGAGCTTTAAGATTTAATGAATGACTGGCTGGGTTTCAGATATTCATGGGGTCTGTGGCCCCTTTGTTTTGGTCAATTTCTCCCATTTGTAACAGGAACTTTTTACACAATGCCTGTGCCCCCATTGTATCTTGGAAGTAACTAACTTGTTTTTTATTTTACATGCTTATAGGCTGAAGGGACTGTTGTCTGCTGCTCATATCCCTCTGCAAAGAGGCATAGCCATAAAGTCTTTTCTCCACCATTCAAAACTGACAGATACACATAATCTTCAAATAACTAAGAAAGTTTTTTTATTTCCATAGGTTTTTGGGAAACAGGCAGTATTTGGTTACACGAGTAAGTTCTTTTTCTTTTTGAGTTGGAGTTTTGCTCTTGTTGTCCAAGCTGGAGTGCAATAGTGTGATCTCCATTCACTGCAACCTCTGCCTTCCAGGTTTAAGTGATTCTCCTACCTCAGCCTCCTGAGTAGCTGGGATTACAGGCATGCACCACCACACCCAGCTAATTTACTGTATTTTTAGCAGAGACAGGGTTTCTCCATATTAGTCAGGCTGATCTCGAACTCCCGACCTCAGGTGATCTGCCTGCCTTGTCCTCCCAAAGTACTGGAATTACAGGCGTGAGCCACCACACCCAGCCATGAGTAAGTTCTTTAGTGGTGATTTGTGAGATTTTAGTGCAGCTATCACCTGAGCAGTATACACTGAACCAAATTTTTAGTATCTTATTCCACACCCCTTTCCCTCCATTTTCCCCTGAGTCCTCAAAGTCCATTGTGTCATTCTTATGCCTTTGCATCCTCATAGCTTAGCTCCCACTTATGAATGAGAACACATGATGTTGGTTTCCCATTTCTGAGTTACTTCACTTTGAATAATAGTCTCCAATCCCATCCAGGTTGCTGTGAATGCCATAGAATTCCATGACCAAGAACCCAAAAGCAAATGCAATAAAAACAAAGGCAAATAGGTGGGACTTAATTAAACTAAAGAGCTTTTGCATGGCAAAAGGACAGTCAGCAGAGTAAACAGACAATCCAGGAGTGGGAGAAAATCTTCACAATCTATGCATCTGATTAAGGACTAATATCCAGAATCTACAATGAAGTCAAACAAATTAGCAAGAAAAAAATACAAACAATCCCATCAAAAAGTGGGCTAAGGACATGAATACACAAAAGTAATATTTCTTGGTGGACAAAAGTACCAATGACTATACACTATTCTCATTACATTACTTTGTAAAAGGCATACTTAATGTTCAAGGGCACAGATGATTCTTTGGATGGCTTAGTCTCAAATATCCTGTTGTTAAGGTTGCAGTATAGATCTGACATCAGGATGGATATTTTCAGTATTTCTTCAGTAATAATATTCAGTGTTAAAATTTTCCAAGTGTGTACTCTCAATGAGATAGCCCAGACAGGTGGCTAGGGCCATGGGTAAAGAGCTTTCTGTCTGAGTAAAAATGATATTTCTGAGGTGGTTTGTAATGCCATGATCCACGTGGCATCAAGTTCATGAAAGAATATACACACCTCAGGAGGTACTCTTCCATATATCTTAAAATAGTATACTTCAGGCCGGGCGCGGTGGCTCACGCCTGTAATCCCAGCACTTTGGGAGGCCGAGGCGGGCGGATCACGAAGTCAGGAGATCGAGACCATCCTGGCTAACATGGTGAAACCCTGTCTCTATTAAAAATACAAAAACAAAATTAGCCGGGCGTGGTGGCAGGTGCCTGTAGTCCCAGCTACTCGGGAGGCTGAGGCAGGAGAATGGCGTGAACCCGGGAGGCAGAGCTTGCAGTGAGCCGAGATTGCGCCACTGCACTCCAGCCTGGGTGACAGAGTGAGACTCCGTCTCAAAAAAAAAAAAAAAAAAAAAATAGTATACTTCATGTCCTCAACTTTTAAACAAGTTTCACTCATTAATAAATCACATTGCATTGAAATTCCATTTCTACATCCCTTAAATGACATTTGTCAAATGTAAACTATTGAGCATTTTAGGGTCTCATTTTTTCTTTTTTTTTTTTTTTTAACAAGTATTAGGGTTAAGTCAGACTATTTATCAGACCTTTCAAATTCTAAACTCTGTAATTTTTCAAAACAGGTAGGTATGGGGGCAGCAGGAGTGTTTAGCTTCTGGATTAGCCCCCTTATGAGCCTGTAATATCAACAAGACACCAGCTTAGCTGCAGCAGAGTCCAAAAGACTCCCAGGCTGGGTGGTTTTCTTGTAAGTTTTGGTCACCAATTCTCAAACAAGAAATCACAGAAAAACTATCTCATCATCTTCACAGTTGGGGAGAATTATTGTACTACCTAAATTAGGCCAAGGACTGAGCCACAGTGGGGACTGAACTGCCTCTTTAAAAGCTGCAGTCTCTCCAAGTCAGGGTAAAGGGCATCATCAGAAGAAATCCACATCAAGGCTAATGAGGACTTTACTGAAAGCAGCCATGGAAATACTTTAGAAAAACTACCTTCCTGCTAGTGCCTGAATTTAAACTCTGCCATTCTCGAACAAAATACTTTACTTGTGTCTCCTACCTGCCACCAACCCACTAACTTAATTCAGAGGAAAGGAGAATTGGTGCTGGCTGTGTTGTCCCACCCTTCTCTCCCCTTTCACCTTCAGGACAGCATGGCAGGACTTAACTGCAGACCAATATTTTCATTAGAAGGAACAAGCTGCCTGTAGATGTTTCCTTAGAACGCCGTTGTGCTCTGAAGAGCTTCTTGCTGACCACTGCCTCCATATCAGTGATTCCACCCTCGACCATAAGCTCCATGAGGGTAAGAATCAAGTTCTTGTTTTGTTTTGTTTTTTTACCGTGTGGACTCAGTGACTAGCACAGGCTGTGACACTTCACTGAAACCTGATTCATGGTTTTTTTTGGGTGAAATAATGGTCTTCTATATGAATTGTCAGGAAGCATTGTGCTAATCTAGGTTTTCCACGTGCTATTCTTGATGGGGGGACTATACTCTAGGCCAGGGTATAACAAGAATTTTCTGTAAAGAGCTGGATGAAAAATATTTTCAGCTCTGTGGGTCACATGGTCCCTGTTGCAACTACTTAACCCTGCCATTTTAGTGTGAAAGCAGCCATAAGACAATATCTAAATGAAGGAGTGTCACTGTGTTCTAATAAAACTTTATTTATAAAACCAGGTGGCAGGCTAGTTTTAGCCCATGGACTAATGGTTACGGTTCCCTGTTTTAGGTATAACAAACGGCATGAAAATAACTTGGTTAAAATATGCAAGAATATAGGTATACTCTCATTTCATCACCATTCTGAGGAAGTATTCAGGTCCCATATATGGCTTCCCTCAAGCCAGACATGCAAGACTTTCATATCATAATCAAGATGACAAGATGATCAGTTAATCAGTCAGCCATATACTGATTACTTACGAGTACTCAGTCCCCATGTTTTGTCACACTTTGGCAAAAAGTTGTTAGACTCTATATCAAAGTGCTAAGAAACAAATCATGTCTTATGAAAATTTTCATTTCAATTGTGAGAAAAAACAATATTTAAAAGGAACTGATAAGAAACCAAATTATTAAGAGTCTGTCAAACATGTTTTACAACTGTGAGGTTCAGTTCATAAAATCTCTTTTTTTAAATCAGTTTTTTTCCTGCCAAAAGAGGTATGAAAAATCTCCAAATGAGTCAAATATTATAATATTCCTGAGTCGGAAATAAAAATAGGTTAAAAAAGTGAAATTTTAAGCTCACCTGGATCTTGCAGATTCACTTTAATATCCTAGCAGTTTTCAACTTCCATTCAGGAGGTGACATTACAGCATGACAAGGTGTGTGAAAAGGAGGAGAAAGAAATAAGAATTTCAAAGGGAAACTCAAGGAGTTCTGTCTCAGAGAGTACTTGCTTCACTTCTTTTGTATTTTTAAATAAGGTTTATGTTTTAGAGCAGTTGTTTACAGCATAACTGAGCAGCAGATACAGAGATTTCGCTTCCCATATTTCTCCTGCCCTCCAACATGCACAGCCTCCCCCATTGTCAACATCCCCTACCTGAGTGGTACATTTATTGCAACTGATGAACCTACATTGACACATTGTTGTCACCAAAAGTCCACAGTTTACATTAGGGTCCACTCTTGGTGTTGTACATTCTGTGCGTTTGGACAAATATATAATGGTGTATGCACCTTTATAGTATCATAAAAATTAGTTTCACTGCCCTAAAAATCCTACATGCTCTGCTTTCACTTCCTCCTTGTTGTCATTGGCAGAGGGAAAAGGGAACTATCAAGGAAAGATAGTGCTCTTACATGTCTTTACTGTTCTAGGTCACCAGATAGAATTAGCAGCAGTCTGTACTTACTTTGTAAGGAATAATTATGTCTATAAAATAATTAAGAAATGGAGATATTTTATTTGAAATCATCTTCATTTTCTTGGCTGTTACTGATAACTTTCTATAAAGCTTCTTTAATGGGTACTCAGAATATGATAAAAAAGAATTAGTGAATAGCTGTGATGTGCATGGAATCATGACATCATTGGTTCCTCCCTTTGCAAACTACAGCCTGGAAACTTTAACATAATAGTTATTATTTGGAAGGCAGCATATATTCTTGTAAGAGTCAGAATATATATGGTGTATTAGGAAAGATTCTTAGTGTAAGCTATAAACACCAACCCTAGGTAATAAGAACAAATAAATTTATTGGAAGGATATTAGCAGGTTTACAGAGGTCCTGGGTACTTGAAAAAGGAGGCATGAACCTAGGAGAATCTGGAGAACCAGGAAAGGTAGTGGGGGCATAGCAATGGCCTTGGGGCTGAGCACTCTTGCCAGGATGCCAGTATTATCACCATTGTTTCATTGCTTCTGCTACAACCACACAATGAATAACTTCCAGTCCTCTCCATTCTTTCATCACTGAATCAAGATTTAAGCACCAGGAGTAAGCATCCAATAGCCTAACATTAGGCCATTTGCCCTTGCTCAGATACTGCTAGGAGGAGCAGAGAAACCAAAATCTTGAATTACCCACCTATGAAGACTACATATAATGGGAGGCTCAGTGATTCCTCTGAACAATCAAAGTGCTGGTAGGAAGGGGGAAGGTGCAGAGTAGCCAAATAATGGCAAATGTCCTCTTTATTCACATGCCGAAAATACCAGTAGAATTTTGGAAATTATTTCAGTTTATTGACCAAAAACTGCCTCTATTGATCATTTAAAGGTCCATTTCCTCCTACTTTAACATCCAACCTCAATTCAGCAAATTCACTGAAAAATTTTGAAGAGAGAGTCACTGAGACTCAAAGTTAAGTCAGAAACAATTTTTGTTTATAATAAATTTTTGGTCTGGTAGGGACAAGAGGAAATTGATACAAGTTATTATAACACAGTGAGTAGTAATTGCTAAATTGATGGATAAGTGATAATAGGATTACCTAAGAGATAGATAACTATTTCAGTGGGTGGGTCAATGTAGACTTCATAGATGAGGCATTTTGAGATGAATCTCAGAGGAGGCTAATATTTTGACACGTAGAAATGGAGCCCAAGAGCATTCCAGTCATGAGCTAAGATAAGAATTTGAGAAAAAGGTACAATACCATTGCAATGCATCATGTGATGAGCTAGCTACTTAAAAATATGCAAGGTGAGGAGCTGTGGGCATCAGCACCATGAGAACTAGGTGGGAGCTGACCACAGTGACTCTGGTAGGGATGAAGCACAACCTTTATACTGTAGGTGGTCAAAAACAGTGCAAGGTCAATATCAGTGTGTGAGCAGAGTAGGGACCTGATCATCAGTACACTGAAGACAATTTACTGTGGAATAGTGTACAGGACGGAATGAGATTGGAGAATTTAAAGGCAGGAAGTCTTTCAAAGAAGACATTGCAAAAACCTAATCTGAGAATGTCTGGTAACTAAACAAAGGCAATGTGAACAGAAAAGAGAACATAGATGTGCAAGCCATTGTCAAGAAAGTTAGCTGCACTGAGTGATAGAGAAGGAAGTATATTCTAGTTGAAATGCAGATTTGGAATCAGTTTGAATGTAATGTCTGGTTAAAGGTGCTATCTAAGGAACTTGAATTACTGAGGCAAGTCTTCTAAGTTCAGTTTTAGAGATGTTGAGTTTGATATGCCATAGACATCTAAAAATAGTGATGTCTAATAGGTAGTTGAAAATGTAGATGAGGAGGTAAAAAAAGTGACTGAGACTACTGGTATGGTTAAAGGAGTCGTATAGGTAACATAAATGATGCAAGATGAAAACACATAACATAGACACATATAAAATTGAGATAATTTTTCTTAAATTCCAAAATAAAAATTGCAAATAGAACATTATACTCATGTATTATATTTCATAATTTTTATTTTTGTTGACTTGGAACCACCCTTACAGTGTTGTTTTAATGAACAAAAATGTGACTAAGTTTTGCATTTTGAATTTCAATATACAAAAAACATTCAACTGTGATATTTTTAAATGGGGCAATGTTCAGTTTTATTCATTTTCATAATTTAAAAACAACGAAAATAGGGAATTCTGAATATGGATAGTATTTTGGCATGGTTGTTTTTGCATTTAGCACAACTTTATCTGATACACTTGTAGACTTCTGATTTTTTAATATCATCATATTTGTTTTTCAGTTTTGTTGTGCTCCAGCTCATTATCTCTCACTTGCTTCTTCATTCGCAGAGGAAAGCTCACGCAAAATATTAGGTAATTTTTATAAAATGTAGAGTCAGGTAATATATTTTGAAAGTCAGTTCTTAACTGTACAATTTTGAGAATGTAGTTGAGGCTGTACTTTCATTTCTGAAAACCAATTTTAGGGCAGAAAGGTGGGCTAGTTATAATTATTATACCTTAGCTAAGATCTTCCCAAAGCCACAATTTTTCTGCAGATATGTGAATAGAGTCATACATTTTGTGGAAAGTATATTTGAACACTGATACAAAGAAATATTTAGGATTTAGATTGGCTGTAGTATCAACCAAGAAGATCAAGTCTGATCCAGTTTTGACTGGGGAACAGAGGCTGGAAGTTTTCCTTGAGTAACACAGGCAAGTTTCTTTGAATAGTTAAAAACTTCTCTTTAGCCTCATGTCACCACTAAGCCAGCTGTTTTCAAGTAGTGCAGCCTCTAATTCATCAAGCCAATCACCGTATTGCCTGTGATTCAGACAGTCCATATGGTAATGGCTACCTTGACGATGAGTTTCATTTTTAACTTTTAAGATCTCCCTGGTGAGTGATGCATTGGTCAGGCTTATGTTCTGTAACCTAGGAACATGTTGTTACCTTGAATTAAACTTGTATATCACTGACCATTACAGAATCACTGGCTGTAGTCTTGACTACTAATTTTGAGTAGTCCAACATGGACATTTTCCTAACACACAAAAGCAAGTCATTTCCTGATGTTATTTCTAGCATGGGCATCCTGCCCAAAAGTCCTTCGGTCACATCAAAATTCTCTTCGACATCATGAATAAATATAGCTAATTGGGTGGTATTATTTATATCTGTGCTTTCATCAGCTGCCATAGAATATGCCACAAAAGATTTAACTTTTTCATGCATTGTGTCCTGTAAGTTCTTAGCTAAGTCTACAATACATTGAACTACAGCATTTCTGGCTAGACATATTTTTGCAATTGATTATTTCTGTTTGATGCACATACTTTCTAATGCATTTTGTAGACAGTTTATAAAAATAAGCTTACCACCTGAAAAAGGTTTTGAAGTCCCAGGAAACATTCACTTAATACATAATGACGTTGCATGATAGCATTGCTTATTTTATCCACCAAAAATGTTTAGAAATTTCAGTCCTTTAAAGTTGACTTATTTTTCATCACTCATCATTTCTGTATATTGATAATAGTTCTTACCTTGGGTCATCTCATAATGGTGCATTAGTCATATTCTTCTGATACCTTCTTTGCATAATGAACATATTATATTCACATTTTTTAAAAACACATATTCCCCTTGGTTTGTCCCTCTTCACCCCATTTTAGATAGTGAAATGGGTATCAAGAAAGACTGTTTACTCTAAGAAACCAACAGAACTAGTGGTATAATGATGAATAGCCACTTCATTCTGCCTTCAGTTCTGGCTCAATAGGGATTAATGGGGACAGTGGTAAACTAGATCGGGAATTCTCACATAAAGGGGATTCCAAGTATATATAATTTATCTAGTTATCATATAGTTATTGATTTTTTGTTTAGTTGCAATTTGGTCAGAGACTGTGGTCTGGATGATACCAGTCCTTTAAAATGTAATGAAACTTGTTATATGTATGGTATCATAATATTAAGGAAATTTTTATAAATGTTCCATATGTGCTTCACAATGATGTGTATTCTACAGGCATGGAGTACAGTATTTCATGTAACTTCATACATCAAACTTGCCAGTGTTGTACAAATTTCCATGTACTTACTGACTCCTGTTTGCTTGACCTATTGGTTTCAGAGTGATATGTTAAAATCTCTTTCAGTGTGAACTTACCTGTTTCTACCTGGGGTTATGCAGTTTTTGCTTTATGTCTTATATTTTTATGCTATGGAATTAGGTGCATATATATATTTAGAACTGAGGAATCAATCATTCTATTATAACTCCCCTTACTTATTACAATGCTTTTTATTTAATGCTTTCTTTGTCATTAACATACCTATGCTTGTTTGTTTTGCTTAGTATTTGCCAGATAATATCTTTGACTTTCAATGTTTGTGACTTTATACGTATATTTACTAGATGTATCTCTTTTATGTTTCATAAGGTTAAATAAATATAAAACCTGGTGCTGTTGCTTCCACTAGGGAGTCATGTTGCCGTTTTATAATGATGAATTTGAAATTGCTTTCTCTCTCTCTCATTCTCTCTCTACTTTTTATTTTGAAGTAATTTCAGAGTCATGGAAAAGTTGTACAACAGTATAACACCTGCATACCGTCTACTCAGGTTCCACTGTGTTAATATTTGACCGCATTTCCTTTACATTCTCTCTGTGTCTCTATCAGTCTGTCTGTCTAGCTTTTTCTATATTTTTGTACCATTTGAAAATGTTTTTTGATATGATATCTCATTATCCTTAAATTGCTCAGTGTATATTTTTCTAAAAGATACTCTCCTACGTTACCATAGTATATCCATAAAAATCAGAAAATTAACATTGGTAAAATACAACCACCTTACCCTAAAACTCCATTCGCATTTTTTCTACTATCCTAATGCAGTCATTTATTGAACAAAGCAAACAAAAAAATCAGTCAATCAAACAAAACCTCCTTTTTTATCTCTTTCCTTTCTGGTACAACATTCAATCTGGGATCATGCATAGGATTTAGTTGTCAAGTCTTCTTAGCCTCCTTCAGTCTCTTCAGTCTAGAACAATTTATCAATCTATCCTTGTCTTTCATGACTTAATATTTTTGAAGTGTGGAGGCCGGTTAATTTTATTACCTATTTGTTAAATATTTCCTGATGATTCAATTCACATTATGCAATTTTGGCAGAAATATCAGACTTGAGATGCTATTTAATATGATGTTATTTGTCTCATTAATGTTAATGTTAAATTTTAGAAGTTTAAAAGTGGTGTCTGCCAGATTCTTCACTGTAAAGTCAATTAAAATTATTTCTCACTTATAAATTATTAATTATTATTATATTTCCTACAGAGATGATTTGAGATTATGAAAATAAACTCTTCCTTATCACACTTTTACCCATTGATTTGAACATCCATTATTGATTATTTTTAATTTATTATTTAATTGCAGAATTATGGGGTAAAATAAAAGTTGAACAATTAGGATCCAAATGAACTTTTAATTTTTCTCTTTAAAAAATGGATGAGCAAAGAGTCTGCTGTTCTCTAGGGTTTGGCCTCAGTCTGTGGACCGTCTGGTTTTGGAGTCACTTCAGGTTGGGTATTTCTTAACTATGCCCAACCTTGGAGTTACTCAATCAAAATTCCTGGAGGTTGGGAAATAGGAACCTTCCTTTTTAACAGATTTCCAGGTGATTCATAAATATAGAGAACTGCTCTAATAAGAGTCAAGTGACCTTTGGTTTAAGGATGCCTAACACCTGCAAATTGTGGATAAAGGATACAGAAGTTGCTTTTAATGTAATGGGTTATAAATATTACATCAGACACGCCATTGAGACAGGATAGATTTATCCAACTTAGAATGTTCACATTCTGCCCCAAAATAGATGAATGTGCAGCAAACCATTTAAGCAGAAGGCTCTTCTGCTCTACATAATGCAACAAGTGAAGTGGAAAAAAAATCCCTTTCTCTGTAGTCCTAAGGTCTCCACACACAGTCTAAATTTTTAATTTTTCTTAGTGAATATTAAAGCAGATAGCAGTTCAGTCCTTTCTACTTTATTCCAAGCCTCCCATCTTCAGCCCCTTATTTCCTCTGCTTTCCAGTAGCAAACACACTATTATCCATTCAGTTGCTAGGTTCTTTGTCTCTTGAAAGCTTCTGCTGCTGTGAATCATGAAAGAAAATTCTGTCTTTGTGTATATCACCTTTTTAGTGCTGTTTTACCTTGGAAAATTTATCTGAACCATGGCCTCAGACCTGTTACTTCTGGCCACTTTTATTATCGTCGCTGGTATGAATTGGCATCCCATGAACTTTTCACAATTATAGTCCTATTTCAAATCTCCCCCAAGTGCCATAACTTTGCCCAAGTGAATTTATTAAGTGCTCTTTAATCAGCTCAAGCTTAAATCTCATGAGTAAAATGCAGCCTGGGCTCCTTCAGTTAATATTAATGCTTTTCCCCATTCAGACTTTCCTGTAATTCAACCATAGGGTATTTCATTGCAAGAAAATTAGCTACCAAACATGAGGACTCACAGGTTTTCCTGGCTTTAGGTAGAGTGACATTTTTTGAGGTCCTATTTATTTAATATGACAGACACATAGAATTATGTTTTCATTTAAAGACTATTCTTTACAATTCTGAATAGAATATTGTCATCTTAAATCAAAACATATGAAAGACGGTAGTGTGAAAATCTCCTTAGAATACAAAGATAAGAACTTTAAAGACAGAAAAAATCTTGCCATTTCTAGAGTTTTAACCAAAAAGCAGGATGATGAAATAAACAGCAAAAGTAAGTTTGGTTTAAAAATTTTTATATTTACCTAAGAGTTCATCACTACATTAACTGGTTTTCTTTTATTGGTTTATCTATTGTATACCCGAAACTGAAACTTTATATACATGTACCATATGACTTTGACATAGCTGATTTTACAGGTGAAAATGAAAGCTCTGGAAGACTAAGTAACTTTCCATAATATTAGAAACCGCCACACTAGTCTAATTCTGAAATCCTGCCTTTTCTTTTCTATCATCCTACTCATTAAGCCTTCCATGATAGCAGGTACAGAAATATGGTCCTTGGTGATGCCCAATATTGGCATAAATCTCACCCTATTAGGTTAAAGTGACAGAAAATGTAAATGTTCTTAATTTCTAAAAGAAAAATGAAAAAAAGAATTATTGTTAGATTTTCCTTTGCATCAAAAACAAAAGAAGATTCTTTGCAAATGAAATATTTCCCACTTCTTGTTTAGGAGATTATGATGAGAAAATTATATTTCTTAGAAGAATTTGTAAGCTTAAAAACTCCATGTGCCTTGAGTTATGCTGGCAAACCCAAGTGCTTATTGGTTTTCTTCCTATGTTGATGAACAAGAGCAGTGTTAGAAAAAACAAATAAATAAAGTAGAAAGGTTTTAAATGTTCCATTATTTTGCAGCATTGGCAATTTGTACATTTCGGCACTATGTATGACCAGGCGTATGTGAGCCTACAACTTGTGGACCAACATACCTATTCCCTTCTTTCCTCCCTTCCTCCACCCTCCCCTTCCCTCTTCTCTACTTTCCTCCCATTCACTTTTTTGTCTCTGTCACTCTGCATTATATTTCTAATCTTCTTGCTTGCAACTTAGAAATACCCACTTATATTCATTGTGAATTGTGCCCATGCCAACTACCCTCACCTCCTTTCAATATGCATAATGTTTAGTCATTTTGCCAGGTTTTGATAAATAAAAAATAATGTTTATAATTTCATCAAAAATCTTGTTTTACTTTACAATTTATTAATAAAACCAGCACCTTACCAGATAAACTCCTAAGAAATAATTACCTTTTAATTTGAGGTTTGAAGGATTTTCAAACAAAATATGTTTGTGTTATTGAGAAAGAAGCTATAATAAGAAAAAAATTAATTTCCAGTTCATATTTTATCATTGAAAAAGTGGATGGTATAAAATTATACCATCCACTTTTTCAATGATAAAAGTAATTCAATATTCTGCTTGAAATTATGGAAAAGCATATTGAATAAAATAAAAATTTCCTGCCATCCCATGAATGAGAAAAATATACTCTTATCTAAGTTTTACTTCATTTTTCTTTTAGTTAACTCCCAGTCACTCCTTAGAGTTGTCAGCTAAAACAATCAAGTCATTCTTCCTTATCCCCCCTCCCTAACCCAATTGGATCTGGTTTCCTGTTAGATAACTTTCTATGCTTCTCATTCATATTTCATAAGCACTGCAGATGTAATGAATTGTTTATTATTATCTGTCTCCATCTAAGGCATAGGCTGTGAGTTGTTTAGTTGCAGTGGTCCAGCTCTTAGTAAAATGAACAAACATAAATATGTAAAATTTTGAATTATGCTCTATTAGTTCTATAATCTGTTTATAATTTAACATATTACAATCAACTTCCCTTGTTATTAAATATTTTTGAATCTATACATATTTGTTTTATTGATCTATGTGTATAACTATAGGTAGATTTCCACTTTAGTCAAATATGTTAATTATTTTCAGATGGGTTCTGTCTATATGACAATGCATTAGATATACACATATGTTTACCAACATTTTTCTAATATTTTATGGGGTTGTTTATATTTAAACCTTTAATTCTTCTAGAATTATTTTTTCTTAAACTTCTTGTTATAAAAGTGTAGAGAATAGTATAATGAACCTTCATGTACATTACAATCCAGATTCACAATTATAAATTTATGGTCAATTCTGTTTCATTTATACCCCTATCCACTTTACCCTCAGTTATTTTGAGACAAATCCTAGACGTCATCTTATTCATCTGCAAATATTTCTTTAGGAATCTGTAAAAGATAAAGGCTCTTTAAAATGATATGACCACATTACTATTGTCACATCTAAAACAAGCAGTCATTCCTTATAATATTAATTTTTCTCTTATTGAATGAAGCAGAAATTTCTATCATTTCCTCCTGGCTTCTTAGCATCTGTCTCATTACCAGTGTATGAATGACGTGTATTTTTCAGTGTAGTTATCTTTCTCTTTACAGAAACTCAGCAGAAGAGACCACCATTCTTTCTTTCTTTCTGTCCAGCTTGGCATTCATGTGTTTGGCTGTACTAGTTATCTGCCTTCTTCTTGGTCTTCTTTCTGTGGATCCCTGCTGTCTTTCAGCTGACAGGAGCAGTTTTTACAAACCTGGGGCCTTGGAGCATCTGTTGAGTGCTGTTAATAAGCTGTAACTTACATGCTTTATGCAGTGTTGAGTTGAATTATAAGTTGAGCCATGTCCTTCTCTACCACGGTCAACACTCTTTTTGATACATAGCCTTCCAAATTAGGAAGGTTTGGTTCCATTTTCCTTGATATCTTCCTGCTACACTGCACAGCTTTCTCAGGAAGAGTAAATGCAGATTGTACCTCAGTGATTTTTGTCAATCAGGTATATTTGTACTTTAACATGCATTCTCCAGAGTTTTCTGTTTGGGCTGCATTTTTCCTTCCCTTTTATATCACATGCATGTTTGTCTCTGTTGTAATATTCTCCTGGTGATTTCAATAGAATCTTGGGATGGGGGAGCTAAATACCCACAATCACATGGATGTTGCTGGGAAGTCCTGAATGAATTTTCTTGGGGGAAATACCATAAAGATTATTTCTGCAGAGATTAAGGGCTGGTAATTATCCAATAATTCAAGAAACTTTAAGACTTTACTTATAATGTTAAAAAGTATATTTAGCAACTGAGTAATAGTAGCTAAAATGGCACTTTGAGATTAGGTAAAAAATTATATTGACAAATGGAATGTCAGCTCTGCTCAACCGAAAATATTGACTTATTTCTCTGCTTTTCTTCTATCCTGTAAAACTTTCACTTTTGCCTGGGCTTGAGTTCAAATTCTTTGCAAGTTCAGGCACATCCACATATTCTGGCCTCTGACTCTCCAAAGACCACTGTGACTTGTGAGGAAGAGAATGCAAATTAGAATTAGAAAAATTTAATTTTATTTCTTATCCTCTCTATTCTGTGTGGCTTGAAGCACATTACTTCATCTCCTTCAAACTCAGTGACATTACCTGTAAAATGGCTTAATAATTATTTTACTCATAGAATGATTGTGAAGATTAAAAGACAAATATGAAAGTCTTTTTTTTTTTTTTAGATGGATTTTTGCTCTTGTTGCCCTGGCTGGAGTGCAACGTCATGATCTTGGCTCACTGCAACCTCTGCCTCCTGGGTTCAAGCGATTCTACTGCCTCAGCCTCCCAAGTAGCTGGGACGACAGGCGCCCACCACCACGTCTGGCTAATTTTGTATTTTTAGTAGGGACGGGGTTTCTCCATGTTGGTCAGGCTGGTCTTGAACTCCTGACCTCATGTGATCCACCCGCCTCGGCCTCTCAAAGTGCTGGGATTACAGGCGTGAGCCACTGTGCCCGGCCAAAAGTCTTTTATAAGTGTAAAACATATACTAATATTAGTTCCTATTATGAATGTTTCATAAATGAAGATGGTTGATAGTGACTGGCTATCACTGTAAGATTTAAAATTTATATAAAGAATATAAATGTCTATTCATCTCTTTTTGTGAGAACCACTTGTCTATTTAATTTCTGAAGTCACTTGCAGTTCTCAAATTCTTAGATTCTATAAACCAGTTATTTTTTAAAGCAAATGTAAGTATTTTTAGGTTGTTAGTTTCCACAACACTCTGTTATTCTGAGACTTGAACTAGACCACTGTAGGTTAGGTTCCCTAGGACACAGACTCTGGGGAGAGATTTACATGCCGACTGTTTATTGATAGTGCTTTTAGTGACAGTGTCCTGAGGGGCGAGAGAAGCAGACTGAGCAGAAGGAGAAGTTGAGCTGCTCTGCATTCACAACACAGACCTCAGTCATTTGTTTTCTGTAACACAACGCTAGCATCTATCACTGCATACACATGGGTAAGGCAAATTTACTCTCTGAGCCTTAGTTTCAGCACTTAGTATATACCTCTCGCTGTTTTTTTTTTTTTTTTGAGAATCAAATAAGATACTAGTCACATTTTGGATAATAAAATTGCAAATGCAAGAGGTCGTCTCTTAAAGGAATAAAAATCTTGAGTCATGACTTTGGCTCTAGGACATTAAGACACATTATGATCTGATGCTGTGTCAGAATAGTAGAAAAGGCTCCTCTTTGCTTGGGTTTGAATAATTACAAAAGAACACCCAGCTGCCAGAAGACACATTTTAGGAATTAGACTGGATTTAGAATTTGAGTTTTGCTATGGTTTGAATGTGACTTCTCCAAAATTCAACTGTTGCCAATGAGATAGTATTAAGAGGTAGGGCCTTTAGAATGTGATTAGGCCACGAGGGCTCCTCTCATCAACGAGATTAAGAACCTTATAAAAGAGGCCTCAGGCAGCATTCGGCTGCCTTGCCCTTTCACCTTCTGCTTTATGGGGGCGCAATGTTCCTCTCCTCCAAGGGATAAAGCAATAAGGCACCATCCTGGAAGCAGAGAGCAGCACTTACCACACATCAAACCTACAGGTCCCTTGATCTCCAACTTCCCAGCCTCAAAAACTGTGATAAGTAAGTATGTTTTTTATAAATTACCCAGCTTGTGGTATTCTGTTATAGCAGCACAAATGGACTAAAACAAATTTTTTAAAAAAACAGCTTGTCAACTCATCATTGGTTTAACTGATATTTTTATTCTTGTCTTTTGATCAGCAGCTAAAAGAAATGTGGAGGGAGTCCCAGAAAGTTAGGGGGCAATGTAAGCCTTATTTGTATTTACCCCCTCAGTCTATGATATAAATAAGCCCCCTGAAGTCTTTAAAGGGAGATTAATGGGTATTACTGATTAATACTTAAATGAGGACCTCCTCGTAAGAATACAAAGTACCAAATAGCCTCCAACTCTATACATGCTGCTTGGATTGACCTATGTTGTCCTTTAAATTCCCTGCTCAAATTTTGATTTTCTTTTGATCTCGTAGTCATTTTCTCATAGTCATTTTCTTTCAATTGGGAGTCATTAAGGCAATTTTTAATAGTTGATTTTATAATCAACTACTATAAAGTATACATATTGATATATTGACCTTAGTTATAACCTCAAGCATATACATAAGTTATATCCTCATGCATATGTGCTGATGCCCTACAATTAACAAGCATGCAGCTTTGAACACAAAGGCAACTGCCTTATGTTGAATTACATATTCTTCTAGAAGAAATGTGTTTGAATGGAAAGATTATCCACTGAGGAGTTCACTTAACTGGGCTGGAGGACCTTCTAACTCCATTAAAATATATTTATTGGCTGCAATTCTTCCTCTTTGAGGCACAGACGACAAAGTCAGCCTTATACCTGCCTGCATGCAACGACCACATTCTTTCAACACTGGCCAGCTATTGGCATGTAAAACACCAAGGTTTTCTATTTTAGGGAAGGAGGGGCTAAATAAAGCTTGGAGAAAGAGCAAAAAAAAAATTTTTTTTTGATTAATAACCTTGACATAAATCTGTTAATTTTTTCTCAACCAGAAAACTAGTTTAGAGCAGGTTTGAAAATAGGGAACAAAATGAAAATATTTCCTGAGACTTCTTTTTTTCAAATAATAACTTTCAAATATTGTTAAAAAATTTGTGTCTCTGTGAAAACAATATTGCATTAAGAATATAAGGGCCTGAGTACTAACAGAATCTCTACTCTGTAACTTTGGAAAATATAGGTATTCTTTCTGAGTCTACTTTTTATTATGGTGAAATTGAAGACTTTAGAGTAGATAGGACTCAGCAAGCACTGCCATTGTGGCAAGTAAGCAGCTGTAAATAATAGGTAATGAATGAGTGTGGCTGTATTCCAATAAAATTTTATTTACAAAAATCCCACAGCTGGCCAGATTTGGCCCACAGGTCTGTAGTATACTAATCTGTATACTAGATAGTTTCCAAATTTTAGTGATTGTTGAAATTCTTGGATGTATCAATACATATTTCCTGGCACCACAGTCTATTTACTGCAGTCACAAATGAAAATCTCAGTTGCATTCAGCACTAAGCATTTATTTATCAAGTGCCTGTGATTCCACTCAGGTGGTCCTGTTGCTCTCAGTTGGGCTGGCTCATGTGTCTTCAGGTCAGTTGGGGTTGCTGGTGTGGGTCACAGGGGTTGGGGAAGCTCTGCCTCCTGCTGTATGTGTGTGAATCAGTTGGGACTACTGGGATGGCTCTCTTCCACAGGTATTCATTTTACGGATACTCTGAAGCTGTTATAGAAGCTCTTTCCAGGTAGATGCACAAGAGTGTGAGAAAAAAAATTACAGGTAACTTCTTAAAGGCCCAAGTTTGAAATTGGCACAATGACAATGTTACTTCTGCCCATGTGTCATGGTCCAAAGCAAGTCACATGGACTGTCTCAAAGTCAAAGGGTGGCACAGTGAAGTCATGGCAAGAAAGCAGATAGAGGGTCACTTAACCTATCAAACTTGGAATTTTTTTTTTTTAAATTACGCTCCTGGGCCCCATTGTGAAAGGTACTGATTCAGCAGGCCGGTGACTGAGTTCAGAAATATGTAGGTGCTTAACCATCTTAATGACCAGCCAGCACAGAGACTCACTCCGTTAGATTTCTAAGGCTACTTGCAACTCCATTTCATTTGATTCTATAAAATGAGGAGTTTTATTTTTTAAGAGTACACTTTGTTCTCAGAAAGTTTTTCTAATTTGATAGCTAGTCTCTGCAGTGACTCTGTCTTTCAGGGCCACAAAGCAGGCTGACCACGGAGACTGCTATCTGCTCCCACACAGAGCTCTGACCTGCTTTATCCTCATCTACTCCTCCACCTCTTTCACACACCACTCCTGTTGGGGCCAACTCATCAGGCCCGCATAGAGGGAAGTTGATGATCACTATCAGTAGGCACAGCTGGACTAAACCAACTCATTTCACACTGCAGTAGCTGGTAATCAAATGGTACTCCATGCTTTATTAATTTGTAATCACCCTTACCCCCTCCATTTTCTTTTACTCATAGGTCACTTAAAAATTCCTTGATTGTGCAACAGTGGGGAATAATCCTTCGCTAAAATATGTGGCACTTTCATTATGCAACCACTAAACTCAGCATCTTGGGGGCATTTCTCATAAATATTTAATGCTGCATTTTAAAATTTATATTTTGTGTGATTGTTCTTTTCTCATTTGAAAGAAGATTTTAATTGTGGAATAATGGCTGGTCCTGTCACCATCAATATTCATGGGTCAATAATATATTAATGGGTAGCAATGTTAGGTCTCTGTTAAGTCACAGCTGTGGTTAGGAGGAACATGGATGCCTACATAAGCTCTTTCATGAAAGCTGATGTCAGCTTTATATTCACAAAATTATATTCATCATTTGTCTTGCTAAAGTAACATGAATTTCTTTTAAAGGTCTATACATTTACATTGCCAGCATATAATTAATGCAACACCAGAATTTGTCAGCTGGTTTAAGCCTACATGCAGACTCATGCAGGCTTATATCTAATAGGTGAGAAGAAAACGTGATACAGAACTCAGTAGGTTTTAATATACTGCATTTAGATAGAAACTCTTTCGTATACTATGAGACTCCTTAAAAATATATATCTAATGAATTTTACTAATACCATCCAGAGTAATTGTACATCATCCCCTGTTGATGGCTAGATAGAGGCCATGTGTTGTGTTGATACTATTGTTTAACATACCAAGTAAATTGTTCCTATTATCTCCAGTATTTATCAGCTGATTTGTAAATGGTTCTAATTTGGGGACAAGAAAGAACAAAAGCCAAACTATCAGAAATCATTTAAAATATAAAAACCAGTGCTTAGAGGATTGTGATTTTATGTGGGTTGGCAAACTTTCTCTTATACATGGCCAGATAGTAAATATTTTTGCCACAAAGGCAAATGTTGTTCATGATAATGAGTTCTCATGAGTGAGATCTGGTCATTTAAAAGTGTGTGGCACTCCCCACTCCTTTCACACACTCTGCATTTGCTTTGTGATGTGAAAGCTCCTGTTTCACCTTCCCCTGTGAGTAAAAGCTCCCTGAGCCCTCCCCAGAAGCTGAATGATGTTGGCGCTATGCTTCCTGTATAGCCTGCAGAACTGTGGGCCAATTAAGAGAATCTCTTTTCATTATAAGTTACCCAGTCTCAGGTGGTTCTTTATAGCAGTGCAAAAAACAGCCTAATATATAGTTGTATTCCAAGAATAATTTGTTTTCAAAAACATGCAGTGAAATACATCAATTAAAATAGATGATCAGAACCCATCTATATGTTGTCTATGCAAAAAATAATTTAAATAATACACATAGATTAAAAATGAAAGGGATGGTGAAATACCATGCTAACACTAATCAAGGAATTGAGAGTAGCCTATTAATTCTAGGCAAAACAAACAGACTTCAGAACAAAGAAAATTATCAGGGATAAAGAAAATCATTACATAATTAAAAAGAGGTCAATTCTGTAAGGATACGTAATGATCCTTAATGCTTATGTGCCAAACAACAGAACATCAAAATATGTGAGGCAAAGCTTACAGAACTACAAGAAGAAATAGACAAATCCACTGTCTACCAGTAATTAATGGATTCAGCAGGCAGAAAAATCAGTAAGGACATATTTGAACTGATCAGTATCATCAATCAACTCATCTAATTGACATTTATAGATTATTTTATCCAGATTATTTTACAGCAGAATCCACATTTTGCTCAAGTTCACAAGGGACATTTAACAAGATAAACCACATTCTGGGCCATAAAACACAACACATTTACAAGAATAGAAATCCTACAAAGTACACTCAGAACACAATGAAATTAAACTAGAAATCCAAAACAGCTGAAAAATGCTAAAATATTTGGACATTAAACAACACACTTCTAAATAACACATGGGTCAAGGAAGTGGTCTCAAGGACCATTTAAAAATATTTTGAATTAAATGAAAATGAATATAATTTTTCAAAATTTGTGAGATGTAGCAAAAGCATTGAATGCATATATTAGAAGAAAAATCTAAAAATAAAAAAGAGGCAGTGGATGAATTTAAGTCATATGCTTAGATTGCTGACCACTGATAAAAGGTGGTCAGTTTGATTCTAAAGTAAACCAAATTGTTTCTCTCCTGCAGCCAAGCCACAGAAAGCCATCCTAAACTACAGGGGCATCTATTAAAAAGGGAACAGTAAGATATAGGAGACAAAATAAATATAGACTCTTGTCATTATTCAAATAAAGCCCCTCAGTATATGTCTTATGGATGGTTGGCATTAGCACTGTCCTTATGTACCACTCCCAAGCAGCCAGTTTTTACCACTTTATTTAGCTTTCCTCTAAATCTGTTTCTAATTGACAGCCCCTCTTCTCCAGTTGCCTCAAACTGATCTTCCCTTTGTCCCAATTACAAATTACAATCTAGTTTACATGCAAGAACCAGAGTAACCTTCAAAAAAATTATTCACCTCTTTAAAATTATTGGTTTCTTCTACTACCTTTATGACAAAAAATTCTTACATGACCTGCAGGGCCTGTCATGATCTAGGGCTGTCTTTTCCTCCCAGTTTCACCTCATGATTTTCCCCCTATATTTATTATTTCCTCAATACATTGAATGTTTCCAGAGGTATGACAAATATCAGTATTAGGAAATCCAATTATACCCTGAGTCCTATATCTAGTTTGGATAGATATACTTACTTTTGGTAACATATATTAAGTGACACTAATTGCACAGTAACTATAAAGGAGTAAGTAACATGAAATCACACAACTATAGCTTTGCCACACCTGCATGAACTTGGACCTTCTTGGCTGAGCACATTTTCTAAAAACTGGATGCCCACTCTAGAGCCATGCCATTGAAATCTGTTAAGGAACAAAGCTCTGAGGTGGTAACTTGCCAGAGTACCTTGCAGCTGACAGATGATAGGTAAAACATGTTAGTTATAAAGTAGTTAACAGCTTAAATCATTTTCCCCTGAAGAGCTAAGCATGTGTGATTCCCTAGAAGGTATCTCACCATCTCTTCTAGATAATCCTTCCTTGAATTAGTTTCCTAAGGCCACTGTAACAAATTACCACAATCTTGGTGGCTTAAAACAACCAAAATTTATTCTCTTATGGTCGGAGTCTGTTTTTTGTTGCTATAACAAAATACCACAAACTAATTCATAAATGAAAGTTTATTTAGCTGATGGCTCTAGAGACTGGGAAGTCTAACAGCATGGCAGAAGGCATCAGATGGTGACAGCGTGTGAGACAGAAAATGACAGCCAAACTTTCTTTTATGACAAACCCAGTCTGGAGGTAACAAAGAGATTTCCATTATAAAGGCATTAATCCATTCAGCAGGTTTCTGACTGGTCTTCCAGGCTAGCTGCAGTATCCTTTAAAATCTAGCAGGAGAAAGCCATGCCTCCACAGCTCTGCTATTCTGTGCACCAGCAGAATTAGCATCATTTGATGCCACCAGAGTTTATGGCTTCTGCCTTCCAGAGTGGGGAATCAAGCTATACCTGGGCCTTCTTAAACTGCACTTAAGACTCCTTGAGCCATGGCTGGGGTAGTTGAGGGGTGCTTCACTGGAATGTGTGGAGCAGAGACTCTGGGTACCAAGCCCATGGAAGGTGTCCTGGGCTTACCCCCAAAACCATTCTGCCTCCCTACAGTTCTGGGCCTGTGATGAGAGGGGTAGCCTCAAAGATCTCTGAAATACCTTTGGGGTCTTTCTCCCATTGTATTGATGAATAGAACCTGGATTTCTTCTATATATATTAATCTCTTTAACAAGTGGTCGCTTGGCTAAACTCTTATTTTTTTCTCCTGAACATGCTTTTTCACTCTTTCCATGGCCAGGCTGTGAATTTTCCAAATTTTTCTGTTTTTCTACATCTTAAAAAATTATCAATTCCATCTTTAAGTCATTTCCTTGCTCTTGCATCTCACTGTATGTGGTTAAAAGTAACCATCTAGCAGTCTGAATTCTTCGTTGCTTAGGTATTTCTTCCAACAGACATTTCAGTTCATTACTCTTAAGTAATGAACTCTTAAGGCATTCCATAAAGCCCTCAGGCGTGGACACAATTCAGCTGAGGTCTTTGTACTTTATAACAAAGATGGCTTTTACTCTAGTGTCCAAAACTATGTTCTTGATCTGTTTGAGATCTCATCAGAATGGTCTTTGCTTTCTATATTTCTACCAACATTCTGGTCACAACCACTTTAGTAATCTCTAAGAAAATTAAGACTTTCCCTATGGCTTTTGTCTTTTACTGGACCGTCATGAGAATCACCCTAATTCCTCAGTTACAACAATGCTGGGTTTTACTAACCTTCTCCTTCAAATTCTTATAGCCTTTCCCCATTACCCAGTTTCAAAGCCACTCCCACATTTTCAGGTATTTGTTATAGCAACAGCGTGACTTTTCCCTACCAATTTTCTGTCTTAGTTAATTTTCTTTTGCAATAAAGAAAACAAGTTTATTTGGCTAACAGTTCTGGAGGCTGGGAAGTCCAAGGGTATGGTGCTGGCATCTACTGAGGGCATGGCAGAAAGCATCACATGGAGAGAAAACATGAGACAGAAAATGGCAGCTGAACATGTTTTTATAACAATCCCAATCTCATGATAACTAAACCACTTCCAAATAAAAGCATTAATCCATTCCTGAGGGAAGAACCCTCATGACCTACCAATGAAATCTTGACATAAGTTTTAGGGGGGTCCAAATATTCAAACCAAAGCACTTATAGTTCCAGAGACAAGAACTCCAAAATCAACTTCACTAGGCTAAAGTCAGGGTTGGCAGGATGGGTTCTTTATGGAGGTTCTGAGAGAAAGATCTGTTTCCTTGACTTTTTTAGCTTTTACAGACCACCTGTATTCTTTGGCTTGGGAATCCTTCTTCTGTTTTCAATGTATATCACTCTAATCTCTGCTTCCATCATCACATGACCTCCTCTCCTGACTCCTCCTGTGTCCCTCTTATAAGAAGCCTTGTAATTACATGTAGGGCTTACCTGGATAATCCAGAAAGAGCTTCCCATCTTCATTTTAAACTTAATTACATCCAAAAAGTCTCTTATGCCTTATAAGTTAACATTTCCAGGTTCAGAATTAGAACATGGTTACATCTGGGGGTCATTATTCAGCTTACTGTACTACTCATCCTCCAGATCTTAGTTTTGGTGTTTCTCCCTCAGAGAAAACAGCTTGGCCCTGCAATCTACATGTGCTCCCTCAGGCTGTCTCTTTCATCAAACTCTCTCTCTTCATTTTTATCTCAGTTCCCAGTTTAACACCTGCCTTTCCCACAGGACTTTAAACTCAAAGAGGTCAAAGAACATGTCTGTTTCATTTATTATTGTTGAAAACATAAACTGGTGATGTGGGAATGTATTTTTATATTTGCCGCGAAAGAGCACAGCTTGGTTTCCTTAAGCAAGTTAAATTTATTACAATGATACATTTGAAGTAACTTTTTGTTTTAAGCTTGTATTCTCCCATGTGCTTTCTTTTAGAATAGGCTGAGGGGAAGTAGAACCTGTTTTTAGGCATTTTTCTTTTGGTAAGGGGGTAAAAAATTAAAGCCCTATTGGCATGTTAGTTATAAAGTGCTTTTACATTTAATGCACGTGTCCTGTTCTCAAAGCAATGGAAACCATGATATCTGTACAAGAACAATCCTTACAAATTATGTGTTTTTACATTTGCATTTTTATTGAAATGTATTTTATATATAATATAATATATTAGTATTAAGTGTTCGGCATTCACTATGGTTGAAATATTTGTCCCCTCCATAACTCATGTTAAAACTTAATCTCCAGTGTGGTAGTATTGAGGTGTTGAATCTTTAAGATGTGATTGGATCATAAAAGCTCTGCCCTCATGAATGGATTAATCTATAAATGAATGAATTCATGGATTAATGGATTGATGGGTTAATAGATTAGTGGGTTATCATGGGAAGAGAACTGGTAACTTTATAAGACAAGGAAGAGAGACCCAAACTAGCATATTTGCATGCTCAGCCTCCCCACCATGTGATACCCTGTACCACCTCAGGACTCTGTAAGGAGTCACCACTTCACCACTAGCAAGAAGGTTCTAACCAGATGCAATCCCTCAACACTGGACTTCCTGGTCTTCATAACTGTAAGAAATAAATTTCTTTTCTTTGTAAGTTACCAGTTTCAGGAATTTTGTTATAAGCAACAGAAAACAGACTAAGAAAACTAAAGTACTTGGAAGCTAGGTAAATGGCCCTCAATTTTTAATTACTTTTTAATAGCTTTAAGCATAATACCTATTTATAGTTTTAAAATAATGTGGAATACAGATAAACCAAACAAGAAAAAAAAAGCAGGGAAGGATTCTGCTACCCAGCAGTCTTAATCCTGAGTGTCCAGACACCAATGCTGGTCCCTCCTATGGCATCTCTCCTCAATCTTTTTAGGTAGGCTCATCCAGTCCCAGCTATAAACACTGATCGTACATATGCAATTCCCAAATTTATTATCTTATTCTTTACCTCTCCTTGACTCCCAGACCACTTAGCATCTCCTACTTGCATGTCCAGTGTATATCTCAAATATAACATCACCAAAATAAAACCTTTGATTTTTGTTCCTTGGCAAACATTCTACTCTCCAGTGAATATATCACCACATATTTACTGACTCAATCCAAGAATCTAGAATTTGTCTTGGAAAAATGAGGATACCAAAAAATGAAAGGTCATTCAAATCAGTGAAGAACTCTTATGAAACTAATTACAACTTAAAATCTAAGAAAACAACCAAATATATATGCAAGAAGTCAGTATCTGGAAGAATATTTCTGTAGTGATGATGATATATCAAGTAGTCAAATATTTGGAGAAAAGTATAGGTTTTTACTACCTCTGTCTCTCTCCTCTCTCTCTCTGTCCTTCTTTCCATCTTTCTTTTTTCTATATTTTCTTTTTCTCTTCCTTTCATCTTTTTCTCTCCCTCTTTCTGTGAAATTTAAACTCTTCAAAACTGTGATTCTGATTAATATCACCAGTTATTACTTAGAGCAGGGTACTTTACTGAGTAGAGCTTTTACACCAGATGTTATAGGGACTGATCAGCCTGGATCCATGGCATTCGGTTCAAAGATTTCTGATCTGTTAGTTGTAGCTGGGCAGGGTTGGATCCACGAGTATGTGACCTATGCGGTCACACATGGCTCAGTGCTTAGAAGGGTCTCACGCTAGGGTTAATGCTCTGAATTTCCTGTATGAAAATTTTTCATAACGTTTGAATGAGGAAACTTTGTTCAGTTTTTATTTTGCATTGAGTGCCACAAATTATGTAGAAAGTCATACCTTCCTGAGATTGGTGAACGGAATTGTGTCCAAGGATCCTTTCAGGGAGAGATTGTGGTATGCAGAGGTTCTCAGGCTTCCGAGAAAAGGATAGGGTAACTTGAAGTTATCTTGCTTGAATTCCCAGAACACAAGTATGAAAGTAGAAAGAATAAATGAAAACTTATTAAATTTGTTCATAAAACTTACAGTCTCTGTTAGTAAAATATGGGTAATATAATGAAAAGATGAATGAAAATTTCATGTCCTTTCTGTAGTTATCCTGCAATATTTTTAAGTGTAAAATTTAATAGTCTACCCAGAAAAAAACACTCAAATGGTATAAATAAACAATTAACATGAAGGAAATATAAAAATATAAGTACACACATGGAAACATGTTTCACCTAGTTAGCCATCTACAGAAGTCTAAATTTATTTTTAAAATAGATTTATTTTGTCTTTTTTCAGTAATATGGTAATTTATTTTATCCAAACCACCTTTAATGTCTTAGTACATTAAATTATTTCAGCACACCTCTTTTAAAACATTTATTGATTGATGAATACAAATTGTATATATTTATTGTGTATAACATGTTTTGAAATATGTATACGTTGTAGAATAGCTAAATAAGGCTAATTAACATATGCATTGTCTCACATTCTTATTTTGTTGTGATGAGAATTCATAAAACCTACATTCTTAGCAAGTTTCAAGAACATAGACAAGGAAGATGGTGGATAGGATACAGGACTGACATACAGCTCCCACTTGGATGGACAAAACAGCATGTGGAGACTCACACCATGGACTTTTGCTTCAGGAACCACCACAAGAGCATACCAGGAACGTGAAAAGAATTCACAGATCCTTTGAAAGAAGCAGCAGGCCACTGCAAATTCCACGAGACAGGTGAAAATCTCTGGTGCTTTCTTGAAAGTGCCACCTCCTGGCTGGAGGCCAATTAACTCAGGACATTACAGCAACTCATGACAGAACAACCTGCCCCAAGGGAGCAGAAAGCAACAGCTAATTCCACTGCCTGCAACATCCTGGCTAATCAGTGGTCCAGAGTCTGTCCACATGACAACTTCACTGCTAGCATACTCAGTGTTCGAGAAAGCCAGCACACTAAACATCTTTATAACCAAGGACTGTCACAGAGCCTACTTCACTTCCTCGCCACTTCTACCAGAGCAGGTGCTGGTAACCATGGCTGGGAGACCTGAAGATGGATCACATCACAGGACTCTTAGCAGACATTCCCCAGCACCAGCCCAGAGCCTGGTAGCCCAACTGGGTGGCTAGACCCAGGAGAGCAACAATAAGCACTGCAGTCTGGCTTGCAGGAAGCCCCATTCCTAGGGGAAGGGAGAGTACACCACATCAAGGGACCACCCTATGAGACAAAAGAATCTGAATGTTAGCCCTTAGGTTCCAGATTTTTCCACTGAAATAGTCTACCCAAATGAGAAGGAATCAGAAAAAGTAATTCTGGTAATATGACAAAACAAGGTTTCATAACACCCTGAGTAGACAATAGCTCCCAGCAATGGATCCAAACTGAGATGAAATCTCTGAATTGCCACGTACATAACTCAAAAGGTTGATTTTTAAGCTAATCAAGGAGATAGCAGAGAAAGGTGAAAGCCAACTTAAAGAAATTAAAAAAAAATACAGGATATAGATGAAAAATGTTCCAGAGAAATAGATATCAGAAAGAGAAAACAATCATGACTTCTGGAAATGAAAGACACAGAGAAATACAAAATGCAATTGAAAGTTTCAACAATAGAATTGAACAAGTAGAAGAAATAAGTTCAGAGCTCAAAGACAAGGCTTTCAATTTAACCCAATTGGACAAAGACAAATAAAAAATAATTTTAAAAAGCAAAGCCTCCAAGAAATTTGAGATTACATTAAATGATCAAACCTAAGAATAACTGGTGTTCCTGAGGAAGAAGAGAAATCTAAAAGTTTGAAAAACGTATTTGAGGGAATGATTGAGGAAAATTTTCCTGGCCTCACTAGAGATCTAGACATCCAAATACAAGAAGCTCAAAGAACACTATGAAGGAAAACCTATCAGATTAACAGCAGATTTCTCAGCATAAATCCTATAAGCCAGAAGGGATTGCGATCCTATCTTTACCTCCTAAAACAAAATAATTGCCAGCCAACAATTTTGTATCTGGCAAAACTAAGCTTTATAAATGAAGGAGAGATTAAGTCTTTTTCAGACAAACAAATGCTGAGAGAGTTTGCTACTACCAAGCCAGCACCACAAGAACTGCTACAAGGAGCTCTAAATCTTGAAAAAAAACCTCAAAAGACACACCAAAATAGAACCTCTTTAAAGCATAAATCTCACAGAGCCTATGAAACAATAACACAAAGGAAAAAAAAAAAGTTATTCAGGCAACAACTAGCACAATTAATAAAACAGCACCTCACACCTCAATACAAATGTTGAATGTAAATGGCCTAAATGCTCCAATTAAAAGACACAGAATGGCAGAATGGATACATTCACCAACCAAGTATCTGCTGTCTTCAAGAGACTCACCTAACTTATAAGGACTCACATAAACATAAGGTAAAGAGGTGAAAAAAAAATCCATGCAAATGGAAACCAAAAGAAAACAAAAGTAGCTATTCTTATATCAGACAAAAGAGACTTTAAAGCAATAACAGTTAAAATAGACAAAGAGGGGCATTATGTAATGATAAAAGGATCAGTCCACAGGAAAATATCATAATCCTAAATATAAATGCACCTAATATAGAAGGTCCCAAATTTATAAAACAATTACCACTTGACCTAAGAAATGAGATAGATGGAAAAACAATAATAGTAGGGGACTTCAATACTTCATTGACAGCATTAGACAGGTCATCAAGACAGAAAGTCAACAAAGAAACAATGGGCTTAAACTCTACCCTAGAACATAGGGACTTAACAGGTATTTACAGACCATTCTACCCAACAACTGCAGAATATACATTCTTTTTGTCAGCACATGGAACATTCTCTGAGATAGACCATATGATAGGCTAGAACACAAGTCTCAACAAATTTAAGAAAATCAAAATTATGTCAAGTACCCTCTTAGACCACAGCAGAATAAAATTGGAAATTAACTCCAACAGGAACCTTCAAAACTATAAAAGTACATAGAAATTAAATAATCCACTCCTGAATGATTTTTGGGTCAACAACGAAATCAAGATGGAAATTAAACATTCTTTGAGGTAAATGATAATAGTGATACAACTTATCAAAACCTCTGGGATACAGAGAAAGCAGTGCTAACAGAAAAGTTTATAGCATTAAATGCCTACATCAAAAACTCTGAAAGAGAACAAGTAAACAATCTAATCTCACACTTCAAGGAACTGGAGAAACAAGAACAAACCAAACCCAAACTTAGCAGAAGGAAAGAAATAACAAAGATCAGAGCAGAACTAAATGGAATTCAAACAAATGAAAAAGATAAATGAAATAAAAAGCTGAGTCTTTGAAAAGATAAACAAAATTGATAGACCATTAGTGAGGTTAAACAAGAAAAGAAGAGAGATGTTCCAAATAAGCTCAATTAGAAATGAAATGGGAGATATTACAACTGATACCATAGAAATACAAATGGCCTTTCAAGGCTACTATGAACATCTTTATGGGCACAAACTAGAAAATCTAGAGGAGGTGGATAAATTCCTTGAAATATATAACCCTCCTAGATTAAATCAGGAAAAAATAGAAACTCTAGACAGACCAATAACAAGTAGCAAGATTGGAACAGTAATTAAAAAATTGCCAACAATAAAGAGTCCAGGATCAGATGGCTTCACAGCTGAATTCTATCAGGTATTCCAAGAAGAATTGGTACCAATCTTACTGAAACTATTCCAAAAGAGAAAAAGGGAATCCTCTCTAAATCATTTGATGAAGCCAGTATCACTCTAATACCTAAACCAGAAAAGGACAACAAAAAAAGAAAACTGCAGACCAACATCCCTGATGAACGTAGGTGCAAAAATCCTCGAGAAAATATTAGCTAACCTAATTCAATAGCATATAAAGAAGATAATACATCAAGATCAGTTGGTTTCATAACAGGGATGCAGGGATGGCTTAACAGACACAAGTCAATGTGACACATCACATAAACAGAATTAAAAACAAAAAATCATATGATTATCTCAATAGATGCAGAAAAAGCATTTGACAAAATACAGCATATCTTTATGATTAAAACCCTCACCAAAATCAGCCTAGAAGGTACATATCTACAGGTAATAAAAGCCATCTATGACAAACCCACAGCCAACATTATACTGAATGGGGAAAAGTTGAAAGCATTTCATCTGAAAATTGGAACAAGACAAGGATGCCCACTTTCACCACTTTTATTCAACATACTACTGGAGAGCCCAGTCAGAGCAATCAGACAAGAGAAAATAAAGGGCATCCAAATTGGTAAAGAGGAAGTCAAACTGTCACTGTTCACCAATGATATGATTATATACCTAGAAAACTCAAAAGACTCACCCAAAAAGCTCCTAGAACTGATAAATGAATTCAGCAAAGTTTCAGGACACAAAATTAATGTACACAAATTTGTAGCTCTGATATATACCAACAATGACCAAGCTGAGAAACAAATCAAGAACTCAGTCCTTGATTTTATAACAGCTGCAAAAAAAAAAAAAAAAAAAAAAAAATACTTAGGATATTGCCTAACCAAGGAGAAGAAAGATATCTTCAAGGAAAACTACCAAACACTGCTGAAGGGAATCATAGATGACACAAACAAATGGAAACACATCCCATGCTCATGGTTGGGTAGAATCAATATTGTGAAAGTGACCATACTCCCAAAAGCAACGCAATTCTCATCAAGATACTATCATCATGCTTCACAGAACTATAAAAGCAATCCTAAAATTCATAAGGAGCCAAAAAAGAGCTTGCATTACCAAGGCAAGACTAAGCAAAAAGAACAAATTTAGAGGCATCACATTATCTGACTTCAAACTATACTACAAGGCTATAGTTACCAAAACAGCATGGTACTAGTATGAAAAATAGGCACATAGATCAATGGAACAGAATAAAGAACCCAGAAATAAAGCCAAATGCTTACAGCCAACTGATACTTGACAAAGCAAACAAAAATATAAATCGCAGAAAGGACACCCTAATCAACAAATGGTGCTGGGATAATTGGCAAGCCACACGTACACAAATGAAGCTGGATTCTCATCTCTCACCTTATACAAAAATCAACTCAAGATCAAAAACTTAAATCTAAGACCCGAAACCATAAAAACTACAGAATATAACATTGGAAAAACTCTTCTAGACATCGGCTTAGTCTAAGAGTTCATAACTAAGAATCCAAAAGCAAATGCAACAAAACAAACATAAATAGTTGGGACCTAATTAAAAAGTTTCTGCACAGCAACAAAAATAATGAGCAGAATAAGCACACAATCCACAGAGTGGGAGAAAATATTTGCAAAGCATGCATCTAAGGACTAATACCCAGAATCCACAAGGAACTCAAATAATCAAGAAAAAAGCAAATTTCATCAAAAAGTGGGCAAAGGACATGAATAGACAATTCTCAGAAGATATACAAATGGTCAAGAACATATGAAAAAAATGCTCAATTTCACTAATTATCAGGGAAATGAAAATTAAAACCACAATGAGATACCACCTTACTCCTGCAAGAATTGTCACAATCAAAAAATAAAAAAAAAAAGACGTTGGCATGGATGTGGTGAAAAGAGAACACTTCTACACAGCTGATAGGAATGTAAACTAGTACAACCACTATGGAAAACAGTATGGAGATTCCTTAAAGAAATAAAAGTAGAACTGCCATTTGATCCAGCAGTCCCACTAGTGGGTATCTATCCAGAGGAAAGGAAGTCATTATATGAAAAACGCTGCACACATACGTTTATAACAGCAAAATTTTGCAAAAATATGGAGCCAGCCTAAATGCCCATCAACCAATGAGTGGATTAAAAAATGTGATATATATACACCATGGAATACTCTTCAGCCATAAAAAGGAATGAAATAATGGCATATGCAGCAACCTGGATGGAACTGGAGACCATTATTCTGAGAGAAGTAACTTAGAAATGGAAAACCATACATCATATATTCTCACTTATAAGGGAGGGCTAAGCTCTGAGGATGTAAAGGCATAAGAATTATATAATGCACTTTGGGGACTTGGGAGGAAGCATGGGGCGGGGGTGAGGGCTATAAGATTCCACACTGGGTACAGTGTATACTGCTTGGGTGTTGGGTGCACCAAAATCTCAGAAATTACCACTAAGGAACTTTTCCATGCATCCACAGACCACCTGTTTCCCCAAAACTATTGAAATAAAAATTTTAAAAAGTAAACAAAAAGAATACAATACACTCTTATTAACTATAGTCACCATGATATAAAATAGATCTCTTGAACTTATTCCTCCTGTCTAACTGAAATTTGTGTTCTCTGACCAACCTACCCACAATCCTCTCCTGGTGCCATTCTGTGGTAACCACCTTTTATTCTGTTTCTGTGAGTTAGACCTTTCTGAATTCCATGTATAAGTGAGATTTATTTCACTTAACATAATGTTCTTCATATTTACCTATGTTGTTGCAAATGGCAGGATTTCCCTTTTTAAAGGCTTCATAGCATTCCATTTTGTATAACTACCATATTTTCTTTATTCATTGATCCACTGAGGGACACTTAGGTTGGTTCTATATCTGGGCTATTGTGAATAATGCTGCAATGAACATAGGAGTTCAAATCTCTCTTCACGATGCTGATTTCATTACCTTTGGATATATACCCAGTAGTGAGATTCCTGGGTCATAATGGTAGTTTTATTTTTAAGTTTTTGAAAAATTAGAGAAGCCAAAATTTGAATGAGGTACTATATTTATTTATAAAATTTGCAATTTTTAAAAGTAATAGCATAATCATCAGCAGAGGGAAGAGGGCTTTCTTATCTGTTGGGGAGAGGGTTAATTGGTGCAATCCATTTGGCAATACTTCTTTTTTTTAAATTTAAATACCTATTCTAGCAAGTCACCTTCTGGGTATTTGCCTTAAGAAAATAGTTAAGTTTATATATGGAATAATTCCACTACAAAGCTTTTCTTTGAAGAATTGTTTGTGAAGAATTGTTTCTACATACACAAAGTAACATAAGTAATACTTTATCTATATGTATATATGTGCACACACATAAGACACATGGTGTGTAAAAGAATATATATTAAAAATTTACAGTGTTTGGTGGAACTATGGGGAATTAATAAATTTACATTTAAAAGTTAAATGAAAATATTATTTAAGCAATTGTAGAAGTTATTTCTAGAAAATGTAACTGGCAAAAAGAGAATTCCAAGGACAATTTTATCAGAAAAGGTAAGCAATTTTTTTCAAGGCTCAGTTTTAAGTTTTCCCAAGTGACTCACCACCAAGAATAAGCATGATCAATCCCAGCACTCCTGCTCCTCAGAGCAGATGAAACAGCAAGGACCTTCAGAATCTTCTATGTATGGGAGAAAATCACAAATAGTGCCAATGTCTTGGAAAGATTTGTCACTAATAATTCAGTTATTTTACTTCTAGAGATTATTGTAAGCCATTGACTTAAAAATTCACAGAATGACTTACATGCAGGAAAGTATATCACTTAATGATTTATGGTGAAAACTGGGACATTTCTTGAAAGTATAACAAGAAATCTTTGCCTAAGCCAATGTCTAGAAGGGCTTTTCTGATGTTATCTTCTAGAATTTTTATGGTTGAAGGTCTTGGATTTAAATTCTTGATCTGTCTGGAGTTGACTTTTGTATAAGGTGAGAGATGAAGATCCAGTTTCATTCTTCTACATGTGGCTTACTAATTATCCCAGCACCATTTGTTGAGTAGGGTGTTTTTTCTGCAATTTATGTTTTTGTTTGCTTTGCCAAAGATCAGTTGGCTATAAATATTTGGCTTCATTTCCTGGTTCTCTATTCTGTTCCATTTGTCTGTGTGCCAATTTTTATACAAGTACCATGCTGTTTTGGTGACTATAGCCTTACAGTATAGTTTGAAGTCAGGTAATGTGATGCCTTCAGATTTGTTCTTTTTGCTGAGTCTTGCTTTGGCTATGTGGGCTCTTTCTTGGTTCCATATGAATTTTAGGATTGTCTTTTCTAGTTCTGTGAAGAATGATGGTGGTATTTCAATGGTAATTACACTGAATTTATAGAGTGCTTTTGGCAGTGTGGTCATTTTTATTATATTGATTCTACCCAACCATGAGCATGAGATGTGTTTCCATTTGTTTCTGTCATCTATGATTTCTATCAGCAGTGTTTTGTAGTTTTCCTTGCAGAGGTCCTTCACCTCCTTGGTTAGGTATATATTCCTAAGTATTTTTTTTTTTGTAGCTATTGTAAAAGGGGTTGTGTTCTTGATTTGTTTCTCAGCTTGGTTGCTATTGACGTATAGCAGAACTACTGTTTTGTGTACATTAATTTTGTTTCCCAAAACTTTGCTGAATTCATTTATCAGTTCTAGGAGCATTTTGGATGAGTCTTTAGGGTCTTCAGGTACATTATCATAACAAAACAATGATAAATAGGTGGGACTTAATTAAACTAAAAAGTTTCTGCAGAGCAAAAGAAACAATCAGTAAACAGACAACCCACAGAGTGGGAGAAAATCTTCCCAATCTATACATCCGACAAAGGACTAACATCCAGAATCTACAAGGAACTCAAACAAATTGGCAAGAAAAAAATAAACAATCCCATCAAAAAATGGGCTAAGGACATGAATATGCAATTCTCAAAAGAAAATATATAAATGGCCAACAAACATATAAAAAGAGTCGAACTTCACTAATGATCAGGGAAATGCAAATCAAAATGACAATGTGATACCACCTTACTCCCGCAAGAATGTCCATAATAAAAAAAATAGACGTTGATGGGGATGTCGTGAAAAGGGAACACTTTTACACTGCTGGTGGGAATATAAGCTAGTATATTCACTATGGCAAACAGTGTGGAGATTCCTTAAAGAACTAAAAGCAGAACTACCATTTGATCCAGCAGTCCCACTGCTGGGTATCTATCCAGTTGGAAAAGAAGGAAAGTAAGTCATTATGTGAAAAAAAATACTTGCACACGCATGTTTGTAACAGCACAATTTGCAATTGCAAAAATATGGAACCAGTCCAAATGCCCATCAATGAGTGGATAAAGAAAATGTGGTATATATAAACAATGGAATACTATTCAAGTTTGAAAAGGAATGAAATAATGGCATTCACAGTAACTTGGATGGAATTGGAAACAATTATTTTAAGTGAAGTAACTCAGAAATGGAAAACCGAACATCATATGTTCTCACTTATAGTGGGAACTAACCTATGACGATGCAAAGGCATAAGAATGATACAATAGACTTTTGGGACTTGGGGAAAAGGATGGAATGGGGGAGGTGAAAGGTAAAAGGCTACAAATTGGGTACAGTGTATACTGCTTGGGTGATGGGTGCAACAAAATCTCACAAATCACCACTAAAGAACTTACTCATGTAACTTACTCATGTAACCAAACACCACCTGCTCCACAAAAACCTATGAAAATAAAAAAAATTAAAATAAAGTATAACAAGAGTGTATTGCTAATTATAGCACATTCACACATATTTGAAATGCCATGTTCAAAGATTATATTTTCTTTTTTTTAAATTTTATTATTATTATACTTTAAGTTTTAGGGTACATGTGCACAATGTGCAGGTTTTTTACATATGTATACATGTGCCATGTTGGTGTGCTGCACCCATTAACTCATCATTTAACATTAGGTATATCTCCTAACACTATCCCTCCCCGCTCCCCCCACCCCACAACAGTCCCCAGAGTGTGATATTCCCCTTCCTGTGTCCATGTGTTCTCATTGTTCAGTTCCCACCTATGAGTGAGAACATGCGGTGCTTGGTTTTTTGTCCTTGCGATAGTTTGCTGAGAATGGTGGTTTCCAGTTTCATCCATGTCCCTACAAAGGACATGAACTCATCATTTTTTATGGCTGCATAGTATTCCATGGTGTATATGTGCCACATTTTCTTAATCCACTCTATCATTGTTGAACATTTCAGTTGGTTCTGAGTCTTTGCTATTGTGAATAGTGCCGCAATAAACATACGTGTGCATGCGTCTTTATAGCAGCATGATTTATAATCCTTTGGGTATATACCCAGTAATGGGATGGCTGGGTCAAATGGTATTTCTAGTTCTAGATCCCTGAGGAATCACCACACTGACTTCCACAATGGTTGAACTAGTTTCCAGTCCCACCAACAGTGTAAAAGTGTTCCTATTTCTCCACATCCTCTCCAGCACCTGTTGTTTCCTGACTTTTTAATGATCACCATTCTAACTGGTGTGAGATGGTATCTCATTGTGGTTTTGATTTGCATTTCTCTGATGGCCAGTGATGATGAGCATTTTTTCATGTGTTTTCAAATATAGGGATGCTGTTAGCCTTTCTGGATTTGCTTTATAAAAATTTAAGCCCATTAAGGATATCCTACTAATTTCCTTTGGTAGGTAGAATGGTGCTCCTGCAAAAATGTCCATATCCTATTCCATGTTACTTGATGTGGCAAGAGACTTGTGATATGATTCAGGTTAAAGACCTTGAGATGAGATAATCCTGGATTATCTGGGTGGGCCTAATGTAACACAAGGGCCCTTGACAATGAAGAAACTTTCCTACTATGTTTAGAGAGAGATATTTCTGCCTTTGAATGTGGAAGAAGAGGCCAAAAAACCAAAGAACGTGAATGGCCTTTAGGATCTTGATAAAAACAAACAGGTAGATTCTCTCTTGTAGTCTCCACAAGAGTCTCCCCAGCAACTTAATTTTGGCTTGTTTTGAATTTCTTACCTGCGGAACTGCAAGATAATAAATTTGTGTTGTTCATCAATGATAGACTGGATAAAGAAAATGTGGCACATATCCACCATGGAATACTATGCAGCCATGAAAAAGGATGAGTTCATGTCCTTTGCAGGGACATGGATGAAGTTGAAAACCATCATTCTCAGCAAACTAACGCAAGAACAGAAAACCAAACACTGCATGTTCTCACTCATAAGTGGGAGTTGAACAATGAGAACACATGAACACAGGGAGGGGATCATCACACACTAGGGCCTGTTGGGGGGTGGGGGGCTAGGGGAGGGATAGCATTAGGAGAAATACCTAATGTAGATAACAGGTTGGTGGGTGCAGCAAACCACCATGGCACGTGTATACCTATATAACAAACCTGCATGTTCTGCACGTGTACCCCAGAACTTAAAGTATAATAAAATAAATAAATTTGGGGTGTTTTAAGCCACTATCTTTGTGGCAATTTATTGTAACGACTATAGAAAACTAATTCTGTTTCTTTTCATGAAGTGATAGAGAGGGATACAGTGAAAGAGAGGTATTACCCCAAGCCTGGAAAAATAGCCCTAGAATTTGAGAAGACATGGAGGCTATGAGTACAAAGAGGACATGACTCTGAGAGAAGAAGATGGTGAGATTATGATGGTGAGATGCCTGCACAATAAGTCTAGATATATAGGATCAGGAATGGAACTGAAGAATGCCTTGGAAGCTGTAAAAAGCTTCAGGCTTGAAGGTACCATGCAGAGAAGACTAGGGAATGTCACAAGGTGATGCTAATTTCTTGTCCTTTACTTCTTTCCTCTAGCACCTTAATATTTTTAGAACATCTCAGAAACATATCTAATCCTTAAAAATAAATGAAGAGAGGAGATCTGAAATGACTGAGATGATTTTTTTTCCAAACCAATGAGATGGGAGTAAAATAAATTAAGGACGTTAACTGTTGCAGAGCTGAGTTTACAGCCTGATGAGGGAACACACAAAATTAGATTATCAGATGATACTCACATGAACCAGAGATCTATCCCTGTGTCAAACTTTGCTAATAGCCTCAAGTATATAGACACCAAGAAGCAAAGAGAAGTCTAAGCCATCAAGGGTGGTTTCTCAAGTCCTTTCTCAGATCAAACACCCTCTTTGACCAGAATAATAGACGAGGTCTCAAGTAACATCTTGTGGAGGTTTTACACAGTAGAGACTGTTTAAATTATGAAACATTATAGATTTAAACCCCAGCCATTGTATAGCAAGTGTGACATTCTTCAGGGAGCCATGACTCGTTTACTTGTAATTAGCAAATGGGTTTATTTATTGTAAATAATCTTTTAGCCATGGATATCCTGCCAAGGGCATTCTGTAGGTTTCTTTTCCTTAGAAAATATTGATAGTCTTATTACCCATAAGTTCAGTTGACATGGAAACTACGTAGGTTAGTCCATCCGTTTTCTTTACCTTGAAGCTGCACCTACAGTAAAGTCAGTTAATAGATCATTGGCTAGTGGCTTAAATTCCTTTCTCTCACCTGATACTTAGTAACAACTGTGGCAACTATTATTACTGACATAGCCCAAAGAGGAAAAGGGCCTTAGTAGCTAGTAAAGGACAAGTTGGAAGGAAAAAGATAATGTAGAAGATATGTTTAAGTATGATCTTCAATTTTTAAGGCGTCTTTAATTTCTATGAAGTTATGCTAAAGTTATGATTATGTATAAAGCTTTAATATCTGTGACATTTAAAATCACGGACAAATCTGGGATTAATTTTATTGTAAAACTGATTTGTAGGCTTGAATATGGATTCTTTTATAGAATAGATTTGAAGTGTCAGATGGAGTAGAAACCTTGCTTGTGGTCCACTCTCCTTCCAGAGGTATATGGGAGAGTGAAATGGAGAAATAGCTAATCACGAATTCTACTGTGTCCTAGGATATTACTGTGGGGGCTTGGAGAGGAAAAATGATGGGACAGGAATGAGTAGGGACGGTAAATACCTTGACGTGAGCTTAGTCTTTTTTTTTTTTTTTTTGGATATGAACTCCCTTTAGAGTGCAACTGGTATCTCGTAAATGATTTTCTTGACTTCCAGAATAAAGAGACCACAGTAATAGATTATCCCCCACACCTGCACACCTGCACACACGCACACGCACACACACTGAATTCTTTCTTCTCTCTAGATTTTTGTAGAAGGGTTTGGTTGGCCCTCATGCCAGAGATTCTCTCCCATGGTTCAGTGGGAGAGGAGTAGAGCTCTAACAGGGTCCTAGATAGAGAAATTGTTGGCGGCCATCACTTCAGGGCTTCTTCAATAGCATCAGTTGCTACTATGTGGCAGACATATCTCTGAATGCTATCTTTGATCTCTCTTGCTGCAGAGTATCAGAGTAGTTTGTGTCCAAATTGATAGAGCCTACAAATAACCAAAAAGTGATTTTCCATTCTGGAATTTTATATATATATATATATAATATATATTATACATATATATATAATATATATTATACATAATATATATTATATATAATTTTTTATATATATGTATACACATGTACACACACAAACACACACATATGCTATATACACACACATATATATGCATATATATACACACACATACATATACACATACATATACATATACATATATACCTACATATATATGTACACAGTCACTGTTCATTTGTATTCACTATTTTGCTTAATTTTGAGGATTATGACACTACTTTTATATGTATTTTAAATGTAAACCTATACTCAGGTTACTATTTATGAAAAAAAGGTTTTGTAGGCGAGTCCGACTTTAAGTTTCATTACATTGCATTGTTTCTATGCATTTTGGGTTTTCAACCGGTAACTAAACTGCCTATGAACTTCTGGAACATAGCCCATTTATAGCCTGGAAATGTAAATAAGTCCCAATATAATTGTCAGACCCACTTATTCGTAAGTGTCATTCCCTGAACTAATTTACATGTTCATTCTTGTCGGCAACATGCAACCTTTAATGACCTTGATGCCCCTGTTAGATTGGCCTGCTTTGCCCCAGTAGGCCATGACACCCTGAAACATTCAGCTTAGAATTAATAATCTATCATAGTAATTAGCAGCCCAGTAGAAATAAAAAGATCACAGCTAAAGTCATAGCTATTTATTTAAGAGCAAATTATTAAGTAGATATTCAAGATTGTTTCTGTGCTCTCAACCTCAGAGAGTGTCCGTGTAAATTGCAAGTTTGCTCTCTCCAACATAAAAGAACCGACAGCAGCAATAAACATTCCTTTCAGGGAAAATATAGGCACTCAATTTAGATAGTTGGCTTCATCAAAAAGTATTGTCCCAGATGGATGTGAATAAACCATACACACACACACACACACACACACACACACACACACACATATACACACCCACATAAACATGTATACACAAAATGGAAACAGTGGCTGGTATTGTTTTTCAATTGATCACAATTGTTTTACTAAAGATTCAATAACATATAAATTTGCTCCAGGAAAATGTAAATTTACAGAAATAATATTTTGTAGATGAATGTAATCTTGATTTTTTTTCTTAACAGTGATGTAGCTGTGAAAAATATGGTTCAGTACAAATAAGTCTATCATTACCATGGATGATGGTCAAAGAATGATACTCCCTAGTACAGACAGAGACAAGCAGTCTTTAATGCCCCATTTAACTACATGAGACTGTTCTGCTCACAATGAATATAATCTATGTGTGTTCTTTTAGGAAAGGAATGTGCCCTGCAGTATAAAATAATACTGCTAGAGCAGCGAATCATCAGATTAGATCAGATTTATTAAATAAATCTTTAGTTCATTTTCTCAATGTACTAACATTTAAGAGAATCAGACATTTGGGAACTTAGCTAATCCAATTTTATCTGGTATTAACCCCAGATATTATTTCTACTCCCTTTGCAGAGCCTGTTTCAGAAATATATCATGTTCGTTAGATTTCCTTTGTCTCATCTGCCTTGTAGTCATGGCCACAGCTGCCAGACCCTGAGCCAGCCCGTGTGGTTCTACCACTTTCGAGGTTGGAACAACCAGCATTATTAACCCAAGTTTGAAAGTTTTTCTTATTTTCAATTTTAACAATACAATAGGAAGAGGAAAGGGGAGAAAAGAAAATAAAAACCCTAAATCTAAAAGTCATATCATATCTACCTTTAACCAAAAGAGAATATCTCTCTAAGATTTAGCCTATGTTCTATATGATAGCATAGGATAAAAATAATATTTTATATTTTTCTAAATTATTTCCCTCAAAACCAGATTTCTTTGATCATTATTCTAACGTTTTCAAGTCATACTACTCATTCTTTTTTCTCATTCTTTCTTTTAATTATTTTTTAAAGAAAAGATTCCCAGGACTGATAGAATACTTGATAATTGCTATTTGTCAGAAATAACTCACTCTTCTAAGAGAGTGAATGGAGAAGCAAATAATTAGAAACACATACATGATGAGTCTTTAAAACCTTTTTTCTGAAAAGAATGTATCTCCCAACAGGATATTATTACCCAACACAATGACAGTCTTTTCTGATGCGATTGCGCAGAATTATTTCCTTCTGCTCTATTCAAAACCATCTATTGGCCAAAGAACTTCTTATCTTTTGACAAATTAAGCTCTAGAGAAAGTACAGTTGATAAAAGAAATTCTGTCTAACGGCTAAACCTGGGAATTAAGTTAGAATTTCCTGGTGTAAGTTGGTCATATGGAGATTTTGTATGTCTCTTGCTCTTCTCAGTTTACTTATCACATCTGAAAAGTATTGCCAAACCGTGAAATAGGATTACCGATCTCATTATTTATAAATTCTTTTTAATACTCAGAGGGGTGTTTTTGCATGGGGATAATAATTTGTCTTCACATTTGGTAATGTTTTGTAATTTGTTACCTATTTAATTCTGTTTCTTCTACTGTTGCTGTATTTAGGTCAATATCTCTTAGGTTTTCAACATAAAAATTAAAATAAGTTACTTTTGGGAAGGTATCATATTTATTACATACCTCAATTATATTTCCTTAAGTGTCTGAGGTAAAAACTGTAAACATTGGGTTATTTAATAAATACTTACTGAATTGGGCAGAGCAATTAAGTATATGTTGTATCACTTGATAAATCTGTCATTTTCCAAACTTCTGCGTGTTGGAAAGTGAACAATCCTACCATTTTTCACTAATTTACCACAATTTATTCCCATCTGTATCTTTTGTCCAAATTTCCTCAGTAGTCATGCAAAACTCCCTTGATTTAGATCTAGTACTTTTGGCAATCTGACATTAGGAAAACTTTTCATTTTCTTCAAATGAAACTTCAGATTAAAGGAAGCTATTGGTGAAGCTGTTCCTCTAAAGTAAAGGTACCTCTGTGCCTCAAATGAACCCCATTTCTGCAGCAGTTTACTGGAAGGGGGGTAATAATGTGGTATACTACTGGAAGGGACTCCATAACTGAATTTTAAATGAAAACTAAACAAACGGAGGTAACACACACTTTCTTTGCTTGTTTGTGATATTTTAAGAACAGAGCTGAATTAGTCACATCTCATATTTGATAGTACACTATTACAATTTGTCTTTTCAGTGTATCTTATTTATTCACACTCTTGTTCCTGTGTATAGGCACCTAGTCTAATGTATTTGATGCATGTACTAGGACATATATACATTCTTGAGAAATATGTTGTATTATTTAGCATATATTTTTATTTTCCCTAAGTAGTAGTATAATTTTGTGCTAGTGCTATTTTTTACTATTTTCATCAACATTCTGTTTATTTTTATTTTATTTTATTTTTGAGACAGTCTCGCTCTGTCACCAGGTTGGAGTGCAGTGGCGCAATCTCAGCTCACTGCAACCTCTGCCTCCTAAGTTCAAATGATTCTCCTGCCTCAGCCTCCTGAGTAGCTGGGACTACAAGTGCACACCACCATACCCAGCTAATTTTTGTATTTTTAGTAGAGACGGGGTTTCACCATGATGGCCAGGATGGTCTGGATGTCTTGACCTCATGATCTGCCCGCCTCGGCCTCCCAAGGTGCTGCGATTACAGGCGTGAGCCACCACACCCGGCCAACATTCTGTTTTAAAGATGTATGTACCTTGTACCTTGCTGGATTATTGCTTAAAACCACTACAGAGTACCACATAGTACTATATAGTATGCATCCATCACATTTGACTTATCTGTTCCCTGAATGATGGGCTTCTAGACTGCTCCCAACTTCTTGTCTAAGCAGCATGCTGTAGCATTTTTACATACAGCCTTTTTTGGATGTCTGTAACAGTTTCTCAGAGCATATACCCAGGAGTGGAACTGCTGGATCATATCATGTAGGTATTCATACCTTTACTAAGTATTGCTATATTATCCTCCAGAATGACTGTACAAATTATATTTCTAATGACTGTGTAAAAAGATTTTCATTTTTTTATATTTCTATAACATTTGGTATATTAGTTATTAATTTATATGTAACAACCCCAAAATCTTGTGATTTAAGACAATATTTATTATTTCACAGTTTCTGTGGATCAGGAGTCTGGTGTGGCTTAGGTCAAAAAGTTATAGTGAAGCTGTGAGCAGGAGCTGTAGTCTCATCTGAATGTTCAACAAGTGGAGAATTCCCTTCCAAATTTATTTATGTGGTTGTTGGTAGGATTTAGTTCTTTATATGCTGTTGAACTGAGGGTGTTGATTTCTTACTAGCTGTTGGCTGGAACCCTTAGTTCCTTGCTACATGGGCCACTGTGATATAACAGCTCACAACATAGTAGCTGATGTCCATCAGTACAAGCAATTGAGAGAGTGAAAGAGAGAAAACGAGACAGGCTAAGACTCAGTTTTCTTATTAGTAAAACGTGGATAATACTAGAGTCTATCATGTGAAATTTTTTTAAAATTTAACAATGTGTATAACACATGGAAATTATTCAACCAATATTTTCTAGTATTATTTTCATTAAACTATGTCTTTTGTGTTGAGGTTTATGTTGAGAATGTGGTGGCAAAAATATGCTCTTGGAGTGCATATCCTGCAAAAATGGAAAGGAATGAAAATAAGACGATTGAAGAGACTATCTGACAGAATTCAGAAAGTCATCAAAGAATCTGAGCCTGACTGGAGTATGGTTAGAATAAAGATTTTGCTGTAAGATCTGCATATTTTTGAATGTATCATTTGGAGAAGAAGAATACTAGGTGGACATGTATTGTTTTATTAGATGAAAATAGAATGTGACTTTCAGTTAGAGAAAATGGTAAGTAGAAAGTATAAAATCAGCTGGATATTAAGAAGTTAAACAACTACCAGAAATTATCTATTATTATGGGTAGGATGATGCTATTTAGTTACTTGGGATTATCCTACTTATTCAAACATCTCTAATACTAAAAAAAAAATAGATAAGAGTGAGTAAATCAACTTTTGTGCTCTCCACAGTAAAGGAGTCATGGAGGCTGCATTTCAGCATGAGGACATGGTAAAATAACATAACAGCAAAAACACTTCAGACCTGTGTTTTAGAAGCAGTGAGAACCTGGTGTTAGGAGCCCTGACAAGGGATCTCTTCGCATGTCCTAGGTTCACAGGGCTCCCATCAGTCAAACCTTGTCAGTCGTCTGCCTTCAATGGTAGTGCAGGGAGACTGGTGTTTTACTGCCATGCATTATTCATCTCAACATAAAGGATAAACTCAGCTTTGTTAACCACTGCTGGAGGGCCCTCAGAGTCAGAGGAGAATATGCGGTTTTGGAATTGTGTTTTGTCATGGGAATGGAAAAAGCAGAGCAGCCATAAGCATTTACCGCTATAATCCAGTTAGTAAAATATGTGTAATCAAAAGTTACTTCTTATGGTATCAGAAAAAAATCTAGAGAAGACCAGAGCAGACACAATTAGTTTTACTTTATTCTGTGCAAGCCTTACTTAAATGAATTCTATTTCTGGACAAAGAATATTCAGTTGAGCAGCCTAGAAAGTAGATAAGGAAAAGATATAAAGAATGCTGAACTATGTTAAAAAATCTAAAAGCATCCTGTTTGGAATTTCAGCCTTTGACAGGCAGTGAATTAAACAGTAAGATAGTTAACACATGCAGAATTTATTAAATAAGTTTATATAGTGAAAATGACTGGGATTATCAGCGACCACCTCTATCTTGGTCCTTTTGGGCTGCTATAACAAAATACCATAGACTGGGTGGCTTATAAACAACAGAAATTTCATAGACAACGGCCTTTTCTCTGTAATATCACGAGGTGGAAGGGGCAAGGGATGTCTCTGGAGCCTCTTTTATAAAGGCACTAATCCCATTCATAAGAGTCCCACCTTCACGACATAATTACTTCCCAGTGCCCAAACATTTTTTAATGCCATGCCCTTGGAGTTTAGGATTTCAACATATAAATTCTGGGGGAACAAAAATGTTCAGACCATAGCAGCCTGTAAGCACACATGATGGGGAGGTGGGGTGAAAGAGAGAGGAAATAAACAAGGGACATTAATTCTTTAACTGTAATAATTTAACTCTCAGTTAAAGCTGTAATATAAACCGACATTTACCGAAATGTTTAAAGTGTTAGTTCAATAACTAACCTTTCTTTGTTTGTAAGTAAAATATATTTGAATATACTATGTGCTGTTAAAGTTTATACATTTTTATTATAAAAGTAATATATGCTCATTGAAAGAAACTTAGAAATTGAATGAGCAACAGGGAGAGAAGACATCACCCAAACATAACTACTACTCATATTATTTTTACGTATACTCTTAGCTTTTCCTCTATATTAATGTATAACTTTATATTGTTTTGAGCATAACCTTTTATAATGTTATAAAAACAATAAAAACCAAACAAAATGAGTTTTGTGTATGTTTTGTGAGGTTTTTAAAAACCGTAATGAATGTCATTTTCCATGTCATTTTTCCCTTTTTTTCTTAAATTAAACTGCTTTTATTTTACATTTTAAAATTTATATAAATTTTATGGAGGATGTGTGAAATTTCATTATGTGGATATACTTACAGCATAGTAATCAAGTCAGGGTATTTAAGGCATCCATCACCCAAGTACAATAACTTTTTGTTTACTATAGTCACCCTACTCTGCTATCAAATATTGAATATATTTATTCTAACTGTATGTTTTTACCCTTTAACCTAATTCTTTTTATCCTTCCCCCACTCACCCTTTCTAGTATCTTATTCACTTTTCCACTTTCTGCATGTGATGAAATTTTTTCTCTCTCACATATGTGTCGGAACATGTAATATTTGTCTTTTTGTGCCTGGCTTATTCACTTAGGAGAGTGACTTCCAGTTCCATGCATTTTACTGAAAATGACACATTTTTTATGGATCAATAATATACCATTGTGTATATATACCACATTTAAAAAAATCTATTCATTTGTTTGTAGACACTTAGGTTGATGCCATATCTTTGCTATTGTGGATAGTGCTGTGATAAACATGTGAGTGCAGGTATCCCTTTGATATATTGACTTTGCCAACAGTATTAGTCTTCTTTCACGCTGCTGATAAAGACATACCTGAGACTGGGAAATTTACAAACGAAAGAGGTTTAATTGGACTTACAGTTCCATGTGGCTGGGGAAGCTTCACAATCATGGTGGAAGGCAAGGAGGAGCAAGTCACATCTTACATGGATGGCAGCAGGCAAAGAGAGAGAGCTTGTGCAGGAGAACTTTCATTTTTAAAGTCACCAGATCTTGTGAAACTTATTTAATATCATGAGAACAGCACAATAAAGACTTGCCTGCATGATTAAATTACCTCCCGCTGAGTCCCTCCCAAAACGCGTGGTAATTCAAGATAAGATTTGGGTGGGAGCACAGCCAAACCATATCATTCCACCCCTGGCTTCTCCCAAATCTCACATCCTGACATTTCAAAACCAATCATGCCTTACCAACAATCCCCCAGAGTCTTAATTCATTTCAGCATTAACTCAAAAGTCCATAGTCCAAAGTCTCCTCAGAGACAAGGCAAATCTCTATGAGCTTGTAAAAAGAAAAGCAGGTTAGTTAGTGGGGTACAAACATAGGGTGAATCCAGCCATTCCAAATAGGAGGAATTGGCCAAAACAAATGGGCTACAGGCCCCATGCAAGTCCAAAATCCAGGGGGGCAGTGAAATCTTAAAACTCCAAAATGATCTCCTTAAACTCCATGTCTCATATCCAGGTGATGCTGATGCAAGAGGTAGTTTCCCATGGTCTTAGACAGCTCTACCCCTCTGGCTTTGCATGGTGTAACCTCCCTCTCAACTGCTTTCATGGGCTGGCATTGAGTGTCTGTAGCTTTTCCAGGTGTGCAGTGCAAGCTGTCAGTGGATCTGTCATTCTGGAGTCTGGAAGATTGTGATCCTCTTCTCATAGCTCCATTAGGCAGTGCCCCAGTGGGGACTCTCCACAATTCTCTTCTGCACTGCCCTAGCAGAGGTTCTCTATGAGGGCCCTACCCTTGAGGCAAACTTCTGCCTGGACATCCAAGCATTTCTGTACATCTTCTGAAATCTAGGCAGAGGTTCCCAAACCTCAATTCTTGACTTCTGTGCACTGGCAGATTCAATACCATGTGGAAGCTGCCAAGGCTTGGGGCTTGCAACCCATGAAACCACTGCCTGAGCTCTCTGTTGGCCCCTTTCAGCCATGGCTGCAGTGGCTACAACACAGGGCACCAAGTCCCTAGGCTACACACAGCACAGGAACATTGAGTCTGGCCCATGAAACAAATTTTTCCTTCTAGGTCTTTGGGCCTGTGATGGGAGGAGCTGTTGTGAAGACCTCTGACATGCGCTAAAGACATTTTCCTCATTGTCTTAAGGGATTAACATTTGGCTTCTCATTACTTATGCAAATTTCTGCATCCAGTTTGAATTTCTCCTCAGAAAATGGGATTTTCTTTTCTATCACATTGTCAGGCTGTAAATTTTCTGAACTTTTATTCTCTTATTCCCTTATAAAACTGAATGCTTTTCACAGTACCTAAGTCGTATCTTGAATGCTTTTCTGCTGGGAAATTTCTTCCACCAGACACCCTAAATCATCTCAAGTGAAAGTTCCACAAATCTCTTGGGTACAGGCAAAATGCCGCCAGTCTCTTTGCTAAAACATGCAAGAAGTCACCTTTGCTCCAGTTCCCAACAAGTTCCTTATCTCCATCTGAGACCACCTCAGCCTGGATTTCATTGTCCATATCATTATCAGCACTTTGGTCAAAGCCATTCAACAAGTCTCTAGGGAGTCCAAACTTTTCTACATTTTTCTGTCTTATTCTGAGCCCTCCAAATTGTTCCAACCTCTGCCTGTTACCCAGTTCCAAAGTTGTTTCCACATTTTCAGGTGTCTTTTCAGCAGTGCCCCACTTTACTGGTACCAATTTACTGTGTTGGTTTGTTTCCATGCTGCTGATGAAGACATACCCGAGACTTGGAAATTTACAAAAGAAATAGTTTTATTTGGACTTACAGTTTCACATGGGTGGGGAAACCTCACAATCATGGTGGAAGGCAAGTCACGTCTTACATTAATGGCAACAGGCAAAGAGAGAGCTTGTGCAGGGGAACTCTTTTTAAAACCCTCAGATATCATGAGACTTATTCACTATCATGAGAACAGCATGGGAAAGACTTGCCCCCATGATTCAATTACCTCCCACCAGGTCCCTCCCACAATATGTGAGAATTCAAGATGAGATTTGGGTGGTGACACAGCCAAACCATATCAAGTATATAAGAGTTACTTTTCTCTCTGCATTCTCACCAACATCTGTTATATTTTGTCTTTTTAGTAATAGCCATTGTGACTGGGGTAAGATTATTATTTTGGATTCAATTTTAATTTCTCTGATGATTAGTGATGTTCAGCATATTTTCATATAGTTATTGGCCATTTGTATATCTTCTTCTGAGAAATGTCTGTTATTTGCCTACATTTTTAATGACATTATTTATTTTCCTGTTGAGTTGTTTATTGTTACAAACTTCCATCTTAACACTGCCTTTGCTATATACCATAAGTTTTGGTATGTGGTATTTCCATTTTCACTTGTTTCAATAATTTTTTTGATTTCCATCTTAATTCTTTTGTTGGTCCACTTGTAATTCAGGAGCAGGTTGTTTAATTTCTATGTATTCATGTAGTTTTTAAAGTCCTTCTTGGTATTGATTATTAGTGTTGTTCCATTGTGGTCTGAGAAGATACTTGATATAATTTTAATGTTAAAATATATGTTGAGACTAGTTTTGTGTACTAATATATGTTCTATCATGGAGAATATTCCATGTGATGTTGAAAAGAATATATATTCTGCTATTGTTGAATAGGATGTTTTATAAATGACTGTTAGGTCTATTTGGTTAAATGTACTGTTTAAATCCAATGCTTCTTTGTTGACTTCCTGGCTAGATAATTTGTCTAATGCTTGAAGTGGGATGTTAAAGTCTATCTCTCTATATCTATTAATATTGACTTTATGAATATGGGTGCTACAGTGTTGGGTACATGTATATTTAAAATTGTTATATTATCTTGTTGGATTGTTCCATTTATCATTATATAATAACCTTCTTAGTCTTTTTTTTAAACTGTTTTTAACTTAAAGTAAAGTCTGTTTTATTTGATACAACTATAGCTATACCTGCTTGATTTTGTTTTTGCTTGCATGGAGTATCCATTTCCATCCCTTCACTTTCACTAGTAAGGTTAGTTTCTTGTAAGCAGCAAACAGTTGCATTATTTTTTATCATCCATTTAGCTATTGTATATCTTTTAAGTGGAAAATGTAATCTTATTACATTAAAGTTATTATTGATAAATGAGGCTTTATCCCTGTCATATTATTAATTAATTAGTGGTTGTTTGATATATTTTTTGTTCTTTCTCTTTCTTTTATTGTCATTGGTTTGGTGGATTTCTTTAGTGGTACCATTTAAGCCCTTTCTCATCCTTATTTGCATGATTGCCTTACTAATAAGTTTTTTTTATTTTTTAAACATTACTTTTAATTTAATTGACTTTTTAAAAACTTTTAAGTTCAGGGTTACAATTACAGGTTTATTATATAGGTAAATTGCATGTCATGCCAGCTGGAAGTTTTATACTTTCATGTTTTCATGATGGTAAGTGTTATTCTTTTACTTCCAGGCTTAGGACTCCTTTGAGCATTTCTTGTAAGGCCAGTCTAGTAGTAACTAATTTACTTAGCATTTTCTTGTCTGAGAAAGACTTTATTTCTCTTTCATTTATGAAGGATAATTTTACTGGATATACTATTCTTACTGGGCAGTTTTTATTGTCTTTCAACACTTTGACTATATAAACCCACTTTGTTCTAGTCTGTAAGGTTTCTGCTGAGAAAACTCCTGTTTAGTTTCTAGCCTGTAAGTTTTCTGCTAAGAAAACTTCTGTCTTAGTCTGATGGGATTTTTCTTATAGGTGACTAGACACTTTTGTCTTGTGATTTGTATGATTCAATCCTTATCTTTGATTTTAGACAGTCCAACTATTATGTGCAGTGAGTAAGATCCTTTTGCATCATATCTGCTTGGAGATCACTGACCTCCTGTATCTGGATGTTTAAATCTCTTGCTAGATTTGGGGAACTTTCATCTATTATTTTGTTAAAGAGGTTTTCTAATTCTTTTGTTCTCTCTTTACACTTGGAGATACCAATAACTCAAATATTCAGTCACTACACATTGTCCCAAAGATCATGAAGGCTTTGCTAATTCTCTTTTATTCTTTTCCTTTACTTTTACCTGATTGCATTATTTCAACAGACACATCTTCAAGTTTTGAGATTTATTCTTCTGCTTGATCTAGCCTATTGTTGAGAGTTTCAAATGTATTTTGTATTTCTTTTAATGAATTTTTCCTTTCTAGAATTTTTGTGTGGTCCTTTAAAAAAATCAATCACTGGTAAATGTTTTATTTAAGTCCTGAATGAAACATTCTGAATCTGAAGTTTTCAGATTTCTTTGTATTGTTTTTCAGAATTCTCTTGTATTTCAATTAACTTCTTTAAAATCAATTTTTAGAGAGCATTAGGCCAAATACCTAATGCATTTGGGGCTTAAAACCCAGATGATGGGTTGATAGGTGCAGCAAACCACCATGGCACATTTATACCTATGTAGTAAACCTGCACATTCAACACATGGATCCCTGAAATTAAAGTAAAATAAAAAAAATATTTTGAATTCTTTATCTGGTATTTCAAGAATTTGTTTTCAATTAAAATCTATCGTTAGTACTATTATGTTCCTTTGGAGGTGTCATATTTACTTGCTTTTTTATGTTTCCTGTGTCTTTGAGTTGATATTTGTACATCTGGTATAACAGTTACTTCTTCCTTTTTACTTCTTATTTTTAACTTACTTTCATAGGAAAGGACTTTTTCCTGAAAATATATCTGTGCTGTTAGTTGGGTAGGGCACTTTGGCTTTGATTTTGAGTGCACACAATAGTGTTGTCTCTATATGAATTCTTTGGCTGTTAATGACATTAGTGGTATTTGTGATTTCCTTAGTGGGTTAGCGTGCAGTTATTAGTGGTAGCTGTCTTGAAGTCATGCTGGGCACTGGGATACCAGGTGGAGCAGTCATCAGGTCTCTGTGGTGGTAGTGGTGAGCTAAACATGTCCATCCTTGGATCCCTGGGCAGTATGCCTTGGCTCTGGGGTTGGCAGTTACCATCAGGTAACTTCCTGGGCCTCCAGGAGGCTTGCTTGAATGCCAGTGATAGCAGCAGTAGACTATACAACTGAATGGGTTCTCAGGCTCCTTGGCAGCTGGTGTGGCTTGGGCAATGATAGTAGTAGTGGAAGGACAATTCTCTAGGACCTAAATAGTGTAATTTATTCATGTGGGTGGCTGCAATGGTCTGGGAATGCCATTCTGCATGCCTGCAGGTGGTGCCAACAAATAGGTGCCAGCTGAGTTGGTAGTAGTCAGGAATTTAGGCCCAACCTCAGGCCCCCAGCATGAGTTCTCAGGTGCTTATTATAGTGGACTGGATTGGGCAATCCCCAGGGCCCTGGTCTATGTGTTCTCTTTTTGTGGGAAGGGCAAAGCTGGCCTAGGTGGTCTTGTGCTCAGGGACCCTCATGGTGAGAGCAGACACTACCTGTGGTGGGTGTGGGTGGAGTGATCCTCAGGCCCAAGGCAGAATGGTTAGGTAAAGGGCAGTAGCAGCAGTGCTGATGCCCTGCCACTGACAGGGTGGAGCCAGCCTCAGTGGCCACAGCCTGGGCAAGTGGGTGGGGAACATGTGTCCTCTGACACCCCAGTGTCAGTGGGTATAACTTTTCAGCCCTGGTAGTGGTAACCTGCACCTATCTCGTGCCTTAGCCCCAGCTACAAGAGTCCTTGTCCAGCTCACAAATAATTCCCAGAGTCAAGATATGCTCTGCTCATTTCCCAGTCTCAGGGCTGGCAGTGCTTGCTTCCCAGCCCTGGCAGATAAAGTGCACACTTTACTTGCTTCTCAGGCATGGCTGCGGTAGCCTATTCCTAGCTTGTGACCCAGTCTCAGCAGTGACAACCCGAGGTTCCCTTATCCTTCAGTCCTGACTGGGGCCCAAGACTGTATAGTGTCTGTTAAAGGCTAGGTTTAAAAATAGAACCTTGCTGTAGCCACTTAGGTCTCAGAGAGGGTGTGGGACCCTGCATGAGCTCCCCGCTGGAGTAGTTCTGTCTCACAGTCTTCCAGCAGCTCCTGTGTTCATTTCAGGACTTGGGATGGTCGAGGGGCCCTCTCGTGGCCAGGATTGGATGGCAATGTGGGCTGCTGGAAGTCTCATGCTTACCCTTTCCCTGTGTTGGGAAGTCATTCTCGGCTCCCAGCCAATCCTGGCTAAGTAGGCTACTTCTCTTCCTTCTCCTTTCTTGCATTTGGTGTTTTCTGTCACTTTTCTGTTGCATACCAGTGTTCTCTTGGATGATGTATTTGAAGTGTGATTGTCTGTATACCATTTTGGTTCTTCTCAATGGAGGAGGCAAGCATGAAATGCTAGTCAGCCATCTTGAAGTTCCTTAAATATTCTTTTTCAATATTTTAAATAGCTTGGTAGTTTACTATTTAAGATGAACATTCTTATGCCTATATCTTTCTGCATATCCATGATTGTCTTTTTAGAATAAATTTTAGAAATTAAAAAATTAAACAGTTTTAAAATTTTGATGTCTTTAGTGCATATTATAAAACTTTCCAGAAAGGTAATTCTACTTTGTGTTATGCAAAAAGTGTTTGAGTGTATTTTCTTGCACTTCCCTTCCACCATCACCAAGAAACTTAATTGCTCTGTTTTTATTCTAATATTTATTATTCTATTGTAGTTTAATTCATATGACATTCCTCATCAATAAAACTGAATATTATATAAATTTATTGATTATAATTTTTTTAGAAAACATTTTCTATTCCAGATCTTTGGCCATTTTTGATGTTTTATTTCAATTTTTAAAAATTTTCAAGTAAATTTATATAGTACTGAATTTAATTCATCATATATGTTGCAAATAATCCTCTAGGCTATAGTTTGCCTTTAATTTTTTAAAGGATTTTATTAGTATAAGTTTTTGATGTGGTCAAATTGACCAATTTTTTTCTCCATGCCTTTCATTTTTTTTTTTTAATTATTATACTTTAAGTTTTGAGGTACATGTGCAGAACATGCAGTTTTGTTACATAGGTATACACATGCCATGGTGGTTTGCTGCACCCAACAACTCGTAATCTATATTAGGTATTTCTCCTAATGCTATCCCTCCCCTAGCCCCCACTACCTGACAGGCCCTGTCGTGTGATGTTCGCCTCCCTGTGTCCATGTGTTCTCATTGTTCAACTCCCACTTATAAGTGAGAACATGTGATGTTTGGTTTTCTGTTCTTGTGTTAGTTAGCTGAGAATGATGGTTTCCAGCTTCATCCATGTCCCTGCAAAGGACACGAACTCATCCCTTTTCATGGCTGCATAATATTCAATGGTGTATGTGTGCCACATTTTCTTTATCAGTCTATCATTGATGGGCATTTGTGTTGGTTCCAAGTCTTTGCTATTGTGAATAGCGCTGCAATCAAAATACATGTGCATGCATCTTTATAGTAGAATAATTTATAATCCTTTGGGTATATACCCAGTAATGGGATTGCTGGGTCAAATGGTATTTCTGGTTCTAGATCCTTGAGGAATCACCACACTGTCTTCCACAATGGTTGAACTAATTTACACTCCCAGCAACAGTGTAAAAGCGTTCCTATTTCTCCACATCCTCTCCAGCATCTGTTGTTTCCTGAGTTTTTAATGATCGCCATTCTAACTGGTGTGAGATGGTATCTCATTGTGGTTTTGATTTGCATTTCTCTAGTGACCAGTGATGATGGCTTTTTTTCATATGTTTGTTGGCCACATAAATGTCTCCTTTTGAGAAGTGTCTGTTCGTATCCTTTGCCCACTTTTTGATGGGGTTGTTTTTTTTCTTGTAAATTTGCTTAAGTTCCTTGTAGATTCTGGATATTAGCCCTTTGTCAGATGGATAGATTGCAAAAAATTTCTTCTATTCTGTAGGGTGCCTGTTCACTCTGATGATAGTATCCTTTGCTGTGCAGAAGCTCTTTAGTTTAATTAGGTCTCATTTGTCAATTTTGGCTTTTGTTGCCATTGCTTTTGGTGTTTTAGTCATGAAGTGTTTGCCCATGCCTATGTCCTGAATGGTAATGCCTGGGAAAACCTAGGCAATATCCTTCTCTATACCTTTCTAAATTAATAACTTTCACTCTAAAATATTTACCTTTTTTTTTGAGATGCAGTCTCGCTCTGTTGCCAAGATGGAGTGCAGGGGCATGATCTTGGTTCACTGCAACCTTCGACTCCCTGGTTCAAGCTGTTCTCCTGCTTCAGCCTCCCAAGTAGCTGGGATTACAGGCACATGCCACCATGTTCAGCTAATTTTTGTATTTTTAGTAGAGATGGGGTTTCACCATGTTGGCCAGGATGGTCTCGATCTCCTAACCTCGTGATCCCCCCACCTCGGCCTCCCAAAGTACTGGGATTACAGGCATGAATGACCACGCACAGCCAAATATTTACCTATTTTATACTACATAGTTTACTTTATTTTTTACATTAAAATATTTAATCCAGATTTTATTATTTTGTGATTTGTGGATTGAGGCAATGAACATCAATGGTTGGTTAATTATTCACCTTTCCCATACTGATTGAAAAATATCATTTTTATCACTTAATATAAATGTCTGTTCATCTTTGAATTTTCCATCCTGTTCCGTGGATCTGGTTATTCTTCCTCTGGCAGTATCACACTATTTAATTTAGGTCAGGTTTTTATTATAATACATTTTGGAAGCTGAAGGTAATAATCCTTGTAATTATTCCCCCTTCTCTTTTGTTTTGTTTTCTTTTATTTATTTATTATTTGTGTGTGTGTGTGTGTGTGTGTGTGTGTGTGTGCATGTGTGTGCTGTACTAGTAAGTAAAATGCTGGATATTGACTTAATGTAGATATCCTTTATCATCTCAATAAGTATGTTTCTATTGACAGTGTACAGAAGCTTTTATTTTCTTTTTTACAGGATGTTAACGTTTATTGACTTTTTGGGAACTATGTAGTTATGTATTTGTTTCCCCTTAACCATTTATTTATAAATCTGATATATTTATAGATTTCCAATTGTTAAACTGAAGAGTATTTTTGGCTATTCTCTTTTGGTTATGTTCTCATAATCTACTGTAGATTTTCAAACCTTTATTAACTGAGTCAGGTCGTGTGTGTGTGTGTGTGTGTGTGTGTGTGTGTGTGTGTGTGGTATTCATCTTGACTTCCTATCATATTTAGGGTTACTCTAAAACATGAGTTGGGGCCTTTCAGTATTGTTTTATGCAGTTTAATACTGGAACTATCTGTTTTTCAAGGTCGGAGGGAAATTTTTCCTTCACAACTGCTTTCTAAACTGTCTTCTACTGACACATTTTTGGACAACTTTTTCAATTCCTTCCATAGTTATTCATCATTCCCTGTTTCAAATCAATAAATATGTCAGTTATAATAATTTGCATTTTTTCTATTAGACATAAATTCTATTTTTACAATTTCATTATGGAAGTTGGATGTCAATTTTTATTTTGTGGTTTATGTTTAAATTATTTCAGTGTAATTGCAATGAGAAAATATGGCTTCCTTTTCAAAATTCAAATAAAGATATAATTCAGTCTGGATAAGCATTAGCTGAAATAAGAAACTGGGACTAGTGTTTTTCTCTGCTACTTACTTATTTCAATGCTTATGGTTTGCTTTACTAAAATATACTTGTTCGGTAGGGTAGAAATTCCTCCTTCTATAGTTATGGAAGTCATGGAGGTTTTAATAGCACTTTCATAGTCACACCAATTTCAATGTTTTCCAACAGAATAGTCTAGCCTTGTCCTCTTTGAGCTAATGATTGCACAACAGCCAGAATAAGCAACTTCAAACAGAAAGGGGAACATCTAATTCTCCTTCTCACTATTTAAGTCTTCCCATTGCACTTAGGGTAATGTACAGGATTCTTGCTTTGCAGAAGGTTCTGCGTAATCCAACTCCAGCCTACATCATTCTTGGCTTTCTGTGGTCTCATGATCTCACCATGCTCTGGACACACAGATTTCCCCTTATGTTCCTTTACACCAGACACTCCTGCCTGCTCTACAGCCTTGGCCCATTCTCTTCCTCTGCGTGGAACACTCTTGCCTCCCTGCAGCACTTAGCAGCGTCCTGCCATCCTTTGGTTCTCAGCTTCAAAAGGCCACTACCTCAGTGAGCCCTCCCAGCACCCTCTTAGCCCCTCTGAATTAGATCTCCATGTTGTACTCTCTGATAAGCCCCTGGTTAATCTCATGAACTCTGGGGGAAGGATGGATTTAAATTCTGGATCTACTATTCATTAGCTTTGTGATTCTGGGCAAGTTATTTAAACTTTCTGTATTTCAGTTTCCCTATTTATAAAATAGAAATAAAAATACCTACTTCCCGTGATGATTAGGAATTTCTACTCTATCAAACAAGAGTCTAAATGACTACACACACACAGATGAAGATCGTAAAACAGTGCTTGGCACATGTAAATACTTGCTGTTTTAGACTTCATTATTATTTCTTTTATATTATATAACTTAGTTTACATAACTATGCATTTGTAGAAATGCTTGTTTCATGTCTATTTTACCTCACTAGACTGTAAGCCTTGGGAGAGTAGGGTCTGGGCTTATTCATCCATATACCAGTTCCTGACAAAAGGATGTAGATATATATCTTGAATAAATGATTATTTATTGCTTTATTTATGTTCTTATTTCTTTGTACTTAATACTCTTGTAAACTTTGCTAAAACCTTTCAAGAAACATTTTCTCTTCATTTAATAGGTAAAAATTAAGGCTGTGACAATTGCATCCCTGTTTTAATGATACAGTTTAGTATTTTCATCGACTATTTTCCCCAAGTACTTTCACCAGATATCCAGTTTTATGGTGCAGGGATGGATTAATACAATGAAGTGATTTTTATCACACAATCTCTTGCTGTGATAATTTTTTTCCTTTTTTATTGGTCCTCATCTTGAATCCTTTTAATTTTCACAGCAGATAGTGGTTGAATGGGGTAGGGAAGATAAAATTTTTCACTATTGGCAGGATTCAACACCAAACCTATAAAACACTTCCATTTCCAGTGGTGTGGCTTCTCTCTTGTTGTCTTCTGGCATCCCCTTGCCACCTGGATACTTTAGTTGTACTGTTGGAGATGTCTGTGTTATTTAACTTTTTCTAGCACATACAACATCAATGACACTTTCAGCCTCTGGGAATGCCTGTGATATATGCTTGCCACAATGCACTCTGCTAAACATTCAGTTGAGCAAATGAGTAACAACACATGAGACAGCGATCCTGCTAGAGGACTTTCTCATAGTTTACTGGTGATGACAGCAAGTGGGAGGAAGCCGAACACCACTGTGAGGGCATGCCACCCATTAGATAGAAATGGAGGACTGTCCCTGCTAATGTGGGTGCTCCCACAACAGATGTGAAGAGGAAATTGTCAACAGAGAGGCAATTCCCTGCCTCAGTTTCCTCTGTCTGTTGCTCCCTGCAGAGTGCTTATCAGCTATCAACCCACTGCACTGGCCAAGGTTTAGAAACCACACTAAACAAAAGTCATCTTTTCTCCCCTCTACCGGACCTAAATGATTTACTATGCACTCAGACAAACTCTGATGGAACCTGTCTCAATTCACCATGGGACCAAAAATCTTTATTGTGTAAAGATGAACAAATGGAGGAAAACAGAAGCTGGAGAAAATTTAGCAGCTAAAAAAAATGTCCATCTGAGTCAGTGTCTTCCTACGAAGCAGAGTTTTTATGAGAAATGCATGCAACTGTGGAAAATATTGAATTTGCATTGCCAATGACTGCTGAGAGAACTTAGCATCTATGAAAGCAGAAAGACCTGCCAAGATAGAGAAATCCAGAAAGATTACTTGAATGGTACAAACTACTCCTGGGGTGAGCTTATTTCCTTTTACCTCGGCTGTGATAATAATTTGAAATGAGGGTGAGATACTTAAATGGCAAATCACTGCATTTACTGAAGAAGCCACCTTATTCATCTCTATCTAGATTTTCTATAACTCCTCTTCCCATTTGGTGCAAAGAAGACCTCATCTTCAAATTGGGAATAACAAACTTAGCTCATTTCCAACACCACTGGTATCTCAGGCACAGATGCCAAGTGGGAGGGTCTGACTCAACTCCCCTTACAAAGTATTCATATTATACACACGCTACAGAACTATGCCATTATATTAGTTTCCTAGAACTGCTGCAACAAAGTACCACAAATGATGTAGCTTAAAACAACAGAAATTAATTTTCTCACAGTTCTTGAGGCCAGAAATCTGAAATCCAGGTGTCAGCAGGGCCACACCCCTACTGAATGCTCTAGGGGAGGATCCTTTCTTGCCTCTTCCTAGTTTCTGGTGGTTGTTGGCAATCCTTGGCATTCCTTGGCTTGTGGACACATCACTAATCTCTACCTCTGTCATCCCATGGTGTTCTCATTCTGTGTGTGTACTCTGCATTTTCACATGACATTCTCCCTGTGCGTCTAAGGGAGCATGTGATCTGAATCAGTGTCTTCCTATGAAGCAGAGTTTTTATGAGAAATGCATGCAACTATGGAAAATATTGAATTTGCATTTCCAATGACTTCTGAGAGAACTTAGTATCTGTGAAAGCAGAGAGAGTTGTCAAGATAAAGAAAGATAAATCCACAAAGATTACTTGGACGCTACAAACTACCCTTGGGGTGAGCTTTATTTCCTTTCTTTTTTTTTTTCTTCATAAAGACATGAGTCCACCCTAATCTAGTATGACCTCATCTTAATTACATTTTTAAAGATCTGATTTCCAAATAAGATCACATTCACATGTCTTTTGGTGGAACACGATTCTTTTCATTATTTTTAATGTTTTTAAATTGACAGATAAAATGGTATATATTTGTAATATACAACATGATGTTTTGATGTATGTATACATTATAGAATGGCTAAATCAAGTCCCTAACATACTTATTACCTCACACACTTTTTTTTTTTTTGTGGTGAGAACATGTGAAATCTACTCTCTTAACAATTTTCAAGTATACAATATACTGTGATTAACTAATGGTCACTGTGACCTACAGTAGATCTTTTGAACTTATTCCTTCCATCTAACTGAAATTTCATCTTTTGACCAACATTTTCCCAATCTTCCTATTCCCAGCCTCTGTTAACCACCATTCTATTCACTGTTTCTGATTTATACTTTCTTAAAGTCTACAAGTAAGTGAGATCATGCAGTATTTGTCTTTCTGTGCCTGGTTTCTTTAACTTAGCATGATGTCCTCTAGGTTCATCTATGTCGTCAAAAATGACAGCATTTCCTTTTTTATTAAAGGTTGAATAGTATTTCATTGTGTATAGGTACCATATTTTCTTTATCCATTTATCCTTTGATGGACACTTAGATTGATCTTATATCTTGGCTATTGCGACTAATGCTGCAATAAACAGGAGTGCAGATACCTAGATTTTATGTCCTTTGGATTTACCCAGTAGTGAGATTGCTGGGTCATTCGATATTTCTATTTTTAATTTTTTGAGGAATCTCCATGCTGTTTTCCACACTGATTGTATTAGTTTGCATTCTCACCGACAGTATACAAAGATTCTGTGGGACATCATTCCTCCCACTATTGTCATCCAGCAACTACATATCAGGTAGTCATCGGACAAGGCCTTTTCTTGATCCCCAGGTTCTGTTTCGCCAGGTCTAGGAGGATATTCATGTAAACATACTTTACCACAATATATGTCTAAGCTGTATCATTTAAAATCTCATCCAAAACTCTCTAAGATTTGTGGGGTTCTAAGCCACGCCCAAACCACTTAATACATTGTTGTAGTGAAGATTTACTAAATATTTTGAATAGTAAATATACAGTAGTAAAATTTCTACTTAGGTCTTTTATCTATCTCAATGTTGCCAATGTTTGGGTCTCTGGAGTCTTAAGATTAGTCCAAGTGTACACAAGACAGAGATGCCCTCTCTCACCACTCCTATTCAACATAGTGTTGGAAGTTCTGGCCAGGGCAATTAGGCAGGAGAAGGAAATAAAGGGTATTCAATTAGGAAAAGAGGAAGTCAAATTGTCCCTGTTTGCAGATGACATGATTGTATATCTAGAAAACCCCATTGTCTCAGCCCAAAACCTCCTTAAGCTGATAAGCAACTTCAGCAAAGTCTCAGGATACAAAATCAATGTACAAAAATCACAAGCATTCTTATACACCAATAACAGACAAACAGAGAGCCAAATCATGATTGAACTCCCATTCACAATTGCTTCAAAGAGAATAAAATACCTAGGAATCCAACTAACAAGGGACGTGAAGGACCTCTTCAAGGAGAACTACAAACCACTGTTCAATGAAATAAAAGAGGATACAAAGAAATGGAAGAACATTCCATGCTCATGGGTAGGAAGAATCAATATCGTGAAAATGGCCATACTGCCCAAGGTAATTTATAGATTCAATGCCATCCCCATCAAGCTACCAATGGCTTTCTGCACAGAATTGGAAAAAACTACTTTAAAGTTCATATGGAACCAAAAGAGAGCCCGCATCGCCAAGTCAATCGTAAGCCAAAAGAACAAAGCTGGAGGCATCACACTACCTGACTTCAAACTATACTACAAGGCTACAGTAACCAAAACAGCATGGTACTGGTACCAAAACAGAGATATAGATCAATGGGACAGAACAGAGCCCTCAGAAATAATGCCACATATCTACAACTATCTGATCTTTGACAAACCTGAGAAAAACAAGCAAGGGGGAAAGGATTCCCTATTTAATAAATGGTGCTGGGAAAACTGGCTAGCCATATGTAGAAAGCTGAAACTGGATCCCTTCCTTACACCTTGTACAAAAATTAATTCAAGATGGATTAAAGACTTAAACGTTAGACATAAAACCATAAAAACCCTAGAAGAAAACCTAGGCATCACCATTCAGGACATAGGCATGGGCAAGGACTTCATGTCTAAAACACCAAAAGCAATGGCAACAAAAGCCAAAATTGACAAATGGGATCTCATTAAACTAAAGAGCTTCTGCACAGCAAAGGAAACTACCATCAGAGTGAACAGGCAACCTACAAAATGGGAGAAAATTTTCACAACCTACTCATCTGACAAAGGGCTAATATCCAGAATCTACAATGAACTCAAACAAATTTACAAGAAAAAAACAAAAAACCTTATCAAAAAGTGGGCGAAGGACATGAGCAGACACTTCTCAAAAGAAGACATTTATGCAGCCAAAAAACACATGAAAAAATGCTCACCATCAGTGGCCATCAGAGAAATGCAAATCAAAACCACAATGAGATACCACTCACACCAGTTAGAATGGCAATCATTAAAAAGTCAGGAAACAACAGGTGCTGGAGAGGATGTGGAGAAATAGGAACACTTTTACACTGTTGGGGGGACTGGAAACTAGTTCAACCATTGTGGAAGTCAGTGTGGCGATTCCTCAGGGATCTAGAACTAGAAATACCATTTGACCCAGCCATCCCATTACTGTGTATATACCCAAAGGACTATAAATCATGCTGCTATAAAACACATGCACACGTATGTTTATTGCGGCACTATTCACAATAGCAAAGACTTGGATCCAACCCAAATGTCCAACGATTATAGACTGGATTAAGAAAATGTGGCACATATACACCATGGAATACTATGCAGCCATAAAAAATGATGAGTTCATGTCCTTTGTAGGGACATGGATGAAATTGGAAGTCATCATTCTCAATAAACTATTGCAAGGACAAAAAAACACCGCATGTTCTCATTCATAGGTGGGAATTGAACAATGAGAACACATGGACACAGGAAGGGGAACATCACACTCTGGGGCCTGTTGTGGGGTGTGGGGAGTGGGGAGGGATAGCGTTAGGAGATATACCTAATGCTAAATGGCAAGTTAATGGGTGCAGCACACCAGCATGGCACACGTATACATATGTAACTAACCTGCACATTGTGCACATGTACCCTAAAACTTAAAGTATAATAATAAAAAAAAATTAGTCCAAGTGTAGACACCACTATAGTTTGCATGATATGCAATGTATTTATTCTTTGACCTCCAGAACCTCAACCCATCACAGACCACAGTTTCTGGGACCCCTTATTTTCAGCACTTTGTATAGGGAATTACTTCCCAAAGTAATGGGTGAGGTTTTGACAAAAGATAAATATCCACCCTAATATCTGTTTCTCCAATGGATGCAGTAAGTTTAGTTTTCTGAATTGATTAGAAAGGATTCATTTTTTACCGAAGAATCTCTATTTCAACAGCTATTCGTCAGTAAATGCCAGAGCTTTTGTCAGAATTGGAAGCTTTCTTGATATGCTGTTGGACATAAATTCGGATCAACTTCCTCTGGGAAATAAGAAATTAGCTACTTTATGATGTGTTGTAGTGCTATAGAATTGGTGAAATGCTTTGGAGGATATTAACTATCCTCAGGATTGAGAAACCAGTGTACCATTGGGTTGTATTATACCAGTCTATCATGTTGTCACTGAAACGAGGTTCCTGTCACCTAGCTCTAGTTGGACAATATATTTGCTTTGAGGCCTGCCTCACAGGCTCTGCTCACCACAAACTTATTCATCTACTGAGGAATAAAGCCTAATCAAATAAATCAAGCATTACCATTTTGTGTCTTCATCTCCATAATCAATGCTAATCCAAAACTTCGTGGGATTTTTTCCTATTAAATTCTGATAGTCCCTTTTGGACAAGAGAATGTTTTTTTTTTCTTACAGATTTCCCTGCAGGATACTTTCACTTGTCTGAAATTCCCATAGGTGCAGTTCCCCAAAGTGCTAGGGCCTCAGTATCTGAGATAATAGAGTAGAATGTAGAGTCCTGGAATACAACAATGTTATGAAAAGATAATTTTCAGTAAAGGGTAAAATCATGACTCTCAGATAGATATAAAAATGAATACAAATTAAAGATTTTATTGAACTCATACTTAATGAGGAAATAAGTAGATGTTAAAACTGGGTCAAAAGAGAATCCAAAGAACAGAAAAATACATAGATTGGAAATATTAATATGACTGTGAAAATTGAAGCAAAACTGGGTTTCCTGTTAGGGACGATTACAAAGATGAAGAAATAGAAGAAAACAGACAGTAGAAAACATTTAGCATCAAAAAAGAATGACCATCTAAGTCAGTGTCAATTGAGTCAATTGAACCTCTACTGGGCAGGATGGAATTTACATGTGTTTAGACAAGAATTATTTTGCATTGCTATCAGTTACTCTCCATTTAGAGTTGTAGAATAGCTTCTGTAGAATCATAATCAGATAACCCAGAGAGAGATTCTGGAGTCTAGATAATACATAGCTCTCTACTGAGGCATACGTTTTTTTCTCATGGTGGCAGTGTCCAGTGAAGACCTGGTTTAGAAGTTTTTCTGTTGCTTTTGGTGTATTAGTTTCTAACATTACAAAGAAAATCCCCTTTGTTTGTGTGGGAAAAAATTATGGAATATGAGGGAGATGTATTTAGATGTATGACTGGTGAGAGGGTAAGGAGACAGAGAAAGAGAACAAAAGTAATAGGAAATCAGGAGGGACCAGCTACACTTAACAGGTTCTGGTGTTAGACTCTCAAGGTCCAGACAAAAACACCACTGTATATAAACCAGTTAAAACCCATAGGTGAGCAAATGGTTTCAAAGCTCCTCTTCACACAACAATGCTCTGTAAATTTTCCCATGAATCCAGATGTCATGGGAAGGACAAAGGGTGAAGAAATCCTCCTAAAGCAAGAAAAACAGCCCTGTTAGGAAGATTAAAGTTTGAATTAAATAGTTTCCCAATGTGACTAAGAGAGGAAATTTATGAACTAAAAGAGGACTAATTTCTTTGAATTACCAAGTTTAAGCTATTTCTTCTATCATCATAAGGAGTCGGGTATCAAGAGCAAAATAAGATCAGTTATAAATATTATGAGATGCCACTAAAATACATTTCAGACATGTTTACATTTTGATCTTCCCATTGTACATCCCAGAGACATAAAAGTACATCTTCCATAATTTTTTTCGTACCAGAAAATACTGAGAAGTTGTAAACAATGGGTATTTTTTCCTCTCCAGTATGTTGGAGTTGGTTAGTGATTTTATTGAGACTGCACTAGAGACTAAAATATTCTATAATTTTATATGCACCTCATCGTTACTGTTAATTTTTTGCATCATTATTTTATAGACACCATCCTAAACACATTTATTGATTTCAATATTTATTCAGTGATTCTCAAAGGAATGTTCAAGGTAGACAGTCATATTTGCAAATAATAATGCTTTTTTGTCAATATTTGTGCTTGCTATGTCTTAAATTTCAGAACAACAGTAGATAATACTGCTGTGTTTAGGTCAATTTCTTTGTTTCTTTTTTATTCCAATGAAAAAGTCTTGGGTTTCACCTTTGACTTAACATTGAGTATCATGTTAGTTGCTTTTTTGGTATTAATATTATTTGGCACATCTTAGATATTACCTTTGACTTACCTAAAGCTGTAAAAAGTCAAAAGGGAATGCTGAGTTTTTCTTCTTGACTTATAAAAGCAATGAATTATATTGATAATGTTTATGATATTGAACCATTCGTACTTCTGAAACAAAACTGCTTTGGTCACAGTGTATTGTACTTTAACAGAGTGCTGTACTCTATTTGCTATTTTGATTTTGATTTCTTTGCCATTATGTTTTATAGCATTGAGGTCAGTAAATATAAACTGTACAACTTCTATACTTTAAAATGTACTGAAGTTTGCTTTATGGCTGAGTTTGTGAACTATTTGTGTAAATATTTCATTGACATTTGAATAGAGTATAAGTGTGATATGTAGAGGGTATATAATTTAATGTAGATATGCCTATTAAATTTAATTCAAAGTGTTACTATTCTAGGCATCTAATTTTTTTTATTTCTCTTAATTTGTCAAAAGCCAAGAGTTGTAGGTCACAGTTTTCTCATATGATGATGGTGATATAAGAGTGAAGAAGAAATTATCTAGGCCGACAGTGAGGGTAAGGAAGTCCTTGGTAAGGTTTTCCTTTTAATGAAAAGCAGCCTCCCAGTCATTTTCTTTTCAACGAAGAGTAGCCTGTAAAACTGAGCTGCAGACTTAGACAAGCAAGCTGGTAGCTTGCAAAGGTGAATGGTGGCAGTTGTGCCAACAGGAAAAGGCTACCTGGGACTAGGCATATTCAAAACAGTAGCTCTATGTTCCCTTCTCTTTGCCAGCCACGTGTACAGTAAGGAGCAGACAACATCGCTGGCTGCCAAGTGGAAAGTCCATTTGCATAACAAGATTAGGGTGGGGCGGCCAGCCTTCCCTATGTGCTCTGTAAATGTCACACCAGGTCCAACCAATCTGTGGGCCCTAGTAAATCAGACACTGCCTCCTCAAGCCTGTCTATAAAATCCGGTGCACTTCCCCATGGGCCAGATTTCTCTTTCAGGTGCCCCTCTCTTTCACAAGAGAGAGAGAGCTATTCTCCTTTCTTTTTCTTTTGCCTATTAAACCTCCACTCCTAAACTCATTTCTTATGTGTGTTCATGTCCTTAATCTGCTTGGTGCGAGACAGCGAGCTCCGTGTATTTACCCCAGGCAATGATGCCACTTCAATGGTTTTTTCAGTTTCCTTTTGACTACTCAGACATTTACTAAACTTCTGCTGTACCTCTAGGCTTTTCTTTCCACTTTAGCATGCTGTTTATATTTATGTCTGGCTGTCTGATATTTTTCTTTCCCTTAGTGTACCTAGGACATTGCTGTACTCACATTACTCAATAGATACTCATTGGTTGATTTTGTTATTTTCCCCAAGAAATATTCTAGAGAGCAATCTGCTGAACTGATTTCAAGTTTAATATTTCATCCATTCCAGGATTATTCATATAAGTTATGCCTCACTCTATTGTCATTATAATTTACCTATTTCAATAAGACATCTCTTATTCAAACTGTCAAAACCAAAATTAGATCGAATGGGAAGAAATTTAAAAGTGTATCATGCATACAAAGGAACATTTCACCAACCACAAGGACTTACCAAAAGTGGTAAGCCCCACTCACAGCAGTTACAGCACAATTTTTTGAAGCATAAAGGAGGAAGTATTTTGACCTTTCTTGTGATTGACTATTATATATTAATATTCTTTGTAAGGCAAGCAAAGCTGTTTAATCTGATTTGTCTATAGCTGATTAGTTTAATTTCATTGAATCATGCTAACAAGGATGTAAAGCTGACAGTTTTTGTTTCTTTTATGATTACAGCTAGTGTTTCAGGGAACTCAAGATAACTTTTGACTACATGGCTATGTGCTGTTGGTCTTGGAATATATCTATAGGGGGACCTCAGTTTTTATTTAATACCACCAACACAAATCCTTAGTTACTGATTAATTAATAGACTGAAGAAAATTTTTCAGTATGGTGGTTCCTAATAAATTACTTTTGTATTTGCAGTTGGATTCTGCACAAAAATTGCTGTGGCAAGAATTTCTCTAGGTTCTCTGAAAAGCAAAGCAAACCAATAATGCTCAGAATTTATCATCCACTTTATTCCTTTCGCTAACATTTGTCCTTCCTTCAGCATCAGTATTCTTTCCAAGAAATTGTATTTTGCAAAACCTAGTATGAATGGTAAATTCTTGAGTGGAGCTACTGTTAAAAATAATTTCCCGTTAACTGTTAATAAGTATTAGCAGTGGCTCAATGCTGTAGTGACCTAATTTAAACAGAATCAAAGCGAGCTGTGCTAAAGGGCATGAGACAGTGGAATCTTTTCCCACTTCCTCTTTCTTGTGTCTTAATCAGGAATTAGCATGAAGAGAGTTGTCCTTTGTCTGAGGCTGGGTAGCTTTGTGTGCATTATGAATCTCCTAGTTTCACCAGTCAAAAGCTTTTATTTGATAGTGTCTGTTTTCTCACATTCTATATTTGTCTTTATCACCAAGAGAAAGTCTTCATGATTAATGTTTTGCTTGTGGCTGGTTACAACTACCATGAGAGATAATGGGAAGGAAAAGAATGCTAGTTTATCTGTTATATAAAAATCCGTGTAACTCGTAGGTTTTTGTATATATTGCTGGTCAGTGGAAGAAAAATAAAAAGACTCAAACTACTATATGGCTGAAGAAATAGTAAATTGCCTGAATGCTGGTGGTGTAGAACATAGGGTGTGTTTTTAAGGCCCTCCCAAGTCTTGAGATAGAAGGGAAAATAATGGGAAGAAATTGGAGAATATACGGTTACATTAGGTAGGGTTGTTTTAGGAATTGCCTCAAATCAGGGCTAAGTGCTTCTTCCAGATGAGACTGTATTTTGATTATCTAATCAAAATCAAAATTTTAGAACCCAAGAGAACTGGTAGTGGTCAGAGGTTATCATATGCCTTTTTATTCTCTAGTAAATGCAATTCTCAAATGATGTGTGGATATTACTGACATTACTTTCAGACCTGCGGGTGGAGAGCTTTGATTCTGTTAAAGGGTCCTGTGTTCTAACTGCAGTTTGTTTCTTGGTAATTGGGAGTGAAAAAGAATAGAGCTGCCATGAGCTGTGGGGCTCTGAACCACAGGGCCTGACAGGGCAGACAGTGGGATGGTGCTCAAATCTATCTCCTTCTTTTCAGGGCTTAACCTCATTATAATTGGAGGGTGAGGTTCTTGCCAGGCAGTCTTGCTAAATCTTAAAGCAACAAATTTCTCTCTCCATAGGCTAGAGAGATATACATTTCACAGGTGTAGGTAGCAGAATCCCTAAATGAGAGTGTGAGTTTTATTTATGTTCTTCATTCTTATACAAACAGGGAGCTATCTTTATAAGAAAGGGTGCAGCTACATATGACATATCACACTTGGGAACAAGGGTCACAAATGTAGTAATAGTCCTTTGATATCAAGAGACGGCAAATCCAACATGGCTGACACCAACAGCAATTCATAGCTGTAGGGAGAATTTTCCTGAAAATTCTCTAAACTGGATCTCATATAGAAATTCCATATGAATATCAGCTTTTTAAGTGAGAAATCAAGGCAAGAAACACTCTGCTTCTATAAGTCGAGGAGGAATTATGAAGTTAGTAAAATCTACATTCTGTTAATTAGATAAGCTTCTGAGTTTTGTATATTATTCTGGGAGTCTAAAGGACCATGATTAAAAAAGGTTGAGCAGTTAAATATACAACTAGATTGGATAGTACATTTAAAACTCATGGTTTTGGTATGCATAGATTATATGTAGCAACACAATAAAGAATGTCACTACAAAATGATGAATAAAAATATTTTAAAAAAGAAAAGTATGATACAGAATTGATAAACCTTATTAGGTGCCAAGAAGGCCAAAATTTTGGAGGAAAAAAATAAAAATAAAATTTCACATACTAGCTAATGTCAATTGAGAAAAACGACAAGTCTCAGTCATTTTAGGTTTATTTGCCAAAGTTAAGGATGCGCACCTGGGAGACAGGCCTATGCCTTCCTCCGAAGATGATTTTGAGGGCTCCAAATTTAAAGGGGAAAGGGTTGGATATTGAGAAGTACACAATTTTCATGTAAGAGGAGGGTAGGAAAAAATAGTCATTCATGCCTTTGGCTCAGTGAATCTGCATTTTTTTTAAATATATATAAGATGACATAGAAAATGGAACCGGGGAACAATCAGATACGCATTTGTGTCAGGTGGGCAGGGGGGTGACTGCACCTGTACAGATAAGATATCAATTTACATTGCCATGGTGAAATTTCAACAGAAGCACTTTAGGGTAAAGATCTTGGAGCTCACTAGGAATTTCCTTGTGGACAAAATATGGAGGAGGCATGTAGCTTTTCATCTTGTAGCCATCTTATTTAGGAACAAAAAGGGGGAGGCAGGTTTCTGTGACCCAGTTATCAGCTTAACTTTTCCCTTTGGCTTAATGAGTTTGGGGTCCCAAGATTTATTTCCCTTTCACACTGATTACCTAAAGCTAGCTGTGCTTTGTATTAATTATTATTATTATTTTTGCTTAAGAAGAGTTGTTCCTCAGTATCCACTAAGAATTGGTTCCAGGATCCCCTGAATATCAAAATCCATGGATGCTCAAGCTCGTGGTATAAAATGGTGTAGTGTCTGCATCTAAACTATGCACATCCTCCTGTATACTTTAAGTCATTTCTAGGTTGCTTACAATACCCAATACAATGTAAAGGAATGTAAATAGTTGTTATACTCTGTTGTTTAGAAAATAACAACAAGAAAAACAAGTCTGTACGTGTTCAGTACAGACACAACCATCTGTTGCTCAAAGTATTTTCAATTCATTGTTGGTTGAATTCGTGGATGCAGAACTCATGGATACAAAGGGCTGAATGTATATTTATTATAATTTAAGGTTTTTTTATATATATATTGTTTCTTTTTATTATACTTTAAGTTTTAGGGTACATGTGCACAACTTGCAGTTTTGTTACATATATATACATGTGCCATGTTGGTGTGCTGCACCCATTAACTCATCATTTAACATTAGGTATATCTCCTATTGCTATCCCTCCCCGCTCCCCCTACTCCACAACAGGCCCCGGTGTGTGATTTTCCCCTTCCTGTGTCTGTGTGTTCTCATTGTTCAATTCCCACCTATGAGTGAGAACATGCAGTATTTGGTTTTTTGTCCTTGCAATGGTTTGCTGAGAATGATGGTTTCCAGCTTCCTCCATGTCCCTACAAAGGACATGAACTCATCATTTTTTATGGCTGCATAGTATTCCATGGTGTATATGTGCCACGTTTTCTTAATCCAGTCTGTCACTGTTGGACATTTGGGTTGGTTCCAAGTCTTTGCTATTGTGAATAGTGCCGCAATAAACATACGTGTGCGTGCGTCTTTATAGCAGCATGATTTATAATCCTTTGGGTATATACCCAGTAATGGGATGGCTGGGTCAAATGGTATTTCTAGTTCTAGATCCCTGAGGAATCACCACACTGACTTCCACAATGGTTGAACTAGTTTCCAGTCCCACCAACAGTGTAAAAGTGTTCCTATTTCTCCACATCCTCTCCAGCACCTGTTGTTTCCTGACTTTTTAATGATTGCCATTCTAACTGGTGTGAGATGATATCTCATTGTGGTTTTGATTTGCATTTCTCTGATGGCCAGTAAGGTTTTAAAAATTATTGTTCAAAATTTGAGTAGTGCAAAAGCAATGTCAAATAGATGATTGATTAACCTCCTAATCCTTCAGTCAAGGGGCAGTTATGATTAACATTTGATATGCTTTCTTCCAGTATACTTGCCTATGTAATATGTAATTCTAAATGTAGGTGAGTTTGTCTCTCATAAAATAATAACATGGGCATTGTCCTTGTTATGCTTTACCCTTTGTAAAATTTATTTTGCATTTTCTGTACCAACACTGGGTCTTTTGAACAAATAATGTTCTCAAAAAGCACCATAACCCAATTTAGAGTAAAGACTCAGTAGTTTGATGTAAAATAGGCACCCAATAAATGTGAATCCCATGCATCCGCAGGTCTATATCTCTCAGCAGAGTGCCAAGCATGAGAAAGATAGTCAATAAATAGTTGTTAGATTTAAAGTGGATCAGGGTGGGAGAGGCCTGGCTTTTTTGAATAGTATAAGATTAATGACACACCTTTAAAGAATGACAAATGGCCTGCTCAGCTGTTAAATCTGGTGTGATTCTCTTAAAACAGTCGTGTCTGGTATTTATGCCTTTGTATCTGGCTAAATGTATCAGAGCAGGATTTTATGTTTTAGAAAACATGATTTGACTGGTAGTATTTCTAAGCTCTGTTACAATGGGTGATTTCTCCGGGACTACCAACTCATCTTTAAAACCCAATTTGTGTTACTCATAGGTAGTACAATACTAGCCCATTGTGTTCAGCTCATATAATGTTTGTTATAGTGATTCTTTCTTGAAAAAATTCTCCTTTGCTGCTAGGGTGCACAATCCTGGAGAGGAAAGATTCCTCTAGGGGACCAAAGGAGCATTCATTTCACCTAGAGGGTTTAATAACAAGCAAATTCTAGGGCCCATTCCCAAAGGTTCTGAGTCAGTCATTCTTGGGTGGGAACTAGCATTTTCCAGTGTCTCAGTAGAGGATGGTGATGTGTGGTTTTGGGGACATGTTTTTATTTTTATTCATGCTATATTTACTATGTTGAATAAGAATATCTCTGATTGTAGAAAGCTAGTGAGGAATGACAGGCAAGAGGTTTTCCTAAGGAATTTTCACTGAAGCAAATCAATCAATCAAATAATTAAATCAATCTCTCTCTTTCCCCACTCCCTTTCTTCCCTTGCAGCTTGGCCTGTAGTTTACCTTTTTCATATATATGAATATAAAATGACTTCAGCTGCAGCCTCATATTTAGAACCCTCTACAGAAGAAGTCTAATCATGTGTCTACTCATATGCATTTTCTTGTTAACTGAAATAGCCCATGGAGCAGTGGTTTTTAGAGGGGCTGTGAAGCATCCCTTCAGGCCATGTCATAATGAGAAAAGATCAGGGCAAGGGGATGGGGTCCATGAATCATGTCACCATCGCTTTAAACAGAACAATGTTATATATCCGCCTTCTCAGTAAGCCATCATTTGAATCTCAGTTCCCATGATCCTACATATGTTTGAAAACCACTATTCTGTATGTTGCAAACAATTCTCATGAAGTTTCTTTTTTCCATTTAAAAAGTAATACTTTAATATCTTTTCACTACAAAATATTGATATATTTCTGCAGTGGATTAAAGAAAGTGCCTATTTTATTTTTATTTTAGGGTGACTCTGTAATGTAGCTTCCAAGTAAGAACATTTTTGGGAGTGAATGGGTGGCTGCTAGTAATTAAGCTGGCATAAACTGACTCTCCTCTGGGACCTGGACCTGTATGGTCCTATACTTTCTTTCCCAAACTTGTTCTTTTCTTCTTCTCCTCTTCTTCATTTAGAGGTCACCACCAATTATACCTTGCCATGTGTTCTTTCATAGTTAGGATGTGATAAAGTTTATTTTATCACTTTTCCTTACATTTTACATTTTTCTCTGTTTTTAATTATTACAAACAGTGCTGCAGTGGCAATACACAAAACTCTTAGGGAATATGTGTGTGGAGCTGCTGGTTGCATTTTCTATTTTAATCATTTATGTTCAAAGCTTTCTAAAATATATGATCATCGTAAACAGAGCCTATTGAATATTTGAACTTTACTTGATGACCTGATATCATGATTATGGATATTGATTTTTGCACTGCAGGCAAATAGATAAACAGTCAGGCCGTCAGGGACTATTTACAATTACCCTAAGTGGCCCCTTTGAGTTATTGCGCTTGTTTATATTATTAATAAAATCATGTAATTAAAAATCTGTTCAGGACCTAAGAAATTATCAAATGCAATTTCTTTCCTTTACAGATTAAAATGCTGAGGTCTACAAAACTAAATTCATTTATATAAGGAGACCTCACAGATCTGTGACTCTAACCAAGGTCTCCTGGGTCCCAGGCTAGTTTTGTGTTTGTCTTCTCTTTACTAGCAAAGCTCTCAGCTGTCTCAGTCCTGCGCCTCTCAACACCTCCCCCTTGACTAACAAGATTACTTTTTTATTAGCTGTTCCTTCTGTGTGTGATAATGCCACTGTTAACAAAATTTTGGTTCCAAATGACAAAGATCTGCACAAAATGGGGTGAAACAAAAAAATGGATTCATTCATACAATGGAAATGTCCAACAGAGGATTAGATTTAGGAATTCACAGGTTGCAGGGTCTCCAGGTGTGCTCTCTGAGTCTTCAGACCCTGCCTGTCTCCTCTCAAGGTTGTCTTCAAGATGACTAATGGAAGCAACATAATAGAAGTTGTTGCTCTTGTTCTCTCTCCAAACTGTCTAGGGGATCCAATTTCTCATGATGGCTTTTGTAAGAACCAGGGGGAAATTTCTCCTAAAGGCCCCAGTCAAGAGTATGCTGTGGCATCATTAATGGAAATGGTCATTCATGCCCTCCTAAAATAATCATTATGGCCAGAGAAAAGAGATCATAATCTGGTTGGCTTTATATAGTTAGGATTCTCTTTGGGGCTGGAATTGCGGTGAATCTCATTGAAGCCATATGGCTGAGAATATGGAACAGGAGTTTCCCAAAAGACAATTTGGATGCCCTTATTAGAGAAATTAGCTATGAGTGGTGAGGAGAGAACTGACAGATGGGCACGCTATCTGAGAGTTCACAAACATTTACTAGAACTGAGACAGAAAAAAGAACTACTAGGCACTGAGTGAAGGTATTATTGTTTCTTTTATGATTAAATTTAGTGTTAGTATTTTACATGACCCACTGTACTTTTTAGATAACTTTTAAAAAGCTTTTTGATGTCATTATTCTAGACACTTGAGTTTTATGAGTAAATGATAATTGACAGTAGAGTTCCCCAAACAATTTGAAGGCATAGAGTAGCAGCTTGCCCTTGAGTAAAAGGTGACATAATGGCGAACAAGACTGATGGGAATTGTGTATAAGCTTTAGCGACTTTCTTAATGCTGTAGAATTTTAGGCCATTGAGTTAATTTGGGCAATAATTTTTTTTTGTATAGAGGTTTCTGGGCTCCTGTGGGCCACTGGGCTCTCTGCTACTTTGTTTGATTTAGTTCCATTCAACCTCTATTTGGGGTTTATATGACTTTGCTATCTAAAAGCTAAAAAATTCAGAATGCCAGAATGGACACTGAGAAGAAGCAGTTCAGAGAGGAAACCAATTAACACTCTTTTTGGTCTTGGTAAAGACTGGGAGATAGTCTTTCAGTTGTTTTTCCATAGTGGGAAATTAGATGTGACCATACGACTTGCTTTGGCCAATGAGATATGCATAAAATGATGAGTGCTCTTTCCAAGGGGAGATTTAGGAGGCAGAGTATGATCCAACACATTCTCTTTTACTGCCTTGGTATTTTTGGGAGGCATTCAAATAGCCCAGTGACCTCTGTGAGATGAGTTCCCTGGTGATCTGGGATGGACATTTGGCATGAACAAAAGATAGGCTTGTTATTGTAAACCAGGGGTCTGAAAGCAATGAAAAGGTTTTACTGAACCCTGTTTTAAACCTCCCGGATATGGGGTCATTTTTTGCTAGTGCATAATTCACTCTGACTGATACAAAATTAAAACAGTATTTTCTCTGAAAGTGTTAAGAAAGATGTAAAATAACAAAAAAGAAAACTCAAAGTAACTTCTTTTGTTACTTCTAGTAGGAGGCAACCTATGAGTGCTTAATAGTTTTAAACCTTGTTAGTTATGTGATTAGTATTGCCTTGGGCAGAGGCCATGGGTGTCTGAGAAATGGATTTTCAGAGTGTATGTGTAAAATAGCATCTTACCCTTCTTTCTTGAGCAATCTAGCATTCTTAAAATACACTTTAAAAAAGACATTTGTTTTTTCTCTCTTTTTTCATCTTTAATGCATACATGATTCTAAAGATTATGACTAAAGTCACATGTTTCTTTCCTTCACTACTTTTCTAACTTTTCCAATAGCCTTTAAGTTGTGATAAATATAAGGAAAACACCAAAAGTGCCAATTGCATTGCCTTTTCCAAAAAAGATGTGACTTTTAAATTAAAACCAATAAAGCCCTGGCATCTCTTACTCACACTTTTGGGTGACAAAATAAGATTGATAAAGAGAAAAGAGATAGACATTTAAGATTTTGGCTTAGTGCTCCAAGCCATGTGCTTGAGGTTATTCACTTATTTTCTCATTCACTTCTTTAGGGATTTAAAAATCATTTTTATGATTTTTAAAGTTTGAGCTGATTTAGACTTAATGATCTATTATTAGTTTAAGATTCTTATGTGAGCTAAGATATAGACACATGATTTGACCTAACTTATTTAAGTAGGTAATGAGGGAACCAAATGCTAAGCCCATAAATCCTTTCTACTAAATCATGAGGTATCAATGCAGCCTTGCTATAGTGTTTTAAATGCCACAACCACAAAAAAGAATGTAAGTGCCACATAATCTGACTACCTACCTTGCCATCCCCTTTCCCTTATCCTCATGTATTATTGTACCACTTGCTTATTTTGATCCAGCCACACTGGCTGTCTTTTTTCTTGCTCCCACCATGAGTTTTTATACTTGCTCTGTCCTCTGCCTGGAACACTCTTTCCCCCGATATTTGTACAGCTTACTTCCTTACCTCCTTCAAAAGAGCTTGACTTGATCTCTTGCATTTAAAATATAAAGATGCCTCCTCCATGCAGTCCAAATATCCCTTACCTGTGCTGTTTTTTCACATAGCATTTGCCAGTTACAAACATGCTTATTATGTTTATTATTTATTATCTCTCTCCCTTGTAGATTGTAACCTTCATGAGATTAGAACCTTTTTTTGTCTGTTTTGTTCATTGATGCATCCAACATGCCTACAACAGTCCTGGCACATTGTAGGGATTGAAAACTATGTGTTAATTGAATGAATGTACCAGGAGATGAAATAAAATAAATCGGTATGTGATTAAGAAAGAAGGTACATATTCAATTCAAAAATTTAGTAGGGGCATAATTATGTGTTTACTAGTTTACTGGTTTTTTGAATTATTTTCCATATAGAAGTAAAGAACTAATATTTCTTAAATGCTCAGGTTACAGGATGAACCTAAAATCTTTGCATACAATATCTGTTTTAATTTCACATATGCAGCAACCATAGTAACTCTGAGGTAGGATTATTATTCCCATAGATAAGAAACCCCAATTGGAGATATGGTAATGTATTCAAAGTACTACAGCTATGAGATGTGGGTCTGAATTCACATCAGTTGGCTCCATAGTCCTTACTCTTTCTACTTTGTTATAATAAGGACAGAATGTAAAGACTGAGTGAGATTTGTTTTACACAAACAAATTTATTGTGTTTTACACAAATAAATTTGCTTTACACAAACTTATGTATTTTGGACATGTATACAAGAAGCTTCTATGTATCCTTTGGATCACAGAAAGTTAATACCCTTCTTTATTCTCAGAATAGTCTATGTCATTATATATAACTCTGTTATTGTTAAATGTCAATACTTATCTTTGGTCTTTCAAATTTAGAATTATTACTGATTTAACAATATTGACATTTACATACAATACTCATCAATTCATAAATATTGTTAGCTTATGCCTTTGACCTTTGACCCTAATGAGGGGCTAATATCTTTCAGATATTACACATTTCAAATGTTGGTCATTATGGAGCTGGGAATAAAAGAAGGAAAAAAAAACCTTTTCCTTGAACAATTTAACATTTTTGCTTCATGCATATGGAGAAGGTATTTTTCTTTGGAAGTAAACATGCACAAAGGTCTTTGTCTGGCAAGGCAGTCGGTAATGATCTGAAGAAGCAGGAAATGACAGACTTGATGACAGCTGCACTGTTCTGCCAGTTGTTGCTCAAGGCTTAGTGTTCTGGCTGTTTCTCTGAAGACAGCTGAGGTTTCCCTCCCAGGTAAGGAAAGCTCTGCCCACTGTAGTAATAGGTAGACAGAATCCAAAGTGGTTTCACAGAAAATAAATTGAACTGGCACTCTGATAATGGGTTTCCTTGTCGGTTCTATTGATATCTAAGTTTATACAAATAATTTTTCTTATTTCCCAGTTTCCTCATTTGCAAAATTAGCATATTAAACCAGACAACATGGGGAAGCTTCCTTTCAGGTCCAAAATTCCAGAATTTTCTATAAATGTATCTGTTGGAAAGTTATAGGGAAAGGGCAATAAGCTCATCTCTGTTATTTATTATTTTAGACCAAGCTATTTTGGGTCACATTTCAAACTGGATGGTTACTATTGCATTTTTTTTCTCCTCTGGCACATGCTACAGATTCTTTTCAAATTAAGAAAGGGAAGCTCTTTTTTTTTGTGAGCAAAAAAGTAGATGGCTTTTAAGATATTTTAGGAAAGTCCTCTTAGGTTGATTAAGGTAACCTTTAGAGTGCAGAGTTGATCAACAATTTCTATGGCCTCACTATGAGTGAAAATGCACACAAAATGCACACCTTTAAGGAAGCCTTTAGTTTTTGCTCAACCTCTATTTATGGAACTCTTTAATTTACAGTTTTCAATGCTTACTCAGAGATGGCAACTGCAAGTAAACTACAGATTAGGAAATTGGAGGAGATTGTGGAGGTGTGTGTTTCATTTTAGGAGATAGAGTCTCCTCCTCTCCCACCTCTCAGTTCCCAAATACAAAATGTTCTGTGTAGAGGAGGAGCAAGAGCAGAGGTGGAGAAGGTCTGTTTGCAGTTTATGCTATGGATTAAACTTTTTGTTTTGTTTCAATTATTCTATGAGTTCTCATTGTCAGAGATCTAGGTAGTGGAAACTCCTACAACATTTCACTGGACCAAATCCTGCTAGAAATTGTAAATTGGGTTGAGAGTGAAGCACATAAAGCTTCCAGTCACCTGTGACCTGAGAAAGCATGATATGTCTTTCAGTCACCTGTGACCTCCAAGTACCTATGCAGGGAGGAGACATAGGCAGTTCACTAGGTAGAGCTTTGCTTTATTCAAAGGAAGTGAGTAGAAACCTCCCCACATGTTTGAGGAAAAAACAACCATAGAACAGACAAAAGGGAATAGCATTCAGAAGCCTCAAAGAAAGGACTTATTCTTGTAAACTACTGAAAGACCTAAAAATTATTTTTAAGACAAGTATTTGGCATCTTCAGAAGACAAAAAGGCATTGTTTCTTTGAAAGAGAAGTAGGCATTCATCAGGAGAAAGAAAAGGAGATGAAAAAGCAGCAGAATTAGAAAAAGGTGTTGTGATGAAACAAAAAAATGGCCTCAGAGAAAATCAAAACCCAATAACAGAATTAAAATCCGTATTTTCAGCAATAGAGAAGAGAACTAATGCTGCAGGCAAATTAGTTAGAAATGTAGAGGGCAATTTGAGAAGAGCATCAGTAATTTAAAAGGAAAGAGACAAAGAGAAAAGAGCCAAAAAAGACAGAGAAGATTTGGATGGCCTAAACTATAAATAAGAGGTCTGCTTGAAAAAGAGAACAGTAAACATAATTCAATGACTTTAAATGAAAGAGAAATTTAATGATTTACAAAGACTTGTATCTGTACATGCAGATTGAGGAAGCTCAATATATTCTAGGCAGAGTTAATGAAAAGAAACTCAGGCATAGATATTTCATTGAAAACACATTTAGATTCTCAAGATAAAGAAGAGATATCTCATAAGAATTGAAGCAGAAAACTTTATTTCTTCCAAAAATAAAAATAGATGTCTTTGGTTTTCAATCATACAATATGGAAAGCAAGATGTCTATGCAATACATACAGAATTTTGATGGGAAAAGACAACTTCTAACTCAATATTTTAACATTTTTTATATGATACCTTCTTTATATTACTTATTTTAAAGCTTTTTTTTTTTTTTTTTTTGACAGAGTCTCGCTCTGTCTCCAGGCCGGGGTGCAGTGGCATGATCTTGGCTCACTGCAACCTCTGCCTCCCAGGTTCAAGCGTTTCTCCTGCCTCAGCCTCCTGAGTAGCTGGGACGACAGGTGCGTGCCACCATGCCCAGCTAATTTTTGTATTTTTAGTAGAGATGGAGTTTCACCATGTTGGCCAGCATGGTTTCTATCTCTTGACCTCATGATCCGCCCACCTTGGCCTCCCAAAGTGCTGGGATTATAGGTGTGAGCTGCTGGGCCCAGCTCTATATTATAGAATTTTAACTTCTGGAAGCATATATGTCAGTATGTTGTAAATCATGGCCCATAGGCTAATGGATATAGTGTGGCATGTGATTATGAAGTTGGAGACGAAGTGATTAGGAGAAAATTGACACTTAATAATTGATATTCTTGATAAAATAACATTATATAGTGTACTGGAGAACTCAGGGCTTTCATTGAAAATGCTGGATTAAAAGAAAATTTAGATCAAAGAGCAATATATTGGTCTTTGAGGCACTCATTATTTAGAAGGACTGTCTATAGGACATAACAAGATCTAAGGAGTAAACATAAAAGTTGGAGGCAAAAGTGGGGAAGAGAAGATATAGGAGTTACATTCTGATAAGCTGTTACATCATTTAGATTGTCCAAAGGACATTCAGGTTACCAAACACAAAAATAGGACTTGGTGAGAAAGGGAGGAATATGAGATAGAGTTTTGAGAAATTATTTTTAGAATATTTTTAAAATTAGATTTATAGAGACCGAGTCTTGCTATATTGCCCAGGCTGGTCTCAAACTCCTGGCCTCAACCAGTCCTCCCACCTTGGCCTCCCAAAGTGCTGGGATTACAGGCGTGAGCCCCTTTCCCTGGTTGAAGACATCATTGATGATGTAGAAAGTAGATAGAATTGAATTGATGCAGAAAAACAAAATTAGCATAAATATTACCTGCGACAGGCAACATAGGGAAGAATTACATGCAACATACAGAGGGATGCCATAGGAGAAGTAAGAGCAAATCTTAACTGACAAAATCCTAGAAAATTGAAGCTTGAAGCCAATATTCACAAGCAAGTGGCCAAGGGAAAATTATTGGCATAACTGATTAAGGAACTGGGTCAACCAAAGTCATTTATCTCCTAAGATATGTTTAGTGTATGGCAATGGATGTATCTTCCTCTATGTTAAAAGTCCTAAGATCATTCTGAACTCTGCTCTATGCAAAAAGACCTCTCTTTCTAAATGATGTAAACCAGTACTCACCAACGGAAATACAATGCAAGCCATATATGCAATTTTAATTTTTCTAGCTACACTAAAAAAGAAAAATAAGCAAAATTAATTTTAACAATACATTTTATGTAACCAAATATATCCAAAATATTTTGGCATGGAATTGATATAAAATTGTTCATAATACATTTCTTAATGTGTTTTATTCATACAAAGTCTATCACATCCAGTGTATTTTACACCTGAAGGACATCTCAATTTGGATACTGAATTTTCATTGGACTGAGTTAATTTTCATTTATATTTCATAAAATTCATAGTTGGAAAAGTAGATGCACATATGACAGAGTTTCAGACATGTTGGACTGTTTTCTAAACAAACATTTATTATGTTCTGCTGTGGTGAATTGCAATTGCCATTCATTGTAACATTTGGGCCTTACTTTTTTCTAGTCTCTTTTTTTCCTTTACTGTTTGGTTGTAGTAGTAGCTTTTGCACTAATTCTTCACTAATATTATATTAAAATATTTTATTAAAATATTTTAATGTAAAACATAATTGTCTTTACCCATTTTCTAAACTCAAAACATAGTTTAATTATGTTATAACTTAAATAATAAGTATTTCTTTTTAATTGCCAGTTACGTTTTACATAGATATCACAGTAAGTCATGCTGCCTGCCTAAAATATCTCAATAAATACAATGTTACATCAGTGTGTAGAAAAAAAATCATTCAAATCAAGCAATTTGTTGACAGAGACTAGATTGGTGGTGTGTTTATACATGTATTGTTATATGTATGTTAATGCATGTGCTTGACATAAACACAACAATACAACATCTTGCACTATGCAATGGCTTAAGTGAAATGTCCTAAAAACCAGTAAAATTTTGTAATTTCTCATTTTGTGCCTATTTGGATCTTCACTTTGTTAATCTAGCTAGTGGTCTATCAATCTTGCTTATTCTTTCAAAAAAACAATTCTTGGTTTTATTGATCTTTTGTATAGATTTTCTCTCAATTTTGTTTAGTTGTCTGGTTTTAGTTATTTCTTTTCTGCTAGCTTTGCTTTGGTTGTTCTTTTTCATCCTAGTTCCTCTAGGCACAACGTTAGATTGTTAAATTGCAATTTTTCTGACTTCTTGATGAAAACAGTTGCACAATAAACTGTCCTTTTAACACTGCTTTAGTTGCATCCCTAAGATTTTGGTAAGTTTTAGCTCTATTTTATTAATTTCAAAGCATTTTTGGATTTCTGCCTTCATTTCATTTTTTACCCAAGGGTTTTCAGGAGCATGATTGTTTTCTTTTCTTTGTTTGTTTGTTTGTTTGTTTGTTTCTTTTTTTTTTTTTGAGACAGAGTCTTTCTCTGTTGCCACGCTGGAGTGCAGTGATGCGATCCCAGCTCACCACAACCTCCACCTCACAGATTCAAGCGATTCTCCTGCCTCAGCCTCCTGAGCAGCTGGGACTACAGGTGTGTGCCACCATACCCCGCTAATTTTTGTATTTTTAGTAGAGACAGGGTTTCACTACGTTGGCCAGGCTGGTCTTGAACTTCTGACCTCATGATCCACCCTCCTCAGCCTCCCAAAGTGCTGGGATTACAGGTATGAACCACTGTGCCTGGCCAGGAGCATGTTATTTAACTTCCATGTTTTCGTGTAGTTTTCAGGGACCTTCTTGGTATTAATTTCCATTTTTATTGCACTGTGGTCTGAGACTGTTCTTGGTAGGATTTCAATTTTTTTGAATTTATTGAGACTTGCTTTATGACTGAGCGTGTGGTCAATCTTAGAATAAGTTCCATGTGCAGATGAGAAGTCTGTATACTCTGTGGTTGTTAGGTGTGGTATTCTGTAGATGTCTATTAGGTCCCATTTGTCAACTGACAAGTTTAAGTTCACAATTTCTTTGTTAGTTTTCTGTCTCAATTATTAAAGTCCCTCACTATTATTGTGTGCTGTCTAAATATTTTCATAGGTCAAGAAAAACTTGTTTTAGGAATCTGGGTGCTACACTGTTAGGCATGTATATATTTTGGATAGTTAAGTCTTCTTCTTGAATTGAACACTTTATCATTATATAATGCCTTTCTTTGTTCTTACTGATTGTTGTTGGTTTAAAGTCTGTTTTATCTAATATAACAATAGTGACTCCTTCTATTTTTTTGTGTTTGGTTTGCTTGGTAGATCTTTCTCCATTCCTTTACTTTGAGTCTGTGGGTGTTGTGAAAGATAGCAGTATAACCAATCTCACAGAAATGCAAAATATCCTCAAAGACTAATATGAACACCTCTTTGTCCACGAATGAGAAAATCTAAAGGAATTGGATAAATTCCTGGAAACACACAACCTCTCAAAAATTAACTAAAAGAAAGTGAAAACCTGAACAGACCAATAACAAGTTCCAAATTAAATCAGTAATAAAAACCCATGAAGCAAATAAAGCCCTGGAACACCTGGATTCCCAGCTGAATTCAATCAGATATAACAAAGAGGAAATGGTACAATTCTTACCAAAATTATTCAAACAACAACAACAACAACAACAAAAAGCAAAGAGGAAAGGCTCCTCCCTAACTCATTATATGAAATCAGCATCATTCTGATGCCAAAATCTGGTGTAGACACAATGAAAATGTAAACTAAATGTTAATATATCTGATAAACATAGACACAAAAATCCTCAACAGAATACTAGCAAACTGAATATAGCAGCACATCAAGAAGTTAATTCACCATGATCAAGTAAGCTTTATTCTTGGGATGCAAGATTGGTTCAACATACGCAAATGATATATGTGATTCTCTACACAAAGATAATAAAACAAAAACCGTATGATTATCTGAATTGATGTAGTAGAATCCTTTGATAAAATCCAGCATCTTTTCATTGTAAAATCCCTCAACACAGTAGGCATCAAAGGAATGTACCATCAAATACTGAGAGCCAGCTTATGACATAGCTAACATCATACTGAACAGGCAAAAGCTGGAAGCATTCCCCTTGAGAACCGGAACAAGACAAGGATGCCCATTCTCACAACTCCTATTCAACACAGTACTAGAAGTCCTATCAAGAGCAATCAGTTCAAGAGAAAGAAATAAAAGGCATCTAAATTGAAAAAGAAGAAGTTGAACTATCTCTCTTCACTGATAATAAAATTCTATACCTAGAAAACCCTAAAGAGTCTGCCAAAACCTCCTAGAACTGATAACGACTTCAGTAAAGTTTCAGAATATAAAATCTATGTACAAAATCACTAGCATTTCTAAACACCAATAACATTCTAGATGACAGCCAAATCAAGAACATAATCCCATTTATCATAGCCACAAGAAAATGAAGTACCTAGGAATGCACCTAACCAAGGAGGTGAAAAAACTACAGAGAGAACTACAAAATGCTTCTGACAGAAATCAGAGACAAAACAAATAAATGGAACAAATACCACATGCTCATGGAGTGGAAGAATCAATATCATTAAAATGACCATACTGCCCAAAGCAATTTACAGATTCAATGCCATTCGTATCAAAATATCAATGCCATTTTTTCACAGAAATAGAAAAAAAACTATTTTAAAATTCATGCGAAACCAGAAAGTGTCCAAATAGCCAAAGCAATCCTAAGCAAAAACAACAAAGCCAAAGGCATCATGTTATTCAACTTCAAACTATACTATAAGGCTATAGTAATCAAAACAGCATGGTGCTTGTGCAAAAACAGACACATAAACCAACGGAACAGAACAGAGAACCCTGAAAAAATCCTGCACACCTACAACTATCTGATCTTTGACAAAGTTGACAAAAATAAGCAAAGGACTCCCTATTTGATAAATGGTGCCAGTATAACTGGCTAGCCATATGCAAAAGAATGAAACTGGATCCTTACCTTTTACCATATACAAAAATTAACTCAAGATGAGCTAAAGGTTTAAATGTAAGATCTAAAACTACAAAAATCCTGGAAGAAAATCTAGGAAATACCCTTCTTGACATCTTTTTTGGCAAAGCATTCATGGCTAAGTTCCCAAAAGCAGTTGCAATAATAGAAAGTATTGATAAGTTGGACCTAATTAAATGAAAAAGCTATCACTCAGCAAAGAAACTATCAACAGAATAAACAGACAACCTACACAATGGGAGAAAATATTTACAAATTATGCATCCAACAAAGGTCTAATATCTGAAATTGTTAAGGAATTTAAATCTATAAGCAAAAAACAACTCCATTTAAAAAGTGGGCAAAAGACATGAACAGGCACTTCTTAAAAGAAGGCATACAGCCAGCAAACATTTAAAAATGCTCATTATCACTAAGTGTTAGAGGAATGCAAACCAAAACCACAATGAGATACCATCTCACAGCAGTCAAAATGGTGATTATTAAAAAGTAAAAAAAAATAACAGTTGCTTGCAAGGCTGCAGAGAAAAGGGAATGCTTATACATTGTTGGTGAGAATGCAAGCTAGTTCAACTACTATGCAAAGCAGTTTGGAGATTTCTCAAATAACTTAAAACAGAACTACCATTCGACCCAGCAATCCCATTATTGGGTATATACCTAAAAGAAAACAGATCTTTCTACCAAAAATATACATGTACTTACTTGCATGTTCATCACAGCACTATTCACAATAGCAGACTTAGAATTGATCTAGGTGCCCATCAATGGTGGGTTGGATAATGAAAATATGGTACATATACACCATGGAATACTATACAGCCATAAAAAGAATGAAATCATGTCCTTTGCCGGAACATGGATGCAGCTGGAGGCCATTATCCTGAGTGAATTAACACAGGAACAGACAACCAAATACCACATGTTCTCAGTTACAAGTAGGAGCTAAATATTGAGTACACTTAGACCCAAAGATGAGAACAATGGACACTAGGGACTACTAGAGTAAGGAGGGAGGGTATGTGGGCTGAAAAATTACCTAGTGGCTATTTTGCTTACTCTCAGGGTGACAGGATCATCCACATCCCAAATGTCAGCATCGTGCAACATACTCTTGTTACAAACCTTCAGGCATATAGCCTGAATCCAAAATAAAACTTGAAAAGAAAAAGCCAGTAAATTTGTATTCAATGAAAAATGTTTTACATTGATTCAGCTCTTAAATTCAACTTCAAATTCATTGAAATAGAAAGTCCTAAACATTCTGGCATCTTTTTACCTATCTGACTTCATCTCCTGTCACCATCCCTGTGTCACTTTTCTCTAGACACATTGGCCTCATCGCTATTCCTTGAACATGCTAGGCCTGCTTCCACCTCAGAGATTTTACACCTGTTCCCTATTATTGGAAAGTTCTCCCCTAGATAGCTGTGTTGGGCCTCCTTTGAGAATGCTGTTTAAATTTGCTTCCCTCATTCCCCACATACTTCCCTTGACTTACTTCACTTCATAGCACCTGTCACTGTCTAATATACTACATGATTTGTTTATATCCATTGCCTTTCTCAGTGCTGTTTTTGCTCTCACTAGAATATAAATTGTATGCAGATAGGAATTTTGTCACTTTTTTTCATGGTATATCCACGAAAGCAAGAACAATGCCGGACACATAGTTGAAGCTCAATAAACATTTGTTGAATAGATGAATTTATAAAAGATAATTACTGAAGAATAGAGAGAAGATCTATCTCTTTTTAAACCACATGATGGGAAAAATGGGAAATGTGCTCAATTGACTCAATGAAAAGCAAAAATAAATGAACAGTAATAAATACTTATAAAATGAGGTGGAAATGTAAATACAATAAAATAATTTATCATAGTAAGAGTGAATGAATTAATGTTTCTGTTAAAAAAGTACAAATCTAATTAAGTGATTTCCTTTTTACTTAATTGATTTTTAACTAATTGACACATACAATTGTTCATATTTAGGAGGTAAGTGTAAATGTTTCAATGCATGTATACATTGTACAACGATTAAATTAGGGTAATTATATTATTTTAATCATTTCTTTGTGGTGATAGCATTCAAAATCTTTTAGCTATCTTGAAATACACACTATGTTGTTATTTGCTATTGTTTCCTTATTTATTCTCCCTAACTGTAAATCAGAAGTTATTCTTGCTGTCTAACTGTTATTTTCATAGCTGTTGACCAACCTTTCTCAGTTACTTCCTCCCCACCACCATCCCCAGCCTCTGGTAGCCATTATTCTACTCTCTACTTCCATGAGATCTTTTTTTTTTCTTTTTTTTTTTGAGATGGAGTCTTGCTCTGTCGCCCAGGCTAGAGTGCAGTGGTGCAATCTCGGCTCACTGAAACCTCCACCTCCCAGGTTCAAGCAGTTCTCCTGCCTCAGCCTCCTGAATAACTGGGATTACAGGCGCTCACCACCACTTCAAGCTATTTTTTTTTTTTTTTTGTATCTTTAGTAGAGACGGGGTTTCACCATCTTGGCCGGGCTGGTCTCGAGCTCCTGACCTCATGATCCACCGCCTCAGCCTCCCAAAGTGCTGGGATTACGGGCATGAGCCTCCGTGCCCGGCCATGAGATCATTCCACATATGTATGAGATCATGCGGTGTTTGTCTTTCTGTGTCTTGCCTATTTCACTCAACATACTATCCTCAAGTTTCATACATGTTGCTGCAAATGACAGAATTTCATTCTGTATGATTACTGAATAGCATTCCATTGTATATTGATACCACATTTTCTTTATTCATTCATCTGCAGATGAGCATTTAGATTGATGCCATATCCTGGCTATTATGAATAGTGCTGTAATAAACATGGTAATGCAGATATCTCTTTGACTGGCTGATTTCATTTCCTTTGGATATATACCCTGTAATGGGATTGCTGGATCATATGGTATCTCTATTTTAATTTTTAAAAATAAACTCCATACTGTTTTTTATAATGGCCATACTAATTTACATTCCCATCAATAGTGCACAAGAGTTCTTTTTTCTTCACATCCTTGCTAACATTTATGGGTTTTTTTTTGTATTTTTGATAATAGTCATTTTAATTGGGGTGAGGTGATATTTTGTTGAAGATTGTTGAATTTTTTTCATATATATTGGTCATTTGTATGTCTTCTTTTGAGACATGTCTATTCAGGTTTTTGCCCATTTTAAAATTAAATTATTTGTTTTTTTTTCCTATTAATGGTGTTCCTTATATGTTCTGGAATACTAACTCCTTTAAAGATGAATAGTTTGCAAATAATTTCTCCCGTTCTGTAAGTTGTCTATTTATTGATAATTTCCTTGCTATGTAGAAGCTTTTTAGTTTGATGTAATCCCATTTGTCTATTTTTGCTTTTGTTGTCTGTGCTTTTGAAGTCTTATTTTAAAAAAAAATCCAATCCAATTTTATGAAATGTTTCCCCAATGTTTTCTTCTAATTGTTTAATAGTTTTGGGTCTTAGATAGGCTTAAGCTTTAGTTCATTTGATTTGATTTTTGTATATGGTGATAAAAGGTATCTAGTTTCATTCTTCTGCATGTGGATATCCAATTTTCCTAGCACTATTTACTGAGGAGAGTATCCTTTTCCCAATGTGCATGCTTGGCATATTTGTTGAAAATCAATTGGCTGTTGGGTTCTCTGTTCTTTTTCATTGGTATATTTGTCTGTTTTTATGCCAGTGCCACGCTGTTTTGTTTTCTATAGGTTTGTAGTATATTTTGAAGTCAAGTAGTTTGATATCTCCAGCCTGTTCTTTTTGCTCAAGATTGCTTTACCATCTGGGTCTTTTGTTTCCATATACATTTTAAGACTTTTCTTTTCTATCATGTGAAGAATGTTTGTGGTATTTTGATAGGGATTGCATTGAATCTGTAGATCACTTTGGATGATATAGAAATTTCAGGAATAGTAATTCTTCTAATCCATAAGCACAGGATATCTTTCCATTTATTTGTGTTGTTTTCAGTTTCTTTCATCAATGGTTTATAGTTTTCATTCTAAAGATCTTTCACCTATTTGCATATTCTTTTTTTGTACGTATTGTTACTTTCTTGATTTTTTTTTAAATGGTTCACTATTAGTGCATAGAAATGCCACTAACTTTGGTATGCTGATTTTGTATTCTGCAGCTTTACTGAATTCATTTATTATTTCTCTAATAGTTTTTTTTAACTGGAGTCTTTAGAGTTTTCTATACATATGATCATGTCATTTGCAAATGGGGGCAATTTTACTTCCTCCTTTCCAATTTACATGCCCTTAATTTTTTTTATTTTGACTAGTTGCTCTTGTTAAAACTTTCAGTATTATGTTGAACAAAATGGTGAAAATAGGTATTCTTGTCTTGTTATAGAACTTAGAAAGCATTCAACTTTTCCCCATTCAGCATATGTCAGCTGTGGATCTACAATGTATGATTTTCATTGTGTTGAGGTATGTTTCTTCTCTGTCCAGTTTGTTGAGATCATATTTTCTTTAGGAAATGGATAAAATATGGAAGAATTAGTAGAAACTTTAGTTCATAATTATAGTGGGGGGTTAACAAGTTTAGTTAAGAAATTTATATATAAAGTATACTCAACTATAAATATAAATAATTTGAATGATAAAGTAATAAGCTTAGTATTATATACATATATAACGCTTTCTCTCTTCCACAAATAGTATGATAGGCCCCCAAATAAACTCTAGATTTTATTGGAGGAAAATTTGAAGAAAAACACCTCACACAATGTGTAATTCATATACCCATTGACCTGGATACTCTACATTTCCAATTCTGTACTATGAAAATGCTCACATATGAAAAGAAAGATTTGCCGGATGCAGTGGCTCATGCCTGTAATATCAGCAGTTAGGGAAACTGAGGTGGGTGGCTCACTTGAGGCCAGGAGTTCAAACAGCCTGGCCAACATGGCAAAAACCTGTCTCTACTAAAGACACAAAAATTAGCTGAGCGTGGTGGTGTGCACCTGTAGTCCCAGCTACTCAGGAGGCTAAGGCCTGAGAATCACTGGCACCCTGGAGACGTTGCAGTGAGCCAACACTGCAACACTGCACTGCAGCTTGGGTGACAGAGAGACTCTATCTCCAAAATAAGAAAAGAAAAGGTATATGCACAGGCATGTTAATTGTTACATCATTTTTAGTATTAAAAAACTAACAGTAACCTTTAGTTCATTAATGAGAATGATGAAATAGTTATTTTATATTATAGAATATGTCATGTGACCAAAAAAATCAATTTTTTAAAAACATTACTAACCAAAAATGTCACAGAATAGTTGTGTAGATTTATCTCATTTAAGCAAGGCACATAAACATGTAAGTGATTAGATAGAGAACTGATGGAGTATTTTTTGAGAGCAGTCCAAAAATGTAAGATAAAGGGAGATCTTTCACATTTTGGTTTATTTACTTTTGGCAGAATTGAAGACTATATTATAAAATGATTTTAAGTTCTTTATTAGATTTCTATTTTCAATATTTTCTATAATATACACCTATAACTCAGAGAAAATAAATTGAACAGATTTACAAATTTTTAAAAATTATTAACAAGAGACAATAAATCTAAATCCATCTATTATAATTCTAACAAGACCAAATCATGGAAAAACTATATTTATTGAGTGTCTCCTATAAAGAGGGTAATTAACAATCAGATGATAAGCTGCCATCTTAATCGTTCAATAACATTTTACATAACAAGTCAAATCCATTCAAGAAATTGTTAATGTACTCTTCGAAAACCTCGTGGAATTGTCTTAAGTGATTGTATAATATTTGATGGGAACTCATGATCCAGAAAATCTTGCCAATTTAAATCAATTAATAATTCTGATATATTATACTTCTTTTTTTGGCCATCACTTGAAACATGTTTCAGAATGGTAAGGAAGTTTTACTGGAAAGTAGAGAAAGTGAGAAAAAAACCTAGAAGAGTTATGAGCATAACCTAGGATAGTTATTAACATTATCCAGTGCATGTTATAATCAACAATCATGTATCTTTAGACTCATTCTTGTCAAATATAGGAGCAAAGGAACATTATTTGCTTTGTTTCTTACTACTTCTTTAAAAACACATCCTTTTCTCCACAATGAATTTACTTTTTATGTCAAAGTCTGTTAAGGGTTGCTCTAAGTACTTAGCTCCCCACCTCACTGTGAACAATAGTGTTTTAGTATTCAATCGGCATGGCTGTAAAAGTACGTTATTACTAGACACACAGAGCATACATGCTCCTTGAAATAACTGGGCAGATACATTGCTCTTATTTAATACAGAATAGACTGAATGAAGGCAGAGGAGAATGGATTAAGTCCTCATGTGCCAGTGCACCCTCACACACACATACACACACACACATACACACACAACTCACACATGTATAACATACACAGACAAGAACTACAGAAATAATGCTAAGTAAAGGGTGGTAAAGCAAAGAGGAATCTAAACATTTGAATGTAGTATGGACCAAAGACAGGTGACCATGTGAGTTCAGCTCTGCCAATTTTTGAGGGAGAATAAATCTCTTATGAAAATTATCTTACCAGCAGCTTGTGGAGGACTTGCCTGGGTATATGGGCAGCTCATGTTTATTGTACAAAGGACTGTTAACCTCACTATGTATATTATGCATATCTGCTATGGTAAGCAAGGCAGCTTCTGTTTATAAATAATGTAAGTTAATTTAACATATCAAATGTTAAATTAGATAAAGTTTTATTTGAATAATAATATCAGAGTACTGGGGCTTTTTGGTGTCACCCTAATAAATGACCTCAAAGTAGCAAGCACACAGAACTGCCATCCCAGCATGAGGTATGGCATATAAGAATTCCACAGATTTTGTTGAGTTGTTTAGTGTCTCTTTATACAAATTCAGTGTTTTGATTTTTGAAAAAGAGAAAATTCTGGAACCTTATTTCTCTTTCCTCTATACTATCCTTCAATTAATATTGGACTTAAACATTTAAAATTAATTAGTTAAAAGTTTGATGCTTCTTTAAAAAGTATTAATGAAACAGTTTTAAGAAATTGAAGAATACATACTTACATGGTTCAAAATATATACACTATTCAATTTCTTAACATAATGTCTCTTTATTTTCCAACTAATGAAAAAAATACCATGTCTCCATCTTTAATATCAACCTCATATCCAGGATTTTTGATATTGTTTGTATTCTCTTACTTAATTTTTCTCCTCTATATTTAAACTCTTTCCAATCTAACTTTTGTGCCATCCCTATTTCAAAATAGCCTTTGCTGATCCCAGTGACTTTCATGTCACTGAATCCAAAGGAATTTAAATGAACTCTTATCTAACTTGAGCTCTCAGCAGCATTTGATGCTGTTGATTACTCTCTGTTCTTGGAGTCGCCAGCTTCTTTGGTTATGTTCACCTTTTCCTCTGAATTCTAGACCCGAATATCTCACTGATAATCGATATTCCTACTGAGTTGTCTCTAGCCTAACTTAAAGTCTGTTTTCCAAAACTGTTCCTTTTATATTTAAAATATTTAAAAATGTAATTATAGTGTGTGAAGAGTCACCATCAAAACTTCCTTCTTCAACCTAGATCCAATCAATCACCAAGCACTACCAACTTCTTTCATAAATACATTTGAAACATATTAAGTGCTTGTTTTCTTCCTATCATAAACCTCAGTTGGACTTTGTTTTCCAGTGGGTCTTTCCACATTCTCTCTTGTTTGACGTGCCTTGCTGTATTAGTTTTCACATGGCTATAAAGACACTACCTGAGACTGGGTAATTTATAAATAAAAGAGGTTTAATTGACTCACAGTTCAGCGTGGCTGTGGAGGCCTCAGGAAACTTACAATCGTGGCACAAAGAAAAGGGGAAGAAAGGGATGTCTTAATATGGCGGCAGGAAAGAGAGAGGGAAAAAGAGCGAGGAAGTGCCACACTTAAAACTATCAGCTCTCATGAGAGCTCACTCATTATCATGAGAGCAGCATGGAGGAAACCAACCCCATGATCCAATCACCTCCCAGCAGGTCCCTTCCTCGACACCTAGGGATTACAATTCGAAATGAGGTTTGAGTGGGGCCACAGAACCAAACCATATCACTTGGCTTCCTCATTTTAGCCAAAGTGATCTTTCTACATTGATGTGGTCCCTATCCTTGAACATAAGGCATGAGATGGAGGGTGAGATTCAAAACCAAGGAGCATGTCACCAGGACTCATGCTCTGCATCCCTTTTTCCTTGTGTACTGAAGAACTGATATAACAAACTAATCATACTGTTTAGGCCTGCCTTCTCCCTACCTCCAGCCCTCTCCAAAAATAATTAGAAGGGAAGTAAAAGAGAAAAGAACAGCAATGTAGAGAGAATTCATTATTTCTGTTTTCTTTCTTAAATCAAATCTGAGAGAAGTGAAATGGGATTACACAGTAAATTTTAATGTTTCTGATGAAAATTAAATTTATTAAAAGATAATGAATTAAAATTTTATTTAATTTGCACATTACATTTGTATGAATAAAGCATGAGTTTTGCTATACTTTCAACTGAAATTTATTAACGAAAAATTTTCAGAACACTATTCTTGCTTCTGTAATGCTGAAAAAGAGATTCTTGCACTGCATTTCAAAACATAAAAAGCCACCAAACTTGAAAGGCAGATGTGAAACTAATATTTTTTAGTTTGATACAATATTAGAGAGGTTACCTGGAGTAAACTTTTGATAGATTTTGATAGCTAAAGAACCCAGAAAATTCTCAATCTTAGCCAATCCACACCTTCAAAGCCTGAAGTACCCAAGGGTACTAGACACACAGGAAAAATAGCAAAGGGCATTTCCAGTAATTCTTTGTCAGTTGCCTAACACCATGCCAGGTCTATATGAGATGTTTGCAAAGAGAAAAGTCATTTTTCTTTGAAAAGAGACTGAGCTCCAAACTTCAATGTAGTCTTAATGCTGAGCTGAGCTGGATGGCATGTAGAAAAAAGAGACATTCCCAAAGTGGCAGATGAGTTTGATATTTAAACCAGAAACACATCATCTCCCTCTCACCCAACTCCTCCACCCTATTTCCAGTATATTTGTTTCATTCTATCATATTTTTAAAAATTTAATGAAAATATAACCTATGGATAAATCACAGCAAAGGAAAGATGTTCTCCAAGGTATAGCACAGAGTCTTTCATTCCAATGGCGCCTAAAAAGCCCCTTCCCTATTTCTCTAGTGGGAGGCAACTCTAGGCTAATCTTAATGCAGGCACTGCATGGGAGAGAAGAGAGTGAGGGAGGAATCTCAAAAAGGAACCACCCTCATGAAAGCCTTTGTTAAGCTGGACTTTGCCAATTCATATTAACTTTCCTTGTTTGCTTTAGAGAGGTGGGAAGAATGAGAGGAAAGGGTTCTTGAGTTTACTGAGGGAAATGATACAAAAATACATAACATGTGGATAAATGCTCAACTATTCAAATGTAAAGATTAAAATATGGGCCCCAAATGAAACCAGAAACAAAATTCTAACTCAACCACTACATAAAATTTAAAACTAATTAACTAAAGCAGTTGAAAAATTTTGGAAAAAATATCAAGCAAATAAATCTAATAGGAAGAAGTAACAAATTCTTAAAGTAGACAGTGAAATCAAGGCACAAAAAGCATTAAAAACCACAGAAAGTCTTTTTCAGTAAATTAAAACACACAAATTTTAAAAATATTCTAATGTACTTTCTACACTTAGGTCAAGAAGAAATAGAAAATAGCATTAACGGGGTTTTAAAGCTTGTATTGCAATATTTGAAACATTAGAAAAAAATGAATATGTGGAAGATATCTGCAATATAATTTAAAGGCTCATTAGTTCAATTTATTTCAAAATTTGTACACTAAAGAAATGACACCTTCTTTTTCAGACCACATTGAACATTTGCACTCCTATTTCCTGTAGAAAAAATGAACCACAAATTCCAAACAGTGAAAAGGCCTTTTCTGAACCTGCAATTAATATAAAAATAAATGAAAAATCACAATATAACAAACTAAAATCGGGAGGATATGGAGGAAGTGGAGAGGAAGTATGAGTGTTAATTTGCTCATAGTTTGTTGAAGAAAACCATTAGGTAATGCATAAAGATAGAAAACTGAGAAATAGGGTTAGATGTATTACTAAAAGTTACCAAAATCATCATCAGAACAACAAAACATGGGTAAAAAACCTTCCAAATTATCAGAAGAAACACCTGAACTACACATAAAATAAGTAAAATAGAAACCAAATGTCAAGATATAGAAAACAAAGGGAGCTTTAAGAGACACATGGAGAGAAACGTAGAGCTTTAGGTATAACATAGAATGATGAACTAAGATGAAATATCTATCTATATCTAAATATCTGAAGCCATGAGTTGCTGAATGATGGGGCACATTCTGACAAATGTGTCATTAGGTGATTTCTTTGTTCTATGGACATGATAGAGTGTACTTATATAAACCTACATGACAGAGCCTACTACACACCTAGGCTATATGGTATAGCCTATTATTCCTAAGCTGCAAAGCTGTATAACACATTACTGAACACCGTAGGCAATTGTAACACAATTGTAAATACTTGTGTATATAAACATATCTAAACACAGAAAAGGTAATATGTTGTGCTACAACATTACCATTGCTATGACATCACTAGGTAATAGGAAATTTTCACCTTCATTATAACCTTATGGGACCACCGTCATATATGTAAACCATTGTGGACTGAAATGCTGTTATGTAGTGCCTGGCTATACAAATATGATTTGATTCACTCCCAGAGTTCATCATTTAGCAGATCTGGGGTGGGCCCCAAGCAATGAATTTCTAACAATTTTCCAATGAAGCTGGTTGTGCTGTGCCAAGAACATGTGAAGTGTTGAGACAGAGATACCTCTAGCTAGTATGAATGAAGGAAAAAAGAAAAAAAAGTAAACAAAATCCTATTAGGTAAATAACCACAGACATGGAGGAAGGAGACATTAATTCAGTGGTTCTCAATCTTAATAGCCCATTTGAATCACAAAAACTGATACTCAGGCCCTATGTGCTGTTGGGTTGAATCAGAATATTTGAGGCTGGGCTCTAGGTATGGGCACTCTCTGAAAGCTCCCAAAATGATTTTGATACACAGTATAATTGAAAAGCATCAGAATAATAGGGGATTAGTTGTATTCTATTACATCAATTTGGAAACTGGGATTTCAGTTGGAAAACTTTCCCATTTCTCAAGTCTAAATTTCAAACGAGAATTCCAGGCTATAGATGGAAGTATATTCCAGCATCTCTTCCTTTTTTTACTTGTTCCTTCTGGAGCAAGTTACATTTTTGAACAGAAAGTTTAGGAGAAAGAAATGAATATACTACACTTAGTTCTTCTTAGGCATTTTTCTCTTTCCTCTGACTGCTTGCAGATAGGGTGCTTTCTGATCCGTTTGCATTTAAAGCAGTGAATGTTTTACCTGTGATAGGATGTCTGAGATCTTCAATTATGTCTGGGTCTGAAAGATAAATTTTTCAAAATCACACATGTATTGAGATATAATTCACATACCACAAAATTCAACTTTTAAAATATAAAATTCAATAGTTTTTAGTATATTCAGAATTGTGCAACCATCAACACTATTTGGTTTTATAATATGTTTATCATCCCAAAAAGAAAACTGGTGCTCTTACCTATAGCCCCCTGTCTTTTTCTGCCATAGGTAGCCAGTAATCTACCATCTGTCTTTATAGATTTTAAAATTTTGAACACTGAAAGATTAATTTGAACTCTGATGAATTATTAGAAAGTTCATTGTGTCCTCAACCACAGGCATTACCCATCCAGTTTCTACCTAATAAAAAATCTGATAACTTGACAGTCTGTCAGTCTCCTGGTAGTATAGGTCAATTAGTTACCAAATTAAGAAGAGATATTTATGTTTCCATAAAACTTTACCACTGGACCAAAGACATTCTTTCTCAGAAAAACTTACCCAAAATGACCACAAAAGTCATGAAAATATTAAAAAAATACATAAGAAAGTTAAAAAGAGCCGTCCTGATGCCAAAACAGAAACCATAAGGAGCAAGATTTATTTATTAGTCTATTACACAAATTGAATCTTCTGTGCCTCAAAAATAACCATAAGCCAAGTTACGTTGAATATACATTGTACATGTCCAGTAAAGAGTTGATTTAAATAAAAGGTTTATAAGTCAGTAAGAAAAAGACAGATATCACAATAGGAAAAAGGGCAAAGGATATGAACATCCAATTCAAGATGAATAAATTAAAAATAATTAACATAGGAAAAAATGTTTAACATGATTGTAAACAAAAGATGTAAATTTAGACAGTGGGTTCTTTTTCACACGTAAGCAAAGACTGATGTATTTAGTGTTAGTAAATATGAAGGAAAATGGAAATATGTTGTGAGAATGAAGGTTATAACCTTTCAAAGAGGCGATTTGGTAACATATAACAACTAAAAAAATCACAGCAACTCTGTTTTAAATTTTAATCTTAGAAAATGTACAGATACATAAAATATTTTTCTAAGTATGTTAATTACAGCAAGATTTATAATAAGAAAATATGGAAAATGCTAAGCATGAAATAGGCATAATTGTTTAAATATATTGGAATATTTATGTGTTAATTATATGTTCTTATCCTTACTGATAAAAATCAATGAAATATTGAGAAAAGTGGGTTATAAAATTGCCTATAAAATTATCCCATTCTGATGAGTGAAAAATAGCAAAAATGATAACAAACCACAAAAAAATTTAAATTCCTGGTTATGAATTAGACAGAATTAAAAACAAAAGTTAAGATCATCTCAACAGGTACAGAAAAAACATTCAATAAAATCCAGCATCCCTTCATAATAAAAATCTTTACCACACTAGGAATAGAGGGCACATAGCTCAAAATAATAAAAGCCATATATGAGAAACCCTCAGCCAACATGATACTGAATGGAAAAAAGTTGAAAGCTTTCTCCCTAAGAGCTGGAAGAAGACAAATATGACCACTGTTACCACTTTTATTCAACATAGTACTTGTGGTCCTAGCTAGAACAATAAGAAAAGAGAAAGAAACAAAAGGCATTCAAACTAGAAAAGAGGAAGTCAAATTATCTCTGTTTGCTGATGATATGTACACCTAGAAAACCCTAAAGACTCCTTCAAAACACTTCTAGATTTGATAAATGACTTCAGTAAAGTTTCAGAATACAAAATCAACATAAAATTAGTAATATTTCTATTTACAAATACTGACTAATCTGACAGCCAAATCAAGAACTCAATTCTATTTATAATAACTACACACACACACACACACACACACACACACACACACACACACACAATACTTAGTAATACAGTTAACCAAGGAGGTGAAGGAATTCTACAAGGAGAACTACAAAACACTGTTGAAAGAAATCATAGATGAAACAAATGGGAAAAACATCCCATGCTCATGGATTGGGAGAATCAATATCATTAAAATGAATATACTGCCCAAAGCTATCTACAGATACAATGCAATTTCTATTAACTATCAACATAATTCTTCACAGAATTAGAAAAAAAAAACCCTAGAGATAATATGGAACCTAAAAAGAGCCCAAATAGCCAAAGCAATCCTAAGCAAAAAGAATAAATCTGGAGGTCTCACATTACCTGACTTCAAATTATACTATAAGGCTATAATAAGCAAAACAACATGGTAGTGGTGTGAAAATTGACACATAGATTAATACAACAGAATAGAGAACCCAGAAATAAAGCCTCATACCTAAAACTAAATAACCTTTGACAAAATTGATAAAAATATACACTGGGGAAAGGATAACATGTTCAATAAATGGTGCTGGTATTATTGGAGACCCATATGCAGAGGAATGAAACTGGACCCCTATTCTCACTATCTACAAAAATTAACTCTAGATGGATTAAAGACTTAAATGTAAAACCTTAAACCATAAAAGTCCTAGAAGAAAATGTATGAAAAAACCCTGAGGGACATTGGGCTAGGCAAAGAATTTATAATTAAATCCTCAAAAGGAAATGCAATAAAAACAAAAATAGACAAATAAGACTTAATTAAATTAAAAATATTATGCAGAGCAAAAAATTAATGGAGTAAACAACCTACAGTATTGGAGAAACTGTTTGCAAAATGATGCCTCCAACAAAGAACTAATATCCAGATTTTATAAGGAACTCATATAACTCAACAAGAGAAAACCCCATTAAAAAATGAACAAATAACATGAACAGACATTTTTCAAAAGAAGATATACAAACAGCCAACAAACATAAAAAATGTTTAACATCACTAATCATCAGAGAAATGCAAATTAACACTACAATGAGATACCATTTTACCACAGTCAGAATGGGTATTTTTAAAAAGTAAAAACAAAAACAGATATTGGTGTGGATGCTGAGAAAAGAAAACTCTTATACACTGTTTGTGGAAATATAAATTAGTACGACCTCTATGGAAAAGAATACGGGGATTTCTCAGAGAACAAAAAATGGAACTACCCTTCTATCTAGCAATTTCACTCTGGGATATCTACTAAGGGAAAATAAATCATTACATTAAAAATGCACCTGTACTTGTATGTTTATTGCAGCACTATTCATACATAGCAAAGTCATGGAAAATCTGTGTCCATCAATGATGATAAAAATGTGGTGTATATGTGTGTGTGTGTGTGTGTGTGTATCCTTATCCTTAGTGAAATTAAGAGACAGATAATCAAAACCCACAAGTTCTTTTAAGTAGGAGCTAAACAATGGGTGCACATGGCCATACAGAGTGGAGTAATAGACACTGGAGATTCCAAATGGTGGGAGTGGGTGGGAGGGGGTGAGGGATGAACTACCACCTATTCGGTACAATGTATACTGCTCAGGTGATGGGTCCACTAAAAGCCCACAGGTCACGACTATGCATATATTCTTGTAAGACAACTGTACTTGTACCCCTTAAATAAAAAAATTAATTTCAAAATAAATAATAAAAAGGAGAAAACAAATTTTCTCTGGTAGTATTTGGACAATGTGCTCACCTATGTAAGGTTTCTCTTCTTCCCATGTTTCTAACCAGTGCTAAATGTTTTTGACATGACCAAGTAACACTTCCTTTTTTTTTTTTTTTTTTTTTTGAGACGGAGACTTGCTCTGTCACCAGGCTGGAGTGCAGTGGTGCAATCTCGGCTCACTGCAGCCTCCGCTTCCTGGGTTCAAGCAATTCTCCTGCCTCAGCCTCCCGAGTAGATGGGATTATAGGCGCGTGCTGCCACGCCCAGCTAATTTTTGTATTTTTAGTAGAGACAGGGTTTCGCCGTGTTGGTCAGGCTAGTCTCGATCTCCTGACCTCGTGATCCGCCCACCTTGGCTTCCCAAAGTGCTGGGATTACAGGCGTGAGCCACCGTGCCTGGCCGACTAACTAACACTTCCTGAGATAAACACCCAGTTCAATTACATCATTATAAATATATTTAAGAAACTATTATGAGTGCCTAAAGGCTTATATCAGGAGTTGCAAAACCTTAATTCATAATGTGGCCAGAGAGATAACAGAGGTGGTGATAGAAGCCCAGTGGAGACTGTAGCAAACTGCCCTTTCCAAAGACAACTAATCAAATTCAGAGCACTGTTGCTATGCTTATTGTGTCTCGCTCTTTGATATTTTAATAGCAGCCAGAAATCTCAATATCTATGTGAATCTCCTAATTTTTCTATTTTAGAAACTATTTAAGTATTAAATAAATCACATGTGGAACAAGCAAACACATGAAATGTATTTGGGGGTTAGCCTCTCCTGGCTTAGATCAGAGGAAATAAAAACATCCTCTTCACTCTCCAATTCTTTCTCTCCAGAGTTTAGAAGGGAGCTACTAATCATTGCAAAGAAGCTATAATTTGGCAACATTAGAGAAAGATCAACATTTCCCTGGGCAAGTTATTAAGAGATTTATGGTGTAGAGGACCTTAACATGCTTTACTGGGAGAAACGGGAACAAGG